>NC_000008.11:131964222-132589222 GCF_000001405.40 Homo sapiens | reverse complement strand
TCTTTCTAGAATATTCCTTATCTACTACATGACTTACATCTTCTGGAAAATTCCTGCTTATCCTTTAAAATTCATATCAAACCTCACAGCCCCCAGTAAGTCATCTAATGGCCATTAAGCACATTTAGACAGCATCACAACAGGATTGATTGGGATTTGTTTCCCCACCCAAATCTCATGTTGAAATGTAATGCCCAATGCTGGAGATGGGGCCTGGTGGGAGATGGTTGGATCACGGGGGCAGTTTCTAATGGTTTAGCAGCATCCCCCTAGTGCTGTGTGATAGAGTTCTCTTGAGATCTGGTGGTCTGAAAGTGTGTGGCACCTCCTTCCTCTCTCTCTTGCTCCTACTCCTGCCATATGAGACATGCCTGCTTCCCCTTCACCTTCTGCCATGATTGTAAGTTTCCTGAGGCCTTCCCAGAAGCCGATGCCACCATGTTTCCTACATGGTCTGCAGAGCCATGAGTCAATTAAACCTCTTTTATTTATAAATTACCCAGTCTCAGGTATTTCTTTATAGCAATGTGAGAACAGATTAAAATACCTTATTTGATTTCTGCTCTCTATCCTTTCTAGCACAGCTCCCTCCCTTGGGCTTCCATAGTAGTCTATGCATATATCTAGCAATTCTACTTTTTTTCAATGTATTTTAACTGTTTATATATCTTTCTCCCTCATGAGATGATCAGGAATAATTTTTAATCCATCATTCCATATCTGCCTCTCAGTCCTATGCTTGGCATATAACAGATGCTCAGTAAATATTTCTTGGAGCAGATTTAATGGAGGTAATAGTTGAAACTGTGGGAGAAAGTGAAATATCCAAGAGAAAGATAAATTTATTGTGATTTTCATGTACACTTTTATTTAAGAAGCCAGGCTAAACTCACAGGAAAATGTTAAAGTAGATTGATTTATGTTTTCTTTCTTAACAAGTATTCCTGATTACATTCATTTCCTTTGTTCATTCCCTCTTAATTTACAAGTAGCATGTTTTCATCTGAAATGGAGTTACTGTTTGCTCATTTTTATTTAAATTCACTTAAATATTAAGTTGAACCATAAGAAATTATTTTTTATGGGTCAAACATAGATATTGGCAATTTTTATGGTTCAACCCAAAGTATAAGGATTCAGAGCTAAGTAGCTTCATTGCATCAGTTTACTGTATTTTTACACAGCTCACATAGTCTATGTTTCTTGGTATGAGTAACTTTTATAGTTGATATAGATCGTCTCAATGCAGGTGCTGCCTCGGAATGTAATGAAACTTCAACCCAGGTACTATTTAAGCAAAAGTTGGAAAGTCATGCATCAGAAAAGCCTCAGAATGGACTTTTGTATTCTGTAGAAAAGTGAACTCTCGTACTGCCTCTGTGTTCACTCCCAACTTTCAATTGCATGGCTCTATGAGAGTTAAAATAATGTAACATTATTAAAATGTTAATTTGTTCCTTTATGCCTATCCCACAATTGAATTTTCAAGTAGTTGATTACATTTCTCTCTGTGGATTCAGGAAACTGTTAGTCTCACATTATCTAATTTACTAAGCATATTTTGGCCCTTACAACTTTTCCATTAGTCATTCCTAAACACATTTAGCACAAATGAATAAGACGATGTTTGATATTAATGAGCATTGCTTCCTGGAGGAAGACCAACCCAGGACTGCAGGTACAGTGGGAAACCAAATGTTACGATTCCAAAACCTTGGAACACTGAACCTATAGTCCTCTGCTTGGGCAAATTTGATCTTATCAGAAAAGGTAACCTACTATTAATATGAATGTTGGCATTAAGATGAATTTCAGTGTTATTATGAATGTTGGCATTAAGATGAATTTCAGTGTTATTATGAATGTTGGTGTTAATATTTTGCTTACAGCTGACTCCTTAATTCCTTCTAACTTTTAAGCTTAAAACAATCTTTGAAACTAAATGAGCTGAAAATACCTTTTAAAAAGAAGAAACACATTTAGATTCTGGTGCACAGCAAATTCCCTGTGAATAAAAGTTCCAAATTTGTGATTCTATTTGCATTTCCATAAACACAGAGTCTTTGTGCTTATTATGTGACAAATAACAGTGTTAGAAATGGGGTGTTTTAAGGCTCTAATTATGCATATGCTCCCATTCTCATTGGTGCATGTATTGCAATGTAAAGCTGTACAAAACTTGTACTTTGGGTTCAAGAGCTTTCTTTTTTTTAAGCTGATATTTTAATGAATTTTAACTAACATTGACCTCATTTAAAGGAGTTAAAATATTAAGAAATTTAAAAGGTGCTAAGGTGCCATTGCTCCTTGGGAAGCAGATTCTGAAATGCAGACGAGCATGCAAAATATGTATTAAGAAGTGCCCTGGGGGTCAACACCTGGAAAGGGAGGGAAGAAGCCAAGAGAGGGGAAAGGGAGAAGTTGAGCTGTGATGCAGGACCAACAAAGGTCTCAGTCAACATCTCAGTGAGCTCCCTGGCCGACCTGAGTCTTTTCAATTGGCCAAATCAGGCACAGGGGAGTATCCTCTAGATCTCACATTGATCAGAGAGGTTGGATTGTAGACCCCCAAGTTCTCACACTTACATGAGAGTTACAGGTCCCAGGCATGGTAAGGAAGGAGCAAAGAGTTCCAGAACTGAAAAGACCACGTGATCTAGACCACAGAGGAATTACGGGTAGTTGGTATGGACAAGGTCGTTCACACCTGAAGAAGAATCCCGGCATCCCATCACATGACCAACACACATGGGTTTGAGGCTGACTGTGGTTATGTTCCTATCTCTCTTGCTAAATAAACAAATTCAAATTAATTAAAATTTAATAAAATCAAAACTTTAGTTTTAAGTTGCACTAACCGCATTTCAAGTGCTTAGTAGCCACAGGCAGCTGGTAGCTATTGTGTTGGATAGCACAGAGCATTTCCACCAGACCTATTGAGATACTAGGAAATATTGAAAAACAGAATTGCAGAAAATTTTGCTGGACAGCACTGCTGCACATGTATTACACAGCCACATCTCTTGGAGGTCTTGCTGCCTCCCTGGGATACTTCCAGGAGGAGACCCCTTCCCCCCGTTCTCTCTCTCCTTCTCTAAATCTAGGGAGAGTCTCTTTTTAGTCTCCATAAAACATTAAAAAATATCTTCTTAATTCTATTTTTTAAATTTATAATTGACATGAATCTGATTTGGTTAACTATAACTGGAATCAATAGCAACTGAAAAGTGTTTTCATTCCCTTAAGGGAAGGCCAGGATATCAGGAAATATTTAGATTCATCCCACTCATTCAGTTAAAGAAAAAGAAGAAAACAAGTTGTTTTCATATTTAAACCATATAGACATTCATACCCTGCCAAAGTAACATCCACAAATATAACATTGGTCAGCAAAAAATTAATGGAAAGCAATAAAATTACATTGTCTATTTTAAAACCTAGAAAATACAACATTTTAGACTTAGCCTACTCCAAAATAAACCATGTTTGATAATACAAACCTTTCCATGAGTCACCTTCTATTGAAGAAGTAAACATTGTTTTGGTAGCTTTAGTTGCCAATTCTTCCATAGCATACTTCTATGAGTTTTGTAGTGCAGACTGCATCGCTTTTGAAACATTTCTGAACAAACCCTTCTAGCCTTGGTATTTAATGTCTTTAGTAGCATTCATTATTTTTTTCTTCTGGAGCTTCAGCAAAAGTCTTGCCGTCCACTTGTGACATTAAGGGTATTATTTTCCCCCAGTCTAGTGTTCAAAGCTTATATTGAAAGGGTGGAGCTGAAGATCTTCCCACAACGCACATACACCCTCCCATGAGACCCATGGAAAGAGGAAGATGTACTTCTTATGTTCATGGTCTCCAGTGAAAGGGAGCTGCATGGCATCACACATCCATACACGTGTTGCATTTTTACAAAATATAATTGAAAATTATACAACTGCACCATGTAAAAGACTAGTCTTGCACCACTGTATGATGTTGACACAGGAAAAGGACTGCCATCTAGGAGTGGGCATCCATCAGAGCCCAAACCTCCCCGAGCTTGATGCTGGGGTCTCAGATGGGGAATCATTTCTTCATTGGTTCATTCATCATTTATTTATTGAAGTATACACATGATAAACAATGGGCTAGGCTTTGGGGATTTATTGGAGCCTATAACCAAGAATCTCTAATTAAATAAGAAACAAATTACCCCATGTATTAATATGATTAAGTGCCCAACACTTCTGTCTAGTAAAGCTTAGATAGGAGAATGTGGCTTAGTGTTAAGGCTAAATTGGGACTCCCAATGCCCTTCCCAAATATATACTGTAAGTCGAGACACATGCCTGAGCCAGTAGATGGGAGGCAGATGATGATAGACCCTTGAAGTCCAGGCCTAGTCTTTTCCTTAATCAGTTGCATGAACCTGGATCACAGCTGTGCACCACACCAAGTCAGGCAGAACAGAGAAAGGCAGATAGCCTTCACCCTTGAGATAATGACCCTGCCCATAAGAGAGATGTGGCAGGTGAATGAGTCATTCCCCTGCCATAGAGAAGGACCTGGTGAGGGTAGAGAGGGGAATGGACACTCACTCCAGGTCACTCCTTGAAAACAAAAGGCAGACCCCATATTGGGCAGACCCAGGCAACATGAGAAGAGAGTTTTTAAACTTCTCCTGCTAGCAATCCCTGTCTCATAGGAATGTTGAGGGGTGGAGAAATTAAGTGAAATACAGTGTTGATATTGGTAGGTGTGTGCCTAGCACGTAGTGGAGTCTGACAAGTAGCAGCAGGTTCTCTTTTCCTTCCCCTCTCTGATGTCTTAGGAGTTCCTTGAGAGGAGGTACTGGGTCTCAATAATTTTTGCAGTATGTTTGTTGAATGGAATCATTTTATTTATTGAGACTTCAACATGCTTAGCACTGAGCTTACTTAGTTTTAAAAGTATTAGAATTATAGGACTTTTTAGACCAAAAAGGGGCCTTTCAGATCATAAACCGATTCCTTCATTTTGCAGAGGAAGAAACCAGGGCGCAGTGAGCCGGGAGAATGAGGATTCAAGCTCCCATCTCAGAGTGCTTTCCACTTTCCACTAGGAGCACCCCAAAGGCAGTGTTTCCATCACATCTGTATCCCCAACACCCCACAAAAGTATCTGGCATGTTGTTGTCTTGTCGATAATATTTGTTAAATACATTAATTCACCATATCTCCTGCTTGGCCTTTGGCAGTTGTAGATAGCTTGTGGCTTCGCGAGACTCTTGCAACAGATACAATTCGTGATATAACCTTCTCTACACTGCATATAGGGGCTTCAAGTTTGAGTCTTTCATGGAATATGTAGAGAAAAAATTAAAATGTTTTAGTATCTTTTAAAATACATATATGTATATTTTTTAAGGTACATCAAGGAGTAATGCACCACTTGGTGTGTGTTTCATTTTTATTTTAGGTAGGAGAAGTAATCACAGGTGGTCAGCGAGCATTCAAATCTATGAAAACTACCTCGGACAGGAGCAGAGAACAAACAAATACAAGGTACCACCCTCCCAGACTGTCCTTAGCTGTATTATATTGTTCTCTTCATTGTCATTTGTTGGTTGGAATGCAGCTTCCAAAATTGTACAATTATTTAAAGTTCTGAGATGATTCATACCATGAATGTTAATGTTTATTTCCCAAACCGTAGACTCTTGCTTTGTAGGGCTCCTCATCCCTAAAATCAAATCTGTGTATATACAGGTCCCAATGTCTCGTCATAATATAACGACTGGTAATGTCAACACCAATGACAGCTAACATTTACCAAGTGCTTGCTTCGTGTCAGGTGCTATTCTGTGTGCTTTACCCATATTAAATACATTCAATCCTCATAATTTTTATGCTCAGTTTCCAGTTAGGGGAGCTGAGGGAGGGGGAAACTTAGAGTGTACTGAAGGTCATGTAGCTATGACATGCTGGGACAACCTTGCTGGTACCGTTGCTGTCACTGCCTCCCTTTTATGATCCGTGTGTCACTCCACAGATGCCTCAACTCTCAGGGGTACTAGGGCCCCTCCTGTCAATCTCCTGACTGTTGGTCATTTTCTGGCTTTTGCTTAAATTCCTTTCCCAACAGGACCCTCACCCTCTCAAGAGAGTAGTCATTCCCTTCTTGGTATCCTCTACTGTTAGACAGCCTCTCTCTGTCTCTCTTTGATTCCTAAATGAAGGTCCAGGCTCTGCTTCCTGGAGACCGTCAGAACCAAGCCAATCTCCCTTAAGCAATGACATCCCTTAAAGTAATTTGCACAAAGCTCTCCCCTTTCTCAGTTCTTCTCTAGAATGAGATCCCAGTTCTTCCAACTGTCCTTCTGCTTCTTATGATTTTCAGACTCTTATCATCCAGATGGTAAAATCTATTTTGAAGTAAGGCAAACTATCTTTGTGATACAAATGTATATGCTAGAATTACCATCATAAAAATACCTGAACAAGAGCTATATATATGTGTTGCATAATAAAGCAGTCAGGCATTGGTATATTCAAAGACAACTGCTGAAGTTTTGTAGAGATTTTTAAACATGGGGTTTGTTTGAACAACAGGTATGTAATTGAATTCCTACCGAAAAATGGGTTGCTGTTTTTAACCTTGGAAATCCACTCTATTTCCCAGCTTAGTGATTTCCATTGCACATACAAGATTCATGGGTATTATGTCTATTATGAATATTCACAGTCATAATTAACCCCCAGCAGCATCAACACATGGAAAGAGTCTGAATCTAATTTGTGAGGAATCAGCAATGGAAAGCCAAATCATTGCAAACAGTTCGGAGCTGGTTTTCAGACCCCAGGAAAACTATCATTACTGTGATTACACTTGAGGATTCAAGATGTCTTAGCACGATTCTTCATAGCAGTCCCTCCTGTGGTATTTTTGCAAAGCCTTTCTTTTTCATTTTGATTACTGAGAAAGGATCACACCACAATCACATGTAAAATGCCTGTGTGAAGGTAGTTTATGGTGCTCCTTAATCATTGGCAAACTCTATTGTGCACGTTATCCCAGCTTCAGGCTGGGCAACCCCATTAACCAAGCAGCTGCCCATTAAAGCTGCTCACAGGGACTGGGGTCAGGCAGGATTGTTGGTTTTAGGCAAAGGACTGTAGATGCAGCCGTCCACCGGGAGGGCCACAAGAGGCCCCTTGCCCATCTCTTGGCAGAGTGGTTTGTTTCTCATGCTGAGGAGAAAGTGAATGGAGGGGGAGGAGCAACTGGAGTAGGGTTTTATTCATCAGGTCATCAGTGACCTCTTGTGGTCCCATAACACTGTAAAATGAAGGAAGAAGCACAAATTCCTCCAAACGAAGGGATTTATTGAGTGCTGACTCTGCTACATGATGCTATGTGTTGTCTGTCTTTCATCTTCAAGAATAACACTGCAGATAAGTGCTATTATTTCTAATTTACTGAGATTGAGAGATGGCATTTCCCAAGATGTCAAAGTTGATAAGTGGTAGAACCAGGATTATGAAACCTCAGGCTTGTTCTTCTTCTTCTTCTTCTTTTTTTTTTTTTTTTTTTTTTGAGGCAGAGTCTCGCTCTTGTCAAGTGCAGTGGCAAGAGGCTGGAGTGCAGTGGCAGGATCTCGGGTCACTGCAACCTCTGCCTCCTGGATTCAAGCGATTCTCCAGCCTCAGCCTCCCGAGTAGCTGGGACTACTGGTGCCTGCCACCATGCCTGGTTAATTTTTGTATTTTTAGTAGAGACAGGGTTTCACAATGTTGGCCAGGCTGGTCTCAAATTCCTGACCTCCTGTGATCCGCCTGCCTTGGCCTCCCAAAGTGCTGGGATTACAGGTGTGAGCCACCGCACCCAGCCAGACTTGCCTTCTTAATCTCTTCCTGGTGTCATTTGATGAACAGAAGATTTTGATTTTAAAACAATCAAAATTATTAAACTTTTTTATGGTTAATTATTTTATGTTTGTTCTGTTCTAGAAATTCCATCCTGCCCTGAGGTCATAAAAGTAGTCCTTTATGTTGTAAGGCTTTATACTTTTGCTTTTCACATTTAGGTATAATTTGAGGAAACGTCTAATCCATCAGGAATTAAGTTTGTTTAAAGTATGACAATTTAATTTGTCCCATTGTGGGCACCCTACTGTCCCTGTGTTTCTTATTAAGATGGTTATTCTTTCTACATTTGTTACGAAGGCCACCTCTGTCGTAGACCAGGAGTCCACATCTGTATGGGTTTGCCTCTGGTCTCTATTCTGCTCTACTTCCTTAATTTCCATAGTCTTATGAGTTTTATAACTGGTAGGAAATGTCTTCTCACCTTATTCTTGAAGAGTGAGTTGGCTAATTTTATCCCTTTGCACTTACACATATATTTCAGAATCAACCAAGCAATTTTTACTCACATACAAACACACACACAGGTATGTATTGGGATTTTCTTTGGAATTGTATTGGCCATATAGATCAATTTAGAGAGAACAGTTCTTAATAGTATTAGTATCTCTCTGTCCTTTTTTTGATCTTATTTGGTATCTGTTTGTAACTTTTCCATAAGCATACCAATGTTTTATTAATTTTTAGGTGTATGATATTTTGATGCTATCACAAATGTATTATTTTATTTTTTTCTCTGTTGCTGGTATATAGATTGCAATTTACTTTTTCATTGTGGTAAAGTACACATTACCTCAAATTGACCATTGTAATCATTTAAAAGTGTACAATTCGGTGGCAGTTAGTATATTCACAATGTTGTACGACCATCACCACTAAGTAGTCTACTTTTGTGTTTGATTTTGTAGCCAGCAACTTTACTAATCTCTCTTATTATTTTATTAATGTATCTGTGGGTTCTTTTAGATTTTCTGTATGCCTGCAAAGAACCACAGCTTGCTTGCTTGCTTTCCGATTGATCCTTATCTCTTGTATTTCCTCTTCATGCCTCACTGCACAGGGAAAGGCTCCAGGACAGTGTTGAGTAGTGGAGTGAGGGCAGCATCTTTGTTGTTCTGCTAAGTCCAGAGGGAAGCGTTCCAGTTTTCCATCTTTTACTAGGAAGTCTGAGACATGTTATTTAAACATAGTAATTGTAGTGGTTTTATAGTTCATGTTTTCATATTCCAATATCTGAAGTTTTTATATTTCTATTTCTGTTCTTGTTCTATTGGTTCTCGTGCTTTTTTTTTTTTCCTTGAGTAGTCGTCTTTTTTGTTCATTTATTTGTTTTTTTAAGACAGAGTTTTGCCTTTGTTGCCCAGGCTGGAATGTGATGGCATGATCTTGGCTCACTGCAACTTCCGCCTCCCAGTTCAAGCGATTCTTGTGCCTCAGCCCCCTGAGTAGCTGGGACTACAGGCACCTGCCACCACGCCCAGCTAATTTTTTGGTATTTTTAGTAGAGACAGGTTTTTGCCATGTCGGCCAGGCTGGTCTCAAACTCCTGGCCTCAAGTGATCCGCCCGCTGCAGCCTCCCAAATTGTTGGGATTACAGGCACGAGACACTACGCCTGGCCTAGTTGTCTATTTTTTACTGTGAGCTACTGCATATAGAACCATCTGAGTGACCTTGGACCAACCCTTTCCCCCCACTTTCTTAGTTGTAGTTGACAAGAATAACTGTGGAATGTGCTGGGAATACAACATCTTGAGATAAGAGGGAGCTGGCTAAAATAGCCTCAGTTCTGTTTCAGTTGCCTTCCCCACTCCGGAAACATACATCCTTCAACGCTTTAACCCACTGATCACGTGGTCCAGGGGTATACAATCTAGGATGGGCTGCTTCCTGGGGTCCTTGTGCTGTGGTACAAGTGGGGCATGTGCAAAAGAGATGCCATCTCCTTCCCAGGCAGCTTCCCTGAGCCCCCTGCGGTTTCTGTTGTCCTCTGCTGCCTGTCTATAAGTAATAAATCTGCTTCATGTAGCCTGTTGTGTATGGGGGTGTTCTGTTTTACTGGACCCTGGCAAGTTGGTAACCAGTGCACAGGGAACTTGCTTCACACTCCACTGCCTAGGAAAATATTCTGGTGGTTCCTTAGAGGCCTGGGAGGTACTTGGCCAGGGAACATTGGCATGTGCTGCAGAGAAAAACACTGCCAATTTGGAACCACTTTCATCTAAATTCAAGATTGAGGATTTTTAACCAACAGCTGCTGTAAACTTTCTAGCTTGTGGTGACAACTCAGTTTTCCTCTGCCCCACTGAAGCAGCTTTCCTCGAAGTGCCTTGTGGAGGTGAGCAGTGGGCATTTACTTCTCAGAGAAGCTCTTTGGCACTGCACCCTTATTATGGAGAGGGTGTCCCGTTAGACTGCCCACCTGGCATGCTCAGGGCCTTGGCCTCTGTCTTCAGACTCTGTAAGGTCAGATTGACCAAAGCACAACTTCAAGGGCTCCCCAAGTGCTCTCAGGGCAAAGGTGACTTCAGGCCTCTGCTCCTCCTTCTGAGTTCCCACTTTCCTTGATTTGTGACCTTGCAGTTCCTTGTGATTTTATCAAGTCTTTCATGATCTCAAGAAAGTTTTCAGTGGGAGGTGGGAGTCTTTGGTCCAAATATGCTAGCTTACTAGGAAACCAGAAAAAAGTTCTTTCTTTATGTTTTTTGATAAAAGGAATGAATCTCTGATGTGTTTTGCACTTAGTGATTAATTTTAGGCATTTTCTTTTTTCTTGCTTACTTCCATGATGTTAAATCTGTTGATTTTGTCTTCCAGCTATTCTACTGGATTCTAGAGGTGATGTTTCTGACAGTCAGGTCGTGGGTAAGACCAGTGATGGGCGTCCGTCCTAGAGGCCTCTGACATTAAGGCGGGGAAAGCAAAGGTGAAAAGGCCCCTCCCCACTTTGTTTTGGAGATTATTGTGATCTTCAAGTGCCCCAGGCTTAGCTGCTTACTGTTTTTGACTCCAGAGATCCATGAGTAATTAAAATCCTCTATTATGATTTAGTTCATTCCTCACAACATCTGAATTAGTTGTGCCACAGATAACAATGTACTAGCTAAGTTCATGGCTTATTACTGAGACCAGAAATTATGGCCCAGGATATATACTGGGAAATGAGGTAGGCCATTCTTCCTCAAAGTCAAGGACAAAATAATTATACTAGATGAACTTAGATATATACTTAAAACACAAATATCATAGCCTTTTAAGTAAGAACATAATAATTAAAAAGTAGGGCTTTATTTATAATGACTATAATGAAGGTGTTTGAACTTCCTACATTTGTTTTGGAATAAATTTTCCAAACTAGAAAGTGCCTGGCCAGGCATGGTGGCTCACATCCTTAATTCCAGCACTTTGGGAGGCTGAGGCAGGTGGATCACCTGAGGTCGGAAGTTCAAGCAGCCTGGCCATCTTTTGGCAAAACCCCATTTCTACTAAAAAAAAAATACAAAAATTAGCCAGGCATGGTGGCATGCAGCACCTGTAGCCCCAGCTACTTGGGAGTCTGAGGTGGGAAGATCACTTGAACACAGGAAGTGGAGGTTGCAGTGAGCCAAAATTGCACCACCGCACTCCAGCCTGGGCAACGGAGCAAGGCTCCATCTGAAAAAATAAAAATAAAAAAGTGCCATGTCAATGTCAGTGGCTATTGTTATTAACATCATTATTAATTATTTGTACAACTGAGTAACTATACTAAATGATAACTATAATTATAAAAACTTAGTCATAACTGGTCTAATTTACCTATGTAAAAATTTACGTTAGGTTATGGGATTCCTGGTTCCCAGGGAGATGTTGGCATTCTTTTCCCTATATTTCTGTATGTACTGATAGATGACATTTGGACCTGACTTGTATAAGGATATATTTGGCTACGAGTAATAGAATACCTAAGATAGACTTAAAAATGTAGGATGTTTTATTACCTCAAATAACAATTATTCTGGAAGAAGGTGTTTTTGTAGGTGGTTCGGCAGCTTAGCAGTTAAGACCCCAGGTTAGCATCTTTGTATTCTGTTGGCCTTTCCTTGAGTGTCACAGATGAACTCTAGAGTTTCAAATAGCAAATCCTTATACTGGCACCCCCCATAAGAAGGAAGACTTGGTAGGCAAAGTGGTAGCCTCCAGGATGGTGGTTTCAGTGGGGCATCATGGCTGGAAGGGCACAGTAGGAGCTCCTAGAATGCTGATAATGTTCTGCTTCTTAATCCACGGTGCATTCAGTTAATGAAAGTTTCACTCTTATGATTTGGGCATTTTGCTATACATGTATTGCACTCAATAAAAAGGCTTAAAAAGTTATTAAAATCACCACATAATAAACGAAATATCAGTGCTTGCCCCAATACTGAGCCTGACCCTCAGCTTCAGCCTCTGATGGACCCCTGCCCCTCTCCCTTCTTCCACTTCTGCATCAGTGAGGTGGGGAAGGGATGCGGGGGCTCAGTGATGGGTGTGAGCACCAGATAAGACTGTGAACATACAGGTTGAGTATCCCTTATCCAAAATGCTTAGGACCAGACTTGTTTTTTATTTTGGATTTTTTTTCAGATTGTGGAATATTTGCATGATACCAGTTCAACATTCCTAACTGGAAAATCTGAAGTGCTCCAATGAGCATTTCCTTTGAGCATTATGTCAGTGCTCAAAAAGGTTTAGATTTGGGGGCATTTTGGATTTTGGAACTTCAGATTAGGGATACCCAACTTATGTTGAGAGATGATTAAAAACAACAACACATCCCTTTCAGTTCACCAAAACAACTGGGTCAATTTGGTCAGTCAAATCGTCTCACTTGGGCACATATCATATAGCTTCTTTAAGTACAATAATGATTATATAACATCTCTTTTTGCTAATAACAATAATATTATTTTATCTACTTAGTAAGGTTATTGAGGATAGGAAGACAGCTTTTCATTTTCAGTCTCCAGGACACACACAAACCTGGGTGCATAGTAGGTACTCAGTAAACACTTATTGAATGAACAGATACATGAATTGTGAGCAGCCAATGAAAGAGAAGGTAAATTATCTTGTTTGTGACAAATAGCAATTAAAGAAAAATTGGAAATTTAGACAACAGGGCAGTAACAAGGAGTAGTGTCAGTGTTCTGTTTTCTAACTACATTTACATGACACTAAATATAGTAAATAGGTTGTTAAACATCATTCCCTTCCTTAAAAAAGAAATCAGTCTCTAACTTTCCTAAAAATAAACACACTCCCTACTGCTTGAGTATCTCAAAGCGAAAAGAAAAATGTAGTGGGCGAGGTACCCCAGTTCCCAAGAGTCGTGGCACCGGCACTTGCCACAAAGCCAAAGACTTTCAGCATCTTACCTTAAACAGTTCTCCAGGCGGCCTCCCCAACAGATTACCTTACCCAGCCATCCAAGCTTCCCTCACTTACCCAGCCCTACCCTCACTGGACTGGGCCAGACACTCCCGCTCCTTCCCCCATCCCCACCTTGGGTACCTCACTCTCTGAAGGTAACAGGTTAAGAGTAAGCAGAACAAATGTTTTCTTACCTTTTGTCAGTGTTACCTCTCTGGAATGTTCTTCCTCCTCAAAATCTTGGAAAATACCAGCCCCACCCCGCGCCCAGTGCCAGATGCCAAGTTCCCTTACTCTATGATTCCTACCGTAATTCTTTCCGGGCCTTGGTGATGGTTGTCTCCTTGTGCTTCAACCTGGCTTGTTTATCCTACTTGCAGAGCCCTTGCCACGCTGGTGCAAAGTAGCCCAGTATACGTGTGTCCTCCTCATTTGATTGTGGGCATACACCATGTCTTACTCATCTTTAAATTCCTAGCACTGATTACAGCACTGGGCACCTAAAAGATGTGTGCTGAAAAGCATACTGAATTTCATAACGAACTCTTATCCATATCCTAGTACATATTGACTGATGCCACCCTTTTCCTACATGGCACTGACACTTACGGAATGCCTGCTGTGTTTCTGGCACTTCTCTACGTCCTTTACATGGATGAACTCATTTGATCTTGACAACAGCCTTATGTTCATTGTCATCCCTATTTTAAAGATGAGGTCTTTGAGGCACAAAGTGGCTGAGTAATTCACAAGGGCCAACAGCTTAGCAGGTAGGAGCCAGGATCTTGCAAGCTACCCTAGACACTCTACTGCCTCTTGACTTGCAGTAATGAACTTTGTTTCTTGATTACCAGGAAATAAATGAGATGAAAGAGGGCCTAGCAGGTTGTGGGTTTACTGTGTCATAACACAATTGGTTTCAATATTCATGCTGACCTAGAGAACTGTTTGTTTTGATGGATATAAGCTTATGTGCCACATGTCAAGAATAGAAAACCCCTCTTTATGCTGTGTGTTTGGTACCTAATTTTCTATGAGGAACAGTATGGGTGATGTTAATACCAGAGATTTGGATTCAGTTCCCAGCTAGTTCTGCCTATGTTTATCTGTGGGAACTTGGCTGACTATTCCTCTTGTCCTCCCACTGGGTCTGAGGATTTGATGACACAAGTAAAGGCCTTAGCATGGGGCTCAACAAAAGGCAGTGTGTCGAGGGTCCCCAAGATGACCCCAGGTTCAGAGATTAATTAGAGGAACTCACAGGACTCAGCATATAATCACACTCATGGCTAAGATTTATTGCAGCAAAAGAATAGGAGGCAAAATCAGCAAAAGGCTAAGTCCAGAAAAAGCCAGGTGCAAGTTTCTAAGAGTCCTTTCCCTGTGGAGTCACACAAGACATGCTTAATTCCTCCTGCAATGGGTTGCAACAACACATATGAAATGTCCATCAGGGAAGCTCATTAGAGATTCAATGCTCAGGGTTTTGTTGGGTGCTGGTAGGCACCCTCTGCCTAGTGGGTGCCAATGCTATGCAGTCCCAGAAGGAAAGCATAAACCAAATTGACTGCACACATTGCAAGGCACAGTGAGCTACCCTGATTGTTTAGGGAAAGTTTCATGTGGCTGTAGGGAACAGCTTACCAGTCAATGCCCAACCTTGCAGGCCTACCTTCTAAAGATAGTCATCTCTGGCCTGCCATGTTTACTGTTTTCTGCACAGTCAGCCACCAACCTTATGATGACTGACTATGCAGAAAAGAATAAGCAGCATCATAGCTGATGCCACAAAACTCTATTCTTTTAAAGGCAGGTGGTTCAGTGAATATTGTGGCACCGAGGCATCTGAGAGGAAGGTGTGCTCAGGATATGACCATTCATTTCTCTGGAGCATTAATTCTCCCTTTATTGCTCACCCACATTCCTTCACATCTTTCAGGGCATCTTCGGATTCCCACCTCTTTCACCCCTTCAGAGGCTACACAAGCCCCTTTTCCATTTCTTCTCCTTCCTGTGGCATACGGAGTTTATGGTATGCTGTTTGGGCTTCTGAATATACTATTTTATATTCTTTGTATATTTTGTATTTTTTATTCAGCAGGTCCTTGTGTATTAGTCAAAATAGTGTGAAGGATCAAAAACTAAAATGACTTCAAGGACTAGGCAGATTACAGAAATGAAGGGAGATGGTTGCAAGGAAAATAGAGAGTTGACACTTTCAGAAGAACACCCTGACAAAGGGTGTTCATGGAATGAGCTTAGTCTGAGGACATCAGTTTAGAGCTCCTGAATTTGATTGACTGTGATTTTCTTTAGGTCAGAGATAATTTCTTATATAATTTCATTATTTCCCCAATAGAAAAATAATATTTTTCATCTATTCAACAATATTTATTCAATACAGCCATATGCCTAGGATAAAAGATGAAAAAGACAAAACCTTTGCTTCAAAGATACCAGTATTGTATGAAAACAGACAAAGAATGAAACAGGTGTATGAGAGTGTCATTAATTCTGTGTTCAAGCACTACACTGTGCTATTAGATATTACCAGGAACATTGTCTATTTGCACAGACCGTGGTTTCCCTGGTGCCTATACAACACCTGGAATATCATAGATATTTAACACGTATCTGTTCAATGAACATTTGAATGAACGGTGCAGTGATTCCAAAACAATTTGACTGATTATCAATATCATTTGAGGGAACGTTATAAAAATACAGGTTACTGGCCCCAACACCAGACTTATTGAATCAAAATTGCGGGGAACGCAGCCCAGAGACCTGATTATCTACATCTATATCTATATCTATATCTATATCTGTATCTATATCTATATCTATATCTGACCATGATATTGGGAACATTGGCCAACCGAGGTGCCCCCTTCTTCTGTTTCATGCTTGCTATTGCTGAGAAAACTGAGTGAGTGCAGAAGGCTCAGGTTCTTGTGGGAGGAGAGGTTGGTGGGGCTACACTTTACTATGCACCTGAACTTGCCGTGTAGATGCCCCTGCCAAACCCCTGCAAGTTAGATTGTCTGAAGCAGGAGGGTCCAGAAGCCTGATGAGCTGCATTCAGGAATAAGAGCTGCCTGGAAGGATTCAGTTATTGATCTTGGCTGTAGGGCGTTGCCTGCTGTATCATTTCAGTTATCAAATACAAATTCTTAACGAGGTAGAGTTTCACAGGTGACGTCTCCTCCAACTGCCTGTGCATTAGTAGAAACCCAGTGACTTTTTTTTTTTTTTTTAGAACTTTTCTTCTCCACAGGTCAGAGTCTTGATTCTACAAGGCTCTAAGCTTCTTGATGCTAGGGACATTCTCTCCTTTTATTTCTGTGCTCCAGGCATATTACTTGCCAACGTTTGCTGAATAAATGGATGGGTGAGTTGAATCTGTTTGAAATTTTAAATGATGTAGTATCAGTTTCTGTTTGTCTTTTTTTGTTGTTATAGAAGCAAGCACATGGAGAAACTAGAAGTAGACCCTAGCAAGCACTCATTCCCTGATGTGACTAACATAGTTCAAGAGAAAAAACACACACCCAGAAGACGACCTGAACCCAAAATTATACCAAGTGAGGAAGACCCAACCTTTGAAGACAACCCTGAAGTGCCTCCGCTGATTTGAAACATCTGGCTGCGTTGCCATTGGCTGAGACCCACCAGGTCCAGTTTTGGTTGGTGTAGAGACCATATGCATATTATTCCTGGGATAAACACAGAGTTATTTGTCAATATCGCTGCTCCAGTGTTTTAACTCTTACTTTGCATAGTAATATCCTTAAGATAGCTTAAAATTAAAATGTATGTCTTAAATGCTATAACTCATCATTTACCTATAATAAAGGGTTGGTATTGAAAATGTTTAGTAAGATCATAGAACTATTGCATAAAACACTGATTATAAATACTGTCTACTTATGCAAAGTATTAATTCATAGATAAAAGGACTGAGTATTAAATTGGTACTTCAGCAAAGTGGTCAAGCTTAGAAGTTAAAACTGTAATTTCAGACCCAATTGGAATACTTTAATATGATTTTAAACAGCATTTCCATTTTCCTTCCCATGATGTGTCTGCTTTCTCTGGTGGCATGGTATAATGGCAAGAATATGAGTTTTGAAACCAGACACTCTATATTTGGATTCCAGCTCAATCACTTTGTAAAGACCTTCAGCAAGTCCTTTAATTCTCTGAGCCTTAGTGGCTTCATGTATAATCTGGGAATAATAACACTTGCCTCACAGGTTTGTCTCAAGATAAACTGCAGAAAGCACTTAGTACAGTGTCAGCCATACATTTAGAGCCTCTTCTCTCTCTCCTTCTTCCCTTTCTCCTCTCTCTTCTCCTCCCTTTCTCCTGTCTCTCCTCCTCCCTGCTCCTTCTTCCCCTCCCTCCCCAATTACTTTTCTCCCCTTATTCTTTTTCTTCACCTTTTTACTCCCCATCCCACTCCTTCTCCTCTATTTCCTTCTTTACTTTTTTAATATCCTACCTCTTCTTTATCTAGAACATTATGAATTCAATATTTCACATACATTGTAGGACAAATTACTGTTACTCTGATCATGATATAGCAACATTTAAGTCAGTTTCCCCAAATATTCATTCAACAAATACTTATTGAGCAACTATTGAGTGCTAGCCCCCTCTCTGTTCATCAGGGATTTAGTAGTAACAAAGCAGACAAATACATACACACAGACTATGTCAGGTGGTGTTCAGAGCTGTGAAGGAGAGTCAGAGTGAGGGAATCAAGGGTGATGGGTGCTTTTTCAGACAGGGCCTTTCTCTATTAAACAGGCTTCCAGTGGAAGACTCTGCTAATGTTTAGCAGATAACCAAAATGCATCAGTTAGAAAAAAATATGATGAGAATGAGGGACTGGTTATAGGAATGCAATTGGGCACAAATGTGGGAAGAGCTGGGTAGTGAAGCTCTAGAAGGGAGAGGTAGAGAATTGGAAGAAGAAGCACTGGTACAGGTAGACAATTCAGAACTTGCACAGAATCTGAGAAGCTGAAGTAGGACTGTGATTGGGAGCTTGTGGAGAGGTCTATGGAAATTATCATGCTGCTGAAATTGTTGCCTCTATTTATCTGCTACCCTTCTGGTCCGTGGCCAAGATCCTGGTGGGTGGGCTTGGAGCCAGCCTTCGTCAGCAGGCCTGCGGTAAGAAAGATGGGATGGACACACAGTGGTGGAGATCAAGGATCAGCTGCAGCAGGCTGGGTCCCTCTGCATCTGTCCATCACTGCGACTGATGGCAATGACTGAGTATAACACCTTTCTTCATGGTCAACTCTACCCAGGAACCACGTAGGGAAGGAAATTCTGGAAAACAGCTCCCAGCCTTAGCCAACTTGACATATCATAATCCAACAGAACTCAACCTCTACCAACTTGGAAATCATGTACATTTGTCAGGACTGTATTTAATTTCCACATAGAGAGAAAGCAAAATTATACTTTTGACCAAACTAATAGAATTATCCATTAAACAAACAAAACTGTGCCATCTGTTATGGACTGAATAATTGTGTACTCACAAAATCCATATGTGGAAGCCCTAACCCCCAGTGTGATGGTATTTGGAGGTGGGCCTTTGGGAGATAATTAGGATTAAATAATATCATGAGGGTTGGTTCCTCATGATGGTATTTGTGTTTTTAAGAGGAAGAGACACTGGAGACCACTCTCTCTCAGCCATCTGGCCATCTGAGGACATAGCACTAAGTCAGGAGGAGATCTTGGACTTTGGCCTCCAGAACTGGGAGAAATACATTTCTGTTGTTTTACGCACCCAGTCTGTGGTACTTTTTTGTGGCAGCCCAAGCAGATGAGGACATTATCCCTCTCCCAAAAAAGATACACAGAGTCCTGCATGTGACCTCTTTCATCCGTGACTGATGGTTATTTCTCTTCTAGAGGACTCACACTCTCATTTTTATATCCTATGAATTAAATATGGAGATATAAAGTTAACCACTGTTAACACATCTTATATTAGAATGGAAAAAAAAAGAAACAAAGTGAAGGGATTTACGTATATAGATAAATTCATATGTGGATGTACATATGTGGTCCACTCTAACTGTGGACCATGGTGTTGTTTTGGGTCCCCAGGAATTTCCATTGGTTCAGAGCCAATGTCCAGTAATCCCTGAAATGTCTGGGTGTTTCTTTCCTCTCAGTGCACAGTCACCCTCGTAATTGTGGGCCCCTTTGCAGAAAGCTAAAAGGAAGATTTATAGAATAAAATTTTGGCAGTATAGCAGGGTTCTTCCCCAAGGAGATCCAGCTGTCAGGTAGTAAACCAGGAAGATGTCTGAGGGAAGAGTGTTCCAAAAACTAGACAGATCTTTGTATATGGATATGTGTGTTTACACACATATATATTCATATCGAAGCAAGGAAGAAATACCATCACTACTATAGATCTTGTTTTTGAAGCTGATCATGTGGCTGCAGCTGATAACCGATATTTATAGCCTTCTCCTTCCACTACTTATTTCATGTTACCTTTCCTTCAGCAAGCACCTCCACGGGGTAGTTCCTGATGTCATGGGGCAACCCAACCTTCATTCCTGCACATTCTGTGCCATTGACAGTCCTATCTATATTGGGTGGTTTAGTTTTCCATTTACTGTTACCACAAAACTGGAGGTACTAAAAAGATGCCCCAAGAATTATCTGCATTTCAGTGAAATCCCTCCCTCTTCTCTCCTACTGCCCTTGAGCAGTAGCTATTCATTTTCTTGTCATGGTGAAATCTCCCAGCCAGTACACTAACTTCCTTCTTTGCCTGTTAGTTCACTGGCACAAAGACCCCAACATGGCTAGATTTGTCTCCACTTGCAATTAGAAGGCAGCATTGTTGTGTTTTCTGATGAAAGCACTCTTTCCTTTGGAACCAATCTCTCTAAACCAGCAGAGCCCCAAGTTCCAGAAGCAGGAAGTAAAATGTTGTCGAGTTCATTAGTAGGGGCAGTAGTGAGTGGGCCATACTCACTCCCATCCCTTGGTCCCAGATCTATGCATCTTGGCTATGAAAGAAACAGCACCATATATTGGATGGGGATTCAGATTCTATATTATATCCAAAGGAACATTACCTCATCCACAAAAAGCATTATATCACATCCTGGCACTTTAATTAAACCTTCAAAAGGCCACTTCATTGTTCTGTCAGGCCAGCTGCTCCAGGTAAGTTCATTGAATTCTATGGCATCATTCTATTGGCATGCTTCATTTGCTGGAAATTGAGTTGCTTGGTTAGAAGTGACACTCCATGAAATACTATGACAGTGAATACGGCATTTGTTAGGTATGTCCACAGATAGTGGTTTTGGCAGAAGCATTATAGGGAAGGAAGAAAGATTTATGTTCAGAATAAGTGCATTTTCCAGTGAAAATAAGGGTCTTTCTCTTCCATAATAGAATTGTTATTGTGTAATCAACTTGCCACCAGGTAGCTGGCTGGTCCTATAGGGCCTTTAAGTGGCTGCATATGGGACTAAGTGTTGGCTTCTACTTTTGTCGTATTTGTCACTGTGAAAGTCTGAAAACATCTGCAAATTACCGGACACTCCTTCCATCAAGAGGTGGAGTCTCTGCCCTCTTACCTTGAATCTGGGCTAAACTTGGTGACTTGCTTCTAACCTATAGAAATGATGCCATAAGGCTTTCACGGCCATACCACTAGATGGCTGTCATAGCCATACCAATTCTGCTTGGCTCTCTTGGGACACTTGCTCTGGGCAAATCCAGCCACCATGTAAGAAGTTCGACCACTCTGAGACTGCCATGCTGGAAATGCCAGACAGGGGCGTTCCAATCATAGCCTCAGCAGTGTTCCTGGCTACCGCATCAACTTCCAGACAGACAGGTCTGCCATCTTTGATATCCAGTCCAGTCAAGCCTTTAGATTACTGCAGTTCTAGCCAACATCTGGCTGCAACGGCAGGAGAGACCCCAAGTGAAAACTATCCTGCCGAGCTTTCCCAAAATGGAACCCACAAAATTGTGGGAGAAATACAATGGTTTTAATTTCCTAAATTTTGGGGGTAATTTTTCTTTTGGTAGCAATAGCAATCACAACATATTTGGCATCTGGAGATGGGGCTTTACCAAAACAAAAACCTAACACATATGCTTATTGCTGGGGGCCAGGGAGCAGTCAAGCTGGAAGGACCCTGAGGAGGCTGATGCATTTGGATGCTCCAGGAAACAGACACCAAGAAGTTAGAACTGCAAGAGATTTACTGGGGGGTAATGCCTAAGGAAGAAGGAGGAAAGGGGGCAGAAGTGCAAATGAGATGCCTTAAGACCACAAGTTTAGATGTGACTTTGACACCTGTAAAATGAGGCAGAAGGAAGAGGAAGGAGGATTGGCTAGAAGGATCCTCTAACTGCAGCTCTGAGAAAATGTCAGCCAATGGGTAGCTCCAGCACAAAGATTGTCACAGAAGGTGGGCATGCTGGGCAGAAATGGCCAAGCCTGGATGCCCATGCCATGTTGAGTTATTGACTGGAAGCTGCCTTGAAGAGTGTGGGGGCCTCCGCCCGAATGCTGCAGTGGACCTGGGAGGCACTTGCCGCTGAGGTTTTCGGCTCTTTGCACTCCTTGTGGTAGGTTCTGTCTGGAAGAGATCTGAGCAGTGCATCTCTGTGGCTACACAAGACTATTAAGGAAACTTGATAGGCCCAGGAGGCTGTCAGTGAGGATGTATAGGAAACTAAGGAACATGCTCTTCCCTGATGGAGGAAAGGAGGTCCTCGTTATGTAATAGAAAAAAGTTTAGTAACTGTTGCCTATGGTAACATGAAAAAAATTTTTAATGTACCTGCTGACTTGATGCATTTAATGAAAGAGATTTCCAAATAGAATGCTGAAAGTGTCCACTAGGGTCTTGCAGCTACAAATCACAGGGTACAAATAGTGATAAGCTAAAGAGGACATGTAAAGGAGCTAACCTGGCTAGGTTCAAAACTAAAAGTTTCTCATCCCAGTCTCTTTCAGCAGAGTGAAACTGGCCTCACTGTAACTGTGGGCCACTGTGTTGTTTGGTGTCCCCGTGGGTAGTGTTTCCTGAAGTTGGGGGTACACAGGCTGGTATGTGACTCATGCCGGAGAAGCTTCTAAATGACAGTGGGCCGGGGTCTGATCCTGCAGGTGGAATCAGTCCAGACGGCCAGAGAAGGGCCGTGCTGGGGCAACAGGAGAATGCGGCCCTCTCCTAAAGCTGGCTGAGGTTCCCGGAGCAAAGGATGGCCTGGGTTCATCTAGGGCACTGTTCATTTGCACTACTGGAGGGGTGAGGAGCCTGGGAGAAGAGGCTGGAGTGTGCTGCAGGACGCCAGGGACTGAGGATGGAATCTCAAAGGAGTGGAAAGAACAAAGGATGTAGGAGAGAGGGGCAAACAGAGAACCTCTGAAGAGGCCAGGAAAGAGTCTCAAGAGGGAGAAAAACTGCCTCCAATTCTCCCCCAACCCCGCAGAGCAGGAAGCCTTACCAAGCCCTTAAGAACAGTCAAGGTCCTGTTTTTCCTAGCCTGTGACTTGAATGAATAAGGGAGGGGGTGGTCACCAGGACCCAGAGAGACAATTGAGTCCAGTAGGCAACTGACAGGAACTGAGACCCCCTTCCAGGGGCAGCCCACCCAGTACCAGCCACAGGGAGACAGCTGGGGGAATGGACATCTTGACCTGATTCCCTTCTTCCCTCCCATCTCTTGCTAAAGCTTCCCAGTGACCAAAACCCACTGGAAGCCAGAGGCAAGGGAGCCTGTTGATGGGGTCCTTCGAGGTCATCTTCCTGGGCACACAGCATGGTGAAGGGCAGGGGAAGGAGCCAGCATTCTCCCTTTTATCTTCCTTCATCCCCCACTCCACCTCTCCCACACTGGAGGAGGCGGCTAGAGATCCAGAGTCCAGTAGACCATGATGTAAGCAGGATGAGAGAAGGGAGAGGAAGAACCACATTACCGCCACCTTTTCTGTTGCATTTCTAACTTCAGCATCCTGAGAAGGGGACAGAAGAGGAGAGGAGACAGAGGATGCAAAGTCAGGGTTTTGACCATTATAGGGACAATCTCATCTCTGAATAGAGACGAAGAATATGAGTCCAATGGCTGAAGGGCCAAGAAGAAATGCCACGGGATCTGCCTGAATCTTCATCCAGGGGCAGGAAAGGGCCACCCCCACTGAAGAAAGATGAAGGCATAGTGGAAGACAAATCTGTTGTGTTTGGATCACACTGACAAGGTTAACATTCATGCTTAAAAGTTCATGGATAATAAGCAGTGATTCCAGAAACTGGCGCTCCGGCTGCTCCTTCCAAAGTCCCTCATGCCACCCTCTCATGCTCTGCCACTGATCCTTTTTTACTTCCAGGGGCCTGGTTTGCTTATGGCTCCCATGTGAGCACCGCCAGCAGCAGGAGAGGCCTTCAGTTCTCCTCCCAGTCCTCACGACGAAGAAACTCATCAGGCGTGATGCCCAACACCCTGCATGCCATGCATTTTCCTTCGGATTTCCTTCTGATTTCCTTTTCTTGAGCAGGGTGAACCGGCCCTGTGGTATCAATGCCTATCCTGGTCACCATCCCCCACACAGCTGTTTGTGTCTGCATTCTCCTCCTGGCTGCCATGATGAGCCTGGCAGCTGCATGCTCCTGCATGTGAGTGGCCTGCAAATGTCCAGGGGAGACCACTGACAGTGACCACTGAGGAGATGTGAGTCTGGCTCAAGCCCCCCGGGCTTGAGTGGCCATGTCCTCCTTCGTTGCTCATGGGAAGACTGCCCCCCATGTGACAGCTGACTTGCAGCATGTGGTGTGTGTCTGTCACCCTTTGCAGCCTGTCACAGCTTTCCTGATGCATTTGGATGGAAAGTGCTACCCCATCTGCAACTGACGCATGTCAGGCCAATGTATCTACCACTCTGTGGCAGACCCAAGCTAAATTAGCGGTTCGCTTCTACGTCTGCTCCCTAATTATTGCTGTTTGCATTTGGTCTGGTGTTTTCCTTGTATTCGAGATCAGCTGCAGCTTGTCCAGCTGCTTGGGCTCTCCACTCAGCACACATTTACCAAGCACCTAGGAGGCACGAGGAACCATATCAGGTGCCAGGGAAGATTCGCTTCAAAGGTCCCATGATTCCAGTTCTAATGTTCCTTCCACAGAGGACTCTGCTCCCTCCAGTCATCACATGAAGGCTGGTCACTGAGGGTCGCCTCTCCCCTCCACCCTCTACTCCATGTGCACCCACTCCCAGGGCCCAGTCTCATGGCTTCTGCCACCAGCTCTGGGTGGATGCCTCTGAAATCTCTATTTTAGGCCTTGAGTTTGTGCCTAAACTTCCTCTCTCTTCTCCTGGATGTCTTATACGTGATTCCATATAAAGTTCAGTGTCTTCCTCCTCATTTTTTCTGCCACTTCATCTTATTCTGCCTCTTCTGGCTTTTGTTTTATGGATTCACTTCCCAATCACCCAGATTAGAAAACCCTGTCACTGCTTCCTATATTCAACATTCAATTGGAAACTAACTCCTGTACACGTTACCTCAACTAAAGCAGCTCCAATCCTCTCCAAACCCTGTCTGCATTTAATCCCCATCATCTGCTGTGCCAATGTGGCCCCAACCTCAGCCCTCCTTGATATAAATGCCCCCTTTGAGTGTTACCCAAGGGCAAGGCTGAACACATCAGATCTGGGCCCCAACCTGCTATGTGCCACACCTCTCCCATGGCACTCACCCTGCCCACAGCACCAAGGTTGTCACCATCCCTGACAGCCAGTGTGACATATCCCCTGACCCCCTGCTGGTGGTGTGCCTGGACTGAGGCTGGTGGTGTGTTGGATCTGAGGGGCCCAGGGGAGCTCCTTTCAGGCTTGGGCAGGAGTGGGGAGTGCTGCCAGGGCCCAGGGACACAGTGAAGGTCCTGCTGGTGGAGGGGAAGGCAAGACAAAGTGCACAAGACATCTCTTCCTTGACAAGAACGTCCATTGTTGGAATCATTATAAACCAGTGGAGCTTTTGTCAGAGAGACATGAAGTCTGATATAATGAGCTATCATCTTGCTTCAGCTGCACTGGGTAAGTGAGCCAGTCCTCATGCTATCAAGGTGAGAAATCATGGCCACCATGAGCCAGGAGCTTCCTGCAGCAGGACCCAGGGTTACAGAGAATCGTATTATTTACTCTGCTCACCTCCACCAACAAAGGAAAAACAATGCTGTCTGGTTACTATTGCTACCTAACAAACCATTCTGTATTTAGTGACATAAATCAACAAGTTTATTATGCTCAGGGTCTCTGTAGGTCAGAAATGCCAACAGGCACAATGAGGACACCTTGACTTTTCTCTTATGCCTCAGACTGGAAGACCCACAGATCAGGGGTGACTTGGAATCTGGAGGCTGGAATCATCTGGAGATGTCTTTACTTGTGCATTTGGCAGCTGATGCTTTTGACCAGCCTTCAAGTGGCCCGACAGCCAGAACGGCCACACATGTCCATGACAGCTAGTCCAGGCTTCCTCAGGGCAGGGCAGAGTGGTTGGGTTCCAAGAGTGAGCACCCCAAGAGGACAATGAAGGGATGCATGGCTTTTTTTTTTTTTTTCGACAGAGTCTCACTCTGTCACCAGGCTGGAGTGCAGTAGCACGATCTTGACTCCCTGCAACATCCCTCTCCCCAGTTCAAGCAATTCTCCTGCCTCAGCCTCCCGAGTAGCTGGAACTATAGGCACGCACCAAGCCTGGCTAATTTTTGTATTTTTAGTGGAGACAGGGTTTCATCATGTTGGCCAGGATGGTCTTGATCTCTTGACATCATGATCCACCCGCCTCGGCCTCCCAAAGTGCTGGGATTACAGGCATGAGCCATCACGTCCAGCCAGATGTATGGCATTTTAAAAACCTAGCCTTGGAAGTTGCATAGCTCATTTCTGCCATACCCTAACCATCAGGGAAATTACAGAGGCCGGCCCAGGTTCAAAGGGAGAAGAGTCTCCACCTCTTGCTGGGGAGAGTACAAGGTTCTCAAAGAGCATGTGGAACAAGAGATATTGTTGGGAGATCTTTGGAAAATACAGTCCACCACAACGCCCTTCCTCCTCCATGAAGCTCTTAGGTGACATTGCAATGTTCCCTGTGTCAAGAAGAGGAGGTGGTTCCTCACCTGTTGTTGTATAAATAAAAGATGTGGGTGATGGGGGGTGGGGGAAGATACAGGTTTAATTTTACCCCTAGGCCATTTTTAGAACCTACATCACTGCCTGCCTCTCCTTCCTTTGGAGGGTTCTGGAGATAAAAATATTTACAAATCAATGCAAGGCCAAATAAAAGATCCTCAGAGGCAGTTTAGAAGAGTGGTTCAGAATTATGAATTAGATCCTCTTTGGTGTTCCTTAGGTTATGCAGATAAAAATAGAAAAGAAAAATTTTAATTTCCTCTGGCTGTATTTCTCTGAAAGCCACACTGAACTGTAATATTGTACTTACCTATTCATTAATTATTTTTCTGGTAGTATCTTTGAATTCTATCTAATATAACTCAAATTTTCCAAGGTGTCAGTATGTGAGTTTATCTGGGATCATTGCCATGGCCTTCATTCAAATTTCTCTGGCTCTAGCCCCATCTGCTGATGAAGGACCTCCAGCTTGTGTGCCCATGTATTTCTGGGGAACCTCTCACAGTGTCAGTGTTTCTCTACTCAATTGGACAGCACCTTCTGGGGACATCCTCCCCTCCAGCCTCCAGTCTCTGCTGCTGTTCTTTGGACCACTATGCATGCCCCTGGGCTCTGGCCATGCCAACATGTCCAGGAATTGCAGGCAATCCTTTACTATTAATAGAAGAGTTCCCAGTGCAGTTCTTTGAGGGCTCTCAGACTTTAGAGAAGAGACTACTTTTGCATGAATTGAAAATGTTTTCCCTGGTCTTTGTTCTGTGTGCAAGTGGGGGGTGTTGGGGTAGAAGTGAGAATACTGTCTCCCTCTCCTGTGTCTTCAGCTGTGGATGGTCAGTGGCCATCACCTAGCCAGTGGTGCATAATGAGATTCCTGACAGTGTGGATCCCTTGTCATTGTTCTCACCTGTCGTCAAAGTACAAACAGATACTGGATCTCCAAGAAAGCTTTGGGTATTCTTTCCAAAAAGCTCCGATAATTGACCCAACTTTGTACACCACTGGTGAAAGAACTGCCAGCCCCTTCACTGTCATTCCAGAAGCAAAGCCTCGCACTCTAGGACTTGAGTTGATGTCCTCAATTGATACTCTTTCCATAATCCATGCTTCCATTCCTCTCTTTTCTCAAGCCCTGTCTTCTTAATCCTCTTCCCCCAACAGGACCCCAGCTGTCCCGTTTTCTTGGAAGTACCAGACCTCTCTATAAAAGTGATCAAAACTAAGCCTTCTGCTGTGTCTTAAAAACGTTGTCAATTGCATCATTCTGGGAGCCGCAGAGAGAAAGGTAGGATCTTGTTTTGCTGCAGGCTGACCTTGTGAGGTTTAGGTTTAGGTGGGGCCATCTGGAAGAGTAAGCTCTACCCCTTAGAACAGGGCAGGAGGAGGGGAGGACTCTTCCATTCTGAGATACAAATAAAACCCACCTTATACCATGAACATTATTTTCCAAAAAACCCTGATTTGGACTCCATATGGCAGTCATATATATTCTTTCTGGTAACATAACTTTGCTTGGCCTCATTTCTTGTGAACAGTCGTGGTCTTATTTTGTTTAGAGATTGTTCATGCAATAGCTGCCTTGGGTAACCAACAGAGCTGTAGGACGTTGTCAGACAATGACGCATTCTGTGCCCAATCTCTTCTCCTGAATTCCCAGGATTCACCTCCAAGTTAGGAAGGCAGTGGTATTTTTATTTAAGTAGCTACCCTATGCAAAGCCATATCTCTCCTTAGGACTCAGCCAGTTTCCCCAGGTTCTGCTAAAGGCGTATTTTGGAATTGTCACCACACTATCCTCTGAGCCACCACTCTTCTCGGGAGGTTAAAGTCTGTTCCTGGTACAGCTCTTGAAGCCAACCCCTGCACTCATCAGGTTGAGTTCTCCCCCAAAAATGAGTTAACAGAGCAGGTCTGAGGCTGCTATGCTTAGAAAGACCTGCAGGCATGGCCGTCATCTGGGAACTTGGACTTGGGGAGGGTTTCCACCTTCCCCAGAATTGATAAGCGTGGCTCACAGTACCTAAACAGACGATGTGGTATATGTTGAACTTCTGCTTTCCCTTCTGGGAGTCTGGAATTTTGGTATGTGCCAGGTAGAGGCAGACAATAAAAGCCTTGGGCCCTGAGTCTCTAAGAAGTATTCCTGGTAGACAGCATTTAACACATGGCATGACTTGTTGCTGGAAGAATTGAATATATGCCATGTGACCCCATGGGGAAAAGACTCTTGGGAGCTTTCCTCTGGTTTCCTCTGGGCTTTCCCCCATGCACACTCCTTTTGCTGATTTTGCTTTACATTCTTTAGTTGTAATAAATTATTGCCATGAGTATGACTATAGGCTATGTCCTGTGAGTCCTCCGAGCAAATTACCAAACGCGGTGATGGTCTTGGGGGTCTCTAAATGCTCCTTCATCCCAGTTTGTTCTCCCACCCCTGTGAGTCTTTCCTCAATCGCCCTACCATTCCCTGGAGACATCCAGATACACCTGGTGATATGGTTTGGCTGTGTCCTCACCCAAATCTCATCTGGAATTGTAGCTCCCATAATCCCCATGTGTCATGGGAGGGACCTGGTGAGAGGTAATGGAATCATGGGGGAGGGTTTTTCCTGTGATGTTCTCATGATAGATAATAAGTCTCACAAAAATCTAATGGTTTTATTGTTCCATGCACATGCTCTCTTGCCGGCCACCATGTAAGAAGTCCCTTTGTTCTTCCTTCATCTTCTGCCATGATTGTGAGGCCTCACCAGCCATGTGAAACTGTGAGTCCATTAAACCTCTTTCCTTTATCAATTACTCAGTCTTGGGTATGTCTTTATTAGCATCATGGGAAAGAACTAATGCACCTGGACAGCAGTAATGAGTCCAGCCGAGGTGGACCCAGCCTGTATGCCCACTGAAATCTGCTTTATAACACATTTTCCAATGACCTAATTTTTAATTCACATTTTTCTATATCATTACACTTCATATGCCGTTATAATATACCTTGAAATTTTGTGGAATGGAATGATATAAATATATAAATGAAGCCTGTTTGATTATATACAATAAAATTAGGAATCAATAAAAGGATAGATAAAACAATATTTTTGAATCTAAAAAACAGACTACAGAGTGATAATTGGGTTAAAAAGAAATAAATGAGTTTAAATGACAATGAAAAGATGATTTGTCAAAATACGAAAGATGAAGCTCATTGCTTAGAAGAAAATTTAGAGCTTTTGTTAAAAGACACTTTTTTGGATAAAACTATAACTCTCCTTTAAATGTAGAATAAATAAACGTGAGAGATTGTATTTAGCTCACTAATGAGTGAACCTGTAGGGTATTACAACTGCTTCAAAGGAGAATTCAAGAGTCATTAGCATATAGCATGCAGGATGCTAAAATGAATTTACAAATAAATACAAAATCAGTATATCCACAGGGCAATGACCAAATGCAATCTCCTTGACACATTTTTGTCTTATTATCAATTGTCTACAAATTACATGGTTATTGAAGTAGACAATGAAATCTGGAGACAACAAAGAAAAGTGGGCCAGAGAGGTGACCCAGTAATTTAGTTTTGCCCATTTAAAAGTCTTTCACAACTTTTCTTGAACTTTGAGTATGTTTATTAAAAAATATCAAAGACAAAAACAAACTTAGAATTCAACTCAGGAAGCTTGAAAACAAGCAAACATACATAACTCAAAGATAGAAGAGAAAAATCAATTATGAAGATAGGACAAAAATCAATGAATTAGAGGACAACAACAACAACAAAAAAAAACAAATAGAGAAGCCTGTTTATTTGAAAAGACTAATCGGGTAAACTCTGGTAAGATGTTTGAAAGAAAGAGGAAGGTGATGCAAATGATGAAATAGAAAGATGATTAACAAAATGTAGGATGAAAGCATGAACATGGCTAACTATGTAAAAGAAATTTAAATTTCTTAATAAAATATTAAATAAACTATACACCAATACATTTGAAATTTCAGGAAAACTATCTCATGACAAAATTGGCATTAAAAATAGAAAACTTAAATTGACCAATAACTTTTAAAACTTTACAATGTTAAGAAACAAACTTTGATCTACAAACTCCTTCCCCCATCACCAAATTCCTGAGTTCTTGGAAGTTTTATGAGAATTCAAGAAAATGTTCAAAATATAAAATAGTCTATGTCATTTAAGGTGGTCTGAAAAAGGAAAAGAGATGAAAAACTGCTTAAATATTTATATGACACTTAAAATGATTTTAATATCTAACTGGATATTCAAAAATATATGGAGCAATTTCATTTATGGATATGAATATAAACTCTTAAATACAATACTAATTGCCCAGGTGCGGTGGCTCACACCTATAATCCCGGCACTTTGGGAGGCCAAGGCGGGTGGATCACCTGAGGTCAGGAGTTTGAGACCAGCTTGAACAACGTGGTGAAACCCCGTCTCTACTAAAAATACAAAATCAGCTGGGTGTGATGGTGCATGCCTGTAATCCCAGCTACTTGAGAGGCTGAGGCAGGAGAATTGCTTGAACCCGGGAGGCGGAGGTTGAAGTGAGCCAAGATTTTGCCACTGCACTCCAGCCTGGGCAACGAGAGCGAAACTTCATCTCAAAAAATAAAAAAAATAAAAAATAAAAATAAAAAAATAAAAAAAATATATATAGAGAGAGAGAGAGTAACTAATTTCATACCATTGCATTAAAAATCACACATCACTGCGAGTAACCTTTATCTCAGGAATGCAGAAGTGGTTTAATGTTACAAATTCAATCAATTTAATTTACATTAATCTATAGGAAAGGAGAAGCATTGCACCATCATGTCAATAGGTCAGAAGTTTAATAGTTACGATTTTAAGCGGAAAAAAATGAACTCTTAGAACAATGGATATTTTTTAAAAAGAACTTTAACTTGGTAATAATTTTTGCTAAAAACTTATAGCACACAAAATCCTTAAAGATCCGTTATTTATATGCATTTTATTATGGTCTGCACAAGAAAAGGATGTTTTCTATGCCTGTTACTGCTCAACATGCTACTGCAGATTTTGACCCCCCAAAGATACAAGTACAAACATAAGAGGTATTAGGATATCCTTACTTGCAGATAATGGGATTATTTTCATAGAAAGCGTATGAGGAAAAAGACAAGTTGTTAGAACAAGTAAGTTCGATAAATTTTCCAGATATGAGATCAGCAGACGAAGTCTCACAGTGTCCCTCTACATCAGTAATCTTGAATTAAAAGTGTAGTAGAATATTAGCTGCCATTTACAAACAAAAATTTGCCATTCAGAAACAAAATTCATAAAGTACCTAAGGATTAACCAAAGACTGCAAAAATATTGAGAAAAATTTAGATTCTATTACAGGACATGAAGAAGTCCTTCTAAATGGTTGTACATACCATTGTGCGTGGATAGGGTGATTAAATATTAAAACTTTGTCAAATCTTTGATAATTAATATATAAGTTCAATTAATTTCCAATAAAAACAATAGCATTTGGGAGCTCAGCAAATAGCTAAGACAAATTTTAAAATGAAAACGAAAATGAACTGCAGATTCAACTTACTACATACAAAGGTCTTCCCTTGGTCCATTACCATAAATGCATACTAAATAATACAAACGAAGGTATTGTGATAATGACAAAATAATAAATAAAAAAGGACAGAAATTAAAAATAGACCTTTGGAAATTGTATGATAGATGATAGAAATATCATCATTAGTAAAGGGCTGACAGGTGAATTACTTAGTAAATCATATTGGGAAAGAGAAAAAATAAGCATCCCTACTTCCCAACTAAGCAAACATAAAGTTCAAATAGATTAAAAATGCAAATTTAAAAGACACATTTATGAAGCTAATAGAAAATAAATATATGAATATGTTAAGATCTTGGGGGAGGGGGAAGATATTTTCAGCAAGGCCCCTAATATCAAAACTTATGTGCAAATGTCTAAAACAAGAGGTAAGTGTCAAAAACACCTGAGAGATTCAGAGATCAGAAAAAGAAGGAAAAAAAAAAGGAGTAGGAAATTGACAAAAGGCAAAATCTAATTGGCTAATTCGTATATTTCACTGGCAATCAGAAAAGACAAAGATAGTCAAACTTAATGTTATTAAGTACTGAGAAGACGTGGACAAACAGGAACACTCCTTCTGCTCTCAGAAACAGCAGGTCTTGGTGACCTTAGGTAAGTGCAGGGAGATTGATGGTCAAAGCACTTAATAATTAGTTTCCCATGCAACAACCAATCAGAACAGATGCCTGGCCAATCACAGAGAAGTCACCCTGCAATGCATATGCCAGCACAACTCACACCTAGTTCCAGAAAGAAAGGTGGGTCTGGGTTTTACAACAGTGTTGTCTGTGATAGCAGAGTTAGGGGACACCCATGTCCAGCATTCAGGGAAATGCATGAAGAAAATGACATTTGTGCTTCAAATGCCAATCTTTTTGGTGTCAGACATCATGAGTTAGATGTACATACAGAAACATGGCTAGATCTTTAAAAAGTAGTAACCAGAAAAAAGACTAAGAAATTAAGTGAAAATTAAAGCATGAATCAATCTTGGTAAATTTTAAAAATCACATACCCCATGAAATACATGTTTTTAAAGGACATATATATACCACAATGAATGTATGAAAGATAATTTGAAGGACAGAAATGAAATAAAGTGAATTGGATGTCTGTGGAAGAGTGGAATGGGTGTGGGGACGTGGGATGACAGAGAAAATAATTAAAATGCATATATCCTTGCATTCATAAATACATAAATAAACCAGGCAGAGGCTTCACGTGAAGTAATAAGGGTGATATCTAATGAATGAAAAAATACGATGATCTCTCTTCAGTAAAGCTTAGATCCTAAGCAGGAAGTGAGGGGATAGGAAATCAGTAAATTAATATTGCTTTCTTATTTATTTATGTATTTTTTGAGACGGAGTCTCGTTCTGTCGCCCAGGCTGGAGTGCAGTGGCCCAATCTCAGCTCACTGCAAGCTCCATCTCCTGGGTTCACGCCATTCTCTGCCTCAGGCTCACGAGTAGCTGGGACTACAGCCGCCCACCACCACACCCGGCTAATTTTTTGTATTTTTAGTAGAGATGGGATTTCACCGTGTTAGCCAGGACGGTCTCGATCTCCTGACCTTGTGATCCATCTGCCTCGGCCTCCCAAAGGCTTTCTTATTTTTATACTTCTCTTAGGGAATGAGAAATCACCTAACAAGAAACAGAGAAGTTCACATTAGTGGTCACTCAAAAAATTTTTAAACAAATATGAGTGCTTACTATGCAAAAGCATTGTCTAAACCCCTTGGGCTACACAGATGACCAATAAAAATGTGCTTCCTAGGAAAGTTTATGTTCTAGAAGGAGGAAATAGTAGAATCTCTGAAAAAGACCTGTTGTCCTCCATAGGAGTGTTCCAGGCCTGGCCTTACTAATGAAGAGAGCACCAAGAGGCAGGATAGTCCATGTTTCCCATTGAAGGACAAGGACAAGGCTGTTGAGATTAGTGTACCTTTGTACCTAATTTTCACAGCACTTGAAATGGTGGTCGAAGGAAGGAAACTGAGGAAGAGGAAGGAGACAGGCAGGCAAGGTGTGTGACCTCAGAATGTCTGAGAAGATGCCAGACATTCCAAACTGCACATGGGGTGTGTGACCTGCCAGGATATTTCCTGCCTTATGAACTCATTTAAAGGGAAAGACATACAACATACCATCATACCATCATTAGATCATCACTTCATTTAGTTACACATTTAATAAATTATCTTTACCCAAAAAACAAAGGATATATGGAAGCAAGCAGCAAAGACCACACCAAGAGTGAATACATATGCGAGCACATATACATACATATCACATGTATCACACATACATATTTGTTTTTATAAACATATATTTGAAAGTTTACATAAATAAACTTTTTCTCAGACTGTTTTTGTGGGCATGATATTGATATTTTCTCCCTGGAGCTTGGGACAGACGGGGCGCCCGCTGCATTTGGCCACGTGAGGGGTCACAGTGATGAGTCCTTTGGGACTCTCTCTGAAGATGAGAGTGAGTATCAATAAACCACAGGCCAAATCTTCCCTCTGACTGTTTTTGTACAGCCTGTGAACTAAGGACTGGTTTTACATTTTTAAATAGTTGGAAAAAATCAAAAGAAGAATCATATCTTATGATATGTGAAAATTATAGAAATTCAAATTTCATTGTCCACAAAGTTGAGTTGGAACTCAGTCCCTCTGGTTTGCGTTTTGCCCATGGCTGCTTTCTCACTGCAGCAACAGAGCTGAGTAGCTGCAACAGATTTCCCATGGCCCACAAAGCCTGAAATACTTACTCTCTGGCCCTTCACAGTTAAGTGGACTGTGGAGAAAAATTTCCCATTGAGAATTGTTCAAAGAAATGCTGTGAAAACATGTCATTTCTTTATTGGTTAATGGGTTATAAAAATCACCTCTCAGGTCACCTTGAGAAATCCCTGCCTCAAAGGGCAGCCGTCATTGTCAACTCCATCCCCAAACCAAAGCCCCAGACACCCTCCAGCCTCCACGAGTGCAGACATTCATGGCAATATTTCCACAGCACTCAGTTTATACTCACTCCACTTTAAAACAATACCTTTAATCGCTTGTCATCTCACATGGGGTCCTGCACGCTTTTGCCTTTGTAGGAAACCTGACATTTGTCTGTTTCTTCTTTCTCTTTTCCTTCCCATATCCTCCTAATTTACGTTTGACTTGTTTGCTGAGGAGGCAGGAGCTAGAGACTGCTGTGAGCTCATAGGGGTGGGAAGTTTATCCTTCAAGTCCCGCCCACTCATCACTGCTTCTCACCTTCCCCTGACCAGGCTTACAAGTGGGTTCTTGCCTGCTTTCCCTTTGGACCCAACAAGCCCCTGTAATGAGTGTGCATGACTCTGACAGCTGTGGACTCAGGGTCCTTGGCTACAGCTGCCATGTAAAATATCTCATCCAGTTCTCGCAAATTGTTAAAATAACCACATTTCTTAGATTCCAGTACCCAAATCATGTCTTTACGACTGCTCCTCACACCCAGAAGTGGCACAATAATTCTTGGGAGTATTACTTTTTTTTTCTCTCTTTTTTTTTTTTTTTTTTTTTTTTGAGACGGAGTCTCACTCTGTCTCCCAGGCTGGAGTTCAGTGGCATGATCTGAGCTCACTGCCAACTTTGCCTCCCAGGTTCAGGCGATTCTTGTGCCTCAGCCTCCAGAGTAGCTGGGATTACAGGCACATGCCACCATAAGCGGCTAATTTTTGTATTTTTAGTAGAGACGGGGTTTTACCATATTGGCCAGGCTGCTCTTGAACTCCTGACCTCAAGTGATACACCCGCCTCAGCCTCCCAGCAAGCTGGGATTACAGGCGTGAGCCACTGTGGCCAGCCTGTTTTTCTATATTTTGTTTTGAAAAGTAGGATACCTATAGATTTAACCCTAATAGCCTCAGTGTGCGATAATTGCTCTATTCGTCTGTATTACCCTTGATTATATGTCACTTGAAGGCAGGGGCTGGATTGGTCACTTCAGCAGCCCCGGCGCCTGGCACAGTGGTTCATTCAGAGGGAGCACCACGTGGGAAACCTTTGTTGATTGAATTGAAAAAAAAAAAAAAACGTTGATCAGACACCCATTTGTCTTGATCTTTCACCTCCCCTCAAAAGCGCATGAGATTTTGCATATCCTGAAGCTGCTGAAGATAGTAACACTGCACTCCACTCAGCTGTGGATTTAATTTGAGTTCTGTTTTCTGCATTGTTCATGCCCCTGTTTTTTGTCAGTGGACGTTTGATGAACACCTTCTCTTTGCCAGGGACTTGGGCAAAAGGGGCAGAGTGAGGCAAGAGGCCCTGCAGCCCTTCCACAAGGCCGTCTCCCACCCCGCCCCAGCCCATGCTCACCCCTCTGCCCTCCCGCCTCAGTCCTGGCTGCCTCTGAGTCTGCCTCCCACACCAGATTGACAGCTGCTTGAGAGCAGCTTGGGGTCAAGTTCCTGCATCTGTGTCCTCAGTACCTGACACTCATTTAGTCATCTCAATAACTACCTGTCACTTACGTCATGTAGCCCATGAGAACAGAGAGGCCTAGTGGAAACAGGGCTGGGAATGAAGCCAGGTTCTGTGGCCCCAAGGGCCGTCCCTTTTTACTCTGACTACCTGCACATCAATTGTGTAGTCTGGTCTGCAGTCAGGTGGCCTTTGCTCTGGGCTGTGGTTATTTTAGAAGCTAAATATAACTTCATGAACCATGAGAGGTGTCAGGAAAAAATACAACTGGCACTCACCACAGGCATTCCTCCCCATCAGGGTAGAGAAAATCAAAGCCCTTGAAATCAGCAAATGATGCCAAGAGCCTCTGAGCACGAAACCACATGGCAGACCCTGGGCCCACAAAGACATTAAACCCCAGGCCCTGTCCTTGGCTGCTCATGGTTTGAGGAGTCCTCCAGTTGCAACTCATTGTGTGAGTACTCATCCCAACTACATGAAGCATTAAGATGGGACCATAGAGGGAAGCAATTAAGTTGGATTAGAAGCACTGAGAAGGAAGGTGGGATTATATGAGGAGAGAGGAAAAGAGAAGAGAAAGCTAAAAAGGTGGAAAATGTGTGGGTTTCTCTCCAGATTCAGATTAAGCAATGTTGTACTCATGGACCCGGCACCTGTTAGGATGCAAAATCATTCTAGGTGCTTCCACTCAGCATCTGCTTGTTCTTCATAACAGCACTAATGAGGTAGAAGTATTTATCTGATCTCTGCTTTACAGAGGATGAGCTGGAGCTCAGGGAGGCCAGGATCCCAGCACAGAGCCACACAGCTCATGTGAGCATGACCAGCAGTTGGATTTAGACTGGACTCCAAGCCCAGGGCACTTTCTTGTGTCCCACAATTGCCTGTCCTTGAGAATGTGAAGACACCCCTGGTCCTCACAGCAGACCTTGCCCTTGGCCCACTCTCCAGCTATCCCAGACCAGAGGTATAAGTGTGTGGCCCACTACCCCAGGCTAAGCTTCTAAACCAAAAGCACCAACAGGTGCATCAGTTATCTCAGTTAGGATTTATAAGTTAGGATTAATTTCACTGCATAGAATAGAAAATAAAATACATGGATAAAATAAGAGAAACATTTATTTTTCCCTCATCAAACAACAGTCCAAAGGCAGAAAATATAGGGTGAGAGATATGGTTTGGCTTTGTCCGCATCCAAAGTCTCACCTTGAATTGAATTTTATTCCCCATAATCCCCATGTGTCAAGGGCGGGACCAGGTGGAGGTAATTGAATCACCGGAGCAGTTTCTTCCATGCTGTTCTGGTGATAATGAGTCTCACGAAACCTGATGGTTTAATAAGCACCTAGCATTTCCCCTGCTTGCACTCACTTTGTCCTGCTGCCCTGTGAAGAAGGTACCTGCTTCTCCTTTGCCTTTCGCTATTATTGTAAGTTTCCTGAGGCCTCCCCAGCCATGCAGAACTGTGAGTCAATTAAGCCTCTTCTTTTATAAATTACCCAGTCTTAGGTATTTCTTCATGGCAGTGCAAGAATGGACTAATACAGTGAGCATGGAGGTTACATGGTGTCATCAGAGAGTAGCTTTCTAAGTCTCTGCTCCTTCATTCAAGCATATAGTTTCTCTATTGAATGTCACCTCAGGGCCTGATATAGTTGCTGAAGTGCCAACCATCACAGTCATGGTCCAGCCAGACAAAGGAGAAAAGTACATGTCCACAGATGTCTTTAAGGAAATTCCTTGTAGTTCCCACACACCTCTACTTACTTCTCATTGGCGAAGACTTAGATATATGGTGACTCTGTGCTCCAGGACAGGGTGGGAAATGGAGAGTTTGTTTTTGTTCTGCATGACAACTTGCCCAGCTTGGTTTTCCTGTCATAAAACCAAGGCTAGTGATCTCTACTGAATCTGGTAGGTAGTGAATGCGTATGAAACCAAATGAACCCAGGACAGGAGAGATTTCTTTACTTTTTTGTTTTTTGAGAAGGAGTCTTGCTCTGTCGCCCAGGCTGGAGTGCAGTGGCACGATCTCGGCTCACTGCAAGCTCTGCCTCCCCAGTTCAAGCAATTCTCCTGCCTCAGCCTCCAGAGTAGCTGGGATTACAGGTGCCCGCCACCATGCCCAGCTAATTTTTGTATTTTTAGTAGAGACGACGTTTCACCACATTGGCCAGGCTGGTCTCAAACTCCTGACCTCAGGTGATCCACCCTCCTCAGCCTCCCAAAGTGCTAGGATTACAGGCGTGAGCCACTGTGCCCAGTGATGGGAGAGACTTTTACACTGCCAAGTTCAAGCAGGGTGACGTCAGGCCTGTTACTAACTTCTCTGAACCTTGGTTCCATTGTTTATAGAAAAAGGATAACCGTATCTTTTCACACTGGTGTTGTAAGGGTAAAATAAAGACATAGCAAAGGATCATAATACCCATGCTTGAATACCCATAGCAAAGGATCATTCCTACCACGTCTGGTTGTACAGGTATGGTGTGCCCAGCTCCAGGGGTTGACTTTGCATGGACTAGGATGTGGATTTTTTTCCCCTGCCAGGTAGAGTTTATGGCCTCATTTTACAGAGAAGGAAACCGAGTCTTGAGGCAATTAATCAATTTACTCCAGTACACTGCAGTAAGTGGCAGAGCTGAGATAGAATCATTGTCTTTTTGGTTCTGTCTTATCCCACGCTGCTTCACTCAAAGACTTGCATCTGCTCATAGGCTTTACTCCTTCAGGATTCCAGGAAGTTTCAAAGATTCTGTTTTCCTAGTCAGATCACTTTTCAGACTTTGTGTTCTAACTTGTGACCATAAAAATTGTTACTGCCTCTATCTCTCCGAGCAGAACACTTGGTCCCCAAGTACTAGCCACTCAGCTTTTCAACTCTGCCCCTGTCAGACCCCTGTGTCAGTTAATGGCTTATTACCCTTTCTTTCTCTCCCTTCCCTTCCCTTCCCTTCTCTTCCCTTCCCTTCCCTTCCTTTCTCTCCCTTCTCTTCCCTTCCCCTCCTTCCTCCTTTCTTTCTCTCTCTTTCTTTCTTTCTCTTCCTTTCTTTCTTTTTCTTTCTTTCTTTCTTTTTCTTTCTCTCTCACTTTCTTTGTTTCTTTGTTTCTTTCTTTCTTTTCCTTCCTTCCTTCCCTTCCTTCCTTCCTTCCTTCCTTCCTTTCTTTCTTTCTCTCTCTCTCTCTCTATTTCTTTCTTTTGACAGAGTCTCACACTGTCACCCAGGCTGGAGTGCAGTGTCGCGATCCCAGCTCACTGCAACCTCCGCCTCCTGGGTTCAAGCTATTCTCCTGCCTCAGCCTCCCAAGTAGCTGGGACTACAGGCATGCACCACCATGCCCAGCCAATTTTTGTATTTTTAGTAGAGATGGGGTTTCACACTGTTGGCCAGGATGATCTCAATATCTTGATCTCGTGATCCACCCACCTCAGCCTCCCACAGTGCTGGGATTACAGGCGTGAGCCACCAGTGCCTGGCCCTTATTACCTTTTCTTAATCATGTCCTATAAGTTAGACAGCAAAAGTCCATGCCTTCCTTTAGTGTAATGTTAAATTTCAAAATTACAGCAATTGGGAATGCATTTGGCTGCAAGTGATAGAAAACCCAACACACGATGATCTAATACATAAGATGTCTAGGTAGTCTAGGGTTGAGCAATCCAGGGCCAGACTACTAATTCAGAAACACTGGCTCTGTCAATCTTCTTATCCCACTATCCTTAGCATCCACCTTTCATCTTCATGGTACAAATTGGCTGCTGCACCTTCAAGCAAAGCATCAACCTTCTGGACAAGAAGTAGAAGAGCAAGAAACCCCAGAAAAGGGTGAAAGTAAGAGGGGGTACACTTATCACACACAAGGACCTACATTGTGGCTCCCCCTGTCTCACTGGCTGCCACTTGCTGTGAGGGAGGCTGGAGCTACAGTATTTTTAACTGTGTACTGTTTTGCACCCAAGAAAAGCTGGGCTCTATTAGAGAGGAAGAAGGAGAGAATGTATACTGCATAGACAACCAGAAGAGTTAGCTACAAAAATAAACTGAGCAATGCATCCTAAAATTAATCAAAAATAGTGATAATTTTGGGAAATAAAGTTCCATTTTGGCCTTTGAAAGACAGATATTTTTACTTGATCACAAGACAGTGTAGTGATCCTTGAAGCCAATTGCATGCCTTCCACAATGTATCATGTTGAATATCAATTAAGATGCAACATTTTATTTTCAAGTTACTATCAAGCTTCTTGTTGGAGGGAACATGTGTTGCCTACTCCTGATGTCCCTTTCCATGTGGATGAGCATCCATTAATATCACCCCCCTTGCTTCTTTCTCATTGACTCTGAACTCAGGCAGTAAAAACAGGGGTGTTACTTATGACACTCCCACATATGTTAACACCAAAACTTTTGATAATATTTCATATCCTCTTTTTCATTAAGACTTTTTTGTCTAGGTCTTTACTTCTGTAACATTTACTTGAGGAAACAACCTCTGAATTATTCTGATTCTTTCTCTCTCCATCTCTTCTGAGAGCAGGGCATGTATTAACCATGAGTGTTTCCAAGCCTGGCCCCCTAGTAGGCAATATGAGTGATTTTGCACACTTACCTCAAAGTTTCTGTCTTTCATGTCACTGCCCTACTCAAAAACCTGCAAAGGCTGAGCATTCTGGAATCAAAGGCCTGACTTCCTGTGTGAAACAGCTTTGCTGCCCCTGTACTGAGTGTAGAACACACAAGTGAGCCTGCACTGGGTGGCATCCCTTCAGCTAAACCCAGGAACCCCCTCCACACCAATTTGGCCAATTCTACATACAGGAATATAATGAGGAGGTTTTATGACCAAAGAACTATTGTTGCACAGAACCTACTTCAAGAATGATTTGCAATGTCTATAAAGTTCTTATGTTGGACTCTCATGTATAAAGCATGTTTAAGGAGCCTATTGTGGTCGAACACGATGCTGAGCACATCATATACAGCCACCTCCAATCTCCAAAATGACCCTGCAATGTTGGGAATATTATCCCCATTTTACAGGTGAGACAGTTGGGTTTCATTGAGATTAAATAAGTGATGTTTCATTGTTTTAGTAAGAAGAGCCTGGATTAAACTCAGATCTATCTTATTTCAAACCCATGTGCTTCCCACTGAATATGTTTCTTTTATACTATACTGATTTATAATAAAAAGCATGAAATTCCATATATGTGCATCAACAAGAGTATAGCTTTACTTTCATTGACATATATAGAATCACAAACTCCCTTTTTTCATCAAAATATTTGCAGTGACTCTTCCGGTTTTATTTCAATGTCTCTTTAAATAAATCCTTTACTCCTTTCTTTTAATTAATTAACCAGGTTGCTAAGCTGGCACAGTGAAGTGGTGTTGAAGTGTCCCCAAATTAATAGTGCCTCATCAGCACTGGCTGGGCATTAAATTGCCATCTGAAGTGTTACCTGAATGCAGTTAGCACCCCCTGGACTGCTGACTTCAGACAAGAATGGGCACTCAGCAGAAATATCAGCAGGTTTGTAGTAGCCATCAGCAGAATCCCAGGGTCAGAGAAGGCAAAGTCCTCCTTGCCCGCCAGTGTCCTTCCAATTACTGTGTTCTCCTGGGTTGCACTATCCCCTGCATCTGCAGCCCCCAAAACTCAGAGTCTAAGTCTTCCAGAGCCTGCTGTTCTGGGTTGGAACTGTTCTGTCCCGGAACTGTTCTGTCCCTGGCTGGCACTTTTACACAGAGCACACGGCATCTCCAAGCACCTAGATAGATCAGCTATGAGGGGTGCCAGTGGGACAAGGGCAAGGCCACTCCCTGGCCCTATGGAAACACAACCTCTGCCTTCAATGCTGGGTCTTACCTGCCAGGGACCCCTATGCCAACAAGAGAGGAGCCGGTGGTGTGGCAGGAGAAAGGGGGAGCGTCCAAGAGGAACTTCCTTCAAGTAAGGCTTCAGACAGCCCAATCTGTGGTTGGCATTGACTGGATTGTGAATTTCCTCCCCAGCATAAACTTCAGTGATGCCCAAAATAGCCAACCTCAGATGTTTAGACATTTCACCAGAGTTAATAACCCCATTGAGATGAAATTTACTCACCCAGTTGTTTACCAAATAGAGCAAACCCAAGCCAGCATCTATCTATCTCATGGCCTGGAAATCTCCTTCTCTCTATCAAAGATGGGGCACATATTTGATGGGAGGATTATAGCTGAGTGAGACACTAGGATAGAGTAAAAAGCCCTGGTGGACTGAGCTCTCACAAACCTGGGCCAGAACCTTGTGTAGCCACTTGCTAGCTACATGATCTTGGGAATGCTACCTACCACCATTGAGCCTCAGTTTTCTCTTCTTCAAAATGAAGTTTATAATAATATCAATCTCAGAAGGTTGATGTGAAGACTAAGTGCACGTATAACTACTGGCATATAGTAAGCACTCAGTAACTATTAGCTCTCAAGAGGATAATGATAATGATGATGATGATGGTGGCGGTGGTGATGGTGGTGGTGGTGGTGATTGTGGTGATGACTACGACTCAGTTATTGTAAAGATAGTGAAGAAAAATGCATGATATATAAAGTAATTTCAACAGTGTGATGTAGGAACTGAATAAAGTTCTGAAACAGAACGACCCAATATGTACACTCAATCTATAATAAACAAGAGACTAGAAAGCAGTAGGGAAATGATACTTTCTTTTTTCATTTTCAATAAATGGTGCTGAGTCAAGCACATATCTGAATGGGGAAAAATAAAACTTGACTCCTACTAATCCAAAAATCTACACCTAAAAGCTGGCACATAGATCTTAATGTGAGAGATCCAATGAGAAACCTCCTAAAACAGTGTCACCTTGCTTGCACCTTACCAAGTGGTTAATCCAATCCACCTGAGCAAGTCATTCATTGAGATACATTTTAACGGTGAACAAGATAACTATGTCTTAAAAGCATGAATAAGGGTGGCTGCTTCCTCTTTTATTTCACTCAAGCCATGAAGTAAAATTTCCTGCTCTTCTTATTCCCATATGGTGAGTCATCCTGAGCAAAATCTGGGGTGGTTCTGGGTCTGTGCAGCAGACCTAGAGTTGGGTCCATGCATCTGGGCTGGTGAACAGTTTCATCGTCTGTTCTTCACACCCACTTGTATCCCTCAAGGAACTGTCAATATCCATGCCCCAAAGTTTGTTCTTCACGCCCACTTGTATCCCTCAAGGAACTATCAATATCCATGTCCCAAAGTTTGTTCTTCACGCCCACTTATATCCCTCAAGGAACCATCAATATCCATGCCCCAAAGTTTGTTCTTCACGCCCACTTCTATCCCTCAAGGAACTATCAATATCCATGTCCCAAAGTTTAGATTCAGGGCACAGTCCTTTCCCAGATGGGCCTGCTCTGGGAGACAGAGGATTTGCAGAGATAAATGGAGCCCTTTCTTACTTCCCACGGGATAGTGATCATTAGACATGTCTCCACTGGTCAGAACCCTGGCAGAGCGAGGACAAGTATGGCATTGAGGTGCCCGAAGTGCCTGTGACCCTCTCTGAGAGGGAAAAGTGACCAATGACCTTAGGGCCAGCTATGCACTAGGCATAAAGCCAGCAGTATTCAGACCTCACCTTTAACCTGTGAGAAATTCTAGGAGGTCTCAAAGTTCCCCTTTTACAGATAAACAAATTGGGCAGAGAAGTTCAGTCATTGATGTTGGACCACACACAGCAAATAGGCAGAGGAAGCAGGGTTTAAACTTGGCCCACATACCTCCGCAGTGCACAGGCCTCAGCATGCCATCAGCTAAAGAGGAGCTCAGCTGTCACAGCAGGTAGGAAGAGTCCCAGGTCCTGCCTGTACCTAAGGAAAGAAATTACACTTCTTAGAAGAGTGAGTGAGCAGGACTCACTTGGCCTGTCATCGCCAGTATCCCATCCCATCACAAGATTTTGCTAGGAGGACGAGAGAGGAGAGAGGCAGAGCTGGGGCTTACTGCTGTCTGCAGAGACACCTTTGTTTTTTCATTCAACCTGATGAAGGCCATTCCATGAGCTTTGGGGGTTAAATAAGCAAGAAGAGTAATTTTAATCTATTTACTTTTTTAGGAAAGCATTATTTTTAAAAATACGATTTAAAATTTAAAATTTTCACCAACAGTAATTTAATTCAAAATAAGTCAGAAAGTTAAGCTCACCAGCACATCCCTTTCATGACATATGTGGTTAAGTGAGGCTAATGTAATACTGTAAAACTCATAATAACTATTACTTATTGAACATCTACAATATACCTTTCATATTGTTCAAGCAAATATTGATACAGCACTTGTTATGTTCCAGGCTGAGAAAATAACAATAAACAAAAAGGACAAAGGTCTCTGTTCTTATGGAGTCTACATTCTTTTTTTTTTTTGAGATGGAGTCTCGCTTTGTCACCAGGCTGGAGTGCAGTGGTGCAGTCTTGGCTCATTGCAGCCTCTGCCTCCTGGATTCAAGTGATTCTCCTGCCTCAGCCTCCCGAGTAGCTGAGACTACAGGCATGCGCCACCACGCCCAGCTAATTTTTGTATTTTTAGTAGAGACAGGGTTTCACCATGTTGGCCAGGATGGTCTTGATCTCTTAACCTCATGATCTGCCTGCCTTGGCCTCCCAAAGTGCTGTGATTACAGGCATGAGCCACCGCGCCTGGCCATGGAGTCTACATTGTAATCAGGAGATAGGTAGTAAACAAATAAACAAGCCAACCACATGATGTGTGTGGTATAAAGAAACAACAAGTGAGAGAGGGACAGGGAGTTTCATGAGGGCTGCAATGATAAATGTTGTGGTTAGGGAGGGCTTTTTATATAAGGAGGCATTTGAGCAGAGCCCTCAGTGAGTTGTCAGAGCCAGAATGGGCTTCTTAGGGAAGGGGATTCCAAGTAGCTTAAGGAATGAGAGCAAAGGCCCTGTGGTGGGCATGAGCCAAGCTCCTCGGAAGTGTGACCAGGTGGCCACATGGCTGGAGATGGGAGGCAAGTTAATTAGGAAGATGTGGTCAGAAAGTTGGTGGAGCCAAATTGTATGGCCTGGCAGAGCATGGTCAGCACTTTGCTTTTATTCCCAGTGGAGGTCTATGGGAGAGAACATTGATGCACTAAAGGGTTGGGAGCAATGTGGAAGACTTTGTTTCCAAGGGTCTGCTCTAGCTGCTCTATCAGGGCAAGGGAAAAAGTCAGGGACCTGTTAGAAGTAGTGGCAGCAATCCAGACATGCTGCTGGCTTGGATTTTGGGGTGGCAGAGAAAGTTGGGAGAAGTGATTGGATTTTGGGTACGTTTTGAAGAGAGAGACATCAGGATTTGCAGATTTGTGACTTTTTGAGAGAGAGGAAGGAATCAAGGGTGACACTGAAGTGCTTGAGAAACTGCAAGGTGAATCAATGTTTGCAGAGATCTGGAATCGTTGTCTGGGGCAGTAGGAGGTGGGGAGTTCAGTGTTGGGCATGCTAAGTTTTAGTTTCCAAGGAAAAATGTTATGTAGGCAGACAGAGCCTGGTATTCAGGGCAGAGGATTGGGCAGAAGATACTCTTTCTAATATTTCAGCAACACTTAGAGGCAAGTGTTATTAACCTCATTGTACAGTGAGGGAAACTCAGTTACAGAGGTGAAGTTCCACATTCAAGACCATCCAGCTAACAAGTCAGGATTTGAAGCTGGTTTAGAAATCATCTCTGAGTGCTAAATGCATTCCAATTCTATTGCAGAAGGTTTTAGATGTAAAAAGAAAATCCCCAAGTGAATCTCCCATTTAAAAAAAAAATTGTAGTTCAGTTCAAACTTTCCTCTGTCTAAACTCAGATCTACAGCCAACTGGCTCCCACTCACTTGAAAAAAAGTGTGTAAAATCCCATTTTTAGACAGCCTTTCGTTGGCTTAAAAAGCAGTCACGCTTCACAGTCCACCCAACAGAGAATTGCTTTTGGCGGAGACACCAGGAGATTATGTCATTTTCTATGGACAGGGAAAACCCCATGTGCCTTTGATTTCCCCTTCAAGATCTATCATATCTGAGCTTCTCAGAACTATTACTGTGATGTAAACTGGAACATTTTTGGAAAGAACATTTTTAAGGTATAGCAAGAATTTTAAATAGGTTTATGTCCTATGACCTCAAAGTTCTGCGTCTGATCATACAACCTCAAGAAATAATCAGAATCACATAAAAGTGTCTTCTGCTCAAAGATGTTCATCATATCAAGAGAAACTTCTTTCTTATCTTTTTTTTTTTTTTTGAGACAGAGTCTTGCTCTGTTGCCCAGGCTCAAGTGCAGTGGCACAATCTTGGCTCACTGCTACCTTTGGCTCGCTGCAACCTCTGCCTCCTAAGTTCAAATGATTCTCCTACCTCAGCCTCCTGAGTAGCTGGGATTATAGGTGAACACTACCACATCTAGCTAATTTTTGTATTTTTAGTAGAGACAGGGTTTCACCATGTTGGCCAGGCTGGTCTCAAACTCCTGGCCTCAAGTGACCTTCCCGCCTCTGCCTTCCAAAGTATTGAGATTACAGGCGTGAACCACCATGCCCGGCCAGAAACTTATTTCTTAATGGGGATTCTGCTTGGCCACATTTCCTGGCCTATCCCTGTATTACTATAGAAAAAACAACCACTAAGGAGGATTCTGTGGTAGGGAAATTGCCAAGAAGAGAGGGGCCTGCTTGAACCCAAGATTCCCAAGACAGACATAAGATAGGTCCTGCATGGACTTGTTTACCTAAAAGCTGATCTCAGGGGTCAAGGAGGTATAGATCCCACTTCTCAATAGGAGGAGTGTCAAAGGATTTGTGGTCATCTTTACCTCACTCCATCTTCTTATAATAAATTATTTCTTCACATGCAAATGCAGCCATCCCTTCCCAAGACCCCCAAGATTCCATGCTATTGTAGTTCTAGCTTGAAATTCAGGATCTCATCATCTAAATTAGTTCTGGGTACAGATGAGATTCATTGGACTCATTGGGTTTGCTTTTTTTTTTTTTTTTTGTAACGGAGTTTTGCTCTTGCTGCTCAGGCTGGAGTACAATGGCGTGATCTCAGCTCACTACAACCTCCGCCTCCCAGGTTCAAGCGATTCTCCTGCCTCAGCCTCCTGAGTAGCCGGGATTACAGGCACACACCACCACGCCCGGCTAATTTTGTATTTTTAGTAGAGACCGGGTTTCTCCGTGTTGGCCATGCTGGTCTCGAAATCCCGATCTCAGGTGATCTGCCTGGCTCGGCCTCCCAAAGTTCTGGGATAACAGGCGTGAGCCACTATGCCCAGCTGGGTTTGCTTTTTTAAATATGGTTCTTCTCAAACTGAAAACCCATGAGCAAATTAACTCCCTTCCAACCCCAAGCATACAATGCTGAGATAAGCATAAAATAACTTTAATAGACACTTCAATTCAAAAAGGGCTTTGGGGATGTCAACTGAGTAAACTGGTGGTTCCCCAAGATTTCCCTGGCTGGTTGGAACTCCTATGTCCCCAGCATTGTGTGGCCTGCAGAATCTCCATTCAGTTCACAGCTTCTCTGCCGTGCTCAGTAGGGGTCTCATTCTTTGCATGCACAGATTAGTATTTGTTCAAAGATTTAAGTGGACTGTATGCATATCTCTGGAGCTCTTTAGCTGCGTAGCTCCCTCCTGTCTCTCTGACATGCTGACCCACAAACTCCAGCCTCTTCAGCACCTCCAAGCTCTGATCTCTGTCTCTTCAGCTCACCAGAACCACTCTGCTGTGTTTGGGCTTCATCTTCCTCTTCCATATTGTAGAAAGTTACCCTCGGTGGAAAAATGGAACAATCATAGGTCTCATCTCATATAATCCCTCTGTATCAGGGACTGTAGTCAAGCAACACCTATTATTCACTTTGCCTAGTTTTTAAAATACAGTGTAAGTAAATCAATAAAAAACAACCAAGCCCACAAGGAGACAAGCTGATATAAATGGAAAATAGAACACGTAATGGAAGTAGACTCATAGATGATGTGAATAATACAGTTATCAACTTCAGACTTTAAAATAAATGTACATTATATATTCTGGAAGATTAAAGAAAGGATTGGGAATTTTGGTAGTGAATTCGAAATATCAAAAAATTAAAATTTTAGAGCTGAAAAATGAAGTAACTGAAATTTAAAACTCAATGGATTACTTTAACAGCAGATTAAACCAAGCTGAGAGGAGAATTTTGGAGTTGAAAAATATCTAGAATGAGATGGGAACAGAGAAAATACAGGTAACTATAGAAGAGAGGGTAATGGAGCCCTAAAAAGACAGAAGATCAAGAATAGGGCAGAAGCTATACTTAATGAGGTAGTGGTTGGAAATTTTCTAAATCTGACTAAAGACATCAAGCTAAAGATGCAGAAATCTCTACAAATCCTAAACTGAATAAATAAAAACAAAATTACATTTAAGCAGATCATATTAAAACTGCCAAAAACCAATGGGGAAAAAAATCCCTCTTACAAAAAGAGAGAAAGCAACAGAGAGGAAAGAGATTTACTCTGTTGGAGAAAGGGAATCAGGAAAGAATTTGACTTCATCTAGGAGGTGATATTTAAGTTAGGTCTTGAAAGATGAGTATGAATTTGCTTGGGAGAAAAGGAGTGAAAGGGCCTTCAAGGTGGACGAAATGACAGATGAAGGCTCAGAGAGTTGAAAGTTCAGGATACATGTTCCATATGAACATGAACAGAGAACAATTGATCCTAGAGAGATAGCTTGGGGACAGATTGTGAATGACCTTGAATGCCTTCCCAGGAGTTTGAACTTTCTCCTGAAGGTAGTGGATGAAGAATCTTTGACAGTTTTGAATCAGGGCATTTACTAACGAAGCCATGTCTTTTCCAAAGCAAGGGTCAGGCATTGGGGAAAAGAAAGTTGGGTCTCATATACAAAATTTACACAGAGAATGTGAAATTGTTCTCTATTCTGACCTCAAAAAAAACAGTATAGAGCTTGACATGTGAAGAGAGACATGAGCAATCATTTACTCAGTGCCTACTGTGTTGCCATATAAAAATAAAGATGAGTGTTTATGAATACACCAGGGTGTTGGCCTTCATCATAATCTCTATGATCTCATATTCATTCAATCTGTCTCTTCTGTCCTTGAAAGCAGTTTTTCTACCTGTATACCTTTCTCGTGGTCTTTGTTCTGAAGCAACCCACTTCCACTTTTTTGGCCTGGCTAACATGTACTCATCCTTCAAGTATCAGTTCAAATGTAAATGTTTCCATAAGTCTTTCCAGGCAAGTTCAGGATTTTTTTTTCCCATACACCTACATTATTTTGAAAATATTTCCAATATAGTAATATTTAATTTTATCAGAGTAACCCATGCACCAGCACTAGTAATGTGCTAACACTAGTGCCAGTAATTCTGCGCCAGGCTCGAGCACTCCTGGCTGGAATCATTCTTACCTATCTGTATCCCTAGCACCTAGCAGAAAAATCCAGGCTGTCAGAGCAGCCACAATCTCAAACATCATTGGTCATTCTGATGGGAGAAAAAGAAAGTGATGCAAATTGCACTCTGGCTCTTAAAGCTGTAGCCCAGAAATGACATATGTGTTCTGTTTTCTTGGCCAAAGCAAGTCTCATGGCTGTGCCTAAATTCACAGGGACAGGAAGGTATAACATTATTATGTGTCAAGAGAACTGGGACTGTTGGATGAACAATACCAATGACTGGCATAACACACAAGCCTTGAAACAAACTAAGGGGATAATGTCATAAACTGTGAGGATTAAATAATGTATGTGTAAAATGCTTTGAAAACTAAAATGTTACACCGTATTATTTCTAAGTTATCATAGAATTATAATGTTACGGATGTTCAGATAAGAAAAATGCTAAATTCAACATGAGAGATTGGAGGAAGACTTTATGGAGTCAATGGCAATTCTACAATGAGTAGAAGTTGGACATGTGGAAATGAGGGAGCAGGCATTCCAGGTGGAGGGAACTGCAAAGAACTGAATACTGTACAGTAAAGGACACATTTGAGGAATGGCACGTCTAGCATACCTTGAGAAGAAGGCATCTGCCACAAATATAATCCCCACAGAGAGGAGCTTCCAATGACCAACTGGAAAAGAAAATGCCAGCTGTTCCATTTTTAGAAGCAAAGTTACCCCATATGTAATAACTCAGATGCCATGGGTACACAGAAGGAGCCTGACCCCAAGACCACAGTTGTGTTAGCAATCCAATGCACCATCATCTTCTCAAAAGCTCATTATGCAGTCTGGCATATGAGATGTTTCTGCTACTCATGCCTACCCAGACAAAGCTACAGAGATGAGATCATCATCATCTTTTTAAAAATTACCATTTAAATAGCAGAAATGCTTAGCCTCATGCTGTCAGGAAAGCTGTCACCATGGAAAAGAAAAATAGAAAGTCCCCAAAATTAGTGTTGAATCTCTTCCAAAAACTGTCAATATTTTTGGAAGCCCCTAGAGAACAAATGCTTTCTTCAGCCTGGCAAGATCTGCAGTGTTGAAAAGAGATTGAGTCTAGGCTGATTGACGGTGGCCAGTCAGTGCCATATTCAGCGGGTGACATTGAAGACAGGCAATCAGTTACTTGGAATGAAGAATAAATTGCATCATGTATGAGCTGATGGGAATACACACAAAAAAACCTTCCGGAAAACTTAGAGTGGAATATATATTCCAGACCCATGTTTTTATGTTGGTAATTTACTGGCTTTTACTGGCTTTTGCACTGACCCAACACATGAAGCAGAATCTTAAAATGTGCCTCCCCCAAATCATGTATTTATGGGTGTCTCCATAGGTGTATCAGTCTTAGTGGTTATAGTATCAATCAGAGTGAAGGCACTCTCAAATTAAGAAAATGCAAGGAGGGTTTAATAAGAGGGACTACTTGCTAGGACAAACAACAAGGAGTAGTAAGGGAGACTAGTAAGGGTGAGATTATTCCCATCCAACCCAATCACTAGCTGCCCTAGGAAAAGCTTCAACCTGAGTGAAGCAGCAGAGTCAAACCCTGAAGGAACACACTACTAGAGGCTGTAGTGTATGCTGACCACACGTACTGTAGCTGGCAGAAAGTTCTTCCTAGGAAGAGGATCTGGGAAGCACACTTACATATATGCCACAGCCCACCCCTTCCTCTGCTTGGATCTTCTTCTCCAAATACGTTGGAAGATTCTGCTTTCCGTGATTCTGGTGGGCTTCTCTTCCTAAGGGAAACTTAGAAGAGGGAAGTTAGTGTGAAAAACTTCACATGTTCAGCTACCACTTTGGTGATCATTCATTCTTGATTTCTTCTGCTCATATAATCTAAGTATTACCCATGTTCCCTCTATGTGCTTTGCCTCAAAGGATGCCATATTCTATGAATCATCTCCATAATCCTCTGTTTGTCGGGCCCTCTTGCCTGACAGTTGTGGTAGTTGCAACTTCCAGGTTCTGGCAGTTCAGTGCTGCCGCCTGACCTTCATTGCTTTAAGATTCTATCATCCCCATTGCTATCTGCAAGCCAAACTCTTTAAGAGCCTCTTCTACGTCATCCCTGGCCTACCAAGGAGATTCACCAGTTTTTGTGTTGCTGGTGACTTCTCAACAGAGTATTCCTTATGTTTTTGGTAAAAGGGTTGTCCTCTGACCCTTCCCATGAGTCATCTGATGGGTCTTCCTCAATATGAACATGGTAAGTCAATTCTGGCATGTTGACTTCCATGAGACTTTTCATTCCTTCCTCCATCATCTACCCTAGGAATGCTAGCATTTCAACTTTGCTCAGCATAAGGCTTTGTTTTATCCACACTTCCAGGATTACAAATTCACACCACCTCCTGGAGACCTTGGCAAGATGGTAAAATCTGTATTTCAGAGGAATACATCTGAGTCAATAAACTCTACCTTTCTCCCTACTTGACCAAGCATCTTTAGAGTCCTTTCTCCTGTATAATCCCCAAACTTAATAAGGCAATGAGAGCTAAGTTTATATTATGTCTTTTTGTCATAAATAAATCATTTGTACCTCATTCAGTTCCCCTAGTTTATTATAGTTAGCCTATTAAAAACACTATAGATATTATTGCTGCTACTAAAATAAATACAATATGGATGAGGCAATATTTTTGTGAACCTTGGAGATTTCTCTCTTCTAAGAGGAAAAGAAGGTCCAACGGACCCTTATCTAAAGGCATGATCACAGCAGGGTGATTCAGTGAAGTACCCACAGGACTGAGAAAGAGATAGGGATTGAACCAGGAGAAACTGGGGAAAGGTAGCTCCATGGAGGAGGTGGCCAGTCCCATCAGATAGCCATGTAGATGAGAACTGGACAAGGCTCCAGACGTAATAAGTAGGAGGTTGGTGGATCTGAGCAAGAGCAGGCAGAAGAGCCAGGACAGTAGCAGCAGCCTGAGGCCTTTCTATTTGTTAACCTCTGCCTTTTTCCTGCTGGTTCTGTGGAACCAAGGCACATAGAGGATTAAGTGCAAAGCAGTTCAAAGAAGATTGAGTACAACTGGATGACCCATATGGAAGCAATTGATCTCCTTCTCTGAATTATCATTTTCCATTTTTGTACCTTTATAAATGTGAGGTGACTGATATTCGTGTGCAGGTCTTAATCTCTGTCCTTCCTTAAATTGTAAATTTTATGAAAGTAAAATCTTTTATTTACTCGTGCATTACCTTAAGGGCCCAGCACAGTCTCTTACATATTAGGTGTTCAGTAAACACTTGTGCGATGAATAAATGAAGTGGAGTAAATAAGTGAATGAGAGGTCAATGATGACCCTGTATATGGCAGGCTTTTTATTAAATATAACTTACTGAATATATACATTACATCAATGTAAACGTTTATGGGGTGAAGAGGAAATTACATATTAAATATTAAGGAGAATTATCTTTGAAAAGGATTTTTAAAGGTGTTTTGGAAAAGAAAGCGTAGAAAATGGAAACTTTTTCCACCTGCTATTTCTCATTTATCTATTAATTACCCCAAATTTCTATTTAAATGTTGTTAATGTGTCTACTAAAATTATCTGTTTATTGACATAATAAGGTAACATCTCAGATCTCATGCTTCAAAACCAGCAAGCTAGCTTCTTCCACAGTTAACAACTAATTTCAGAGGTGAGACTAAGTATCCAGGTCTGTGAATATTTGGGACTTTAAAAATTATCCCAGATTCTCAGGCAGCACCCACACTGTAGTTTATGTGGAATACACATAATGGTGCAGGCTTGGGTGGAACATCTTGTTTCCATGTTTTGTGTCTTGGTCTGTACAAGCCCTGATGAAATATGAATTTACCAACGAGACTTCCAGTTGCAGGGGTTAAATACTTGGCTCAAGGTCATTAACTCTTAGAGCTAGAGTCTGAACCTAGTTCTTTCTGATTGCAGAGTGTGTTCCTAACCCTGCCATGACAAGGGTGGGGTGGGAAACTCCGAAGGCACGTTTCCTTAGAGTAGCCCTTCCACTGCTATGGCAAATATCTGTGAAATGCTATGGTGTGAAAAGCACTATTTTAGCACCAGGACACACCAAAGATTGCAAGAGAAAAAAATATTATCTGTCTGTCCTCAGGGAGCTTTAAGTGTGGCAAGGTGGAGAGTAGAGACAGATAATAAAGAATATAAGTAATAGGCCAGGTGTGGTGGCTCATGGCTTACACCTGTAATCCCAGCACTTTGGAAAGCCGAGGTGGGCAGATTACTTGACGTCAGGAGTTTGCGACAAGCCTGGCCAACTTGGTGAATCCCTGTCTCTACTAAAAATACAAAAATTAGCTGGGCATGGTGGTGTATGCCTGTAATCCCAGCTACTCAGGAGGCTGAGACAGGAGAATCGCTTGAACCCCGGAGGCGGAGGTTGCAGTGAGCTGAGATTGCACCCCTGCATTCCAACCTGGGTAACAGAGTGAGACTCTGTTTTAAAAAAAAAAAAAAAGAATGTAAGACGTAAGTAAACTATGGTATAAATGGAAATGATATAGATGGATATAAATGAAAGCAGAGAAGCAGAAGGTAACAGGAAATTTGCATCTAGATAGGGTTCCCAGAGAAGGCCTCACTAAGAAGGTGAGACTGGTAATGACCTGGACGAAGATGTCTGATAAAAAAAAAAAAAAAAAAAAGCATGCCAGGTAGAGAGAATGGTGGTGCAGAAACCCTGGGCCAGGAATGCTTGGTATGAAGCGTAGCTGGCCCATACCAATGCTTGGTATGAATGCATGTATGAAGCGTAGCTGGAAGGTCAGGGTAACAGGAGCCAGGTGAGCATGAGGAGGTAGGAAGTGAGGTCAGGAAGGGGGTGGGGTGGGGAGGAGCACTAGGTTGTGTAGGAGCATAGAGGTCTTCATGAAGATTTGGCTTCTACTCTGAGTTCAATGGGAGACCCATGGAGGGTTAGGCAGAGAAGGGACATGATTTGGCTTACGTTTTATCAGTATCCCTCTGGCTGCTCTGTTGGGAGTAGACTTGTAGGGAGCAGGAGTGGAAGCAGGGAGGCCAGGGAAGAGTGACTACTGTAATCCAGGTGAAAGACGGCCACGTCTTGGACGAGGGGAATAGCAATGGAGGTGTAGGAAGATGTCAGTTATGATTTACTGATAGATCAAATATGGGGTTTGAGAGAGAGGAGCCAAGAATGAGTTCAACAATTTTGGCCTATGGATATAGGAAATAGAACTGCTATTTATTGCAAGGGAGAGACTGTGGGGGGAGTTTGAGTTCAGTTTCAGATATATTAGGTGTGAGATGGGCATTAGTGGAAACGTGACACTGGCAGTTAAATATATGAGTCTGGAGTTTATCGGAGCATTAAGGACTGGAGATACGAACTTGGAATCATCCACACATAAATTGTAATTAAAGAAATAAGATGGACCAAGTCACCAAAGAGCAAGGGTAGACAGGAAGGAGAATGGGTTGCACCATTCTGACTTTTAGAGGAGCTGCGAAATGGGCTATGTGCACAGGAATAAGAGTTTGAAATTGTGCAGAGATGAAATAGGAGTGAAAAGGAGTTGGAAAGAAGAACAATCCTTGACAGTTGCCAGGAAAATTTTCTAGTAATTTACCCCTTTAGTCATTATTTCATCATTCAATAAATATTTATTAAAGATCCATTCTAGGCCAGGCACTCCAGATACAAGGGTAGATATAACGAGGTAGCCCCCCACCCACAGGACCCTTACATTCTGCTTGGATTCAGGTCAGTAAACAGATAAGTGCATTGGTATTGTATGCAGTGCATATATAGTTGATACTAGAAAAAGACAGGTTAGAACTGTGTGGGTCCCTATTTGTACAGAGTTTCTTCCACCTCTGCCATCCCTAGTTGATACTAGAACAAGACAGGTTAGAACTGTGTGGGTCCCTATTTATACAGAGTTTCTTCCACCTCTGCCATCTCCCTGAGACAGAGAGACCAATCCTTCCTCTTTCTCATCCTCCTCAGCCTACTCAGTGTGAAGATGACAAGGAGGAAGACCTTTATGATGATCCACTTCCACTTAACAAATAGTAAGTATATTTTTCTTCCTTATGATTTTCTTAATAACATTTTCTTTCTTTAGCTTTCTTTATTGTAAGAATACAGCATATAATACATATAAGATACAAAATGTATGTTAATTGATTTTATATTATCAGTAATGCTCCAGGCAACAGAAGGCCATCAGTAATTAATTGTGGGGGAGCCCAAAGCTATACGTGAATTTTTTATTGTGTGGTGGGGTGGGGGGTTGGCACCCCTACCCCCTGTATTGTTTAAGGGTCAAATATAGGCTAGAAAACAGAAACAGCTGTAACTATTACAAGAGAATTCAGGTTAGTTACACCAGTGATGAAAGGAATGAGAGGCCCAACAGGGGATTTTCACCAGCAGAAAGCACCCAGCACTCCCCAGATAGAGGGAGAGAAAAGGAGGGTATGTTATGGAAACTAAGAGCTAGTGTCACACACGGAAAGCTGGAATTAGAGAGGGCCAGCATGAGGAGAGAGACACAGGATTGTTGGAGAGGCTGCCTGAGGCTGGAGTGGAAGGAAATAAGAGGGAAGAGAGAAATGCCTCGGTTTCTTCCTTCCTCTCACCCTCCGGGCTTCCAGCTGACAAACAGCCTGCAGGGGTCAGCCCTCCTGCCACTTAGAGACTAGCAGAGGAAGAACTGGGAGTGGGTCTGGGAACAAAGAGTCCTGGGACCATTGAAAAACAATCTGGCAGTTGCTCTAAAGGTTAACCATAGCCTTATCGTACAACCCAGAATTTCTACTCCTATGTATATATTCAAGAAAATTGAAAACATATGTCCACACAAAAATTTGTACATGAATGTCCAAATAACATTATGCATGACAGCAAAAAGTGGAAGCAAATCAAATGTCCAACCAACTGATGATAATAAATAAAAGATGGTATTTCCATGCAATGGTTATTCAACAATAAAAAAAGAATGAGGTACTGATACCTGTTACAACACGGGCCAACCTTGGAACCATTATGTTAAGTGAAATAAGTCAGTCACCAAAGACCACATATATTGTATGATTTCATTTATATAAAATGTCCACAATAGACAAATCTATAAAGACAGAAGGTCGATTAGTGGCTACTTAGAGTTGACAGTGGGGAGGCGAGTGATTGCTAATGGGTGTGGAATTTTTTGAGGGGGAATAATGAAAATGCTTTAAAATTGATCGTGGTAATGGTTGCACAACCCTGAATATGCTAAAAACTATTGAATTGTGCGTTTTAAAAGAGTGAATTGTAATGGTATGTGAATGATATCCCAATAAAGCTGTTATTGTTTTAAAAGGGGTGGGGGAAGCTGGCTCTCACACCTGCAGAGATGCCCCCAGAACAGGGACCTCTTAGAGAAAGAACAGCTGTGGAGGGTCCACACCTGGGTGAGGGCAGAACTAGGGACAACCCAGGCTATTTCAAGAATCCACATTTAGAACCATAATGCTATATTGCCTCCCAGGAGGTGGCATTTGCTGGTAAATAGGAGTAACCAGGTAAAGGCTGGGGGAAGCATACCTGTTCATAGCCATGTATGAAGGCCCAGCATTAGATCTGGAGAAATAATGGAAGTTCAGAAGCCTGGAGCAGAGAGCTCATGGTAAAATAATGAGCATAAAATGAGCCTGCAGAAGAAATCAGACCAGTGCTGGCCACGGTAAGAAGTTGAACTTGTATAACATATGGTGCTGTTAGTACAGGTCAAAAAAAAGATGGGGATGGAATTAGAAATCCACAGGTCTACCAGCTCAAGCCCAGTGAAGGAAACTAAAGAGCGGGGGAGGGGGAAAGAACTTGAACAGCAAGGAAGGACTGTTAACAAGTTTTCTCAAAGGTAAGATAGCTGATGATACAGAGCAGGGGCACCTCTTAGTGGCCTGCGTGGTCCCCCAGGCATGGAGAAAAAAGAAAATCTTGAGTTCCTTCAGGGGAAATTTCAGGCACCCAGCTAGCCTTGAGAAGTAAATTAGCAACCTAATAAGCAGGAAGTAATAGTAGCTTACAACAATAGCTAAAGATATTAGAGCCACAAAATGCTTGGTTTCCTATAGAAACTGAAGATAAAATCTTAACATATGTCCCTGAGTTACTTTTCAGAAACTCAGACCCCTACTAAATGGAAAATATCATCCACTGGCATGTAGACCTCAGATAAAGGGAAATGGAGAATTGAACGTTGACTAAATTTTTTGTTGTAAATTTCAGTCTTTGTTCTAAATATCTTCCTGGGGGCGTGGAGGAAGTCATACCCAAAGGAATGGGTGAAAGAGACATTCCTTTCTGCTGATGCTAAGTTTTTAGACAAAGTTTAACTAAACACAAATCAAATTCTTTTAATCCACCCGTAACCTGCGGGCCCCATCCCCTTTGAGATGTCCCACCTTTTTAGGTAAAAGTAATGGATAGCCTCCATGTATTAATTTACGACTTTGCCTCCCTGCCTTTAAAAACCCTGGCTGGGCGTGGTGGCTCACGCCTGTAATCCAGCACTTTGGGAGGCCAAGGTGGGTGGATCACCTGAGGTCAGGAGTTTGAGACCGGCCCAGCTAATATGGTGAAACCCCATCTCTACTAAAAATACAAAAATTAGCTGGGTGTGGTGGCGTGCACATGTAATTCCAGCTACTTGGAAGGCTGAGGTAGGAGAATCACTTGAACCCAGGAAGCGGAGGTTGCAGGGAGCTGAAATCATGCCACTGCACTCCAGCCTGGGCAATAGAGTGAGACTCCAACTAAAAAAATAATAAAAAAAACCATTACATGTAGGCCATTGGGTAGTTTGGGTCTTAAGCATGAACTCCCTGATTCTCCTTGCTTGGCGCCCTGCAATAAATGCCTCACTTTCTCTTGCTGCAAATCCCAGTGCCAGCATTTGGCTCTGCTGTACTGGTTGGATGGATGCATGTCCAGTTTGGTGATACTGGGAGGATAGGACCAGCACAGGCAGGCAATTTACATTCTCTCACATCAGTTTTCAGCTGACATTCAAGGTGGTTTTGACCAAACTTATGGAAGCAGAATGTATGTTCTGTTTAAGCATTTTCTGTGTAGTCAGCATGCTCATAAGTAAGGCTAACGCCTCCTCCTCTTATTCTCAGAATGAACTTCCTAACTTCTTCTCTGACCATGGCTCTTTTGCCTCACCAGTGGCCTACTTTGCATGTCCCCCAGGCATTCAGTCTTATTAGGTACATTTTGGCCAACTCTCTACATGATAAAGCCTTAGGTATGTTTTAAGAAGCAAAACACTGATGTTATTAGAAGTTGTTCTTGAAATAAATGCATCTTTGGGGGTTTCCTTTCCTTTAAATGCAAATATCTCTAGGAGAATAAATACTGCAAAGATAAATAAACAGAGCCTCTGTCATCACAGAGATAATAGGGTGGTTGGGGAGGCAAATAAGTAAATTATCATTCCAGGGAAATGAATAAATTTTATGTAGGTGCTTAGAAATCTAATGAGACTTGAGCATAAACTCTGTGCACCTCCTTCTGACCATGAAACACACACACAAACACACACACCCCACAAGTGGCTGTCTTCTGGTCCTTTCTGAGCCCATAGTGAGAGGCTGATTTCTCTCTCTCTGTCTTTCTCTTTCTCTCCCTAGGGGTCCTCTATGTGATTCTGTCCTCCCCTACTCCACATGCCCCTTGTCTCTCTAAGGCAGGCATGACCACCCCCTTTCACATGCACATACGTAATGCCACCCCTAGTACTTAATTCTTGCTTAACCAGATATACTTCCCTACACCAGAAAGGAGTGTTTTGTAGTGTTTCCAGGAGACAATAAAGGGAGACACCTGTCCACCCTCTCCATCGGTGTGTGATTTTACTGACAACAGCATTGTCCTTTGGGACATACCCTGTGCTTCCTGCCATGTCCTAGGACAGGGTCAGGTGACTGGGGGTTGCATTGTGACTTTGCTACCACTTGGCTATGAGACCTTGGGGAAGTCATTTGGCCTCTCTGTACTCCAAGTGTTTTATCTAAGTTGGAGATAACAGTACCTGCCTTGTGGGGCTTTGGCAAAAGAAATAATAGACAGAAAAGTGCTTTGGAAATACCTGGGCACTGATTCTTATTGGCCACTTATCACTGGGTGAGCCTGGCAGGCGGCTCTGGGTGTCAGTGTCCTCCTGTGTCTAATGAAGGAAACGACATCTGGTCTGTACAGAGACTCAAGGACAATGTGGCAGACACAGGACAGACATCAGCAAGGCAAGTGGCTAGAGCGTAGGGGGCAAAAATGTAGATTCCTGAGGTAGATTGCCAGGGATACATGGACCAAGGGGGCCACTAGGAAATTACTTAATCTTCCTACACTTCAGCTTCTTCTCCACCCCTTGGAAGCTCTGCTTCTTCATCTGCACCACAGAGAATGATGACACCACCTTCTAGATTTGCTATGAGGAAGAAAGGAAAGATCTCCTGTAAATAATAGAATTGTGCCTGGCAAATAGGGAGCACTTTGTAAATGTCGGCTATGACTAGTTTTGCTTCTGATTTTCTCAATGACCCTGGACTATATTATACTCAATTTACTGATGTGTAAGCTGAGGCTAAGGAGGTCAACTGATTTATCTATGGTCACTGAGTTAGCTAGCAGGAGCTTAGAATTAAACCCTGGTGTTATAAGATGCAAGCTCAAGCTCTGCCTACCCTGTCAGGCCACCCTGTAAGAGGATGTGAGGAAGAAATGTCAAAGATGGGTCTGCACAGCTTGGTGCCTCATTCTTGGAGGAGCTCACTTCTTGAAAACAGGATCCCAATCCTACCACCCAAATAAAGGGTTTTCATAATAACCCCATATAACACTCTCCTCTATCCTGGGGGAAATGACCATAGAACATAGAAGCTGCATAACTTCAAAGTGATGAAAGTGATTATTTGGTCTGTAGCATCCTCCTAGAGAAAACAATCACATACAGTCACCAGAGATCCAGTTCGTCGTGGTGCTAGAGGAAGGTTGGAAGTGGGGACAAGTGTGGCTCTCTGTCCACTAGCTTAAGAGGGATGGAGTGCTTTTTAGTGCCCAGCTCCATATGCCAGAAAAGGGGATTGTTGTTAAACCATTGAAGCCTGTATTTTCCACTTAACTTCCCCATCGTGAGACATTTCTTCAAGTGTCCTCATCCTGCCCCAAAGACAATGCCTTGGTCTCACACATTCACAGAGGTGCAGAGCTCCGTTGTGGGGGGCTGGAGCTTCTTTGTCTTTTTTTTTCTTTCTTATATTTTAAAACTAGGTTTATGACTTGAAAGTGTGACATTTTCTACTTCTGTTTTAAGAGTGACGTTTTTATAGGCAACTGAGTGTAATATCTCAGTGGAACCTGCCATCTCAGTGATCCTAGTATTTCCAGGGAAGCCAGGGCGATCCCCACAGAGCTTCTTTCACAAGCCACACTGAGTTGAGGACTCTGCATGAACACATCATGGACATGTCTGAATTCTGGAGCTGATGCTTTTAGTGGAGGATGTGGGGATGGCAAAGAAGTCCAAATGCCTCTGTGTGAGAGAGGGAGAGAGAGAGAGAGAGAGAGAGAGAGAGAAAATGAGAATCTGAAGGAGAACATGACTCCTGGAGACTATTCAGAAACAGACTGGGGACAGAGGTGCCTGCCTGGGGGTTCGGTCACATGAGTTAAATGATTTTGCACAAATTATCTAGCTTCTCTGGGCCTGTAACACAGCCTAGTTATGAGCTCAGGTCTCCAAATCCTTTCAGATCTAGATTTGTTGAATAGAGCATAAGCTAAGATGCTCTGAGAAAGAGATAAGCAAACTCAGAAACGTTTTTTTAAAGTTAATTTCTCCCTTTCTTACACGCAAAATGCACTGAGGAAGGTGGATAGCAGGGGATGAACGGGCAGAGGAGGATGCTCCGCCAGGATGGGGAGGAAACCAAACCCTTCTGTTTGGATCCTCCAGCATTCTCCAGGTTGTTGCTTTTGTCCCCCTGGTCGAAGCTGACTCACCTACACCAGTTGCATGTTGCAGCCTGTGGGACAGAAGCAAAAAGAGGTAATGAAGGCAACGAGCCTTCCATCTTAAAGACTTGACCTGAAACTTATGCAGATTTCTTGTGCTTCTATCCCCTTGGCCAGACCAAGGCTTATGGACACATTTAGATTCATGGGAGGATTGAAAATATAACCTCTAGCTGGTTAGCCATGGGTCCAATAAACTCAGGGGAGATGCTAAAAGGAGGCGGAAGACAATAAGTGTCAGAAGATTAGCAGCAGGATCTCCTCCCATAAGATTGATTTGATACCCACCCCCATCACAATCACATGGTCCATGGAAATCAGAAACCCATGCAACAGTTTGAATAGTTTAAATTCCCTTGTTACTGTGATCACTGGGCTTCTTACTCTGTCTTGTTCTATACCATGCTATGTTGATCCTGGGGTGAAACTCAACCACCTACAAACCCCTCACTCAAAGCTTTAAGGAGTTACAAAGAGGGAGGAAGCATCACTTACCACATTGCATGGCACCTTAAAACCATGTATTAGCCCTGGGCTAATACACCTGTGTGGTGGCTCATGCCTGTAATCCCAACACTGAGAGGGAGTGTAGGAGGATAGCTTGAGTCCAGCGGTTCGGGACCAGCCTGAGCAACATAGGGAGACCCCATCTCTAAAATAATAAATAAATCATTAAAGTAGCTGGGCATAGTGGTGTACATCTGTGTTCCAGCTACTCAGGGTGCCACTGCAGGAGGATCGCTTGAGCCATGGAGGTCGAGGCTTCGGTGAGTTGTGATCACACCACTGCATACCAGCCTGGGCGACAGAGCGAGACTCTGTCTCAAAACAAAACAACAAAACCAACCAACCAACCAAACAAAATGTATTAGGTGTGAAAAGTCTAGCAAAGAACCCGTAGACACAGACCATCATAAATGTACCTGAAACTATCAAAGTTGGCCTTATTAACTTGCTGCAGCAAGGGAAACCACAGACCAGAGAAACCTGGGGGCACCTCTTTAGGCTGGAGTGGGAAGTTCTTTTTCTTAGGGTTTGGGCTTGTGCTGAAGGATTGTAAGGAGGAATGGAGAGGGATGAAGAAGAAGCAAGGATTGGTTCCAGACTGGGGACTGCCATTAAACTGGTGCAGTTTGGTAACTGAGTTTCTCTTCGTTTAGGGGTGAGAGAAATAGAGAGGGCTGGGGAAGTCATTTGCAACAAACTAGCAATCACTCAAAAAAAAGGGTTGTTAGTAATTTTGAGCGGCAGTTGACTTTGGGGAAAACACAGTTTTCTGCTGGCTTTGTCCCTGGCTTTATCTGTGTCGCCAGGCACCTCATTGGTCATTAGCGTGTGTGACATTTTACTTTCTAGAGTCCTTTTGGTCATCCCATCACTGGGGATTACTCTGGCAATGCCACCCTATGCTGTTCCCTATCCTTCACCACTTGCCTGACTCACTCCCCATTCTTCCCTTATTTCTCTTCTCCTTCTCATGAATAAGTGAGTGCATTTGGCTTATTTTCTATGCAAAATGACTTAATCTCTTTGTTCTTTGGACATCCAAATCTTTAGATAACCTTACTGAGGAATATTTCTTCCATTTGAAAAATTCTGGAGAAGCTAGTTAAGGTGATATTATTTTTGTCCCATTCAAATAATATGAGGAAAATGATGTCCACTTGCAGAGTGGTTGTGAATACAGAATGTACTCAAAAAATGTTAGTTCTCTCCTATCTTTAAAACTGGAAAATTTCTACAGCAGACTTTTTGGTGCTCCACACAGATCCCCTGAGATCCCCTGTCCTGCTTCTATGAGCCCCTGCCTGATTTCTGGGTGTGTTGTGCCTTTGCTGCCTTCAGCCATTACCTGAAGTTCTCTGCCCTAGGCTACTGAAGCCACCTGCAGTGAGCAGGAAGTAGCTCTGAGTTTGGTCTCCCTGGGGTGGTTCTTAGCCAAGGACTGACTGATGCAGGAATATGAACACCCAGCTTTCTCGCTTGAGTTGGTACAAACTCCAGAGTTTCCTGCAGGATTTGGCTGGAGACCTGGCATGAAATTTCACCCCTACTTGACTTCTTTCCAAGCAGTGCTTCCCCTGCTCCCTTTCCAGGTTCTCCTGGAAACATGTCCACACACATCATCTGCACATGAATCTTTTTGTCAGCACCTGCTTCTTGGAAAACCATGATTTTCTTAGGTAGAAAATGCATTTACCAAAGTCAAACGACTGGTCATTAAATACCCTCTCCTTGGATGCAGAGAGGCGAAAGAAAACTGTTGTAGAAGTCCAAGTGGTAGAATAGGAACCTGAGCAGGAATAAAGCTGGAGGGATGAAGAGGAGGCGGAGGGCACAGAAAGTGTGCATAGAACCCATAGAATCAGATGACGGAAGTGGCAGCTAACAGGAGGGTGTGAGTAGGAGCCAAGGATGGCTCTTCATTCACACCTTGGGAGATTGGGCAGATGGTGAACCTGGAAGCAAGGAGCAGAAGATGGGGTGGACGGAAGGTTAGTTTTCTGTGAGCATGCTATGCTTGCGGGGCATCCAGGTGGAAACCTTGCCACCACGACACAGAAAAGGGAAGTTCCAGGCACAGAGGCAATGTGTGAAGTTTATGTACCTGGGCCATGAAATTGTTAAAGTAGCAAATATGAAAACCAGTGGGAAAGAAAACACACAGGAACAGTGACACAGGAAAATAAAAATCGAGCATAAACAAAACCCTGAATCCCCCATAGGGAAAGTCCTTCCCAATGATGTCCAATTCCCTTTCCCCTACCAACTTATCCAAGCTATCTTTCTTCTGGTTGAACTGAGGCTATCTTTAATCTTAACATTATTTTAATTGGTTGTATCTGCCCAGTTCATAAGTTTTTCTTGTTGCTTCCTTAGTTCTTTGAGTCTCATTTTCTACATTTCTAAAGTGAAAGTATCCATCTCATAGGGTTACAATGAGGATTAATGACATCATTCTCATCAGTTGCCTGCCATAGCACTTGGCATACATCACATGCTCAGTATATGTTGCTGTTCACATATCCACCGACTCTAGGGCTTCTTTTCGTATGCTGACAGTATCAGAAAGGCAGAAGTAATGTTCCACATTGTGTTTATTTACACTGACTCTGACCTAAGTCCATGGTAGATTCTCTGAATTGCAGGACACCAGAATCTCTAGCACACAAACTCAGCCAAATTCACATTTAGAGAAACCTGATTTCATCCCCCTTGTTTCCCTCTTTGTCTGCTGTACAAGACTATCTCAAACTCTGCCCTGGGAGTCCACCAAGCCTCTGGTTTCCATGTATCCCTTTCATAAATGGCTTTTCTCACTATGTTATGAACAGGAGAAGGGGTCCTGTCAACAAACAATGGGAAGCTTCAGTCTCAACAGGATCCTCCACTTCACGTGGGCCAACCCCAAGTCTGTTCGTGAAAATCATGTGTATTGAGCATTAATGATGTACCTCCACTCTTGTGGTCACAAGATGATCTCTGCCTTCTGATATTCCTCTGAAGTATCTTAGCAACCTGTTCATAGTACCTGGAACACAGTGACTTAGTATATTTCAATTCCAAATCAAATACACTGATTCAAAAATAAGCGAACTCTTCTGATTAGTATTACCGAACATGAACATAATGCTTAACAAATACTAACTCTTGTTCTTGTTGTTGTTGCTATTATTGTCATTAAGAGTCCAGACACATTGGGAGAACCAGAATTTAGATTGCCTTAGTAATTGTTTAGAAAGATAAAACAATCAAGGTGATGAGAACTCACATTTATTGAGCATCAACAATGTATCAGACATTGTGCTAAACAGGTAACAGGATGTAGCTTTTAATTCTCAAAATTATTGTATGACGTAGTTACTATTGTACTAGTCATATAGATGAAGAAACTTCAGTTAAACCGTTTGCTTGAGGAATATCAGTCAATGGTATAGGCAAGATTTGAACCCATGAGAATCTGACTCCAAAGAATTTATTCTTTTTACTTTTTCTGAAAGAGGCACTAGAGTACAGTACAAAGGAGGAAGCTGGAGCCCAGCAAGGAGATAGTTCATCCAGAAGCCCAGAACTTGTCATGGAAAGGCTGAGCTGAGAACTCCAATGTCCTAACTCACAGGTTCATGCTTTTGACCCTGTACAGACATGGAAATCCCAAAGCTGACTGAGACCCAGGAATTATAGGTTTACATGACATGATTACGATGAAGAATTTATTAACCCAGTAGAAAAAGGAGGCTAAAGGTAGGTACAAGAAAATCCTTGGATTAATAACACAATGTAGGAAAACATTGGTCTGAACACCACCATACTCAAAAGAAATCTATTGCTGAGAACCTCCTCGTGCAAGCTCCAGATGTTCTTATTCATGTTCTTGCTCATATGATTCCATTTATATGAGATATCTCACACACACACACACACACACACTCAGGAGTGGCTCCCAGTTTCTATCTTACTTTTTTTTTTTTTTTTTTTAGTAAGGAAACAAATGACTTTTTAGCTGGCACATGGCTGCCCAGAAAAAGACATTTCCCAGCCTTCCTTGCACTAGGTGACTAAATGCTGGTCAATGAGATGTAAGGCGAGAAATTGTATGCTCATCCTTAAAGAAAGAGGAAGTGTCCTTTTTTACCCTTCTTTTTTCTGTTGGAAGATAGACATAATGGCCAGAGTTTGGGCAGCCATTTTAGACCATGAGGCAGCATACAAAGAATGGTGAGGCAGCAAGACAAAAGAAGCGTGGCTCCCTGGTTATGGATTCGCCACACCAGGCCTGGACAGCTCACCACTGAGCAACTGACTTCCAGACCTCATTTAAATGAGAGAGAATAAACTTTAATCTTGTTTGTTCAGCTATCTTGTCTATCACATGCAGCCAAATATAGCCTTAATTAATTTAATGTGTGCGTATTTGTTGCTGTTGGTGTGTGTGTTTTATGTGCATATGCATGAAGAAAATAAGCAGATAGGTATCTTCAGTGGATTTATAGAGATTCTCAGGATATATTTTAAAGTGAAAAAAAGGAAGTTGCAGAGTAATGGGTATATGATTCTAATTTGCTAAAAAATAAAGACAAAACCTGATTATATATGCTTTTATACACTTGTGTGAATTATGATAAAGATGTGCTAATAACATTGGTTACTTCAGGGAGATAGGATTAAAATGAGAAACACGGAAGATGATTATCTTTGCCTTTATAAATCTTTGTAATCTATTGTTTCATTTGTTGCAGTGAGTGTATGCACACACACACACACACACTTCATAATTTAAAAAATACATTTACAAAACTTTTAAAATAAATGATCAGATGATGAAGACAAGCATAATGATTTAAGTCTTAAATTCTAGTTTAATTAAGTTGCTGTTCACACAACATGACTTTGCTGATTAAATATGGGTTTGGTAAAATATTGGGTGGCTGGAGGAAATGAGGGAAACTTCAGAGAATAGATTACCCTCAGGAAAAGCACATCTAAATAAAATTTGCCCATGGGGTTTTGTAAAGAGACACTGAAGCAATAAAGAAAAGAAGACCCACAAAGAGGAAGTCACATGTCACTGCCTTCACTTTATTTTATTTTATTTTTTTAGAAAAGGCTGAGCCATTTTCCCCATTTTTCTCTATTTACAGAGAAATTTGTGTGGTCATTTTTTTTAGACCAGATTGAAAACTGTGACATTGTCACATTGAGTTTCACTCCTCTTTCACTTTCCCTAACATGTCTGCTGAGATGAATAGCTCCCTGACCTAGACATTGAAATCCTTGAGGAGGTGGGCAATGCCTTATTTAGTTCTGCATCTTCAATGATTACACAATACCTGATAATTAGAAATTTGAGTCAGTAAATGTGTGTTGAATGGTTGAATAATTGAACGAATGAATGAATGAATAGAAAATGAGATTCATGATCCCCAAGAAGATTACACAGGGAGAGAGAATCCTTGGAGATAAAGTTAGGAGAATAAAGGCAAGTCCAGGGCATGGCTTTTGGAACTGCAATCTGTACTTTATGTGAGAACAATGCTGAGGTGGATGATTTGTCTACCAGGGCTTCAAATACTGCATTAAAAATTAAATTTGCATTGCATATTCATTTTATGGTATGTTTTGCATCCAAGACAATGCTGGCAATATCTTGAAAATCATTGTTAACATTAAACTAGAATTTCAGCATATTCTAGCTGGAAAGCAATGGGTCTCTGGGAGATGTTACAAATAATTTCAGAAGGCACTTTTACCAAAGTGAATAACTTCAGAGTTGAAGAAAATTTAAAGACCTTCTGTTCCTTCTTCCTATGTGAAAAAATGAGGAAACTGAAGCCAGAAAGGGTCAAGGTCCATGTAATATCGTTTAAGTGCTGTCTGACTCAGTTTTGAGACCATGGCTAAGAGCCTGTCAGTTCCCCTTCCTAAGTAGCTAATTAAGCTGACTCCCCCAGTCATCTCCCTCATCAGCCTCTCACAGTGCAACCACTATACACCCACACTAATCACCCTGGGGCTAGGTACCAGACAACCAGGGAAAACCCTGATGGCCTTAACCCTGCTGAAATTATTCAAATTTTCCAATTCTAAACTGGCTTACCCTACCTCACCCATTTCCTTCCCCCAGAAACCAAATAAAGGTGCTTCCCCACATTTCCCTTTCTCCCTCTGCCTCATGCCCAACACTGACTTCTCCAGTGGCCCTGTGTGGCATCCTGTGTCTTCCCCAAGGAGCTGTGAGTATAACAAAACTGTGAAACTCTTTTCCATTTTTCTCTTCGGGTTTGCATCTGGCCTCGCCATATCTCACCAAAGGTGATATGGTTCAGTCTCATGGTAAACTGAGGCCAGAACTCAAACTCTGATGTAGATTAACTGAACCAGAACACAGATCACCTGTCTTGTGACCCAAGGATACTTCCACCACCTTAAGATGCAAGTTATATCATTTCTTCCTTAAATATACTCTTTAAAAATTGGCTTCATTGAGCTTATCCTTCTCTCTCTAGATGCCACTTGACCTCCTAGGTAAGAAGGTAAACATATTCTCTAAAACAAGTTGCTCAAAAATGAGGATGAATGCCAATGCCCATATTTTGGAAGGGACTTCAGCCTATCCAGCGAGAGCTGTAAAATTTGACAACACTTGCTTTCAGAAAGGCCTACTTAGGGGCCAATTTGAATAGCTTCTGATGCAGGATTGAACTGCTCCCTGTTTCATTCAGCTCCTGAGTAGAGTTGAAGAATGACCAACCACCTGTCTCCATAAGCGTTTTATTTTCTCTTCCTGAAGACTGCCTGACATGATGCATGCTTCACCTTAGTTGACATCTAAAGTTCAGGGCCATGTGACACTTGAGTGGCCTATGCAAATGGATTTTTAAGAAAAAAGTCTTAAATAAATGTCAGTGACAGATACATGGACAATTGAATTACTAAATACAATTTCCTCTTTCTTAATGGGCACGACCCTTATATATTTGTTAAATAATGCATCTCTTAGTGACAAACTAAATCACACGCACAAATCTTATTGTTGCTAATAGCTTATGTCTCTTCTTTGTTTTGTGAAATAATGTTATATTAAAGGTGAATGCTTAGAATCCAAGAACCGGTCTACAAGTATCTTAGCCTGTATGAGCTTCTAACAAAATACTGTATACTGGGTGGCTTATAAACAATAGACATATATTTCTCACAGCTCTGGAGGGTGGAAAGTCCAAAATCCAGGCACTGGTACATTTTGTGTCTGCTGACTGCCTGTTTTCTGGTTCATAAATGATGTCTCCTCACTGTATCCAAACTTGGCAGAAGGGCAAGGCATCTCTCTGGGGCCTCTTTTTTTTTTTTGAGCTGGAGTCTCACTCTGTTGCCCAGGCTGGAGTGCAGTGGCGCAAACTCGGCTCTCTGCAAGCTCCACCTCCTGGGTTCATGCCATTCTCCTGTCTCAGCCTCCAGAGTAGCTGGGGCTACAGGCGCCCGCCACCATGCCCGGCTAATTTTTGTATTTTTAGTAGAAACGGGGTTTCACCGTGTTAGCCAGGGTGGTCTCAATCTCCTGACCTCATGATCCACCTGCCTCGGCCTCCCAAAGTGCTGGGATTATAGGCATGAGCCACTGTGTCTGGGGCCTCTTTTATAAGGGCACTAATCCTATTCTTGAGGACTCCACACTCACCATCTTATCACCTCCCAAAGGCCCTGCCTCTTAGCATTATCACCTTAGGGGTGAGTTTTCAACATACAAATTTGAGGCAGGACATAAACATTCAAACCACAGCAGGGAAGAATGTAAATGTCATCTGATTTCTCCCACCTTGTGTGAATGAGAATATTTTAAGAATGAGAAGTCACCTTTCAGGGTCAGAAAATTTCACAAACTCCTGCATAACATTAGTTTGATTTTTAGTATTCATTGATTGAGACATTATGCTACTACAAACTCAGTAATCGTTTTAAGTGAAATTTTATCTTATGAATCACAACAGCATTTATAGTACATTTAACAATATGTATTTGTAAGAAAGGTGGAGGAGGATGAAGTCCATGGATTCAGAGACTCTGCAATTACTCTAACAACACTTCCTTTCTGTTGACACTCCACCTCCAGACTCACACACCCCATGTTGGTGTTCTAAAACATTTCTGCCAGTTCTGATTTCTGCTTGTATACTACCCATGTTGGGCAGCTCACTAGTTCATACAGCAGCCCATTATATCTTTGAGTTATTTTTCCTAATATTGAAATTTCTCCCTATATATAGCTGGACTGTGTCTCTCTGGAATCTCTAGGTTTTCATCTTATGGGCCCACTGAAGGCAATTATAATCATCTTTCACATGTCAGCCCCTCATAAGGTGGCTCTCATGCTTTCCACCCCCATTTAGGACCAGAATATAGTGGACACAGAAGGGGCTTCTGTGAGAGAAAAATGAGAGCATAAAAGCACTAGGGGTTGTACAACAGAGGATTTTGCTGTGGATCCATCTTTGGAAGTACCAGACAATTGCTATCACGGGAATGAAGGAACAGAAGCCAGGAGCCCAAGGTAACCATTAAGAAGCAGAAATATGACAACCCCAAAGCTGACTGGGCCCTAGAAATTGCAGGCCGATATGAGATTATTGTAATGAAGAATTTGTTAACCTAGTGGCAAAAGGTGGCGTAAGGCAGGTTCAAGTAAATCTCTGAACTATTATGTGAACATAATGGAAAAAGCAATAACATAAAAATCACCAGGTCTAAAAGAAATTTATTATTGAGGACCTCCTTATGAAATCTCAAAATGTTCTTATTCATGTTTTCACTAATATAATCCCATTTATATAAAATTACACCTACGCAGGTGTGGCTAGTACATAGCTCCCTTAGCTATGAGTGGAAGATCAAAGGGAAGATACTACCCTGGACATTTTTATTTCCTTCCTTCCACTCTTCCTCTGACGTTTTTGTAGCTTCCCCTTTTTGTAGTTCCATGAAAGCTTCCAGACCACTCAGTAACAGGGTGCTAGAAACAACCTATTATGGGATTCGGATATTTGTTGGAGACTTGGGGGTGGGTCTAAAGAAGCAGAGATTTTCTCTAGGTTGGCTGCTCTCAGAAAGTGGGGTAATTATATTATTGAACATCTCAATAAACCTTGTCTATAGGAAGGGCGGACTGGAAAGAATAAAGATGTGATTGATTGATGGATTGATTAAGAAGTAGCAGTCATTCATTTTAGGCAAGAGAGAAGACATGATATTTTGTGGTTGGCAGAGCTACCTTGTTTTTGTCTGTGCTCAGACAAAATTATGAAGTGTTCTTGTTTTGTCTCACTTTCTCATGGTCTCAGAGTAACCTTGTCTGATTCTGGTATTCAATGAGATTGTTTATGTCCAACAGGGAATGACATGCCTAACTGTGAGTGCCCGGTTGGCTTCTAGATGGCAGGGGCTGCTTGTTTTTCCTAATACTAGACAATGGAGATTTAACAATAAGTCCTTGAGTGAGAGGAGCTCACGGCCTGCAGAGAAGCAAACATTTACAATACCAGGTGAGGATCACAATAATGGAGATGCTATATCTAGAGAGAGGAGGGCTTATTAGGAGCAGAGAGAAGCATCAGATAAAGCTTCACAAAAAAAGAGTGTATTTGATCTGGGAGAATGATGAGCATGTGAGTGTGTGTGTGTGTGTGTGTGTGTGTGTGTGTGTGAAAGGAAATCCTTTATGTGCGTGGCAGTGTATATGTTCCAAATTAAAAATTCAATTCAAGCCCAAGCAACTTTGCAACTACAGACGTTTTCTTCCTTTTCTTTCCTGGAAGAAAATTAGCCTTTCTATTTTCATCATTGAAATCGCCATTTGTCATTCTCAAGGTGCCTCGGTGCCTTTGTCTCTGCTGTCAGCTGGCAGCAACAATGCTAAAAATAGCTGGCAGAGGGAACCGCTACATGCTGAACATTAAAAATAGAAAGGGAAGCACTGGTGTGAATAATGCATGGGAGAGAATCCCGTTCACGTTGGCCTTCATGTCCTCTGGGGGCCTGGCTGCTGGGCACAGCCCTGCAGGATGAGGGAGGATTAAGGCATTTTTGTTACTCACACTGCAATGAAAGGGCAGCTCACAAATTACAGCTTCCCCCTCGGCTTGCAGTGGCCAGGGAGGGATAGGAAGAAATGGAGGCAGGACTAGCGTTCTGCAAGACAAATCAAGAGTCTAATTTGGAGATACAAACTCAAACGTGTTGTCACTGGGAGCCAAGACAAAGGAGAAAGCAGGCCTGTGACACATCAGGAGGGCACACCCTTTCTAAAAGCACTTGGATTCCCTGTCTTTTGTAATTCACACTCTAGGCAACCAGAGCTACTCTGCAAGGAGGACTTTACTCATAAATCATCAGAGTATAATCTCTGTAAAATCCAGAGCTGCTCAAAGTTGAGACCCATATTACACTAGCTGGAGCAGAACTCTCCCCACAGCCATAAACACTGTAGGCTCTTCTTCACTATTGCTGAATAACTGAATTTCCCTTTACACTGATTTATTCCTCATGACCAGATGTGTTATTCCTGCAAGTCCTAGATTGTCAGAGCTGAAGCAACTCAGGGATTGATAGGTAAATTAAAAGGTGCTGAGGTCCAGGGAGGGGAAGGAAATTGTCTGAGTTCACACAGCACTCCAGCCTCAGAGGCAGGGTTGACTGCCTTGACTTTGCCTTCCCCAGCAGTCTGCTGCTGAGTCACCTCTCCAAATCCTTGGTGGAATAGTGATCTTGTTCCCAAATGCAGACTCCATCTGCACATCCAAGCCTTGAGGCAGGTTGAATTAATCTTGTCTGAAACGGGGCACACTTCTGGCTTGGTGTGCAGTCCCTTCTTCACCATGAAGTGTGAAGCCCAAACAGGCCATGGGCTCCTGACACTGCCCCTGGAGTAATGGGTAGGTCTCCGCTGCAGCTATCTAGGGATGGAGGGTATCCTAGTACTGCTTCTAGTATCGAATTAAGTGTTCCTAGCTCTCCTGAGAGAAAAATAACTCTGATACTGAAGAAATTGTCCTCTTTCCTCAAGGCAGGTAGGGGTCTCATCCTGAACCCAAGCCTGGCACCTTTGCCTAATGGGTGAGAACACAACTTTGAAATCAAGCTTGGCTCAAATCCGGTTCTGTCGTTTACCACCATCTTTTCAACTTTGGGCAGTATACCTGGTATCTCCAGGCTCGTTTCTTGCTTCTGAAGCTGGGCCAATAATACTGATCCACCGGGGCTGCTATAAATACGAGACCACTAATAAGAAACGCTGACCACAGTGACCACACACAACGGAAACTCAAAAAACGTGAGTCCCTTCCCCTTCCCAGAAGACCCTTTCTTTCTGTCTGCAGGCTCCGGATTTCTCTACTAGGTCTGAATCCCAGGTCTGTAACACACTTTCTCCGTAGCCTTTAAGAAGCTGGGAACCTCAGGGCATCCACTCGTTTGCCTGTACACGAAGATTATCAAACCTCCCATGCTGGCCGCCTGGAAGGTTAGTGAGATAATGTAGGCATATTCAAGATTAGACAATTATTAAATAAAAATTTCCCCAAACTGACTCTCTGCTGATGAATTTATCATATATTCTATGTGAAAAAAAGCAAGCGCTCAGTTTCAGTCCTACTTTCTCCTTGACTATATAAGCACTCAATCTTCCTCCTGATAATTAAAGCAAGGAAAAAAACGAAGCCGAGGAATGAGCAACATTTTAAATATCTTGAACATGGTTATGATTATAGAACAAAATATGGATTTGCTCACTCAGTAAGCTAGTCCCTGCTTGGTAGGCAAGAGGGCACCTCCTTGAAGCTTGAAAGGGGGGAATTTGGAAGGAATACAGACAGTCCTACTGTTTCTGTTAGGATTGTGTTAAGGTGTTAAGCCGTGAGCAATAGCTAATCCTACCATAGTGACTTATGCGAAAAGTCCAGCAGTAGGTACAACTCAAAGATGTCATCAAGAGACCAGGTTCCTTCCCTCTAGCTGTTCTTCTCTATTTAATATTTATTTAAATATTTAATTTATGTTTTAGTTCTTGTTATCTAGTGTATTATAGACCATTGGGATATCTCACACTTTAAGGAGCCAGCCCAGCTTTGGTAAAAAGAACAATTTCCATCCAATCCAGTGCTCAAAAGATGTTCATGTCCAGATCCCAGAAGACTGTGAATATATTAGATTATATGACAGAAAGACCTTGAAGATTTGATTAGGTCAATAATCTTGAGATAAGGATATTATTCTGGATTGCCTAGATGGACCCAATGTAATCACCAGGTCCTTATAAGAGGATGCCAGGTGGGTCAGAGTCAGAGAGAAGATGTCACAAAGGAAAGAGAGATTGGAGTGATGTGGGGCCAACAAGCCAAGTAAGGGGGATAGCCTCTAAGAGCTGAAAAAGGCAAAGAAACTGATTTTCACCTTATTTGTTTCTTATGACTTTCATAATAAAGTATCACAAAGTGCACCGGGTGCGGTGGCTCATGCCTGTAATTCCAGCACTTTGGGAGGTCAAGGCAGGTCAAGAGTTCGAGACCAGCCTGGCCAACATGGTGAGACCCCGTCCTACTAAAAATATAAAAATTAACCACATGTGATGGTGGGCACCTGTAGTCCCAGCTACTCGGGAGGCTGAGGTGGGAGAACTGCCTGAACCCAGGAGGCAAAGGTTGCAGTGAACCAAGACCACACCACTGCACTCCAGCCTGGGTGACAGAGTGAGACTCCATCTCAGAAACAAAAACAACAACAACAACAACAACAACAAAGTGGTTTAACACAGTAATTTATTCTCTTCCAATATGGGAGCCTGGAAGCCCAAAATCAAGGATGTCATTAGGGTAGTACTCCCTTCAAAGAGTCTGAAGAAGGGTTCTTCCTTGCCTCTTCCTAGCTTCTGGTGCTTGGTGGAAATCCCTGGCATTCCTGGGCTTGCAGCTGCATCAGTCCAGTTTCTACCTCCATCTTCTCATAACTGTCTTCTCTGTCTGTGTCTCTGTGTCTGTTCTCCGTTTATAAGGACATCAGTCATTGGATTTAGGTCCCACTCCAACCCAATATGACTCAATATGACCTCATCTTAATTTAATTGATTATATCTGCAGAGAACTTTTTCCCGTATAAGGCCATATATTTTGGTTCTGGATGGACATGCATTTTTTCCCAGGTTGGGGAATGCTGCTCAGCCTAGTGCACTCCCCTACAGCCTCCAGAAGAAATGCAGCCCTGTAGTTTTGGACTTCTGACTTCCAGAACTGTGAGATAATAAATTTGTGTTGTTTTAAGCAACTAAATGTGTAGTAATTTGTTACAGCAGCAAGAGGAAACTAACAACCCAGCCAACTAGTAAGAATAGCTGGAGGAGTTCTTGTCAAAACATGGAGTTGATGACTTTGCAAGTGCTTCTACATCAGTGACTTGGAGAAAACTGTCAAAGCCCAAGAGCACCTCTTTAAAGGCTTAGAATATGTGCCCTAACCAGGCGGAGCAAGCCACAAAATATCAGAGAGAGAGAAAACTTCAGATATATTAGTAAAAACGAGCTAGCAACTCAGTGAATCTTTCCACAGTTTGTGTGTTTATGTGTATGGGTGGGTGTGTAGAGGTGTGTATATGCATATGTGCATACATGTGCATCTCAGCTATTCTCTCCAGTTTTGAAAAATGGAAGATGACCTAACATCCTTTCCTCACTCATACTGTACCTGAAAGGGAAGGTTAACTGGAGTCATATACAGTGAGAGAAGGATCAATAAATCAGCCCCAAAGTATCAGAGCAAATAGAACATCTGTACAGAACTGTTCAGGCAGGAGACAGATGGAAATAAATGGTGCAATGACTAAGCAAATATAGTACAGAAGAAATAAATACACTGGAAAAATGAACACAGCATGCAGAAGTAAGACAAAGATCCCAACCTATAAGAAAGCATTAGACATAGAGGAGAAGGAAATGTGTCATAATTGCTAGGATACCTAAACAGGAATATTATTTTAAAATGAAAAAGCCAAACAAGAATTCATAAAACAACAGAATGAAATAAACAGAGGTAGGCTTAGTGTCCCAGTTGAAACTAGAAAGTAATCAGCTAGGATTTTGAAGAAAATTTAAGGAAGAGTCCATTTACAGAGGCCAGCTCTGGGTGAAGGGTACCATTGAAAGATGTCGAAGAACCCAGTACCATTGACAGTAAGCCTGGTGGTAACCCTTCACCTGTAAGGGCATGGAGAGGAACCAGTGTTAGTGGAATCATGGGGGAAGTGATTTCCAACAGGGACTTAGTCACGGAAGGATGCAACCACTGCTAGAATCACAGCACCAGTCAGGGAGGGAGTGGGAGAAACAATTCTTGACCACTCTTTACTCTATTTTCTGATCTCTTCCTAGTGTCTCCCATTGGCTGAATCCAACCAGAAGAGACAGGGAAAAGCACGTAGGGTAAAGCAGTCCTTAGGGCCAGCCTCTAAAGGTACAGACGAGAGTAAAAAAAGAAAATGCATAAATGTGGAAGGGGCAAATGGAGAACAGCTAGCACACAGGTATACTGGCCCTGTTTATGCAACACTTGAGGCCCTCTGGGTCTCTCCAGGAGGCTCCTTGCTCATGGCATCCTTGGTTGCAAATCTCCTGCGGCCACAGTCTCATGTCATAACACTGCCTTCTATCAACTTAGTTTTAACCAGGCCTATCCTAGAGGAAACTAAAGCTGCTCCACCACCCTGGCCCAAGCCAACCAGACCCATCCTGATTATGGCTTCCCTGGTGGATGCCTGTGGAAGTCAATAAAAACTAAATGCTTAAGTGTGTTAATGTGTTAATGCCCCTATGGGATGAATTTTAACCAGAAACATGAGATGAGAAGAAGTAAGAGATAAGATGAGAAGAAGTCTGCAAATATATATATATCACTTGTTCTTCTCCTGCTTGATGCAGTAATTCCATACAACCTCCCCAGGGAAATCGCTCATGACCAAGTCACCAACTGTATTTTCTTGAGAAGCTAAAGTCAGCTTGCATTTACTTTCTTTTCTCTCCTGCCTCTCTCTTGCTCTCCTCAAATTACACGCATTTAATTAAGCTTGGCCTCAGTCTTTACTTTTAAGGGAACCCATGCTACAATAATTGGTTTAAGAAGTGATATAAGAAAACAGACCTTCCAGATAAAGTATTGGAGGTAAATTTCCCATGAGTCTGGAGGCAAGACAAACTCTATTGCTTATGGTAAGTGCAGTAATAACCTTTCACCGTAATCACCATTTCTAAAGTTTCACTTACATTTAATTGGAATGAAGTGCCAGTGGAATGCAAAACTTGAGAGATCAAATGGTAGCTGCATTTGACCAGTGATATAGTTTGGCTGCATCCTTCCCCAAATCTCATCTTGAATTGTAACTTCCATAACTCCTGTGTATTGTGGGATGGACCTGGTGGGAGTATGGAGGTGGTTTCTCCCATACTATTCTCATGGTAGTGAATAAGTCTCACGAGATCTGATGATTTTATAAGGGAGTTCCCCTTTCCCTTGGCTCTCATTCACTCTTGCCTGCTGCCATGTAAGACATCCCTTTGCTCTTCTTTCATCTTCTGCCATAACTGTGAGACCTCCCTAGTCATGTGGAACTGTAAGTCCATTAAATCTCTTTTCTTTATAAATTACTCAGTCTTTGGTCCATCTTTATTAGCAGCGTGAGAACAGACTAATACAGTAAATTGGTACCAGTAGAGTGGGGTGCTGCTATACACATACCCAAAAATGTGGAAGTGACTTTGGAACTGGGTAACACGTAGAGATTGGAACAGTTCAGAGGGTTCAGAAGACAGGAAGATGTGGGAAAGTTTGGAACTTCCCAGAAACTTGTTGAATGGCTTTGATCAAAATGCCGATAATGACATGGACAATGAAATCCAGGCTGAGGTGGTCTCAGATGGAGATGAGGAACTTGTTGAGAACTGGAGTAAAGGTGACTCTTGCTATGTTTTAGCAAAGAGACTGGAGGCATTTTGCCCCTACCCTAGAGATCTGTGGAACTTTGAACTTGAGGGAGATGATTTGGAGTATCTGGCAGAAGAAATTTCTAAGCAGCAAAGCATTCAAGAGGTGACTTGGGTGCTATTGAAAGTATTCAGTTTCAAAAGGGAAACAGAGCATAAAAGTTAGGAAAATTTGCAGCATTATGATGCAATAGAAAAGAAAAACCCATTTTCTGAGGGAAATTTAAGCCAGCTGCAGAAATTTGCATAAGTAAGGAAGAGCCAAATGTTAGTCACCAAGACAATGGGGAAAATGTGGATCTGTGAGAAGAGGGCCACAGTCCTCCAGACCCCAGAATGATAAATCCACCAACAGCTTGTGCCTTGCACCTAGAAAAGCCACAGACACTCAATGCCAGTCTGTGGAAGCAGCCAAGAGGGAGGCTATACCCTGCAATGCCACAGGGGTGGAGCTGCCCAAGACCATGGGAACCCACCTCTTGCATCAGCATGACCTGGATGTGAGACATGGAGTCAAAGGAGATCATTTCGGAGCTTTAAGATTGTACTGCCCTGCTAGATTTCGAACTTGCATAGGGCCTGTAGTCCTTTCATTTTTGGCCAATTTCTCCCCTTTGGAATGAGTGTATTTACCCAATGCCTGTACCCCTATTGTATCTAGGAAGTAACCAATTCACTTTTCATTTTACAGGCTCATAGGTGGAAAGGACTTACCTTGTCTTAGATGAGACTTTGGACTATGGACTTTTGAGTTAATGCTGAAATTAGTTAAGACTTTCAGGGAATGTTGGAAAGACATGATTGGTTTTGAAATGTGAGGACATGAGATTTTGGAGGGAATGAGGGTGGAATGATATGGTTTGACTGTGTCCCCACCCAAATCTCATCTTGGATTGTAGCTTCCATAATTCCCACATGTTGTGAGAGGGACCCAGTGGGAGATAATTGAATCTTGGGGGTGGTTTGCCCCATAGTGTTCTCATGGTAGTGAATAAGTCTCATGAAATCTGATGATTTTATGAAGGGTTTCCCCTTTTACTTGGTTCTCATTCTCTCTTGCCTGCTGCCATGTAAGATGTGTCTTTTGCCTTCCACCATGACTGTGAGGCCTCCCTAGCCACGTGGTACTGTGAGTCCAGTAAACCTCTTTTTCTATACAAATTACCCAGTCTCAGGTATGTCTTTATCAGCAGCATAAAAATGGACTAATACAACCAGTTTGTGAGTAATGATAATTATGAAGAGTGTGGTATGGAGTGACCACTTTTGATGGCACTTAAGGCTTTAAAAATGAAAAAAAAAAAAAAGATCAAAATTGCCAACTTAAAGTTTCTATGAAAGTCAGATTGGTCTCTGATAGTTTGGCTATTTGACCCTCCAAATCTCATGTTGAAATTTGGCACCCAATGTTGGAGGTGGGGCCTGTTGGGAGGTGTTTGAATCATGGGGATGTATCCCTCATGAATGACTTGGTGCCATTCTCCCAGGAGTGAGTGTGTTCTCACTGACTCTTAGTTCTTGCACGAACTGGTGAAGACTGGCACCTCATCCTCTCTCTTTCCTCTTTGTTATCATGTGATCTCTGTATGGTGGCTCCCCTTCCCCTTCCACCATGAGTAGAAGCAGTATGAAGCCTTCACCAGAAGCTATGCAGATGCTGACACTATGCCTCTTGTACAGCCTGCAGAACCATGAGCCAAATAAGCCTCTTTTCTGTATAAATGACCTAGCCTTAAGTATTTCTTTTTAGCAACATAAATGGACTAAGTCTCCCTGGCAGTTTTAAAGGATAATTTCATCTCCTGCTGTCACAGGGCAGACTTTGCTGAAAACAAAGCCCAGGATCTGATTGTTTAAAAAGACATAGTTTCAAAGGAAACTATATATAATCTTGACAGGTCTCTTATATTAAAGTCTGGGCCATGATAGGTAAAGAGTAAGACTATGAGACCTAGGATAGGGATATTTGGATAGATGAGCTTGAGAATCTTAAAATCTCAAATTCTCCTAAAACCCTCTGACTGACAAAGAAGCCTCTTTTCCCTTAAAAGAGAAACAGTCTCCTCTTATAAGGACATAGTATTAATATAAAGAAGACCTTACTTGAAGCTCTTGCAAGGGTGCCTCTCAAGATGTGAGTTGTTCTCAAAGTCAGCCTCCTTCATTACCTTCCGGCTAATAAGCAGGGTCAGTGTGATGCTTAATGTTGAGTGTCAACTTGATTGGATTGAAGGATGCAAACTATTGTTCCTGGGGTGTCTGTGAGGTTGTTCCCAAAGTAGATTTACATTTGAGTCAGTGGACTGGGAAAGGCAGACCCACCCTCAATCTGGGTGGGCACCATCTAATCAGCTGCCAGTGCGGCCAGAATAAATGCAGGCCGACTAACACGGAAAGACGAGACTGGCTTGTTCTTCTGGCCTACACCTTTCTTCCAGGCTGGATGCTTCCTGCCCATGAACATCGGACTCCAAGTTCTTCCACTTTGGGATTCTTGGCCTTCTACCACAGACTGAAGGCTGCACTGCTGGCTTCCCTACTTTTGAGGTTTTTGGACTCGGATTGGCTTCGTTGCTCCTCAGCTTGAGGTCAGCCTATTGTGGGACCTTACCTTGTGATCGTGTGAGTCAATACTCCTTAATAAACTCCCCTTTATATATACATCTATCCTATTCTGTCTCTCTAGAGAACCCTTACTAATACAGTCAGTTTTTACCTCAGCCCAAACCAGGAAGTGCAAGACTTGCTTTGGAAATAAAGAGACTTTGTACTAAAGGAACTGAAGATTTTCCTTGTGTCATGATGAGTCAGGTCTGTCATTAACCTTCCCTGGTTCACTGGTCACCCATTTCTTGCCAACAAAGTTTTCCAGCACTTTTAAGTGAGAGGATACATTATGAACACCCACTTATATTTTGTTTTGGCTTAATTGTAAAGATATGTTAATTCTTTATGACTCAATTTTTAAAATAGGAAACTGAAAGAGTTGTAGTTATAGGAGGCGAACTAGGAAGTTTCATTTTTTTTTTTTTTTGTTTGAGATGGAGTCTCGCTCTGCCACCCAGGCTGAAGTGTAGTGGCATGATCTTGGCTTACTGCAAGCTCTGCTTCCCAGGTTCACGCCATTCTCCTGCCTCAGCCTCCCAAGTAGCTGGGACTGCAGGCACCTGCCACCACACCCGTCTAATTTATTTATTTTTTGTATTTTTAGTAGAGATGGGATTTCACCATGTTAGCCAGGATGGTCTCAATCTCCTGACCTCGTGGTCTGCCCGCCTCAGCCTCCCAAAGTGCTGGGATTTGGAAGCTTCATTTTTAAAGCTAGTTAACAGGAAGGTTTATCTAATTTTCACCAATTAGTCAGTTATACCTACACACATTTCTTTATTCAAACAGACAATTGATCATAAATTAAAAGTAAATCGACTGTACATAACACCTACAGCAGGAAAACCCCATATAACACTATTTTAAACAGGGTAGCTCCTTTCTCTCACACATAAAAGATGTCAGGAGGAGGCAAATCTGGACTATAATGGAAGCTTCACACTTTCTTCTGGGAGCCAACTGCTTATCTGATCTGCCATCATCAGTGGATGATTTCCATCCTCAAGATGGATCATAATAGAAGAAGTCTGTGGAAGTTCAGCATCAAGTCCCCATTTTGAGCAGGCTGCCAAAGCATCTGTAAAAGACAAAGTGGTGCTCCTCCCCACTGGGTCGGCTCCTTGAAACAGCTTTCCCTGTAACCCTTTTACCTACATCTCCTTGGCCCAGTGTTAGTCTCATGGTTTCATCTAGCTGCAGGGGAAACTGAGAAGTGTTGCTTGTTAGCTGGGTGCATTGCCACAGTGAATAAAATTGAGGTTCTGTAGCTGAGAAAAAGGGAAGATGTGCATATTGGGGGGTGATGAACAGTCTCTGTCCCAAGTAAGACAGTCTTAACTTGTTCAACAAATGCCAACTACTCTGTAAAGGGTGAGGTAAAAGGTGTTTAGAAAATGAAGACAAGGTCAGGTGCAGTGGCTCGTGTCTGTAATCCCAGCATTTTGGGAGGCCGAGGTGGGCAGATCACCTGAGGGTGGGAGTTCAAGACCAGCCTGACCAACATGGAGAAACCCCGTCTCACCTAAAAATACAAAATTAGCTGGGCATGGTGGCACATGCCTGTAACCCCAGCTACTTGGGAGGCTGAAGCAGAAGAATCTCTTAGACCTGGGAGGCAGACGTTGTGGTGAGTTGAGATCATGCCATTGCACTCCAGCCTGGGCAACAAGAACAAAACTCTGTCTCAAAAATAAAAAAAAAAAAAGGAAAATGAAGACAAGCGAGACACAGATATTCAGGGACTCACAGTGTGGTGGGAGAGCTGGCTATGAAATAAATGAGTTTATGAGAGAATGACTGCTGCCCTCATGACAGTGTTGACAGTTTATGTCAAAGAGGCCCTTGTCAACTGGGCCTAGGGTTTGGTGGAGACAGGTTTTCCTCAGGCAAACTGGAAAGGTAGTGCAAATGAAAACAAAAGACAAGAGGTGGCACCCATCTCTGCACACTTCTGTTCCTGCAACTCCTGGAGTTTTTGTTCCATGAACCCAGAAATTCCCCTTTTTGCTTAAGCCAGTTGAGGTAGTTTCTGCAATTGCAATAAGAGTTTTGAATGATATAGTCATCATGCAGAACAGGCCTTGTAAAAAAAATAAAAACAATCTATGCATCAGGTAACACCATTAGCAAAAAAAAAATGTAGGGTGATCAACTCTTCTGGTTTGCGCAACTGTCCCCATTTTAGCACTGGAAGTCCCTTATCCTAAGAATTCCCTCCATCCCTTGAAAATCCAGATAGTTGGTCACTGGAAAGTAAAGTGTTGTCCATATTTTGTGTGGAAAAGAGAAGACTTGGGGGGAAATAGGGAATATTTTCAAATAGGTGAAAGTTTCTCAGATGTAAGAAAAAAATAGATGCTCTGTGCAGTTCCAAGGGTTACATAATAACTTAGTAGATGCTGAAGAGGTGAAAGTATTAAAAGGCAGACTGTCTTTATTATAAGGACAATTTTGTAAATATCAGAGCTTCCCAAGGGTGGCACTGGCTTGCCTTGGAAGGGGAATTGTTCAGAGGAGTCATGTGGTCAGAGCTGAACTGGAACCCTGGCTCTAACCCTCGCCAGCTGTGTGGTCTTGGGCAAGTTAGTTAATCTCTCTAAACCTCAGTTTGCCCATCTGTAAAATGGCAATGATAATTACTGGCTTGTGAGGATGAAACCAGGTGAAGCCAAGTAAATCCTCAGTACTTTCTAGTTATAAACAGAGAGAAGTAATGAGCTTTCTTTTCAGTAGTAAAGGCGGAATGACCCCTTGTATGGATGCTTCAGAGGACGTCAAGGATGGATGCCTGCAAATGAGAAGGACTTGGAAGACTTGAAATTTCCTTTCTAGGCAAAGATTCCGTTTTGATTTGATTTTGTATAAAAGATGTTGCTGATAGGGCTATTTTAGAGATGGATGCTTGCGATGATTTTTGACAGACTTTCCTTATAAAGCTTTTTAGTGCTTCTTTAAAATACATTTTGCTGAGCTTTAAAATGAGGAGCATCTGTCTGCTTCCAGCTGTCTAGACCTGGGTTATTTCTGCCCTCAGCCACTTTAATGAGGTTGTTAGAGTGACAGGGTGTGTTACTGGCCACAGCTTCGGAGACTCGGGTCAGGGAGACTGTTTTCAGCAGCAGCCCTGTGAGGAAGGGACTAGAGGGGCCGTCAGTCTCCCTCACCTCTTACTGCACCCAGCTCTGGGGCTTCAAAGTGCTGCGGGAAGTTTAGTTACAGCAATGTGACACCATCACTAAGAAGATAAAGTACCATCTTTTGCTGAGAGGATAACACCATTGCTGAAAGGATTACGTATCATCCATTAATTTTTACTTTCAAGTTTGATTTTTTAAAAAATCAAGGTATGACTTTCATAGAGAAAAGTGAACATAGCTTAAGTGTACAGCCTGGTAATGTTTTTTGTAGATGTATGGCCCCATATGACCAGTGCCAAGTCCAAGATGTAGAATATTTTCATCCCTTCAGAAGCTTCCCTGGGGCTCTTTCCCAGTCATCAAACCCACCCACCCACCCAGCAGAGGTAACCACTGTTTGGATCTCCAAAACCATACATTAGTTTTACCCTTTTTTGGTTTTCATACAAATAGAATTTTACAGCATGCATTTTTGGTGTGTGTTTAGCTTCTTTTAATCAACATAAGATCTGTGTATTTGTCAAGTATACATCTAAATCATAATTTTCCTAAGTTAAAAACTTGACTCTTATGCAAATATAAATTGACCATGTATCAAAGATTTTATTCAACAGATTCATTAATAAAGGAATCAGTAGAACACTAAAAACAGGTTTCAATAAGAATGTACTTGAATTACTGAGATTTATATTCTCTACCAGACAGAATCTGTTTGCTTTGCTGTGGACAGGAATCCTTTTCATTGCTATGAACAGGAAACATTTGCACTGCTATCAGTTTTCTGTAACTTAAAGTTGTTTAGGCAATAGAAAGAAAAGCATACACTCTCTATACTCAGATAACCTTGAGAGTCCTCTAGACAGCACCTAGTATTGCCAGACAATAAGAGGACATCCAGGGATCTCTGGCCTATTTCTAAAACCTAGCAATTATTTCTTGATGATACAAACACACCTCAATTTATTTATCCATTTGCTTGTTGATGAGAATTTGGGTTAGTTGCAGTTTGGAGTTATGAATAAATCTTCCATGAGCATGTTTGTCTATGTCTTTTTGTGGACATGTGCAATCACTTCTCTTCAGTATGTACCTAGGAGTGGAATTGCTAGTTCATAAAAATAATATATTTATTATTAATAATAAATTATTAATATATTACACTTTAGTAGATACTTCTGAACAGTTTTCCAAAGTCATTATATCATTTTAAACTGCCAGATATGTATAATAATTTCAGTTGCCCTACTTCCTTGCCAACATTTGGTGGTATCAGTCTTTTTAATTTTAGCCACTTAGTTATTATCACCTATGTTAAAAATTTTAACATTTTAACATGCATAAGAATTAGCTGGAATGTTCATTCTGAAGTTTTGACTTCATCATTCTGAATGGAACTCAGAAGTCTACATTATGAACAAGTACTTTTTTTATTAGGGAATTATTCTGAGAGATGCTGGCTTAAATGCATCTTTACTGTGTAATCTAGGAGTTGTTGTGGTTGTCTTCCTTCAAAGTCCATCCTGCCATGAAAGAGGGTGAGAACTTCGGTTAGCTCACAGATTTCTGAAAGTGAAATAACAACAACCAACTCTTATCTCAATATTCAGAACAATCCTCCAAATTGATACTTGGTTTTTCCATTTTGCAGCTGGGGAAATGGAGGCTTTGAGAGGTAAGGAAATTTGCACAAGAACTCACAGTGTCAGAGCAGGACTTAGGTCCAAGGATTTTTGAAATCCTCTATCAATCAGGAATTTTTCTAATATGCCAGTGGTTTTGACACTTTTTTTGTTTCTTAGTTCTACTAGCAGCAGCCCTGTTTCTGTCCAAGATGTGGTCTTAAGAAGAATCCAGTATATGAAAGAAATCATAATTAAGCTGCTAAGGTGGAATGGAGGGCCACGAGGCCAGTGGCTTGCTTGTCTGCATGAACTCTTTGAGCCCCAGCACCCTCCTATTGTCACCTGCTGCAGGCCTAAGACCCTCCCCTGGACTTGCAAACCATGGAGGCGCTAGGACCATCCTCATAGGCCCCAAGTACAGATGCATAATTTGTAGCAACACTCTTTTTTATTTATTTAAGAAAATATCCTTATCTAAAATTTGGAGACAGTCTTACTTAAACTCAAGCATAACCCAAGAGCAAAATATAGCCTGGGGAGCATAGATAGTGTGCCGCTTAGAAAGGCAGTAGCTTTGTGAGAAAACTGGATGACCCTATGGGCCCCTGTCTCCCTGTGGTGCTTTGAATTTGGAATCCCAGCAGCAGTGGAATCTCCTGGAGCTTCATTGCTAAAACGCAGGTAGCAAAGGAAAGACATATTTTTCATAAGGAGACTTTCCCCAAAGCTCAAATAAATCAATTGTGCACACTGGTATTCTCTTATCCCCAGATGGCAAGCTGGTCTGATTGAAGTTAGAGATCTCTTAACACTCCTTGCCATCTGGATCTTCGGAAGAGATTTGAGATATCTCTTAACATTCCTTGATTTCACCCTAGAAGCTTAATTATGACCTTTGGAATGTTAGGAGATCTCTGACTTCATTCAGACCAGCTTACCATCTAAAGATGAGCATCCCCTCATTGTCCAGCTATGTGATCTTGGACCAATTATTTCATATCTTTCAGCTTCAGTTTAGTGTCTGTGCAATTGTGTCAATGACCACACAGAGGGGAGAAGTGAGGCTTATGTGAGATGCATAGTGCCCATGTGAGCTCCAGGCTGTGGGAGGTGCCCAGTAAAAATGTGTTTTCCCCCCGGCTCCTCTGTTGAGCAAAGCATACATCCTGCAGATCCACCAGCCATTTCAGAAGTGTGTCATGGTGACAGTGGTGTGACTTTGCTTTCTGCTTTCCTTCTGGTAGTGAGATAAGCCATTCCATGCTTCAGCACAAGGCCAAGGGAGGGAGAGCAAGGATGACATTGGTAGAAGGGACTGAAGAGAAGCATATTTGTGCCATGAATTCTATAAACATGAGAAGATGAGATCATTGCACCAGCTATTCCAGGAGTAGAATCAGCACCCCAGCTAGAAAAGGGGGCAGGTCTCTGGAAAGCTGCAATTTTAGCTTACTCGTAATAGCAATAATCCCTAACATTTATTGAGCTCTTAATGTGTGCCAAACATTGTGCTAAGCAATTTACATGCATTATCTCATTTATCTTCACATCAATTCTGCCACATAGGTGTCATGCTATCTCATCTTAAAGATGAGGGGATTGGCCAGGCGCAGTGGCTCACACCTGTAATCCAAGCACTTTGGGAGGCCAAGGCATGTGGATCACCTGAGGTCAGGAGTTCAAGACAAGCCTGACCAACATGGTGAAACCCCATCTCTACTAAAGATACAAAAATAAGCTGGGCATCATGGCGGGCACCTGTAATTCCAGATACTCTGAAGGCTGAGGCAGGAGAATCGCTTGAACCCGGGAGGTGGAAGTTGAAGTGAGCCGAGATGGCGCCTGGGTGACAAGAGCAAAGCTCCATTTCAAAAAAAAAAAAAAAAAAAAGATGAGGGGATTGAGGCACTGGGATATTATGTACCTTTCCCAAGTTCACTCAGCCAGCAAGCGGGCAATTATGTTCACCTAGGCTGTCACAACAGTACTAGCTGGAGTATCAGTTTGGTGGATATAACTAAGGTTCAAATACAGTGGCTTAAACAAATCGGAAGTTACTTGTTTCTCATGTGTCAATCTTGATGTCAACTGTCCGAACCAGGCTCCTTTGATCTTCTCACTCAGCTGCCATCTCCAGCGTGTTGCCCGCTCTGCATGGTCCCTGAAGATTCACCTTCACATCCTCATCCCAGGTGACAAGAAGGAAAGAAGGGAAAGGAGAGGCTGTTTGCCTCCATTGGCTCTGCCTACATACCATCGGCCAGAACTGGGATTGTGGTCATACCTAGCAGCAAGAGAAGCTTATGAATCACTCTTTTGAGTTAAAATGTATTATTTTTGTTACTAACATAGTAGTAAAACAGAAATGATTAGTGGACACCCAGAACTCTGTGCTGTAACCACTATGCTACCTTATTTATGTTGAGAGATATTGGGCAGAGTATGACTGGAACTTTGTCATCCAACACAAAACATAATTTTCAGCGTAAACAAACATTTTGTAGGCACCTGCCACCTAGAGAAAAATGAGAAGTCATGCTATAAGATACAGCCCTGCAGATGAGGAGATAGCATGAGTTGAGTACCTGCTATGTACATGGAGCTGGCTTAGAGACTTCCCATACAGCATATCATACCATTGTCTCAACAAAACCATTCAGAGATGAAGACACTAGGGACTCAAGGAGGTGAAATAATTCACCTAAGTTAATATGTTTAGTAAACGGTCAGGTCAAGATTCAAAGTCCCAGAAGTGTGACCCTGGGTAGGTTGCTTAACCTCTCTGTGCCTATGACCTCCTCAGCTCTAAAATGGAGCTACCTACAGGATTGCTGTGGGCTGTGGATGCTTTAATGCAGTTAAAGCCCTGGGAGCAGCACTTCGGGAGGCCGAGGTGGGCGGATCACAAGGTCAAGAGATCGAGACCATCCTGGCCAACATGGTGAAACCCTGTTTCTACTACAAATACAAAAATTAGCTGAGTATGGTGGTGCGTGCCTGTAGTTCCAGCTACTCAGGAGGCTGAGGCAGGAGAATCACTTGAACCCAGGAGGCAGAGGTTGCAGTGAGCCAAGATCACACCACTGCACTCCAGTCTGGTGACAGAGACTCCATCAAAGAAAAAAAAGCTCTTAGGATAGGACATGACATGTAGTAAGCACTCAGTGAATGATTAGATCTTGTTGATTATGACTGTTATTGTGGTTATTGTTAATAATAGTACTGAATTATCTTCTACTCTACTCAGCCTGCACTTCATCCTAATCCTAGTGTGATAAATGTTATATTGCGAATGAAGAAGTCTAGGAATGTCCAGAGAGAAGACAGATTCCTTTTGACCCTAAAACATAAAAAAGCATCGTAAAGAAGCAGCATTTTGTTGGACTTCGAAAGAAGGGTAGGATTTTAACAGGCAGAGGTGGGAGTGAAACTGGACAAAGAAGTTATTCCAGGGAAAGGGATCAGCTTGAAAATAAGCATCTAGAAAGGGAATGGCAAGTGTGTCGTGGGAAGGGAAACCGCGTAGGTGAGGACAGTGAGTGGGAGTTAAGGCAGGGAAGGGGGTGGGCCAATGCCTGGAGATAATTTAAGGAGGTTGGGCTGTTACCTGAAGGCAGTGGGGAGCCCTGGAAGGTTTTGATCAGCACTGTGCCAGGGGAAGATTGCCATGGCAACAGCTCTGGGGGAGGACAGGAGGGTGGAGAGGCCAGCTCACTAACTAGTGCCACGGGTTAGGTAATAGGTAACAAGGATCCAAATTAGAGCTACAGCTTTGGGAGAGGCTAGGAGGAAACAGAATAAAGACAACGCGTGGAGGGAGAATTAAAAGACCACAGTGGCTCTGTCTGCAGAGGGCGAGGCAGATAGAGTTGTGAAGCTGCAATGCCTAAACCCACTGTCTGAAGCACAGGCTCCAAATAATTTCAACCTTATAGGATACGATGCTATCTGCCTGTTGTGACAAATGACTCATTTATTTTTTCTAGCTGGTTCTGGTTAGACCTTGGACTGTTTACTCACTCATTCATTTCATTAGCCATGTGTTCAGTGTCTATGCTAAACAAGCTCCATCAGTAAAAAGATCATCTCTGCTTGAGACACCATTTATATGAGCAAGGTACAGGGCAGGCTGCTTTAAGAAACAGGCCCCAAATGCATTGGTTTGAATCGACTGTCCATTAATTCTTCTATCTCATGTAAGTTTAGACACAGTTCAGGGATGGTGTGAAGGCTTGATGATGAAGGGAAATTAATCTACTTTTAATTTGTTCTGCCACGCTTAACTTGTAGCTTCTCTCTCAGGATCCAAAAGGGCTGCTCCCGCTCCCACTGTCACAGGCATATTCAGACCAGCAGAAAACGGGAAAAGAAAAGGAAAAAGGAAGGACTCCCTTCCCCTTTAAGATCAAGACCTAGAAGGTGCACACATCACTTCCACTCACATCCCATTAGCTTGAACTTGTTCGTATGGCCACAAAATTGCAAGAGGGGTGCCAAATGTAACCTTTAATTGGGTGTCAATGTACCCAGATTTAAAAATCTACCACCACGGAATAAAGGGAACTGGACAAACAAGTGCAGTATCTGCTATTCTACTACGCAGTCTCTGCTGTCTACTCTGCCCGCTGCAATGCAGGGAACTTAGTGGCCACTTAAGGAATTTTTATCAAATAAATGAATGGCAGCATCATCATAGGTACTGGGGATACCAAGATGAAATAACATATTTCTTGTTTTCAAGGAGCTTTTAGCCTATAAGGGGCAGGGGCTAAGCAGGTAAAGAAGTAAATGCAAAGAAATTTTCCACTGGGTAGGATAGCAGCCTGTGTGGAGCCCTATATAATCAGTTACAAAGGACAAAAGCAGCAAAGGTCAGAAAAGGTCTTCATGGAGGAGATGATGATCGGCTGAATCTGGAAAGATGAGTAGGTGTTTTCCTGGTGAGCCAGGTGAGGAGAGCTGATCAAGGATGAAAGGAGAGGATTGTCAAAGACCAGAAGGTTTAGAAACAGCCGGGCATATTTAAGAGCGAACAGGCATGGACCAGGAGGGGAGGGAGGGGAATAGCAAGGGAAACTGGAAGAGGTGGGTGGGGTCAGGTCAGGGGACCTCAATCTTTATCTCATAGAAAATGGTACCCGTTGAGCCATTTACAGTGCAGATGTCTCAGGTGGCAGGGGTGTGTGTGTGTGTGTGTGTGTGTGTGTGTGTGACAGAATGACATTTTCATTTTTAGAAAATTGCTTTGGGTCCGGGCATGGTGGCTCATACCTGTAATCCCAGCACTTTGGGAGGCTGAGGCGGGTGGATCACAAGGTCAGGAGTTCAAGACCAGCCTGGCCAAGATGGTGAAACCCCGTCTCTACTAAAAATACAAAAATTAGCTGGGCATGGTGGTGGGCACCTATAATCCCAGCTACTCGGGAGGCTGAGGCAGAGAATTGCTTGAACCTGGGAGTCAGAGGTTACAGTGAGCTGAGGTCGCACCACTGCACTCCAGCCTGGGTGACAAAGCGAGACTCCATCTCAAAAAAAAAAAAAAAAAAAAAAAAGAAAAGAAAAGAAAAGAAAGAAAGAAAGAAAAACGAAAAAAGAAAAGAAAATTGCTTTGGGTACACTTTTCAGAGAATGGACTAGCAGTGGGGACGTGACTAGAAGTGAGAGGCAAAACTTTTGCAGAAGCTTAGTGTTTTCTTCACAGACACTAATATTTTCTGTAAGCATGACTTTCAACGATCTAATGTATCTCATAAAGATCGAAATATTTTATTTGAAATCAATTAAAGTCATAGTTGATTTTTTTAAAGATAAAGTCTAATTGATTTTGTTTTTCTGTCATCAGTTTTTCTTCTAGTGGTCATTTTCACTTCCTCTGTTTGCTTCTGGTTCTTCTGCTGAAGTCTATAAACTGCTATTTACAGAAGCATTGTGTACCCTTGGGAAGGTCTTCTGCCTTCTGCACATAAGCCGAATTATGAGTGGGCTGGGAGAGAGGAACTCCACCGCTCTTTGCAGCTGAAAAACTCCCTGCTATAAGGAAGAGCCAATGGCATCCAAACCATGCAAACTCTGAAAAACAAGGAATTACCAACTGTCTCATTTAACCGTGAAAAAGCTGAGCCAAGAGACGTTCAATGGTGTCTCCAAGGTCACCCAGCAAAGCAACAGCAACAAAACCAGGGGCGAGGACACAGGTCCTCTCAGTTCAGGTCTTTTCCCACTAATAGGATCAAATGTCACAGCTTAAATGAGGAACTCTTCAGCCTCTTAGTCTTCACTGATTTTTTCTTTTGCTCAACTATAGCATGCATTTTGAAACGATGACCTTGAGATTTCTTGCAGTTTTACATTTTCATGATTTATAGAGTTTACCACGAGCGTATTTTGTAGATATTTCTCTACTAACATGAATACACCATGCAGTAAGCACTTACCCAGCCATTTGTTTATTTAATGAGAATTTTCCAGTCTCATTGTCATCTTAGTAAGCAGCACTTTGAAGGATGACCAGCTCCCTGTCATATGGAAGATCTGGGATTGACTGCACCACTCTCATAAGGCTGGACCCTGTGGTAGCTTCCAGTTTGTGACTTACAAATATGGTAAGGCAATGAAGAACCTCTGAATCTTGGTGAGCACTTCTGACTGTCTCCTTAGGCTGGATTCTAGATGGAGAATACTTCATCAGTCTAATACTCATCTCACAATGAACAAAGTCAAGAAAAAAAATCTTAACTGCCCCACCCCTGGTGGCCCATATCACACATACATACACAGCACACTACACTCATTGACACACGACACTACACATACACACACTACTGCACACACACCCCATACTACAGGCACACACACCCAACTCACACACACCACTGCACACACACACCCCACACACATACTACCATACCTCCACACACACTGCACACATACATCCCACACTACACACAGTGTACACACACAGTTCACTATAAACACACTCCCACACTACACACACACCTCACTGCACACACATCTGATACTGCACACACACAAAACACATGCAACCAAACTACACACAAAAAAATACACACAACACACACACTACACATACACACCACTGCACACACATACCCCACACACATACTACCATACCCCCACACACACTGCACATACACTTCCCACACTACACACAGGCCACACACACTACTATACCAAAAACACGTGCACTGCACACAAACCCCACACTACACACACACTTCACTAGAAACACACTCCCACACTACACACACACACCACACAACACACCACTGCATACACACCTCACACTACATACACACCACACACACTATGAACACACACTGCTACACACACACATCCCACACTATACACATACACACTACACACACACCTCACTGCACACACATCTAATACTACACACACAAAAACACACAACCAAACTACACAAACAAAAAACACAATACACACAACACACACAATACACATACACACCACTGCACACACACACACCACACTACGTACACATACACCAACACACACGCACACACGCAGACTTTCTGCTTCTTCCTTAGTCTTGACTCATATCAGTAAATGACATTATATCATGCCAGGTTACTCAAACCAAAAACCTATGAGTTAGCCTCGATTTCCTTCTCACTCACCCTCTTGTTCAGCCCATCAGCATGTCTGGTCAGTTCTTCCTTCCATGTAAAAACACATCTGAAAGCTGCAAATTTCTCTTTGTCTCCAGGACCATCACCTTGGTCCAAGCCATCACCCTCTCTCCTAACTCATGTCCTGTCCAATCTTGACTTCTTCTATTCCATTCTCTCTACAGCAGCCAGAATGACGTAAAAATGTCATTTAGTTCATGTCATACCTTCTCATAAAAGTCTACACTGTTTATCTTATTTTGGAAAAAAAAAAATCCAAACTGTTTATCCTGGCTTACAAAGGACTCCTGCCACCCTTCTGACTCAATGTCCTACCCCTTCCCAGTGGATTCATTTGTTCCATTATGAAAAGGGTATGGTTACAGGCACCTGTGATGCATCAGTGAAAAAAACAAAGATCCCTGCCCTAATGCAATTTACATTCTAGCAGGGCAAGAGGATAAACAAATAAGTCTAAAGCTTATGTAGAGTATGTTAGAGGTTTTAAGTGCTGTTTGAAAAAGAAAAATAGAACAGAATGGGAAGCCAGCGATTATAGAGGGGGTTCTAGGATGCAATTTTAAGAAGAATGACTAGGCAGCGTATTTAGTGCTTTTTTGTAAAGGGTGAAAGAGTTGGCCACAAAATATCTGAAGGGAAGGGCTTTCTAGACAGAGACGAGTTCATTTTTTATACTATAGCCTGAATAATAGACTCTATATATCTTATATTCTAGTTTGGTGAGTTCAGATAATAAGCAAGTAAACAAACAAACAAACAAATAAACAAACTAGGAAAAGCTCAGATAGTGAGAAGTTGCTTGCACAGACCTCAACAGGATGATGAGAAGTGATTGATCAGGAGCTGCTTTAGATTACTTGTCTCATCTCATCCTTAAACCAGTCTTATAAGACAGGTCTTATCAGCCTTGTTATACAAATAGGGACGCTAATCACAGAGAGATGCTAAATAATTTTCCCAAATTCACTCAATTAACTTCTCTTTCCATGTGGTTCCATTGTCCCCTGTGTATTCACCACCACCGTATTTCTCAAACTGCACATTTATCATTGGGTGTTTAGCCACTTTCCTTTCCTGATTCAAGGGGATAAACTGTGTCTACCTCAATGTGGAACCCCCAGCACCTGGCGCGGTGATAGACTCACCATCAACACACAATGATGCTTGCTAAATAAAAGCACATGCCTGACCCGCTGTTCAACTCCTGGTGTGATTGACTCTAAATATGAAGCCCCTCCCCACGATAATGGGAATTGACCCTGAAGTCATGTGCCAGTTTTAAAATCGACTCACAAACAATTTGAAACTTTTCCATTGAGTCTGTTTTCCATCTTCCTGAATCTCAGTGAGCTTTGACTCCTTCGACCAATGGCATGCATTGTAAGTGACAGGAGGTGACTTTTGAGGCTAGTTCTTCAAAGGTTGTACAGCTTCTGCCTAAATCATTGGACACTTGCCCTCTACATAAGAAGTCCCACTATCTTGACATGACCATACTGGAGAGGCTACATCATGTAGGCTTTCTGTCTGGCAGTCCCAGCTGAGCCCAGTATCCAACCATTCCCAGTGAAGAAGCTGTGTCGTGTTGGAAGTGGATCCTCTCACCCCTCCTGATCCAGCCCCATCCATTGGAGTCAGTGGCAATCTTCCCAGCTAAGGCCCAAACATCAAACAGCAGAGACAGATCATTCCCCAGTGCCCTGTCAGAATTGCTAACCCACAGACAGAAGGATGTTTTACTTTGCACGAGTAAGATTGGGGGGCGTTGGTTACATGGCCATAAGTAACTGGAACATCAAGTAAAATCTTTTTTTTTTTTTTTTTTGGCAGAGTCTCACTCTGTCACCCAGGGTGGAGTGAACTGGTGCAATCTCAGCTACTCACTGCAACCTTCGCCTCCCGGGTTCAAGCAATTCTCTTGCCTCAGCCTCCTGAGTAGCTGGGATTACAGGCATGCATCACCACACCTGGCTAATTTTTGTATTTTTAGTTGAGACGGGGTTTCGCCATGTAGGCCAGGCTGGTCTTGAACTCCTGACCTCAGGTGATCCACTCGCCTCGGCCTCCAAAAGTGCTGAGATTACAGGTGTGAGCCACCATGCCTGGCCCAAGTAAAATCTTAACCCTATATTTACTTCTCTGTTGTGTTTATTGTTAATCTTCCTTACTTAAACAGAAGCTTTCTTTTCTCCCTCTCTCTCTCTTTTTTTGGGGGGTCTTGCTCTGTCACCCAGGGTGGAGTACAGCAGCGCAGTCATAGCTCAGTGCAGCCTCAAACTCCTGGGCTCAAGTGGTCTTTCCCTCTCATCCTCCCAAAGTGCTAGGATTACAGGTATTGGCTGCTGAGCTCAGCCCTGATTTTAAGCTTTCTAAGTGCAATACTGTTTGCCTGTTTTGTGTATTGCTGTATTTCTGGCACCTAGTAGAGTGCCTGGCATATAGTAGTTGTGCAATAACTATTAAATGAATGAATGAATAATAAGAGTTTTAAGACATATATATATGAAAGCAGGGAATATCAGCCCTTAGCTTTCTGGCCAAAACAAAGAGAAAAACATGAAGCTCACAAGATTCCCAATGACTACAAGATAAAACATACTAGATGCTTTGGAAAGGCCTAGATGTTTCTGGAATGATTTACTGCTATCACTTTTACTCTTTTCTTATCCTCCCCCCATCATCTTCCTAGAGGGTAAGAGATTTTCCATGGTTTAAGTTATGTCTTACCTCATTCCTTGCCAAGCCTGGAAGATCCTGGAAACTACTAAGTGCTCCAAAAATATTTAGTGAATGAGCTCTCGATGCATCCAAAACCACAGAGCTAAGTTTTACATCCGTGTAAGTAATACAAAACTGAGCTCTTAATTTGGAAAGGAAAGGATCAGCTAATTAATATGCAATGTCAGCAGCCTCATATATTTTATGGTACAAAACAGAACTGCATGTCCCTCAGCCCAGTCAATTTCCTGTTTGTTATCACATTAGACCTATTCCAGGGCAGATGGAAAATTTGAAGGACATTTCCAGCCATTAAGATGGATATAAGTCTTTCAGAATTGCATATAAATACATAATACCCCTCATCAACATTTTTAGAAATTAGGGTTCACACAATTTTTGATTAAGCAGGGCTCTTTTATCATGTAATTCTGCTTCCTTCAGCTGAGAATTGGGCTCCCCAACTCTATAGGCTGTTGATGTTAGTCTGGCTTTTAAGGCAGTTTCTGTTCAAAATTTCATACAAAGATCCTTGTTGTTCCTCTCTCTGACCTTAACTCTGCCTGACTTTAAAAAAATCATTAATTAATGATTAAAAACAATGGATTTAGCACCTCCATTGTGGCCCCTGTGTTCAGCAGTCCTGGATATTGCCCTGTGGATATTTTCAGACCGGTACTAAGAGGTAGCACTCCTATCTCCATTTTACATAGGATAGAACGAAGGCACAGGCGCCTTCTAACCTGCTCAAAGTCACAGCTAGAAAGTAGTAGAGCCTTAAACTTTGTGCTGGGTTGACTCTGAAGCAGGAATTCTTCTGACACTGCTGAAAGAGATGGAAGGCAAGCTGGCATTTATAGCACTCCCGCTATGCGCCAGGTACCGTATTGGCCACTATACATTTCCTTTGTCATTTTACGGCCACATTATAAAGTACACATTTTTATCCCCATAGTATATATCATAAAACTGAGGTTTGGAGATATTCAGCAATTTGCCCAAGGTTAAACAGTTACTAATTCGTGACGCCAAGAGGCAAGTTCGGTCTGTGAGACTCCACACACTGTTCTTTTCCTTAAGCAAGAACCTGAGCATGAGCTCGTGAAAGGTTTTCATCTGTGCAGCCCGAGGTCCATTTGCTGTGCAGTCCAGCGATGTTGAACTAATGTGGGAGGCAGAGGTATTCCGGGGCTTTGAGAAAATCTGAAACCTCTCTAACTCTCGGCATTTCCATCTGTATAATGGGTTCATAATACTCGCCCTCCCTACTCCATGAGACCTTTAAAACTGAAAAAAGAAACTCTCTGTCCCAAAACCTCACTTTACAGATAAGGACATTGAAGGCTTCTCTAAGCTGCTCAGTCAATGATGACTGAAACTAGCCTAGAACCCTCATATGTTCGCCTCTGCTTCATAACAAATGCTAACATTTATTTTATAAGTTAAAAACATACCTCTCGTGTATGTAAAATGAATACATGTTAAAGATTTTTATTCAACTCATCAAGTAATGAGCAAAGCATTAGTATGCTAAGACCAATTCAAAGGAGATCTTTGTAGAACAGAAAGATACATAGACAACTAGAAATGCTGAAATAAATTTGCGAAAAGATGCAAAACAGGTTAACATTCAAAAGGCTATAACATGTAACATTTGGAGTTATCTTTTCTGCATGGCACGAATCAGTTGCATCTTTACTGGACAAAACTCATTGGCATTGTTATCAGTTTTCTACAAGTTAACCTTTATCCTCACAGAGTTGTAAATAGATTCAATAGTAAGACAGTCAAAGGTGCAGATTCCTGTAGAATCAATGATTCGCAGAGATCATTGATTCAGGAATCTTGGCCCTCCCCTGAAAGAATGCCAAATAATCTCTTTTGCCAATTTCTGATTTTTCCTTACATACACACAAAAAAAAACCCACAAAAAAAATGGTGAAAATTTCAATAGCTTTCCACTATAGGCACTGATTCTGCTCACAGGTCTGTGGGACAGTGAGGTAGCTCTGTTCCCCCTGTCTCATTCTGGGGTCCAGGCTGGAGGGGGCAGCAGTTCCCTGGGGCATGTTCTTCTCCAGGTGGAGGTCAGGCCTCCCAGAGAAGCAGCATGAGCAGGTGATGCCTCTGAATGCCTGTGCTTGGAGGTGGCACATGTTTGCTTCTGTCCGTATTCCACCAGCAAGAGCAAGTTATGGGAACCAGCCACGTCAGCGGGAAGCGTAATCCTCCCATGGATGCAGGAGAGTGCATATTTGCTGAAGAGTAATCATTCTCCTGATTTTCAGACCACATCAGGTTGTGCTAAGAGATGCAAAAACAAACATACGAACAAAAAAGAAAAAAAAATCCCACATCTGGGCACGGAGGCACTGTGTAAACACAAAGGAACAACCTTTACATACAGATATCCTGTTGGGTCCTGTTACCCCTTTTCTAAAAGTGAAAGAAAGTATGGCTGGCCATCCAAAAGTTATATTTGGAAATGAACTCATGTTGATGCTTGGTTTTCTGACATAATCTACCAATAGCATGAAGGTTTTCATGGAGATATTTGACTCTTACCTGGTGTGTTTAATGAGTGCTGGCTACTAAAAGTTGGTGGTGATACATGTTTCTTAAATAGGGCACATCTAGCCCTTTGGGTTTTCGAAACTATGTTTTGGGAGAATAGAAAATGACAGAATATTTATCCTGAGCATTTATTTACTCAAAGAACTTGAGGAAAAAGATGACAGCTGTAGTTTGCACATGCAGAAAATAAATGATAGTGATATTTTAATGGATTGTTTTAATTTATTGTTTTATTTTTATTTTTGCCACAAATTATTTGTAGCAAAAACACTTTATGGAATGAGGATTTCCAGTTTAGGTTGAAAACCACTTGAAGTATCGCCCGTAAAGTTTGAGACCAGGATGAGAAGTCCAAAATCATAGCACAGGGATCCTGGCCTAGAACAGGGGTGTAGATGAAGGGGAACAGTCTGAGGGAGCACTGATGCTCCAGAATTAGGGCCTAAGAGCATCTTCCTCTTTCTCTTAATTGTTTTTGTTCTTCCTCTTCCTTTTTCCTCATGATGGCAATTATACGTGCCGTTACCATTTATGAATTACTCCCTCTTGTGGTAGATTCTGCACATAGCCCTTTACATAAGTGTGGTGACTTAAGTTTCCTGCCTGGTCCCTGCAGACGGGAGGTTTGTAAACTGTGGCTGGGACTTGCATTCATAAAGCCTGTTTGGGGTGGTCTCAGAAAATTTAAAAATTAAAACCTGTTTAAAAGGGAGCCTTAACTGAAGATCAAAGAGACTTATCTGTTCTTCCTCTGAGGAAGAAAAGGTATTTTTTCATTGTTTTTTCTTGATCAATTTGGAGCATCAAAAGAAAAGTCAAGACAATTCTAAATAATGCAATGTCACACATGGATTAAACTATCTCATCTTTCAATAATCTTCTGAGAAAGTCATTATTGTGCAGATAATATATAATACAAGGATAATCATCATAATAGAAAATGAAGTTCAGAGAGATTAATAATTGGTTAGGCAGCAATGAGAATATAGCCCAAGGAACCAGCTGGGATGCAGCAATAACCTCAGTAGACTGAGACAGAGACAGAGATTGAGATAGAGACAGATTGAGATAGAGACCTTTGGGTCTCTACAGTTAGCTTTGAAACTCACCATGAGCACAAGAGGTAGATATTACTTGTTCCTTCTCCATTTCCAGAGAAGGAAACCAAGTAGAAGAGAATTGACAGCGCTTCCTCAAGGCCACTTAGAAAGTGCTAAGGCTGGAATGGAATCCTAGGTCTTCAAACACCAAACCTTTCTGGAATCACAGGCCTCCTATGAAACATCTGAATTTTATCATCTTTTTGATATTCACATTACTTTGGGAAACTTTCATCTCAACATGAAGGACTTTCCAATAATGCAGACATCATTTTTTGGGCTTTGGAGAAAAATCTGAGTTTGAATCTCTGCTCAGATATTCTTCTCTGACTCTGAGCAATCCACACACTTTTTTTTTTTTTTTTTTTTTTTTTTTTTTTTTGGAGACGGTCTTGCTTTGTCGCCCAGACTGGAGTGCAATGGTGTGATCTCGGCTCACTGCAACTTCCGCCTCCTGGGTTCAAGTGATTCTCCTGCCTCAGCCTCCCAAGAGGCTGGGATTACAGGCAGCCTCTCTCAGCTGGGATTACAGGCACATGCCACCATGCCTGGCTAATTTTTTGTATTTTAGTAGAGACGGGCTTTCACTGTGTTGCCCAGGCTGGTCTCGAACTCCTGAGTTCAGGCAATCCACCTGCCTCAGCCTCCCAAAGTGCTGGGATTACAGGTGTGAGCCACTGTGCCCGGCCACACATATTCTTGAATGTATATTTGTGTAACACCAACTTCAATGGGCAGTTGTGACAACTAAATGAGGTAAAGAAGATGCTTAGCCTGGGTCTGGCCATAGAACATACACTCAGCAATTGGTGAGTATATTGGTTATTCAACAATGGGATTTCTTGGGAGGCAATGAGCCCCCAAATGATGGAGATATTCAGGCAGAAACCAAATAGCTTGGCTGAAGATTGAACTGGATTAACATTTTATAGGCCAGATTCATGACCCTCAGTAAAAATGTGAAGTCACTGTAATGTGTTCATGTGACGGGCTGATTTTGTGGCCCCCCAAAATTCATACATTGAAGCCCTAATACCCAGGACCTCAGAATGTGACCATATTTGTAGATAGGGGCTTTACAGAGGCAACAGAGTTAAAATGAGGTCATTAGGGCAGGAATTAATCCCATCTGACTGGTGTCCTCATAAGAAGACATTTGGACACACAAGGAGACACCAGGGGGCATGCACACAGAGGAAACACCATGTGAGGAAGCAGGATGAAGTCGGCCATCTGCAAGCCAAGGACAGAGGACTCAGGGGAAACCAATCCTACCTGCGCCTTGATCTCAGACTTCCAGCCTCCAGAGCCCTGAGAAAGTAAAGTCCTATTGTTTCAGCCACCTGGTCTGTGGGATTTTGTTATGGAAGTGCTATCAAAAAATTATAGCTTGCAGTCAGCATTTTATAACATAGAGAATAGAAAATATCATTTCAGTTAGTTCTATGTGTATTCTATTAAGTGGACTGGGTTGTGATACAAAACGTGGGTCACTGTCACAGAACCTAGAGCAACATTGGGCTTCATACCTGAAAGTTCTCTTCTCATTTGGATGAAATAGTAAGAATGAATATGGTACCATTCATATTATATCAATGAATATGAAATGAATGCCTCTTCGTGCTAAAGTTTGACAGATGTGAACTCCCTTAATCCTGACACATATTTTCAAGGTGATTATTGTTATTCCTACTTTTCAGGTGAGACTAAGGCTGGTTATTAAACCTGTGCAGGGTCAAACGCTTAGCATTTTTCAGGGACAGGATTCCTACTCAGGGCAGGCGGTCTCAAAAGCCTGAACTCTCCCTATTCAGCATCATCTCCTGGCCAGTGGCTTAGCACACAAACATCAACTTCCCCTCTGCAAAGAATTCTGAGATGGAGATTAAGAAGGCCTTGGCTTTAATAGGATCTGCACCTGTGCCTCAGGGCACAATGGGCCCTTTATGATTGCAGGAAGAACACAGAGTGCTTCTCCAGTTGGCATGGTGCTTTTCTTCTTGTAACCAAGGTACACTGAGCATCGTGGTGTCTGTGGGGTGGGGTAATGAGGCATAAAGGTCTGCTGTCTAGAGAGTCAGTCCAGCCCTAATAGAGGGAGGTAAGAAAAATGGCCCCAGCCCTTTTTGTCTGAAGGCACTATGAATAGCGTCTGTGCCTGCTGCATTCAGCCCCCTTGAGCAAGTGGACTCTGGGTCAGACGCTCTTAAACGCAGGCACATGGGCTCATTAGTGGGAAAATGGCAATGGATAATTGGGATATGTAAATGACATGGGCAAACTGGGTGTTTTAACAATCAGGACCCAAAGAGAAGAAGTGTCATTTGGTGAAGAGAAAGGAACAGACTGCCCAGGGAGCCAATTACCGGAGCCAGAAGAGGATGCTCAGCCTAGCAGGGAGACCACAGTCAGGATGGCAAGAGCCTGCGACATTGTGGGGAGGTTGTTTCTGCCTCTAAGATGCAAAGTGACCCATGACCCAGCCCTGTCTTTTTAGGTAGCAATTCTTGGCAATATTCTTTTCTAAATACCTCTTGCAGCCAGCCCCTCCTCTCCAAGATCTGCCTCAACACCTCTCAGCTGGGCTCTGCCTTGTACTTGCTCTGATTGAATTGATTTTTCTCACTTCCAACCTCTCCTCCACAGAGTTGTCAGAAAGCCCTTTGTGGAACCACCTGGGATTAGGTCAGTTTACGCTTAAAGTAACTCATGACCCCCAAGTCCATAAGCCTGGTATATATATGAAAGCCTTCCCCATGTGGCCTCTGCTCCATCCACGCTTGCCTCCAACCATCACAACCACTTTCCCTGGAAACTCCACTCTCTGTCTTGCCTCCAAGCCTTTGCCTACACTGAACCTGCCACCTGGAATAGCGTTCTCAGGAAATAATACATTGTAGTGGTTAAATGTATAGGTTCCAAAGTTAGATCACCTGAGCTTGAATCCTGGGGCTGTCATTTCTTAATCATGTAAACTTGGGTGCAGTATTTAACCTAAGTATAATTTTCATCATGGTTGATATGAAAAGCAATAGCCATAATGCCTATTTCATAACTTTGTTGTGAGGATTAAATGAGATAATCTATATATAGCAGTCAGCCCAGTGCCAAGTGTAGAGGAAGCACACGATAAATGTTATTATGATAATAAGCATCCATCACGAGCCAGGTCATTGACAGCAATGACCGTAGAAAGATGAGTAAATTGTTTTGCATTTTATTAGCTCATCTTTGGAACTAAATATAGAATTAATTTTTTTTCTTCTGTTTTTCATTGATGGAGAGCAACACATAAAACAGGCAATTGGTGAATGCTCACTGGAAGGATGAATGAATGAATTCGTTAAGTAGATAAATTGGATATTTTACCCAACATAATTATTTAAAAGAAAAAGACAAAAGTGACATTAAGAAACATGCAAAATTAATTTGAAGGTTAATGTAAAAATTGCAAATGTGAGGCAGGAAAAGAAACACTTTTCCAACTGAGAACAATCTAAGTTAAGCCCCTTAATCATTCCCATCTGGAGAGAAGGTGAGCGCCGTTTGGCTTGGAGCTCATTCATTCCCCATCATGCCTGACTTGAGTGCCTTCCACGATGCTGTGTCAGATGCCTTTCAGTAATGTAGTCAATGTGCACAGTACATCACAGGCTGCAAAGCCCTACCTTAACGTGGATCCTGGGAGGAATGATACTCAGACCAAGTCTAAGGCAGGGAGGATAAGAAACATTGTCCCATTGAACAGCTGAGGAAGCAGGCTAGAAATAAGTCTGGCAACTTTTTTCAGGTCACTAAGTGCAAAGTCACAGAGCCAGGACGATCTAAATGCTGAACTCTATTCTGCCCTCCTCTGCTGAGTGACATGTACAAGGGTGTTCCTTAGCTTCTTCTCGTTCCTTCCCAGGAAGGCTTCTCACCTGTAAGGGAACAAGAGTTCCTCTGTCCTAGTGTACAGTGATATGAAGTCTAGGAAAGGGAAAGACAAAAAGAAGACCTGGAGGAAGAGAAGAGGGGGCAGTAAATTTGAGGATTTGCTGAGATTGGGTTTTCAAGAATAAAAAACGCATATAGGGTAGTAATGGGATCCATTGTTCCCAAACATATTTCCTTTTGGCCCGGGTTGTTCCTAGACCCAGAATTAGAGCTTGTCGTGTCTCCTCCAAACAAGCAAAGAGTGCTCTTTTTGGCTACAAAGATCTGTCTCACTGGCTCCTCTGAGAGGTAGATTTATACCCAGGTCCAGAGTAAGCATTTAGGGGACAAATGATTTCATCAGAAGTAGTTTCATGTGGAATTCTTTGACGGTGAATGAGGCATTCCTAAATGCATGGATGGTGTTGTTGGCAGAATCATTGAGGACTGGAGAGGCAATTCTGTACCCAGGATACGTGTCTATTCCAGTAATGGCATATGTCCGCCCCCGCCCATGTTTGGAAGGTCCAGTGTAATCAACTTGCCACCAAGTGGCTGACTGGTCCCCTAGGGAAGGTGCCCCACTGGGGGCTGAGCATCTCCATTGCTTGCAGGTCAGGCATGCTTCAGTCCTGTTGGCAGTAGTCATGATCAGAATATTCACAGAGGGTGTTTCTGGGTAACAAGATGATTACTGTTGCCTTCTGGCTGATTTACATTTCATAATTTCCTAACAACTACTTTGCATTTCTTGTGTAACAAATAATAAAAGTAAATTTAAAATTGGCCTAAAGCAATTATTTAATGTGTTTAGGGAACAGAGTGAGAGGGGCAGGCAGGACCACCATTTGCATATGCCTGTGAACCTGAGACTGTCCTACTCATTCAATGACAGTCATAATAACCATCACTGGAATATCACCTCATCATGAGATGCTTACAACCCTGGATTTACAGAGGCAGAAATGTAGGCTCAGAGAAAGCCCTTTGTCTCTCTCTTTTTACTCATTCCCAGGAAGTGCCTCACCTGCAAGGGAGAGAGAGTTTACCTGAACATCTCGCCTATACATTGAGATGAAGACCAGCTAAAGAGAAAAGCAAAAATGAAAGCTAAGGCATGGAGGAGGGGAAGCAGGTGGGTGGGTTTTCAATGTTACACTTTGAGCTGGGGCTCAAAGCCAGGAGAGGAATGCCTCATTGTTGTCCTTGTTGATAGTGTGTCGCTAACTCTTTGCTTTGGTGCCATGTTCAGCTGGAACCTGAGGCTCTTAGGGACTTTAGGCCTCTGAGAAGTTTCCTTCCAGTGGGATATAGGATGTTTGATTTTCTTTAGCTGAAACCTGTGCTGTGGAGCGCTGTGATTACACAGTTCCTCCAATGACACTCAGTGCACACCCTGCTTTTGATGACATTTCCAAAGCCCCTATTAGAAGCCTAAACACTGCTTGCCATTGGATTATAAAACCATCAAAGCAACTCCATTTACTAGACTCAACTACCTGGCAGTTTCCCTATCATTGGGTTTAATTGGCTCAGTTATGAATTTGTTATTGACTTAACCTCATCTTTTATGGGAGGCATGCAAATAGCCCCTGCACCTTATCTTAAATTGTAATACTTGACAGTCTGAAGCTCCCATCAAAATAGAAGTCTTTTCATGTATCTGAGGATCCAAACTGTCATTCTGGGAATCTGAACTTTTGATTAATTGCACAATAATAAATTCTCACATCTTCTTTCCACATTCCTTGACTCGTCTTCTTTTTATGTTTATCTAGTGAGCCTTTTTATTTTAAATACTGTCAAAATGTTTTTATCATGTTTCTTAAGTTGCAAGGAGCATAAAGGAGCAGCAAGACTTCCTAAGTATGAAGACTTTCACAATGGTAAAACGAAACCAAACAAAAATCTCACCCACAAACATACATGGAATGCTTGTGTGCCAGGCATTGTGCTGAGAGCTTTACACTCTTCATTCGCTTATTCATCATTTATTCATGCTGCCAACACAGATTGAGAGCCTGTGATATGACAGACACACTTCCAGGATTCAAAACTAGGATGCTTAGTCCCTGCTCTTGTTTAGTAAGATAACAGTAAACAAGTAAACAGAATGTAAATGCGATCATTTTTGGCAGTGATAAATGTAATGAATGAACAAAACAGGAAGAGACTGAGGGAGAACAGCGACTTTGGAAAAGGTGCTCAGAGATAAAGGGCAAGATTGTTTCCTGGTTAGTTGGGATGGGAGTAGGACAGGAAGAATACACGTGAGTTTGGTGTGTTGGGCATGGCAGGGCTAACACATGGGCAGGAGGAGGCTTTGCAGTGCCCAGCTCCCATTTGGAGATATTCTGATCCAAGCAATTCCCTTTCCTTGGGCTTTTTCTCCTTTCCAGAGCCTGCTGGACTGGTTACTTACTCCAACTCACTGCTGAGCATTTATCTATTCACGGATGTACAGGGGTCCTACTGGGCACTGCCACGTTTCCATATGCTATTTCCTATAATTCCTCACAAAACCCATCAACCAGTGAACAGCCTTTTCCCCTGGGGTTCTTGTCATGAACTCTTCCCGTTTAATATTAAGTTCCCATGCTAGAGTCTGTTTCTGGACAAAGAATTCTGTTGCACTGAGAGTTTATTTTTGTACCGATCCCACACTGTTTTAATGATTTCAGTCTTACAGTTTAACTTCCTCTGGAAACTCCTCCCTTCTTGATTTGGAGACCTCTTTTGAGGTTCTCCCCTTTGATAGTCATTCTATAGGGTGGTGGTTCTCTGACCCTTCCCCTGCCCCAGCCCATACATTCCTACTCCCTTCCCTTCCTTCTTCCCTTCCCTGTCTCCTATGCTCTCCTTGGCCAACTTCTCCAGGCAAATCCAGAGCTGGTGTTCTTGCAGGTCTGATTCCTCTTTTCTTATACACTAGGGATAGATCCTCGGCCTTGTTCACAGGGTCTCCCCTCACCCCATGTCTCTCACCCCAGCTGACAGACATGAGGTGAGAGAGTGGGAAGGAAAGGAGGCCACAGATGCCATGGGGCAGCAGGAATGGAGGCTTCCCCGATGGCGGTGGGCATGGAAGAAGTGCAGGATGCTCCTGTCCTTTGTCAGTGTCTTACAAGATCTAGCCTTTGCCTGTGGCCTACTCTCATTAAGCTCAAGCCACCCTTCCCCTCCGCACCCGCTGTTCTGCTGTTTGGAGGGCTCTCTGGACATTTACATAGTTGCTCCCAGCTTGTCATTAGGGTCTCACCTCGAAGCATCACCTCCACAATAAGGCCTTCCACGACCAGCCGGTTTAGAGTGACTCCCCCAGTCACTATAGCGCAGCACTCTAATTTGTTACCACATACTATTTACCAATATCGGAAATTCTACTGTTAAAATTTGTCTTTTCATTGTCTTCCACCGGCTAGGACGGAGGTCTTAGGAGTGCAGAGACCTCATATCTTCAGGACAGAGATCACTACCCTTTGCCAGGGAAGCTCACGAGGGGTTACAGATTGGTTGATTGAATTGAAATTTGGACCAGAGAGGGAATGACTGGCTTGGGTGCAAGTCGGGAGCAAAGCAGGAATCAAAGATTCTGACTGCATTTCTTCAGTCCTTTGCCCACCCAGACAGGTGAAGGTGCTATTCAAAGATTGGGGGAGGAGAGGGCCGCGGCATCCACCATGAACCACGAACTAGAGGGAAGAGGGAAGAGGGAAGAGGGAAGAGGGAGTCACGAGCTTCGCTACCACAGAGCAGGTGCGTTCGCGGTGCGCCCGGCCTTGACCAACCCGACAACTTGGCTTTTACCTCTGAAGCCGAGGAGCAGGGGTAGGGGGTGAGGGAAATTCACAAAGCTGCAACCACAGAGCCAATGTTTGGTGGGCGACAACCCCCCAGTCCCTCCTCCCTTCCTCTTCTTCCCCCAACTGCCCGCCGTCACGCCCCATCCAGGGGAAGCCCCAACGCCCACGGGAGCTCCAGGAGCCGGGCTCTGCAGCCGCCTGGCGCACTGCCTGGTTGCAACGGGGGCGGCGGTAGCCCAGGCGATCCTGGGTCCCCAGACAATCAGCGGTGGGGGTCGGCGGGAAGAGGCGGGGCGCCGCCGCCCGGGCCTCCCGCCGCGACGGGGCGGGACAATGGGGCCCCACCCCGGGGAAGGAGGGAGGGAGGGACGCGGCGTGCTCTCGGCCCGCGGCGCGCTCGCTGCTGCTGCTGCTGACAGGCTGAGGCTGGAACGGGCGGGGAGGGGCGCGGGTGGGAGCGCGGAGGAGGGAGGAGGCGGCGGCGGCGGCGCGTGTGGCTGGCGGGCGGGAGGGCGGCTGGCACCGGGCTTGTAAATAAACTGCGATGCTGTCTTGGGCTCGCCGGCCTGGGTGCCGCCGCCGCCGCCGCCGCCCCGGAGCGCCGGTTCCAGGCTCCCGCCGCCGCGCGCCCTAGCGCCTCCGCGCCAGCCTCGCGCGCCCTCCCAGCTTCTCCGCAGCCCCCGGCCCGCGACCCTCGGGGTCCTGCGGCTGACCCGCGCGGGATGTGACCCCCTGACCCCCTGCCTGGCCTCCCCTGCCCCCCAGGGGGCCCGCCTTTGCCTGCTTTTGGGGGGGGGTGGGGAGGGGCGCGCGGATCATGGCATTGGAGTTCCCGGGCTTGCAGCCGCCGCCGCCGCCTCGTTCACGCACCCCGAGCGCCCCTTCTTCCCAGAGCAGCAGCGGAGAAGGCGAAGCGGCCGGCGGGGGCGAGGCAGATGGGGCTCAAGGCGCGCAGGGCGGCGGGGGCGGCTGGCGGCGGCGGCGACGGGGGCGGCGGAGGCGGCGGGGCGGCTAACCCAGCCGGAGGGGACGCGGCGGCGGCCGGCGACGAGGAGCGGAAAGTGGGGCTGGCGCCCGGCGACGTGGAGCAAGTCACCTTGGCGCTCGGGGCCGGAGCCGACAAAGACGGGACCCTGCTGCTGGAGGGCGGCGGCCGCGACGAGGGGCAGCGGAGGACCCCGCAGGGCATCGGGCTCCTGGCCAAGACCCCGCTGAGCCGCCCAGTCAAGAGAAACAACGCCAAGTACCGGCGCATCCAAACTTTGATCTACGACGCCCTGGAGAGACCGCGGGGCTGGGCGCTGCTTTACCACGCGTTGGTGTGAGTACCCGGCCGCTCGGGGCGCCCTCGGCGGCGGCGCGCTTGGGGACTTGGGGTCGGGGCTGGAGCTGAGAAGTCTCTGGGGCTTTAAGACCCATGGATGCTTTCCCGCTGAAGGGGAGACCAGCCCGTCCTCAGCACGCGTTTCCCTGGGTGTGTGTGTGTGTGTGTGTGTGTGTGTGTGTGTGTGTGTGTGTTGCCGCTCTCCGGGTGTTCCACACTAGGGGCTTAAAAAACGAAGCGTGGTTCCCCTGCTGATTTGGGCGGATGTGTGCGCGCGCGGGTGCACATTTATGACATCTTCTAGGGGTGTTGGTTTGGAAGCTTAAAATAATTATGTGGGTTTTTCCAATTAATGTGAGGGTTGAAGAGGATAAAGCGGGTCCTCCCGTGAGCTCTGTGTTTCTGTTTCGGGTGGATCCCTTCTGTTGGGATCGCCACTGAGTTTAGTTGGGGATGGGAGGGGTGCGCACCACCCATAGTGGGGAGCGTGTGTGTGTGTGTGTGTGTGTGTGTGTCGCTTGCTTGTGCCACCCTTCTGATCGCTGGGTACTGGTACAGAGAAGAACCTGGTGCTGCTCTGACTGGGAGCTGGGACTGGCCAAAATGCATGTTCTAGGATTCCTTTTAGGGAAGTGAATGGGAACGTGTGTGTCTAAGCCTAGACTGAGGGGCTGGGGCTTCACAGAGCCAGGAGGTGAGGGGGCCGGGGACTCTTTTGGCTGAAACATCTCCTTGATTTGGGATCCGATATTCCCTCAGCCTCAGTCGCTGCTGCTTCTCCTGCTTTGGCTGGCCTAGGGCACCGGGAATGTGAGGGGCTTGGCCTGGAGGTTTGCACCCAGGCACTGTTCTCCTAGAAAGAATCTCCTTGCTAGTCCGATGTAAATGCATGGCCAGAAGGAAGAAGGAACTCCCTCTGCACCTGCCACTGGGGATGGAAAATCCACCCGTATTTGGGAGGGGGGAGAGGATGGTGGGGGTGCTCCTCATTCAAGATTGGAAATCTGTGCTGTCAGCACCCATCTCGGAGCTGGCAGGGCACGTCCAGCCATCAAGCTCTGCCTTCTGGCTCTGGTTTAGTCATCCTGATGGCTGCTTCTAGGAAGCTGTACTGTACCAGGGTTTTGGCAGGGAATTGCCTATGACCTTGGCAACCCCCCCTCCCCCCTCTCTCCCCCACGCGTTTAGCAGTGGATTTTCCTCTCTATTCTCCTCCAATTCACCCATGACTGATGTGGTCGGAAGGGCTCAGGAGCCTTGGAGTTAGTTACACTACCTGCCAGTTTTTCTTGGTTAGAGACGTTTTTCTAGGTTCGGCCACCAGGTGGGGGCGTCCACACAGGACCTCAGACTTAGCAACAGGTTTCTTCAAGGAGGTTACCAAGCCCGGAGAGGGTGCCTTCCCGGAAACTAAGGAACCAGCAGGAAGGGTGGGGTGGGAGTGGGGCATTTTCCCAGAAACGTGGATGTTGGTGTCTGTATGAGTGTGCGTGTGTATGTGTGTGTGTGTGTGTCTATTTGCAGGTGTTGGTCGGGGTCTGGTTGGAGAGACGGCTTAACAATTGTTGCTCTTTCATTTGCTCTTTTTAGGTGGCCGAAAAAAAAGCATTAAAATACATTCCTCTCTCTGTCTCTAGCAATATGTTTAGTTAAATTGAAGTGAATACTGAAATATGTGATAGTTAAAAAAGGCACAAGAAGTTCGTTGAGTGCACACAGTCATACAATGATTCACGTGTCCTTTCACATGCACATCGCGTTCAGTACGTACTGACTGAAAAACCTGGGGGTCCTATGGAAGCATGTGGGCTCCCTCTTTCTTCTCTTCCCACCTTTCCCAGCCAGCACCTCCAGCCCTGCCTTGTCCAGTCTGGGGAAGGGAATAGCTAAAGCTGTTACTGACTGAGCCTCAATTTTATTTTTTTCTAGAATTATTGCATCACCTGGAAGCAGATTTGATAATGCCAAAACCTGGAGCCTGTTTCCCAAAAAGGATCCAGGAAAATTTAAGACTTTGTGAGAAGAAAGTCAGTTACCTAGCTAGGAACTATATATGCAAATGCATATATATGCAAATATGCAAATGTACTAATTTTATTTAATCCTCACACAGTACTATTAGATGGAAATTATTATCTCCGTTATATAAAGATATGAAAACCTCAAGAGAGAAAATCACTTGTCCGCGATCACACAGCTAAGGTTCCTGGAGCTCGCATTTGAATGCAGTGGGTTCACTCTGTTTCTGAGCCAAGATTCCAGTTCTGATGCTCTTCCAACAATTGTGGGACCCTGGGTATTTTGCTGAGCGTCACTGGGTGCCCCTTTCCCCATTGTTAATGCAGGGCCATGAGTAATTCCTTGGCCTCCCCTTGCTAGCTCTCAGATGGCAAATTGCTAGAAATGAGAGTTTAGAATCAAGTTGGGGGCTGGTCAGAACTCAGGAAGCCACAGTGTTAGGAAAATTGAGGATGAACTGGGGTGGTGGTGGGATTGCGGATTCTGATAAATTGGGAGCTACACAGGAAAACCTGTGTTGAATTCCCATTGAGCTCCTAATATTGAAGCATACTTACTTAGTACATGCATAGTACATTCTCCCTGCAGCTTAGGAGACAGTCCAGTCAAGTGAACATAATTGAACCTTTCCTTGATGATTCAGGATTTTGCATTGAAATTTATGTTTTCAAGCATCCATTATCTTGTTCTGGGCTGTGGCTAATGGCACAATGGGCCCAGGAAATTGGGCTTACCATAGGCCTACAATCTAGTGGATGCTTTTTTTTTTTTTTTAAATTAAAATGAACCAGGTCCATGATGAGATTATTTTTTTTCTCCTTCCTAAAGGTAGAATACAGGAAATATGGAAATCAATCAAACCCTTACCTTGTTTCTTTTGCCTCAAATGCTGTATTAGTCTGTTTTCACAGTGCTATAAAGAAATACCTGAGACTGGGTAATATATAAAGGAAAGAAGTTTAATTGTTTCACAGTTCTGCGTGGCTGGCGGAGGTGGGAAGGGGTGGTCTCAGGAAACTTACAATCATGGAAGAAGGCAAAGGGGAAGAGGAAGCCAGGCACATCTTACATGGTGGCAGGAAAAAGAGAACAAAGGGGAAGAGCCACACACTTATCAAACAACCAGATCTCCTGAAACTTCTATCAGGAGAAGAGCAAGGGGAAAATATGCCCACATGATTCAGTCACCTCCCACCAGGCGACTCCCACAATATGTGGGTATTATAATTTGAGACGAGAGTTGGGTGGGGACACAGAGCGAAAACATATCATTCTGCCCCTGCTTCCTCCCAAATCTCATGTCCTTTTCATATTTCAAAACCAATCATGCCTTCCCAACAGCACCCTAAGGTCTTAACTCATTCCAGCATTAACTCAAAAGTCTAAGTCCAAAGTCTCATCTGAGACAAGCAAGTTGCTCCTGCCAATGAACCTGTAAAATAAAAAAAAAGTTTGTTACTTCCAAGATACAATGGGAGTATAGGCATTGGGTAAATGTTTCCATTGCAAACGGGAGAAATTGGCCAAAACAAATGGGCCACAGGCCCCATGCAAGTCTGTAACCCAGCAGGGCATGCATTAAAAAAGCTCCAAAATAATGTCCTTTGATTCCATGTCTCACATCCAGGCCACCCTAATGCAAGGCTTGGGCTTCCATGGCCTTGGGCAGCTCCACCCTTGTGACTCTACAGGGTTCAACTCCTGTGGCTGCTTCCATGGGCTGGCATTGAGTACCTGTGGCTTTTCCAGGCACACAGTGCAAGCTGTCTGTGGATCTACCATTCTGGGGTCTGGAGGACGGTGGCCCTCTTCTCACAGTCCAACTAGGCAGTGTCCCATTGGGGATTCTGTGTGGGGGTTCCAACCTCACATTTCCTCTTGCACTGCCCTCACAGAGGTTCTCTATGAGAGCTTCACTCCTGCAGCAGACTCCTGCCTGGACATCCAGGTGTTTCCATACCTCCTCTGAAATCTAGGTGGAGGTTCCCAAAGCCTAACTCTTGTCTTCTGTGCACCCACAGGCCCAACACCACACAGAAGCCACCAAGGCTCAGTGCTTGCACACTCTGAAGCAATGGGCTGAGCTGTACCTTGCTCCCTTTTAGCCATGGCTGGAACTGGAGCGGCTGGGACACAGGGCACCAAGTCCAGCAGCTTCACAGAGCAGTGGGGCCCTGGGCCTGGCCCAGGAAACCATTTTTCCCCCCTAGGCCTCTGGGCCTGTGATTGGAGGGGCTGCCACAAAATTCTCTGATGTGCCCTGGAGACATTTTCCCTGTTGTCTTGGCTATTAACATTCAACTCCTCATTACTTATGCATATTTCTGCAGCTGGCTTGAATTCCTCCGCAGAAAATGGGTTTTTCTTTTCTACCACATGGTCAGGCTACAAGTTTTCTAAATCCTTATGCTCTGCTTTCCTTACCAATATCAGTTCCAATTTCAGACCATCCCTTTGTGAACGCACATAACTGAATGTTTTCAGAATAAGCCAGGTTAACTCTTGAATGCTTTGCTGCTTAGAAATTTCTTCCACCAGATACCCTAAATCATCCTCTGAAGTTCAAAGTTCCACAGATCTTTAGGGCAGGTGCAAAATGCTACCAGTCTCTGACAGAGCATACCATAAGTGTCCTTTACCCCAGTTCCCAATAAGTTCCTCATCTCCATCTGAGACCACCTCAGCCTGGACTTCATTGTCCATATCACTGTCAGCATTTTGGTCAAAACCATTCAGTAAGTCACTGGGAAGTTCCAAACCTTCCCACAATTTCTGATCTTCTTCTGAGCCCTCTAGACTGTCCCAACCTCTGCCCATTACCCAGTTCCAAAGTCTCTTCCATACTTGCAAGTATCTTTATGGGAGTGCCCCAAACTCCAGGCACCAATTTCCTGTATTAGTCCATTTTCACACTGCTATAAAGAAATACCTGAGACTGGGTAATTTATAAAGGAAAGAGGTTTAGTTGACTCACAGTTCTGCATGGCTGGGGAAGTCTCAGGAAACCTACAATCGTGGCAGAAGGGGAAGCAGGAATGTCTTACGTGGTGCCAGGAGAGAGCGCAAGAGTGAAGGGGAAGAGTCACACACTTATCAAACAACTGGATCTTATGAGAATTCTATCACGACAAGAGCAAGGGGGAAATCCACCCCCATGATTCAGTCACCTACCACCAGGCCACTCTGGAAACATGTGGGGATTACAATTTGAGATGAGTTTTGGATGGGGACACAGAGACAAACCATATCAAATGCCCATCCCCTGCTTTCACTTGGTGACTCCCCTTCACCTTGGCCCAGCTTCCCCAGGCATAGAATTTTGTACCTCGCATTTGATTGATCTCTGCTTGTCTGCCCTGTTGAGCTGAGAGCTACTTGAGAGTGGGAGCTGCTTATTCTCCTGTAACCTTACCACTCCACAGCAGGCTGCAGAGTGCATGGTAGGTACTAAGTAAGCATTTGCTGAATGGATGCATGTGAGAATTCTGTAAGGGTTCTGGTTAATCAAGACTTTGCTGCAATAGCTTTACTACTATCCCAGTAACAGTAAGTAGTCAAAGCCAGCATTACAGGACTTTAATTATAAGAATAGTTCTTAGAAGTCCAAAAATGGACTATGGGAGAGAAAACAAGATTGGAGACCATGCTTTAACTTGAGTGAGGGTGATCACTTCTCTAGTTTTTTTAACCTTATGGCTGAAAGAGATTCTGATTTTATGAAAAACATGCTAGACTTGGAGTTCACATCTGGACTGCTTTGTGTCTCTGTGACTGCAGGAGTCAAGTTGGGGATGACCTATAAATTGAGGATGATTACACTACCCTATCACAGGGTGGTTTTTAGTCTCAAAGAATAGTATATATGAATGCAGTTAGCCCAACACTAGGCACTCAGTATACATTAGTTAATTCTGAATAGGGATCTCCTTAAAAGTCATACATACCTGACACTGTGACTGTCCTGAGGCTGTCCAGGGATTCCCCTTTCTTTGCCTGTTAGTGAAAAGATGCTGGCTTCATCTTGGCATTCATCTCATTTGGCACTGGATAGGCATCCTGCTGCCCTGACCATCTTGCCACAGCCAGCTGTGATCAATCACTCTCCTGTTGACAAACCAAGGGAAAATGATCACAAGAAATACCCACTGACTGCATTCTGAGGTATGCTTGCTCCAGGGACATCTGGCAGGCAAGACTGGGTAGTGAGACACATGGAGCCAGCAGCTGCTCTGGAACATAAAGGGCCTGCCTAGTGGACTTAGCATGTTGACAAGAAGATCTATTGTCTTCAGGTTGGAGGAGACACTGAATGCCCACTTAATGCTGTCGGTAATGCAGAGTCTTCCCAATTTGGAGGTAAGATAAATTTGGGCCTCCAAACTTGCTTGCTTCTTATAGCTGGTATGGTCTTGGGCAAGTTGCTGTATCTTTGGGCTTCAGTTTCTTCATCTGAGAAGTGTTGTAAGTAAGTTATAGGCTCTTGTGAAACTAAGAGCACTTTACATGGAAGAAGCATTCAGTGTTAGATATTTGTGTTGTTAACGTTAATCAGTTAATAGATATTTTTAATGCCTTCTCTGTACCAGGAACTCTTCTAGATATTAGGGATATAGAAATAAATAAAACAAAAGGAAACAAAACAATCTCTGCCTAATGGAACATATACTCTAATGACAACCTTGTTAATATTAGCAGAAATCTCAGAATTTGGTCATCTGGTCAACGTCCCAGCCAGAGTAGAATGAATCCCTCCAGCAGTATCTTAGCCATGCCTATAAACTGTAATTCATTACTGAAGTAACATCAGTTTTTCTCTAGACAATGCTGATTTCAACTTCCATTTCCCTGACTCTATTTAGCTCATTCTCCTTTTCAGCTCCCATGTATTTTATTCTTTCTCATCTACCACTTGATGTTGGTTTTCTTAACCATTCTCAATCAGTCCTCACCTTTTTTCATCCCACTAATCTCTCTTTGCCTTTCCTTCCTCAGTATGGCCAATTTCCTTCTCATTTTGAGAAGCAAGGATTTTGATAAGTTGTCATTCTTTATTCAGCAGTAAGAGCATGATCTTTGGAGTCAAACATTGGTTGCATTTAACTCTGCTGTTTCTTCTGTGTAACCTGGAATAATTTGCTCAACCTTCCTGAATTTCCATTTCTTTATTTCTAATATTAAGATAATACTGCCTACATCCCAAGGCTGTTGTAAAATTTTTTAAATTGATGGATAATGTATGTACATATTTATGAGGTACATGTACTATTTCATTGCATGCGTAGACTGTGTAACAATGAAGTCAAGGTGTTTGGGGCATCTGTCACCTGGAGTATTTATCATTTCTATGTGTTGGGAACATTTCAAGTCCTCTCTCTTAGCTGTTTTGAATTATACAATACATTGTTGTTAACTATGGTCACCCTTCTCTGATATTAAACATTAGAACTTATTCCCTCTGACTGTATGTTTGTACCCATTAACTAACCTCTCTTTATACCCCTACTCCTGCACATTCATCCTTCCAAGCCTCTGGTATCTATCATTTTATTCTCTACTCCATGAGATCAACATTTTTAGCTCCCACATATGGGTAAGAACACATGATATTTGTCTTTATGTGTGTGGGTTATTTCATTTAACATAATGACTTCCAGTTCCATCCAAGTTGCTGCAAATGACATGATTTCATTTTCTCATGGCTGACTAGTATTCCATTGTGTACATATACCATATTTTCTTTATCTGTGCATCCATTGATAGATCCTTTGGTTGATTCCTTACTTTGTTATTGGGAATACTGCTGCAATATACATGAGAGTGCAGGTATTTCTTCGATACATTGATTTCTTTTCTTTTGGACAAATACCCAGTAGTGGGGTTGCTGGATGGTATGATAGTTCTATTTTTAGTTTTTTGAGAAATCTCCATATTGCTTTCCATAGTGGCTGTACTAATTTACATTCCCACCAACAGTATGTAAGAATTCCTTTTCTCAGAATCCCCATCAGCATCTGTTATTTTTTGCCTTTTTAATAATGACCATTCTAACTAGGGTAAGATGATATCTCATTGTGGTTTTGATTTCCATTTTCCTGATAATTAGTGATATCAAACATCTTTTTATATATCTTTTGACCATATATATGTCTTCTTTTAAGAAATATCTATTCATATCCTTTGCCCACTTTGTAATGGGATTATTTGTTTTTTAACTGCTGAGTTTCTTGTATATTCTAGATACTAGTCCCTTGTCGATGAATAGTTTTCAATTTTTTCTCCCATTTAAGGGGTTGTCTCTTCACTCTGTTGATTGTTTCATTTGCTACATAGAAGCTTTTTAGTTTAAAATAGTCCCATTTGCCTATTTTTTGTTTTGTTGACTGTGCTTTTGAGGTCACGGGCATAAAATATTTGCCTAGACCAGGTTCCTAAGGTGTTTCCTCTATTCTCTCAAGGATTTTTATAGTTTCAGATCTTACTTTTGAGTCTTTAATCCATCTTGAGTTGATTTTTGTATATGGTAAGGCATAGAGGTCGTTTCATTATTCTGCATTGTTGTGAAATTTAATTGAGATGATGGATATAAAACACCTAGACATGTCATTATCAGCATTTAGTAAATACTTTCTCTCTTTTGCTTCTCTTCTTGATCATATCTAATCTGCTGCCTTCTTGCAACCCTCATGAAATCCATGCACACTCCCCTTGGCAATCATCTCAGGCCATCCGTATTGACTTGGAGGGTGACCAGTGGCTCGCGTTTACAAATGAATAAGAGAAGTTAGGAGATCTGCCCAGGCTCTTAAAGCTACTGAACTGGCACAGCTGGGGTCACACCTGAATCCTCACTCTTGTGTGGTGCTTCTATCCTCATGTCGTGGTGTACTCAATAGAAGAGTGATGAAGGGAGACCAGAACTCTTCCCTCCTGGGTCAGGAACTTGATAGCTAGCTGCATTTCTGACAGATTCCCAGGGGAAACCAATGCTGTGACTCTGCTGACCACATTTTGAGTAGCCGGGCCTCTCAAACCTTGGCATGCATGTAAATCACCCAAACAAAAAGGTACCATAAGAGAGAAATCTGGCAGACTCCACCTGAACAAAAGTTATCAAACTTGTGTATAATGAGACAAACTAACCCATCCTTCTGACGTAATTCAGTGGAAATGTACAACATACCTGCAATGGTGCCTAAAATGATCTGAACCTAATCATAAAGAAATAATAGACAAATTCAAATTGTGGGGCATCCTGCTGGATATCTGGAATGGTCTCTTCCAAAGGCTTCATGTCATGGACAAACAAACAAATAAACAAAAGAAGATGAGGGGAACTGTTTCAGTTAATGGAGGCTAAAGAGACATAACAGCCAAATTCAGTGCTTGACTCTTGATTGGTTCCAGCTGAAAAAAATAAATAACAGGGGACATTATATAAGGATAATTAAGAAAAGTTGAACATGGCCTCCATAGTAGATAACATTATTGTATCAAAATTTAATTTATTGAGCCTGATCATTTCATTGTGGTTATGTAAGTGGATGTTCTATATTTTGAAGAGATGCATGGTGCAATAGTTAGTGGTGACAAGTCATGATGTTTACAACTTACTTTCAAATGGTTCGGCACATATACAGACAATATAAGTGCATGTGTGTATGCACACACACAATACACACACCCAAAATGAGAAAGAGAAAAAGAAAATGTGGCAAACATATTAACAATTGGTGAAGCCAGGTAAAGAGAATATATATGTATGTTATATTATTCCTTTAACTTAAAAACAACTTTTAGAAATAAAAAGTTGCAAATAGTTTAAAAAGAAGAAGACTCAACACACACAAACACACAAAGCATACACGTGAGTCCAGATGACAGGCATTGCCCTTAGGTGATTCCGACATGAAGCCAGGCTGAGAACTGTTGGCTGAGCTGAATGGGTTTTCTTGGATTCATGGATTCTGCGTATAGACCCTGTTGCCAAACCTTGTGCCAGGCTGTTGAGGGAGATGAGCATAGTTCTTTCTGTATGGAGAGAGAGGCTGGAAATGACTAAATTTAAAGAGTCTAGCAAATGCAATAATAGAATGCAAATGAGGAACCTCAGGAGAGCAGGGAAAGGAAACATCGCTGACCTTCCTGTGTTGTATCAATGGAGACTTCTTCAAGGGAGGTTTAAGCAGCCAGGGATGAGACGAAGGTACTACTGTTTGTCCAAGTGATGCCTGGTATCCTTCTTCTGCTTGGAGAACAGAATGCAAATTTTCTTCAATTTAATGCTAAATTATTCTTGCATTATTTGGAAGCTCCCGCTTTCAAGTTTATTCATTTCTTAACATTTCATAAATGTTTAAAAGTTTCATAAATCAAATGAAACTTGGTTGTGATCCTATGGTTTTTCCCACCGATCAGGGTCCCTGCTCCTTTTTTCTCTTTGGTTTGGGTCTGGAGGTCTTCACAGAATGCAAACAAGATTTGTTTCATCTTTTAACAAGCGGGACAGTGTCAAGGGAAGCAAGGAAAAGATCTTCAAATGTGGACTGAATAAAAACCCTTTTTAGATGCCATGCCCTGTCATTCTGGTTTTGGGTAGCCCAAGATAGCTCTGGGTTTGTCAGAGTACGTTGAGTGAGCTTTCAGTAGAGCAGCATTAACTATGTGATTTGGACACTTCACTTACCATACAGTCTGCAAAATGGGCATCGCAATACCTGCTGCATATAATTGGTGTAACAGTCACAATGTGTGAGAGAGCGTGAGTGGCAGCATCTTGAGGCAGTATTTTCCTAAAGCTGTAGAAGGATCAGGTGGGCCCCACAATTAGGACCTTGTCTATATTGGGTTCAAGCATCTGCCCATGCACAGATTTGCCACATTTCTGTTTATGTTGCATCACCTGATCCTCAGTGCTTACTTTTATTGGGCATCTATTAACCGTATACCTCAGCACCTGTGTCTATAGGGATGTTAGCTTCCCCAAGGTGATCACCCTTTGGAAAGACGAAGAGAGTCATAGGTTTGGAGATAAGAAAATTGAAGTCAATGTGAAGTTTTGAGGCCCCCTCTGATTTTGCAGATGTCACAGGATGCACATCAAATCCCATCCACATTGTAGCCTTGTTGGATGGGACTTTTCATTCTGCCACAGAAGTGATAGAAGAGTTGTTTGAAGCGTTTTCTCTAGGGAACAAATTGGGTTACAGCTCAAGAGCAACACTGCTTCCTGCATGTAGTGTATGACTAAGTAAGAGTGAGAACTTAAGCAGCTGGCTCATGGGGTATCCCATACGTGGGCTCTGGCTGGCTTCCCCCCGAGGTGGGCTTCTCTCTATACTGAATTCAGACCTCAGGGCTGGGAACCTCCTCTCCTCTCCATGCGCTCCTTTTTAAGAGTCATGTAAAATTATCTGCACTCTGCAAGAGTGTAACAGTTGGGTTGAGCCCTTTAAAACCAGCATATTAGTAATAACTAATGCTTTTACATCATTTCACAGTTTATAATATCACCTCTTGGGCAACACTGCCATCTGTTCAATGTCAGGGTAACCTGCTTAAACAGCTACAGCAGGTGCCTGCTTGCAAATCACCAAACCCGGTTCTCCTAAGCTGGTGTCCTACCCAAAGGCAGGCAGGCAGAATATGCATAGAACTTCTTTGTCTTTGACCCCTTAGGTTCTTTGTAAACTCATTACAGCAGTTTAAGTTTATTTCTGCCTTGATGGTGTCTTCTTGGAGAGATGGAGTGAAATCTTATCCAACAAGACTTGAAAGTCCTGGGCTAGGAGAATATACTCATCTAGCCCAGGCCATGTGTCCTAATGGAAAATCGCTTAGCCCAATTGGACTATTCATCTCTCTCCTTCTGCCTGTCCCTCCAATCCCAGCTTCTGCTTCGTCTCACTCCATATCAGCTGTCTCATGTATCAGCTATGGATGCTTCTCCGAAGCCCTGGTAATGCCAATCTGAAAAATGAAACCAGCAGTACTTAATAATCAGCAAGTCTAATCACACTAATCAGCAGTTACTTTGCAGCAATTTGTGGGATTTATGGTCCCAGCACAGAGAGAGAGGCGCTTGACAGCTTAGAAAAATCAGAGGCTGTTGGAGCTGGAACGGAACTTTGAGAAGAGGAAACAGAGGCCCAGGGCCATTTGAAACTTGCCTAAGGTGGTGCTGCTAAGGGGAGGACCCAAACCAAGTCTTCGTGCAAGGCGGGCATCCATTCAGCCACACTGGCCTCCCCACGTGCCTCCAACAGCAGTGTGCCATCAGAAGAGTCTTGTTTCCTCTGGCTTCACAGCTGCCTTAGGATCTAAGTCCAATCCTGTCCGAAGTATAGTTTTGCTTGATGGGGTCTTTCACTTTATCTCAGAAAAGCTAGGGATATTTGTTCAGAATGTTTTCTTTCAAGGGCAAGATGAGTTACCACTCAGGGCCACATTTTCTTATTGATCCATGTGAGGTGAGGTGTTTGTTTATAAATGAACAGTAGGAGGAGTAAACGCAGGTCGGGCTGAGGGATCAGGCATCCCTACATGGACTCTTGCCAAGGAAGGCTTCTCTTTCTGCTGAAATCCCAGAGCTAAGATCCCCCTTTTTCTGTCCTTCCCCTGCCTCCCATCTAGTTCTCTACCAAGAGTCCTATAAAATAGTCTCTGGACTCCACTGAGCTCAGCCTTGAGTTGGGGCATTCAAAACCTCCATGTTAATGACAACTAATGTTTGTATCCACTGTGTGGTTTATAAAGTCATCTGTGGGGTAGCACCATTGTTTGTTCCATTCATGGAGACCTGATTTATTTTTATTATTAACAGCCACTTACATTTATTTGTAGTGTTATTTCTCTGTGCCATGGGCTAGGCACTCTAGATAGTTCTAAGGTGTGGCTGAGAGCCCAGGGAACACCCGCCCAGCCACCAGGAAACCCAGGCTCTCACCTTGAGTCTTCTGCTGATTTACTCTCTAGTTTCTGTAACTCATTTGACTTCTAGTGGCCACAGTTTGCTCATCTGAAATATGGACCTAATTTTCCCTGCCTTCCAGGTTATTTAAAGGGTTAAGTGAAGCAACGGAGGACTGGACTGTGGCCAACAGAGTGTGGGGATGAGTGCTGGCATTCTCTCTTGGTTTGTGTTTCACCAGAAGCCGACACTGAGCCAGGGGGCTCAGGGCACGTGGTTTATTTACCACACAGTTGCTCTCTCTTGTTTTCAATATCTCCCCTTTGAGGAGTCTTTAGAGACGTTTTTCCCCAATTGCCCTCACCCATGAAATGTTAATAGTACTGATACACTGTGTACGTCTTTGTAAACTGTGTGTTTATATGGGCTTGCTATATAAAGTATAAAAAGAGTAAGATTTTTTCACTCTATCCTCCCAGAACGAATTTTGCCCCCTGGAATGCAATAGCATCCCTAGTGAGAATGCATGATTTAGGAGGTGATTCCAAGACAAATTGGAGAATTTTGTAAAATCGGGGAAGGTAAGTGAAATAAGACAGGAAAGAAGTAGATTATAAGGATGTGTCATTAAGCAGGTTACCATGAGGGCAACTGAGGCTTAGTCTTCCTAGGGACCCTGGAATGCCATCTAGAACAGCCAGGAATGGTCCTTGAACTCCAGCCATGACTGCCTAAGCGGTGCTCCTGGGGGCAGAGAAATTTCTTAGACAAACATGCCACATTTAGGCTACTTTTGGCAGGGGCTGGGAGTGAGTCCTGAGGAGGTATGGGAAGGGCGCCAATGACAACTGGTAGTCGTCCTCTGGTTCGTAAGTAAAGAAAATACTGTGACTTAAAGCTCACAATATGTGGCTCTGTTTTCTCGGTGATTCTTAAGTAAAGGAAGTCTTGAAGCCTAAGGGTTGTGATGATTCTCTAGTGTTTTTTCCCCCTCATTAATTTTTCAGTTAGGGTTGTCATTCCGGAAAAAAATGAATTAAAAGTATTTGTAAATATGTAAATTCAATGCCTGGTATCTAATGATAGCTAAACTTTCTAAGCTGTTACTATATGCTGGAATTATAGTGTTCTCAGAAGCACCGCAAAACCTGGTCACTGCCTGCATTATCCTTTGGGGAAAGGAGCTTTCTCCTTGTTAATATTATGGTATGGTCACATATTTGTAATTTTCACCAAATAAAACAGGCGAGTTCTTTCCTTTTATTTATTCCTGTCGTTTGTTTTATTTCATGTATTTATTTATTTTTTAGACAGGGTCTCCCTCTGTCTCCCAGGCTGGAGTCCAGTGGTGCAATCATGGCCCACCACAGCCTCGACCTCCTGGGCTCAAAGCAGTCCTCCCGCCTCAGCCTCCCAAGTAGCTGAGACCACAGGCAGGTGCCACTATGCCCACTATTTTTTGTTTGTTTGTTTTTGAGACGGAGTTTCGCTCTGTTGCCCAGGCTGGAGTGCAGTGGTGCAATCTCGGCTCACTGCAAGCTCCACCTCCTGGGTTCATGTGATTCTCCTGCCTCAGCCTGCCGAGTAGCTGGGACCACAGGCGCCTGCCACCACACCTGGCTAATTATTATTATTATTATTTTTTGTATTTTTAGTAGAGATGGAGTTTCACCATGTTAGCCAGGATGGTCTTGATCTCCTCCTGACCTTATGATCCTCCCGCCTCCGCCTCCGAAAGTGCTGGGATTACAGGCATGAGCCGCCATACCCAGCCTATGCCCGCTATTTTTTTAAAATTGTTTTTTGTAGAGGCGGGGTCTCACTATGTTGCCCAAGCTGATCTAGAACTCCCAAGAGAGTTATTTTAAATAAGCATGGACAACTTCAATCCTGGTGACATAATTCTGAGTGGCTTTTGTGATACTTTCAAAGAATGAAGAATCTTAACTAATTTATAATGTGAGAAACATTAGCATTTTCAAAACAAGATTAAATTAGATATTCCAGTTGCTCTTACAAACACATCTTTTGTGGAGAAAATGGCAGGATCTTGGTTGTAAACTAGGTGCTGTGACTTCCGCCCTGTGCTGGAGTTCTGGTTTCCTGGGGAAGTCATTAACATTCCCCTTCACAGTTCTGGAACACGAAAGGAAACGTTGAGATTTCTTTTTTAAATTCCTCTTTTTGTGCCATGACTTGAACATATCTTGTTTGACTGGGAAAACATTTCTTGGAAAAAATGTAATCCTTTAGGTTTTGTATACATACACTGATCAAACTCAAGACATGCTGACTGATCACTCAGAGGCCATTGATTTCAGGCCCAGCAGATGCCAGACCTTGGGCTAGGAATAGGAGAAAGAGGGGTGAATAAATCAGTTTCTGCTCTTGAGGGACTAGTGGTCAAATAGGTGAATAAATAATTGCATAATGGTGTGACACTCACTCTAATATATGCAGATACTGAGTCCACTTGGGGATCACGAAAAGTTGTCAACACTGTTTAAATGGATCAGGGAAGATTTCCATCAAGTACATTTCATCATGTGTACAGGATGGAGACCACTTCCTCCTTCGTTTTCTAATGTACAGCCTTGACCATGAAGAATCCAAGGTCCGACTTTTTATCACACTGAAGGAAAGTTGCTGAAAGTGATACAAAGGAAAGTGGAATCATAAAACCTGAGCTGGGTGAACCTTGAGCTGTGTAAAGCGAATGAGGACTTGCTTTTTAGTGGCACATTACATACATGCAAGCATCCATTCTCTGCATTCCAGAGCCTGATACAACACATGACACTCTGGATACAAAGTCTTTTTGCATGAATGGACACAATGCCAGCCTCCAAGGAGTGTGTGGCTTCACTGATAAGCAGACATGGACATAAGTACTGGCTTTGAAGTCTGGCTGTATCATTGTTTAACCAGTAACCTTGAGTAAACCACTTAACCAGCCTAGACCTGTTTGCTCGTCTGTAACGTGAACATGTCTGTGCACATGGTAAGGATTAAATGAAGTGGCTGTGATACAGTCTTATGGGCGTATAGTAGGTATCAGATAAATGGCCATTCCATCCTTATTCTTTTCCAATTCTGCTAATATAAAAATGATGTCAAGCGATTCTCCTGCCTCAGCCTCCTGAGTAGCTGGGATTACAGGCGCCCGCCACCACACCCAGCTAATTTTTGTACTTTTAGTAGAAACAGGGTTTCACCATGTTGGCCAGGCTAGTCTTGAACTCCTGACCTCAGGTGGTCCACCCGCCTCAGCCTCCCAAAGTGCTGGGATTACAGGCATGAATCGCTTGAACCCGGGAGGCGGAGGTTGCGGTGAGCCGAGACTGTGCCATTGCACTCCGGCCTGGGCGTCAGAGGAAAACTCCATCTCAAAGAATAAAAGAAAAAATGATGTCACTGAATAAAAGTAATGCTGAAGTCAATATGGTATCATAATTCCTACCCTAAGGTTATGTCCTAGAGCATGATAAAGTGTGAGTTCTGATGTGCCGTTTTGATAAAAGGGAGGAAATTACATTGAAAATAGAAGTGTAGAAGAAAAGATTTGCTGCCTGGCCCGAGTCACCTGAGGAAGCAGGTATGCCATGAAAAACACTTGCCTAGACCACACGACCTCCAGGGAGGCCAGTGCTGAGTTTTTGCAATCATATTAGAGGTCTAAACCCAACCACACACTCGGCTTACTTGAAGAGTAGGGAAAAAGAGATCTAGAGAGTTTTCGGTTCACTTGAGTGAGAAACTAGCGGATTTCTTTCCTGAGTAAATTATGTTTTCATCTTGTAGAAAATGAATTCTGCAGGATGCTTCTGTTTTGTTTGCTTTGGCTGTCAGGGCTGTGAATACCATTTGTGGCTCAACTAGAGTGACAGCCTTATAGACTTTATGCCTGGGTTCTTTCTTCCTCTAGGTTTTTCCTCTCCTCTGGTGCTCTTGAACTACGCTTCTTATTCCAAATACTTCTTGTTACTTGATTTTATTTTTCTGTCACAAAAGAGCTCAATAAATATTGTAAATGAAGTTGCCAACTGAAGCCACACAGTCTGGTCTTTTTAATCCCACTAAATTAGTCTGGGTTCTTTCATAGATGTGAACATGTTGTGGGCCAAATTGTCGTCTTCCAAAACAGGGCTATTTATGAAGTAAAAATCTGATAAAAGCTAAAGGTTGTTATGTTTTGTGTCTTCCCGGAATGCTAACATTGTCTGTGTATGTGTGTCTTGAATGAGGCATATACTGTATATGTATACGTGTGTGTGTGTGTAGAAAAAGAGACAGAAAGAGGGAAGGAGGGAAAGGGAAAATGGTAGATGGGGAGAGGGAGAATACTCTTCCATTTTGGGATATCAACAGTAGTAATAACAATGGTAATCATTCTTTCTATTCCTTATTGACCTGTGTCCAGGGTATCAGGTTAATCATTAAAAACATTGTTGCATTTGATCCTTGTGATAACACTGCCAGATGTGTATAATTGGCCCCTGTTTTATCAATGGGGACAAAGAGCCTCAGTAAAAGTATCTGACTTTCTCAGAGTTTTTCAGGGGCAGGGCTGGGATTGGCTTCAGATATTCTGAATGCAGTAGCTGTGATGCGGTCAAAAGTTCATATTCCAGCACTGCCACTCACTGACTGTTGATTTTCTTGTCATTTGTAAAAAATTGAAATATAATTCATATAACTTAAAAACTTACCATTTAAAAGTGTACAATTCACAGCTGGGTGCAGTGGCTCACGCCTGTAATTTCAGCACTTTTGGAGGCCGAGGTGGGTAGATCACTTGAGGTCAAGAGTTCAAGACCAGCTTGGCCAACATGGTGAAACCTTCTCTACTGAAAATACAAAAATTAGCCTGGCGTGGTGGTGGGCACCTGTAATCCCAGCTACTCGAGTGGCTGAGGCATGAGAATCCAGGAGGCGGAGATTGCAGTGAGCCGAGATAGCGCCACTGCACTCCAACCTGGGCAACAAAGCAAGACTCCGTCTCAAAAAATAAAATAAATAAATAAATAAATAAATAAATACATAAATAAATGTACAATTCAGTGGTTTTAGTATATTTACAAGGTCCTGTAATAACTCGTTGATTTTTATGGTTTACACTTGCTAGTGTTAGTCAAGACTAAAATGGTGCTATAAAAAGCTGTCATTTTGATCCTCGATTTTTCTCATCTGCAAAAGAGTAGTTGTGAAAGTTTAATGGGTAAAAGACATGGTTAAGACAATGAAAAGACAAGCCACTGACTTGGAGAAATATTTGCCACACACCTATCTGATAAAGAGCTTGTAGCAAACATACAAAGAACTCTCAAAATTCAACAATAAGGAAAACAATTCAATTAAAAATAGACAAAATATTTGGACAGACATCTCATTAAAGAAGATATATAGATGGCAGATAAGCAGATGAAATGATGCTGAATATAATTTCGTTAGGGAATTGTAAATTAAAACAACAATGAGATATCACTACACACCTATTTGAATGGGGGTGGCTAAAATCCAAAGCGAGGACAATGTCAAATGTTGACAAGGATGTAGGGCAACAGGAACTGTGATTCATTGCTGATGGGAATGGAAAAATGGTACAGGCACCCTGGAAGGCAGTGGGTGCCTTTTCTTTTCTTTTCTTTTTTTTGAGACGGAGTCCTGCTCTTGTCGCCCAGGCTGGAGTGCAATGGCACAATCTTGGCTCACTGCAACCTTCACCTCCTGGGTTCAAGCAATTCTCCTGCCTCAGCCTCCTGAGTAGCTAGGATTACAGGTGCCCACCACCACGCCCGGCTAGTTTTTGTATTTTTTAGTGGAGACGGGGTTTCACCACGTTGGCCAGGCCGGTCTCGAACTCCTGACCTCATGTGATCTACCCGCCTCGGCCTCCCAAAGTGCTGGGATTACAGGTGTGAGCCACTGGTTACAAACCTAAATATAGTGTTACCAATAGTGTCCAGCAGTTGTGCTCTTATTTACCCAACTCATTTGAAATCTTATATCCACACAAAAACCTTCATGGAAATGTTTCTAATAGCTTTACTCATAATTGCCAAGAACAATGCAACCAAGATGAATGGATAAACAAACCATTGTACATCCATACAATAAACTATTGTATTTGGTGGTAAAAAGAAATGAGATATTAAGTCATGAAATACAGGAATGAATCTTAAATGCATATTGCTAAATGACAAAAGCTACAGTGCTAAGTGAAAACACTACATACTGTATGATTTCAATTATATGACATTGTAGAGAAAGCAAAACTTTAGTGACAGGAAAAAGATCAGTAGTTGTCAGGGGCTAGAAGATAGGGAAGGAGGGTGGAATAGATGAAGCGCAGGTGATATTTTAGGGTGGTGAAATTATTCTGTGTGATTCCGTAATGGTGGATACATGACTTAGTGCATTCGTCAAAACCCACAGAACTTCATGGCACAAAAATTGAGCCTTGTGTTTGTAAATTTAAAAAATTATTTAGGAGGTCACGGAACCCCAGGAAGGGATGCAGATGGTGACAAGAGAATCTAGCTATATTACAAATAAATGAAACAACCTCATTGAAGGTGATGGAGGGAGAAGGTGCTGACCTAAGCAACTTTGGCAATGAATGGAGTTTCTAAGACTAAAAACAAAAGGCCTAGTACGTAAGTGCTGTTGTTTCCCATGGGGTGTGGGTCAATGATTCTCATACTGTTATACTTGTGTACTGGAGTTTAACGGTTAAGCAAAATATGGCAGTGGTGGGAGCTAGGTTTCTCACCACTGAAGTGAGAGTTTACAGAAAAGTAAATGGAGTCTAGAGTATCCATGTAGTATGGATTTGAGTTGGAAATATGCATGTAAACTCATGTTTAACTTAATACAAACATAGATGGTTATGAATAGAAATATTTATAAATATGTGTATATGCATGGGCTATATACACACATATATATCCTTGCGCTGTCAGCTCATTGAGCCTAGAAAGTCAAATCCTGATTGCAGTGAGCACACCTGGCATCCAGACCTTGGTTTCTAAAACCATTCTGCACAAAAAGGATACAGGGATCCCTGAATAAATGGCTGATTCTAGGATGGGGCAGGAAATATATACAAGGTGAGCCAAGGGCATCTTATAGTGCCAGAAAGTAAAAAGGTGTTTTAAAAAATCCCATATTGATGGGAGTATGTCAAAGGGGCACATAAGCCAACTGAAAGAGCACCCCCTGGCCAATGTGGGACAATTTGAGACAAAAAATAAAGTAATACTGGAGTATAACAAAAGTATAAAATAAATATCCACAAGCCCATACTGATATATAACAAATAAATGAGTGAATAAATATGAGAAGAAGAGAGAAATCTCCTGTAAGAATAATTCCAACTAATTTATGTAGATATTCTACCCTCAAGGAGAGGGAGCCTAGTGAGGGCTGCATAAGTGACTTCCTTCCAAAGGGTATGAAAAGGGAATTAAAAAAAAAAAAAAACAAGAAAAAGAAAACTTTATAATGGAGGAACCTGTAAAACACGACCTCAAGCCAGGTGTTATAGTTTGGATATTTGTACCCTCAAACTACATGTTGAAATTTGATGCCCAGTGTTGAAAGTAGGGGCCTAATGGGAAGTGTTTGGGTCATGGGGTTAGATCCCTCATGAATAATTAATCCCCTCCCTGTGTGCTGGGGCATAAGTGAGTTCTCATTCTTATTAGTTCCCGTGAGAGCTGGTTGTTAAAAAGAGCCTGACACCTTTCCTCTGCCTTGCTTCCTCTCTTATCCTGTGATCTCTGCACATACCAGCTCCCCTTGCCTTTCTACCATGAGTGGAAGCAACTGGAGGTCCTCACTGGATGCAGATGCTGACACCATGCCTGCAGAACCATGAGCCAAATAAATCTCTTGTCTTTATAAGTTACCCAGCCTTAGGTATTCCTTTGTAGCACACTAAATGGACTAAGACACCAGGTGATCCAGGTTAACATCAACCATGATTAATCATGTTGATAGTATGTACCCTTGACATGATGTGATGAAAATGGCATTTTGCTGTGGTCTTCCCCCACAAATCCCATAACCCCCGTTTAATTATGGGTGAAAAATCATATGAATTGCAACCAAGGAACATTCCACAAAATACCTGACCAGTATTCTTCAAAACTATCAAGGTCATCTAAAACAAGGAAAGACTGAGAAACTATCACAGCCAAGAGATGCCTACAGAAATGTGAAACTAAATGAAATATGGGATCCTAGATGGGATCCTGGGAGAAAAGAGGGTATTAAGTAAAAACTAAGGGAATCTGAATAAAGTATGGACTTTAGTTAATAAAAATGCATTAGGATTGATTTATTAGTTGTAACAAATGTATCATACTAATGTAAGATGTTAATAATAGGGGAAACTGGCTGCAGGTTATATGGGAATTCTGTACTACAGTATCAGTATTTCTCTAAATTGAAAACTATTCATGGCCAGGTGCAGTGGCTCATGCCTATAATCCCAGCACTTTGGGAGGCTAAGGCGGGAGGATCACTTGAGATCAGGAGTTCGAGACCAGCTTGGCCAACATGGCGAAACCCCGTCTCTACTAAAAATACAGAAATTAGCTGGGTGTTTTGGTGCATGTCTGTAGTCCCAGCTACTTGGGAGGCTGAGGCAGGAAAATCACTTGAACCCGGGAGGCGGAGGTTGCGATGAGCCGTGATTGTGCCACTGCACTCTCGCCTGGGCATCAGAGTGAGACTCTGTCTCAAAAAGAAAAAAAGAAAACTATTCTAAAAAATAAAGTCTATTTTAAAAAGTTGATTGGCGGGTTTTGTGCATGTAGGCATGACACATGTAGAAGTCCTCTGGTTCTGGAAGCTTGGATGCCTTCATGGGCCTGGCCCACTGCAATGCTAAAGCAGACTGCTGAGCCAGAAAGATATGATGGGAAGGTGTTTATTTTGTCTAACTGAAGCTACTGTAGTGAACTGTTGTTGGTTGCTGGGAGGTAGGAACCTTAGGGAACTTCTCACTGTGTGGCCCTACTCCTGACTCACCATGTACCTTGAGGGAGGTCATGTTGGGCCAAGGGTGGCTTATGGGGTGAAAAGGACCTAGACCAGGTGGCAAGTCCTGGACCAGGAGTCAGGATGCCTGGACTCTGACATGATTTATGGAGGGTTTGCCATAAGGAGGATGTGGATGGAAGTGGCAGGGCTTCTACCTTCAAAGACCTCATCGTCTGGACAGGAGGTGGACATGCTCATGACCATGGAGGGAGGCAGGGTGGCCCTCTCACAACAGTGTGGGCTCTGCTGTCAGATGTGGGAGCAAATCCCTGTTTTGCCACCTGTGCCACCTCCAGAAAGTTGCTAACCTTCCTAAGCCTCAAATTCTTCGTTGGTAAAATAGGATAATATGTCTTGCCCCACCAGCCCACTGTGACCATAGGATAGCAGAATGGTTGTTCAGCAGCTGGCATAGTACTGTTGATGGTAAGGGTAATGCTAATAACCAACTCCAGTACAAAGGCAGATTGGTACACAGGCTGAAAGTCAAAATACAGATGGACTGCTGGGAGGGGTTCCGGGATAGAGCTCTGGCTGGTTTTCTGGAGGCAGCCTTTGATCCAGGCGTGGAAAGATGGAACGGTGTCAGAGTCTGGGTTAGGGGTGAAGGCAGAAGGGAGTCACTGACAAAGGCTTGGTGTTGAGAAAATGCAGCAGGTTCCTAAAGTCCTAAAGTGTGATCATTTCCCAGTGGCTGCATCCAGGGACCCTTTATATGGAAGTGGGAGGGTTGGGGTAGCTGAGTGGTGAGAGGATGAAACAAGAGATGAAGCTGGAGGCGTGTGACCTTTCTTAACCGAGGAGTTACTGTGTTACCTTAGGCAAGAAACCTCGGTGTCTCTGTATCTTTCTTCCCTGAAAAACTATATGGACACATTTTGGGATTTCTCAGTGGAGAAGCTATTATGGATAGGACTGTTCCTCATGGGGCAGGAACGTCACACATTCTGCAGGATGTTCAGCATCCTGGGCTCCTGCCCACAGCACTGTTAGAGTTCCCCTATTGTAATAAATCAGATCTACTCTTTCCAAAGGGTCTGTTTGGGGTGTTGGCACCCTTGTTTGAGGACCACTCCCTTCTGTGATCTGTAAACTTCTTGTTCTAAAGGCCGTGACTGCCTAAGGCTCCTGGCTTCAGATTTCCAGCATTCACACTGTTGGTTGAAGCAAAAATACATATGTAGGAGGCTGCAGAATGGATTGCACTTGTGGGGTTAGTGTGTAGTTCACAGTAGTTTTTTATGACTTTAAGAAAGTCAGCCAGGCGCGGTGGCTTATGCCTATAATCCCAGCACTTTGGGAGGCTGAGGCGGGCAGATCACTGAGGTCAGGAGTTTGAGACCAGCTTGAGCAATGTGATGAAACCCCGTCTCTATTAAAAATACAAGAAAATTAGCCGGGCATTGTGGCGGGCGCCTGTAGTCCCAGCTACTGAGGAGGCTGAGGCAGGAGAATGGCGTGAACCTGGCAGGTGGAGTTTTGCAGTGAGCTGCCAAGATCGCACCACTGCACTGCAGCCTGGGCGACAGAGTGAGACTCCATCTCAAAAAAAAATAAATAAATAAAATAAAAAAAAAATAGAAAGCTAACATTGCTTTTTGAATTATGAACAGTTTGGCTCAGGTAAAATACCCACATACATCATTTCAAAAGTGGGGGAAAATAAATTACCTAAACACAAACTGCACACACACACACACACACACCCTCAATCCCCGAGCCCTGGTGTTTGGAACATTAATTAGTGTCACTGTATGAAACATATTAAGCTGGGGACCTTGTTGCTTTCATCTGGAAAAAAAAATAGCAGTGGGAAATGCTGACTTTGGAAATAGCAGAAGCAGTGGGCTTGTTCCAGGAATATTGCGGTGACTCGGACCCCTCCCCAGGCTGCACAACTTGTCGCTACAGAAGCCTGGCCACTTTGGTTGGATTGGGGGTGGGCAGAGAGAATGTGGATGAAAATGTGGCTTGTGTTTCAGGTGACAGAGGCTTTTTGGAGCTGAGAGTTTTTAGCCAGACTATGGGGAGTCTGAATTTCAGTGGTGTGACCTCAGGCAAGGGACTTCACTTCTCTGGGTCTCAGTTTCCTCATCTATAAAATGAGAATATTAATAGTATCCATCGGCCGGGCACGGTGGCTCATGCCTGTAATCCCAGCACTTTGGGAGGCGGAGGTGGGCGGATCACGAGGTCAGGAGATCGAGACCATCCTGGCTAACACGGTGAAACCCCGTCTCTACTAAAAATACAAAAAAAAAATTAGCCAGGCTTGGTGGTGGGTGCCTGTAGTCCCAGCTACTTGGGAGGCTGAGGCAGGAGAATGGCGTGAACTCGGGAGGCGGAGCTTGCAGTGATCCGAGATCACGCCACTATACTCCAGCCTGGGCGACAGAGCGAGACTCTGTCTCAAACAAACAAACAAAAAAAAGTATCCACCTCTAAGGGTGCCGGTGAGGATTACATGAGTTAGTTAGTGCAGATGGAACACATGGACAAGTGCTGGGCACAATGAGAGTGTAAGTATCTGCTAGGACAGCAATGACGAGGACAGTGGTGATGAATCCAGGCCTCTTGGATTCTAGCTCTAAATAGAATAGGTACCAAGCTCAAAAAATGCCAACTGAAGAAACGAATAAATCTAAATGGAGGTACAGGGAGTAATACTGGGGCACCCAAGAAGAAGCATAGGCCTCTTATGTCCATATCAATATTTTTTAATTGTAGTAAAATATATGTATAACATAAACTTTACCATTTTAATGGCCAGGTGCAGTGGCTTACGCCTATAATCCCAGCACTTTGGGAGGCTGAGATAGGAGAGTCATGTGAGGTCAGGAGTTTGAGACTAGCCTGGCCAACATGGTGAAACCCTGTCTCTACTAAGTATACAAATATTAGACAGACGTGGTGGCACACACCTGTAATCCCATCTACTCGGGAGGCTGAGGCAGGAGAATCACTTGAACCCGAGGGGTGGAGGTTGCAGTCACGCCACTGTATTCCAGCCTGGGCAACAGAGTGAGACTCTGTCTTAAAAAAAATTTACCATTTTAACTATTTTTATGTGTATAGTTCAGTGGCACAGAATGTTTTTTTCATATTGTAAACTAAAACTTTGTACTCACTACACAGTAACTCACTACTTCCCCCTCTCCCCAGCCTCTGGCGACCACATTCTACTTTCTGTCTGTGATTTTAACACCTCTAAATACCTCTTATGAATGGAATCATAGAATATTTGTTGTTTTGTGACTGGCTTAGCATAATGTCCTTAAGCTTCATCCCTATTGCATCATGTGTCAAAATTTCCTTCCTTTTAGTGGCTGTATAATATTACATTGTATGTGTATATGTCATTTGTTCATGAAGGGACACTTGGGTTTCTTCATTTCCACCTTTTGGCTATTATGAGTAATACTTCCAGGACCATGGGTGTACATCACCATATCAATGCATCTAATTATGTCTGAGTTTCTCTGGCTCCTCAAGCCCATTTCATCTGCTGCTCCATGGTGGTCAGTCGGGGGAAAGGACAGTGTGGGTATCAGGCACTGAGATGACCCCTTCCTAGCTGGATTACTTTGGGCAGTTCTTTCATTCCTCTGGGTCTCCATTTCTTCGTCTGTAAAACGGAGGTACTCGTTTTACAGATTTCCTTCCTTATAGAGAATAAAGGAGAATAAAATAAAAAAGAATGTAGGAGAATAAAATGAGTTTATTTATGTAAAGCACTTGGTACAGCATTGACACAGAGCACACCTTGTAGAAATGAAGCTACTGTTATTAATATAACACTCCGGGCACACTGTACATAATTTTAATGACTGTGACCTGTTGTGGACGTGAGAGAGTGGAGGAACAGAGAGGCTGGGTGACTTGCCCAGGGACACACAGCTGTTAGGCTGTGAAGCTGGGATGGAACCTACATGAACCCGAGGACAGGCCCATGCTTTCTCTCCCAGTCCTTTTCTGGGCCCTTCTCCCTGAGCTCCAGTGGAGCTACCACTCAGATTCATCTCTCATTAGTCTCTGCCTTGGCAGGGTCTGCCATGAGCATCCTAACCAGATCATGGTTCTCTTGCAAGTAAGAGCCACGCGTGAAATGTTTTCTTTTAATCGACGGTGCCAGGCATGGTGTTAGGCATGAGGTCTGTGTTTAACAAGCACTGTTGACTAATCCCTTTGGCCTTGCAGTGTCCGAGCTGAGTTCCAAACCAAACCCCAGATGCGAACACTGGCATTGGAAGCTGCTCTCGGAAGCCTGAATGCCACTGGCTTCCGTGGGGACTGCACAGACACGCTTCTGGCAGGCGCTTGCTTGGCAGCCTGGGGAGAAGCTTTCGTCTTCTAGTTGGGCCAGGTCAGCCCCACTGCTGTTCCCCCACAACCATCCTTGCCATTTAGGATAATTTATCAGGAGTCTGTTGTGTGTGGATTCTACTCCAGGTTTTAAGTCGGTCAATGTTTGTGCTCAGAGATGATAAAAAAAAAACAGATCAATGAGAATTGACTGATCATGATCCAGCTCACAGGAAGAGAGTTGGAGGGTTTGGAGGGGAAGAGGAGGGAGCCAGCTGGCCTCTGAGCCTGCACTCAGGGACACCACCCGCCTAGAAGGAGCCTCTAGGCCAGTGCAGGCCCCTCGGTTTTAGGCCCCAGGCTCTACTGTAAGAACAGCCGAAGATACACAGAGTCTGTGCCACTGGCCTTGAGGGTCCCCACATAATAATTCCAGGCAGCCCGACCTCTCAGGCCTCATCTCCTGCAATGTCCTGACTTCTCTTCTGTCTTCTGCTCTTACCCATCCATTCTCCAACCGGCAGCCAGAGTTGTCTTTTTCCAGAGTGAGCTAGATGATGCCTTCCATGGTTCAAAGCCCTTCAGGGGCTGTCTGTTGACCTTAGACTAGTACCCGCCGTCTTCACCGAGGCCAACAGGCCCCAGATGATCCAGCCCTTGCCCACCTCTCTTCCCTTGGGTGGACCAGCCATTCCCCAGCATTCTGCTCTCCAGATCACCATGGCCCTTCCTAGACCATCCAAGGTCCTGCCTCCCCTGGGGGCCTTTGCTTTACCCGAGAGACCGCACCCTTAACTCCCATGAAGTGGCTTCTTTCGGATCCAGGAGGGGCTTCCCTGACCACCTTACTCTCAGCCAGTCTTCATTTTTATATCCTTCCAAGCACCCTGTCATGAGCTGTAATTATCATAATCTGTAAGTTACATGTTTATTTACTGATTTGTCTCCCTTCATTAAACTGAGAGCTCTAGGCAGGCAAACATCATGTCAAGTTCACTGTGGTGTCCCCAGCTCCCAGCTTGGGGCCAGACTGTAGTGTGTGTTTGTTGACTGACTGAATAACCCAGACAGACTCACTGGGATGTGTCTGGAGGAGGGTTAGCAAGGTGGCCCGAAAATGACCTGAATCCTCTATCATGCTTGACAGATTGGAGCATGCCCAGCTTGGAGGCAGAGAGTGAAGAGGACTGTGAGCCTTACCCTCAGATATCCCTAGTCCTGTCTTGTGGGTGAGGAATGGACTCTTCTGTGGTTCCCTTGGCCAGTGGAAGGAGTAATAGCAAGATGCTCAGCTGCTGAACCCAAGGATTTGGTGCCAGTCATACTTGACTGCAGGGGGACAGCAGTCTTGGAAAGCGGGTAGTGTCTCATCTTTGCCAGAAGGTTCCAGTGGAGGTGATAAAGCAGCATGTGCATGGAATACTGTTCAGCCTTAAAATGAAAGCATTTCTGACACTTGTTACAACATGGATGAACCCTGAGGACATGAGGCTAAGTGAAATAAGGCAGACACAAAAGGAAAAATACTGCATGGCTCCACTTAAAAGAGGCACCTAGAGGAGTTTAATTCATAGAAATAGAGAGTGGGGCGGTGGTTGCCAGGGGCTGGAGGAAGCAGAGAAGGTGGAGCTATTGCTCGATGGAAACAGTGTTTCATTTTGGGGGGATGAAAATGTTTGGGAGGTGGATAGAGGTGATGGTTGCACAACGATGCGAATGTGGTTAATGCCACTGAATTGCATACTTAAAAATGGTTAAAATGATAAAAATTTATGTTATGTATATTTTAGCACAGTGACAAACAAACGAAAAACCCAACCCTTGGCTGCGGTGTGAGAAACCACATACCACTGTGAGTGTTTGGGCCCAGTGACTTTAAAGGTGCCCTCCAACTCCAGGGTGTTTAGTTCTGCAAAAAAAAGAACTTCATTTGAAAATGTCCCATTTTTCTCTTGACCTGTCCCAGTTGAGGCCGCTTGAAACTACAGGCTGACCGAACATCCAAACATCCAAGCTTGTCCTCTCTCCCCACCTTCCCGCTGCTCCTGTCCTATTTTAAGGCCTGGAGACATCAGATCTCATCTCATCAGTTAAATGGAGAAAATGTCGTGGGTGAATATTTGCAACAGTTATCCATTGATAGATGTGTGCTGTGACTCTCTGCAAAACTCATCCTCTGCTGCTCCAGCGTTGGAGTCCTGTGTGAATAGACGCCTTTCTTCCTTCCTGCACCTACATTTCTGTTTATTGCATGACTAAATCTTCTTCTTCCCTGCACTTTGTACATCTGCATCCTTAGCCAATTCATTGAATATTTAGTGAGCACCTACTGATTTCCTATTCTGGAAAATGCAAGCTGTGGGGACAGTCACACAAATAGAATGTGCAGTGTGTCTCAGGCCAGTGGGCATAGAGGAGGGACAGGATAACGTCTGCCCGTGGTGGATGGTGCATTAAGAAAGTCTTCCCAAAGGAGATGCTTCTTGAGCCCGATTGTGTTAGTTTGTTCTCACATTGCTAATAAAGACATAGCTGAGACTGGGTAATTTATAAAGGAAAAAGGTTTAATGGACTCACAGTTCCACGTGGCTGGGGAGGCCTCACAATCATGGCAGAAGGCAAAGGAGAAGCAAAGTCACGTTTTACATGGCAGCAGGCAAGACAGCATGTGCAGGGGAACTCCCCTTTATAAAATTGTCACATCTCATGAGGCTGATTCACTATCATGAGAAAGCACAAGATAAACCCACCCCCATGATTCAGTTACCTCCCACCGGGTCCCTCCCATGGAACATGGGGATTATTACCATTCAAGGTGAGATTTGGGTGGGGACACAGAGCCAAACCATATTACTGATCTTGAGCGATGAGTAAAAGCTCTTCAGAAAGGCTCAGAACAAAGGGCATCACAGACGTTATTTCTAGACATTCCATCCTTCTCTGGAAAGAGCTTTCTAATCAACCCATCCTTTGATGTCCTTTTTCAGTTCTGCTTTTCTTTTCTCTCACCCCCTTCCCTTGCCCCAGTCGTCCATTGAAGGGCAGAGAAGGGAGGACGGTGATGATGAGGAAAGGAGGGAAAGCTGGAGTGCTGAGGCTTCCCTAGAAGGAGAACAAGCATGTGAGCTCCTTCTTCCTCTTCGGCTCAAAGGGCATTCACCTGCATTGGGCCTGACTCTGGTGGGCCTGCCTGTGGGAGATGGTGTGATGCCTGCCCCTCAGTGCCCTGTAGCCCTTCCACTTCATCTTCAGAAACCATTCCTCACATCCTGCTATGGAACCTGTGGCTGGAACTGCTGATTGCAAAATTGATTTAATCATGAAGCTGTTTTCCTGGGGGAGGGGGAAGGTGTTGGCAGTACGGAGGTGAGAGGTGAAGCCAGCTGGACTTCCTGGGTCGAGTGGGGACTTGGAGAACTTTTCTGTCTTACAAGAGGATTATAAAATGCACCAATCAGCACTCTGTAGTTAGGATTGTAAAATGCACCAATCAGCGCTCTGTGGCTAGCTAGAGGTTTGTAAAATGTGCCAATCAGTGCCCTGGAAAAATGCACAATCAGCACTCTGTGGCTAGCTAGAGGTTTGTAAAATAGGCCAATCAACACTCTGTAAAATGGACCAATCAGCACTCTGTAAAATGGACCAATCAGCAGGACATGGGTGGGGACAAATAAGGGAATAAAAGCTGGCCACCCCAGCCAGCAGTGGCCACCCCAGCCAGCAGTGGCAACCCACTCGGGTCCCCTTCCATGCTGTGGAAGCTTTGTGCTTTTGCTCTTCACAATAAATCTTCCTGTTGCTCACTCTTTGGGTCCATGCCACCTTTAAGAGCTGTAACACTCACCACGGAGGTCCACGGCTTCATTCTTAAAGTCAGCAAGACTGTGAACCCAGTGGAAGGCACCAACTCTGGACACAGTGGGAAGAGGGCTAGAGTTGGGGGCTGGACCCTGGGTGATGGCCTGGCATGAACTTGGGCTTGCTATGGGCCCATCTTGTACCTTAATTTCTCAGTTTGTAAAACTTTAAGGCCTCAGTGGTTCTTAACTGTCCCTTGCTCATCCGTGGAAACTAGCCTTGACCCTTGATCCTTGCCTCCCACATGTAGCCCCCAGCTCTCCCACCAAGCAGTCCATGATTTTACTTTGGGGACTTAATTCCTTCCTATTCTTCACTTCATTGTTTGGGATCAGCTGGCCTCACCTGACAATGATGACAGGTACAGGAGTAAGCACATGACCCAGGCAGGGCCAATGGTGTGGGGGGTGAATCTGAGGGCTCCAGAGGGAATACCATCAGAGATGTGTTTTCCTGTGGGGGTCTAGAGAGGTGGGAAAAGGGAGTGGCTGAGCTGGAGGACCTGAACTGGAAATCAGAACCATGAGAGGCAGAGTAGGAGCATCCTGCTGGGAGGTTGGAGGGCAGGCAGTTGGAGAGGCTGGTGTGGAGGGGGGATGGGAAATTGACCACTGTACTATGTTCACTGTAGACCACAGTGGTCTACAGTGAACACTGTAATCCGATCCTGTGGCCACTGGGTTTCACGGTCGGGAGTGGCATGATCAGATTTGTGTTTTGCAAGAGTGACTCTGCCATTGGCTGGAGAAGGGATGCGGAGGCAGGCATACACATGGTCTTTACAAGACACATTTCAAGATGACACCTAAAATTCACAATGAGGCCATTTACTAAGCTCCTGCCTTGTGCTAGGAGGTACACATGGGGCTCTAACCCACTGAATGGCTACAAACACTGTTAAACTGAATTTCATTATCCCCACATCGTAGCTGAAGAACATGCTCAGAGAGGTCCAATATTTTGCTCAGGGTCACACAGCCAGATGCAACCAGAATAGTCTACACCGAAGCCGGTGCTCTTCCTGCCGTACCGTGGCAACCTCACCAGTCTCTAACCCGTGTTGGCCTTTTTTCTCTCTCAGGAGCCTTCGGGGCCAGGGCTGACATTTGTGTTCAAGATGATTTCCTTCCTGCTCAAATAAATGCCAAACTAAATGATGGAAGTGATTCAGCAAGAAATAGAATTTGAGAGGGAAAAAAGAGCTGTGTGAAAACATTTACAAATGGATTAAAAATTTAAGTCCATCAACCCATGCCAACATACTTGGAAGTTTGGGAGATATTTTTAGACCATGAAATCCAAATGGCACAGATCGTGGGTTGGAAAGATAGAAACGCAAATAATAGTTTTCTAGCTGTGACCAGAGATTGCTTTTGCTTAGTTTTTCCTAGCTATAAAATAGCAACAATCAAAACGCAGAATTCACTGCAAGCACATCCTTCCTCCTCCTCCTTTTTACTTTTTCTTTTGTTTTCTTCTTCTTCCTCTTTTTTTTTTTTTTTTTTTTTCATATTTCTCCTTCTTCCCCCTTAGAGCTCAGCTTCTTGTTCTGGGAAAGCCCTGGAGAGACCTACGCCTACATGACGTTTGCTTTTGAACTCCCTTGACACTTTCAGAGGCTGGTAGCAGAAACCCATCTTAAACCAGCTGAGGCGTCCCAGGGATCTTGCTTGCTCATGGACCCCAAAGGAGATCAAGAAGGCCTGAGTGAGGGGTGTGGCTTTACAGTGAAGAAAAGTAATTGCCTTCCTAAGTTAGGGACCCACTGACTTAGCTGGGTTCAGGTGCCTACTGCAGAACCCTTATTCCCCACCTGTGTCTTTGGGTGAAAGGATCATAAGATGGCATGACAGCTGCTACAAAACAGGGGGCAGAATAGCTCCCAGGAAAAAGGAGGAGTGCTTGTCAAATTCTTTGACAATAGGAAGGAACGTTTATTGAGCATTTGCATTTTCCAGGCACATTTGTAGCTGCTTACCTGTGCTCTTTCAATCCTCACAACAGCCCCCACAAAGTAAGTGCAGCTAAAGGAAAATGAAAAGGGGATTTGGTTACGCTGTAGTGTGGTTGGGATGACAAATATGAGATGGTATTTATAAGTCGCTGGGGGTGATGCCCAGCAGGTAGTACTTACGCCGTGGTAACTTCTGTTTCCATCTCTTAAAAATGCTTTCAATTATTTTTATTTCTATCAGAGGAATACATACATATATTCAAGCCCAAAGTCATATAGGAAGGCAGGTTAAAAATGAAAAGCCACAGCCCCTTCCCCAGAGGCAGTCTCGTTCTTTCTGTCCTTAGAACTCCTGGTGGTTCTCCTGCATCTCTAAATCATGCGCTCGTGGCGCTGTCTCTTGATGAATCAACTTTAGGCACTTCTATTGATTTTCTGTTTTATCTTATCTCCCTTATGGTTTACGTCCTCTTTTCTTCTTCTCTCTCTCCCATAACCCAGCTCACCCGCTACTCTGCTCCTTCTTTTTCTTTAATCTCCATTACTTTTCTTTCTCCTGTTTTTTTTCAGTCTCTTTCCTCACACACAGCCAATCACTGTGTGGCCCACGCACAGGTACCCCTCCACCACCTCTTCCCCACCTTCTTCCTTTTCTTCTTTCTTGCAGTGTCTTCTCCACATCTGTGTCCTAGAAACCTTTACTGTCTGCCTGTGGTTTTCTCTGGTACCTTTATCTTGACCCTTGTCTGCCCATTCTGCCCTGCTTTAGGGTTATTTCTAGCTGTGTTACCACCACTTGTTAAAAATCTTGTTCTTGCATTCATTACCTTATGAAGCCTGCAGAACACGCCACGATGTAAGTCTTTGGATTCTCATTTTGGGGATATGAAAACAGAGCATCCTAAGATGGACTCAGAGTCCCAGGGGGAGAGGGAAAGAGCCACATGCATAGCTTATTTGGGGACCAAGTCTGATGTGACTCACCCTGGGTTCCCAGAAGGGGCTCAGGAAATGTTTGTTGTGGGATTGAACAGGAAGCTACCCTAATGGTAATGAGATGAATTGGACATTCCTCTCTGACTTCTATCGTTTGATTTTCTGAGGCCATTCACATACACACATACATGCTGTCTCACACACCACTCACGTGCTTCTGGCTTTAAATTCGTCTCCTCCTACATCTTTTTTATTGTTTTCTATTAAGCCTGATTTCTGTTTGGGAGGCAGCCTGCTTGTAACAAGCCTTTGGTAGTTTTGTCCTCCCGTCGCCTGGGATAATTTATGGGCTTGGAGAAAGGGAACTTGCCTCCTGTACTGTCAATATTAAATATACATTGCTTCCCTCACAAAATAGCATTCAGAGTTGTAATAAATCCTCTGGAAATTACCTGGAGTTAACTATGAGTTGGTTAAGTGCCAGTAATTAGCATTGCCTGGGAATTTTTGCTGACACATAGACTCATCCTGGTTGCCTTGCTTGGCTTTAATTGTATCCCGGAGCTCTAGAATTTTGGACCTGGAAGAGGTCTTCCCAGTCTAGCTCTGCTTTTCAGCTTAAAGGACGAAGAACCTGAACCCAGGGAAGGAGGGAGTTTGCTTAAGGACACACAGATTCCCAGCAGCCAAGGAGAGCAGAGTCCGGGTCTCCCAAGCTCATGTTTTCAGCCCCTTTGATCTGTTCATTTCCAGGCAGGGTGCTCTCAGGTCAAGCTAATGTGTGGCATGATGCAGTTTGCCAAGCTGTTTTGCACAGTCTTTCCAAAATTAGTTATTAATTGGGTGCTAATCTTGTTGGCCACCACGAAGGCATTGTCTTTAGAGTAGCTTAAGGTTGGTGGATCCAGGCTGAGGCATGTTGTGGAAGCCACTGCAGGGCCGTTAGCAATAAACATGTACCAGGAGGTCATCTGGTTCTTTTTCTGCTTGGAGAGGCAAACAGTAACCCAGCTTATCCCTTCTGGGCTCCCATCTGATAAAGACCTCAGCCTTTGAATAGACACAGATGATTAAATACAGTTCAGCTCTGCAAATGCCCATGGAGCACACTACTCTGTGCCCAGCATTGTGCAAGGTATCCCGGGCATATGGGCATGTAAGATGGACTTCTTGCTTGGAAAATTATAAAGTGTTTAATAGGCAGACAGATAGGGATGTAGAGAAACAGCTGAGTTCTAGCCTCAGAAACAGAGACTTGAGATGAAACCAAGGGTTTACTAACCGTATGACCTAGCCCAGTTCTGTAACCTTGGTGAGTCTTGATTTTCTCATCTGTGAAATGGGGTAGTTGTGAGACTTGAATAGGATTCTGTATGGGAAATGCCTGACACATAGTAAGAGCTCAGTAAATGATATTAATAATAATGATTTTTTGTGTGTTTTTTTGGGGTGGGTGGGTGGGGCTAATCACAGAAGAACTAAGGGTGCCCAAAGGAGGGAAAATTAATTTGATTTGGAGGATTGGGGAAGATGTCTTCATGGCTTTACTGCTTATTAGAGTCGTTTTTTTATTTCTTCTTAACTTGATCTTAGTGCCTCAGTTGAGTAATATCATTCATTCATTCACTTGATTTCCCTTAAAAATATTTATGTTGGGGATGGGGCAGGTGCATGGGGGAAATAAATGCAAGCTAATGTGTCCCTGCCCACAGTGAACGCAGAGTCTGGAGGAGAGAGGCGGGAAAGCCACGTGGCTGTGCTGCCCTGGGCCATGGAGACCTGCCTTGCCTTTCCTCCTCCTCACCTTTGCTCACAGCTGCCTCTCCTTCTCCTGATCTGGGGCCTGACCCTCTTCCTTTCTGAAAGGCCAGCTCTTTGCTTCCCCATGAAGTGACAGTGACAGGAATGTGACAATGTAATGCCACAATTAAGAGCATTTGGGACTTGGCTCCAAATGTCAGTCCACCCCTTTTCATGACACCAGTTGGTCCTTTTGCCTTTCTGAGCCTTAGGTTTTTGTGTCTATAAAACAGGCATAGAATTGTGAGAATTACAAGGTGATATTGATCGGGTGCAGAGCATGTTACCTGGAAACACCCTGAAGGCTTTAGCCCATATTACTACCCTGAAATCCAAGTCTCCTTATACTTTCTCACCAACTAATTTTGTTCTAAGAATAAAGCTCAATGTTTCTAGGTTCCTTTGTAATTTACAAAGCACTCTGCTTTGTCGAATCCTCATAATCAGGTGAAGTGAGCAGGAATTATTATTCTCTTTATTTTATATAAAAGGAACAGGCTTGGAGATGCTGATTGATGTGACAGAGTCCCATGCCTGATTCAGTCAAAGTCCAATGCCACCAAATCCCACGCTCTCTGCAATCTGCCATCCTGCAGCTCAGTTGGCGGAGCAGCACTGACCTGTGGTCAGCTGTGTCACACTGTGCATCTGTCTCATACCACATTCCCCGTAGCATTCTGTAGAGCTATGCTTATTTTAACATGCTCAGTTTGCACAACTCTATGAAGTAGGCTTGATTATTTATTCCTTTATTTTTACAAGAAGGAAGTGGAGGCACAGAAAAGTTACATGATTTTCCTAAGTTCAGTCCCAGCTGCTGGGCTGCAAAGCACCAGCTCCTGTCCTCCACACCATGCTGTCTTTTTATTATGAGTTTGTGCCTCATTATTTGGAATAAAATCCTTGATTCAACGATATTCAGTGTAGACCCTTCACACGGGGCAGGACAGATGACCCCAGTTGTAGCACGAAGGCACAGAATCAGAACTCAAAGTGCAGAAACAGAGCTTAATGCCAGGAACCAGTTGGTGGCTGGGTGAGGAGGGCAGGAGGGAGCACACAGGAGACAGGTGCAAAAGGATTAGAGGGGCATGAGCTAAATCACATGAGATAAATGGGCTCAGCAACCCACCCACGTCCTCTGAGCACTCACACCCCTTGGGAAATAGGGGTTGATGGAGTGGTAGCATCCTTTCTGTGTATTGCCAGAGGTGGACCCTGGAACCAGACTGCTGGGTTCAACTCCCAGCTCCATAACTTGCCAGTTGTGTCACTGTGGGCAAGTTTCTGAACCTCTCGGTACCTCTTGGGTTTCTGATAAGAAGAAAAGGGGGCAATGAACTGTGCTTGTCCAAGGGGCTTGGTAAGAGGATTAAATCACTTATTATTTATAAAGTGCTGAGAACAATGCTTGGCCCTTAGCTGTGTGAAAGTAGTTGTTGAGTAAATAAGACAAATGGGGGGGTAAAGAGTGTCAGAGGGCTGGGTGACCTGACCAGGGTCATAGTGGGTACTGGAACGGGACCTGAACTCAGGGCTCCTGGAACTCACCCCGTAGAAATCTACACTGTTTGCCTTATATTTCACTACTGGCTGCAAAATTAAGAAAATGAAACAAAATGCAACAAAAAACATCTACCCCAGTAGTTCTCAGTGGTTTGGAGATGAGATGAAGCTTTTCGAAATAAGCATCCAAATCAGCCTTGTGTATCTGTGCTGGGGAGGGGTGTGTTTGGAGGAGTGAGGTAGGAGTGTGGGTAGTGGGGGATGATGGATTTTTAACAAAGCCCTTTTCTCCATGTATCTTTTGAGAACTCTGGCTGTCACTTGTCTCTGACACGTGGACATCTCCATCCAGGCCCCTTTTTAAAACCTTTTGATTCTCATTAATGCTGGTTTTCAATTAAATTATTCTTAGCCCTAGAAACTACCCAATTAAAGAAGCAATTTTCTGTACTTTCCCTGGAAGTGATTGCTTACCTGGTTTGGTGGTGCCTTTAGCGGTGAACAAAGCCAGAGCGAATACTCCTGGGCCACCGGCTCTAATTGGTAGTGCTGGGGGTGGAAGGGATGGGGAGGGGTGTGATTCCCATAGGTGGGGGTGGATTTCTACAAAAGCTAACCTGACAAAGAAATTGGCTAGCCAAATGCCAGTCCTCCCCGACCCCCTCCCTACCTTTATTTCCAAAGGTTATGCTCAAGCGGGGCCTTAGCAATAGCTCCAATTTGTAATTCTAATTTCCTTGGAAATAGGGCTAAATAGAGCATTTGTCATTTCTCTCCATGTGGATTACCGGCCGCAGATGAGGATTTATGGCCTGAGCTGCTTCGGCCTCAGGAGCCTGTCTCTGGGGCTGAGATAGGGTGTCTGAGCACAGATTCGGGGAGAGGGTGTTGCATAGGGAGAAGGGGCTGGGTGTTGTCAGTTAAAAATATCTCAAACATTTTTTTCTCTAAATCTAGAAGAGAGAAAAAACCATGTATCCTGTTAAAGCTTCAGGTTGCCTGGTTATGAATAAAATAAGAAGCAGGAAAATGTTCAAAGGGAAATGCTTTGAGCACTGTGGGAGTGGTTTTTCTGCCCTGGATATTTCTTCTGGGAGAGAGAATGCCTTGACCTCATAGGTCAGTTGAAGACCAAGGCCCGGGTAGGAGCTCATGCGGCTCCCCGGGGTAGCTTGTATGGGGAACTAGGAGAAAATCTGGCCCACCTTGTTGGAAGCTAGAGTTTGAGAAGTTTGCCATTGGCATTTAGAGTCCATCTTTGCAGCCGTTGGTGCATTCTGAAAATACATTTTAGCCCTTACTCGTTGCCAGACTCTGTGCTAGGCACCAGGGAAACCAGTGGGGAACCCACACCAAATGGTTCTGCAGCTCCATGGAGTTTGTAGCCTGGTGGGGGAGACAGACATTGATCAAGGAATTACAAAAATAAATGTCAAATTACCCCCTTGCTAAGCTCTCCAGAGGAGAGGTGCCTAATGCATAAAGGGATTTATACTCCTGGGACAGCTCAGAGTGGGCTTCACAGATGCTGAAACTGAGATACATATGGAGGAAGAATCCGGTTTACTTTCTTTTTTTAAACTTTCATTTTAAGTTCAGGGGTACAAGCACAAGTTTGTTACATAGGTAAACTTGTGTCATGGGGGTTTGTTGTACAGATTATTTCATCAAGCAGGTATTAAGCCTAGTACCCATTAGTTATTTTTCCTGATTCTCTCCCTCCTCCCCACCTCCACCCTCTGAAAGACCGCAGTGTATGCTGTTCGCCTCTGTGTGTCCATGTATTCTCAATCATTTAGCTCTCACTTATAAGTGAGAACATGCAGTATTTGTTTTTCTGTTCCTGTGTTAGTTTGCTGAGGATAATGGCCTCCAGCTCCATCCATGTCCCTGAAAAGGACATGATCTCATTTTTTTTATGGCTCCATAGTATTCCGTGGTGTATATGTACCACATTTTCTTTATTCAGTCTATCATTGACGGATATTTAGGTTGATTCCAGAATGGCTGCTATTAAAACGTCAAAAAATGACATGCTGATGAGATTTCAGAGAAAAAGGAATGCTTATACACTGCTGGTGTGAGTTTAAGTTAGTTTAGCCATTGTGGAAGGCAGTATGGCAATTCCTCAAAGACCTAAAGACAGAAAGCCATTCAACCCAGCAATCCCATTACTGGGTATATACCCAAAGGAATATATATATATATATTTGTTTGTTTGTTTGTTTGTTTTGTTTTGTTTTTTGATTTTTGTTTTTTTGGAGCCAGAGTCTCGCTCTATCGCCCAGGCTGGAGTGCAGTGGTGCGATCTCGGCTCACGGCAAGCTCTGCCTTCCGGGTTCACGCCATTCTCCTGCCTCAGCCTCCCGGGTAGCTGGGACTACAGGTGCCTGCCACCGCGCCTGGCTAATTTTTTATTTTTATTTTTAATAGAGATGGGGTTTCACTGTGTTAGCCAGGATGGTCTTGATCTCCCGACCTTGTGATCCACCTGCCTTGGCCTCCCAAAGTGCTGGGATTACAGGCGTGAGCCACTGCACCTGGCCTACCCAAAGGAATATTAATCATTCTATTGTAAAGACACATGCACACATATGTTCATTGCAACACTATTCACAGTAGTAAAGACATGGCATCAACCTACTTTTGAGGTCTTCAAGTGTTGGGGGTGGGAAAGAGTGTACTGGGCCCCACCATTGCTGCCAGTCTTGACTGTGGCATGTGGGGCAGGTAAGTTACTTCTCCTCTTGGAGCCCCAGTTGTCTGGTCTGTAAAATAGAACTAATCAAATCCACTCCACAGTTTCTGTGATAAGAATAGAGAGTTAAGTGCAGGTCGGATATCTGGCAGGCCCTAAACCTTAACAGGTGAGAAGCAGAGTTCTGATTTCTTGATGGCAATGCCATACCCCTTTGAGCAGAAGGTCACTCATGGTCCCTGATAAATACAGTGTCACCTTTGAATAGGACTTGATAGGGCTGGGCTATGTATTTTGCAGGGTTTGGCCCACTTTAACATTCTGTGAGGGTGGCAGAGTGGCATCTGTCTGTGTTGCAGGAAGAAGCTGACTTCAAGGGGTTAGTAACCCCCCTCCTGTGTGTGCACAGTTGGTAAGGGGCAGAGGTGGAGTTCGAATCCAGATTGAGGCTGTCCAAAGTTAGTGTATTTTCTCCTCCTGCTTCCTTGTCTTCGTGGCGTGGGGAAAGGGTCACGTAACCCCTCCAAGCCTCAGTTTCCCACGACCGACATGGAGAACTACGCTGCACAATGGGGCGGTGACCAACACATTCATGTGTTCACTCTTCAGGGCACATTACACTGTGCGGGGCCAGGCTCTGGGCTTGGACACAGAGGGAAGGAAGGACTCAAGGCCACCCCTCAGGGCTGCGTTCTAGTGTGGGAAGACAAACACATGCCAGGAAATGAGGGGACGCCTGATACTGCAGGACCTGGTCAGCGCCATGAAGGACAGCAGGGAAAACGGTGGAAAGACTGTGCAAGTGCAGGGCAGCACTTCATCTGTGCTGCTGGCAGCTTCTCTCTGTTAAGATGACTTTGAGCAGAGACTGGAATGAGTAAAGGAGAGAGCCACAGAGATGACTGTTGGCATCCAAGAGTTCAAACCAATGGCAAATGGAAAACATTCAGAAAAATAAAAATGAACAATACAGCAATAAAACATGACACAAATTAAAAAGAAACAATTCAGTATAATGACTACTGACATAGCATTTGCATTGTATCAGGTATTACAGTAATCTAGAGATGATTTAAAGTATACGGAAGGATGTTTGCAGGTTCTATGCAAATAGTACACCACTTTGTATTAAGGATTGAGCATCTGGGATTGTGATATCCTCAGGAGGTCCCAGAACCAATCCTCTATGGACACTGAAGGATGACTGTAGTTTCCTACTTCTGTGTAACAAATTACCACAAATTTAGCAGCTTAAAGCAGTGTAAATTTGTTATTTTACATGTCTGAAGGTCAGAAGTCCAAAATAGGTCTCACTGGGGTAAAACAAGGTGTCAGCAGGGCTGTGTCCCTTCTGGACTCTGGAGAGAACCTGTTACCCTGCTTTTTCCAGCTTTTGAGGCTACCTGCATTCCTCAGCTCATGGCTCCTTCTACCATCATGAAAGCCAGCAGCACAATCTCTCTCTCACTCTGACTCCTCTCTGCCCCCTCCTCTGCTGGAAAGGAACCTTGTGGCTGTGTTGGGCCCACCTAGGTAATCTGGAATCATCTCTTTAGGGTCAGCTGATTACCATACTTTGTTCCTTCAGCAACCTTGACTCCCCTTTGCCATGTAACCTAGCATAGCACAGATTCTGGGGGTTAAAACATGAATATCTTTAATGGAGGCTTTAATGGAAGCACCTTCTTTCTCAGTGAGAAGTCCTGCTGGGGAGTCAGGGGGCTTGCCATGAAGCCGCGGTCCTGCTGCCTAACTGCTGGGAGACTGTGGCTCTTCATCTCTCTGAGCCTTCCATCTTTAAAATGGGCACTGAAACTTAGATTTATAATTGTGCAGTAGACTTCAAAAAGGTTTGCTGGGATGAATTGAATTTCCGGAGTCTGGTTTATCCTGATGAGTTTGCCGCTCAGTCCAGAAGTCATGTTACTCAGCAGGGGTAAATCTTGACTTTGCCAGAATGGGTTAGGGATGTGGGAAATCTAAACCCAGATGAAAAAATTGGTTCGGCATAAAGCTTGGTAGGAAGTATGGGGGTATTGGGAGCTGGCGTAAGTGGGATGGGTATTTGGGTCATCCAGGGTTATAGGATTTCTTCAGAAAATAAGGTACAAAGAGAAACTGCTTTTGGCCTCCGTCACACTGCGGCTGAAGACTGCCACTAGATAGCAGAATGTTCAGCCAGGCTGGAAATGGTTAAACAAAATGTTACATCTGGCTGGAATGGACCTTAAGGTCACTTCATAGAAGTCCACATGCAATGCTTGAATCTCTTCTTCAAGAGCCCTGAGAGTTGTAGCCTAGACTGTTCATGAACCTTCTTAGTGATAGGGAACAACACACGGCAGCTATCCTTAGAGAGTCTTACGCTGACCACATTTCCTTTCATTGACCTGAGCTCAGTCTCGCTGTCTCTTTCCACAGTATTAGTTTTTCTCCATGAGCGCCACAGAGAATGACCAGACCACCCAAGCCAGGGCTCTCCTAGCAGCTGACCACCATCCATCATCACTCTCAGAGATGTTACTGGTCCATCACCAAGCAGCCGCACCCACACGTTGCAGGGGTTCCCTTGGGTAAGGAGCCTGGCCAGGGCCTCTGGGTTCTGAGCACATCTCCTGTTGGTCATCACAGACCACAGAGAAATCAGGCAGAACTCTTCCTCAGGAAAATAATAGAGGGCCCAGTGGAGTCCCTAAGTTCCTCAGATAGAAGGAGGAATGGGCAGGGTGGGATCGGGGCAGAGACCTTAAATCCTGCCACTGTTTTCTACTGCATTTGGAAGCAGCCCAGGAGCTCCAAGGATTGAGACAGCTTGGTCCAAATGTCAGAAGGAGACTTCAGTGTATCTGAGGACCTGAAAGAGGCAGGAATTCTAGTCTTATATAATACAGACTTGAATAGAAAGCAAATTTTCCTGAATGTATTTCTCATAAGAAGAATCACCTTATAATAGAAAGCAGTTTTTCCTAAATGTATTTCTCATAAGAAGAATCACCTAATAATTGAGTCCTTACAAAATTTTTATTATGTGGCACCATCTCAGTTGTTTTATTTTGTGACAACAGGTTACAACAGGTTCTTTGAGGAAGGGGCACATTTGCCTGTGATATAAACATAGTAGTGCTAGTTTTAGACACTTGTAGCAGTCACTCAATGGAATTGGCTTCATGCACACACACAAAGCTGCTTAATGGATTAAATCATTTTTCCTGGGGCAATGTTCTTACAAATGCAAGTTAAACTGCTGTGAACAATTATTTTAAAGATCTATGAAAGAAAAACCTCAGTAGAGTTAGTGGTTATAGTGTAAGGATCCTCAAAGATGGATGGGTATTTGGGGCCTGGGACAGAGTTTTCAGTGACAGCATCACGGATGGCTTCAAAAGATGTATCTCTCCCAAGCAACCTAGATGTATGAAAATACGGTGCATGAGAATACAGGATGCTCTGGAAAACTGAGTTGAGGAATTAGAGTGTATAGAGGCATCAGAAACAGTGATATCAAAGAATAAATGGTTTCACCAAACGAGTATGGCAAATTAGAAATATTTCTAAATGAACACATATGCAGAGTATTAAATTTCTATGTGTAAACTAAATTAATACATTAAATGTTAGAAATAGACACTTAGCTTTTCAAAGAACAGGCACATTCAGTATTCCATGTTCACCTGCAAGGGAGGCAGGAGAGGAACCACTGTCCCCATCTCATATTTTTGGAAACTGAGGCACAGAGACCAGCCATGAGTGGATGCCAGAACTAAAACCTTAGGCCTGTCCCCTACACCACCCCACTCTTTTTTTTTATTTTTTTTATTTTTTATTTTTATTTTTTTTTTGAGACGGAGTCTCGCTGTCGCCCAGGCTGGAGTGCAGTGGCGCAATCTCGGCTCACTGCAGGCTCCGCCCCCTGGGGTTCACGCCATTCTCCTGCCTCAGCCTCCCGAGTAGCTGGGACTACAGGTGCCCGCCACCTCGCCCGGCTAATTTTTTGTATTTTTAGTAGAGACGGGGTTTCACCGTGTTAGCCAGGATGGTCTCGATCTCCTGACCTCGTGATCCGCCCGCCTCGGCCTCCCAAAGTGCTGGGATTACAGGCGTGAGCCACCGCGCCCGGCCCACCACCCCACTCTTAAGAGAAGCAAACTGGCACAAAAGATTAGTCCAACTCCTGAAAAGCCTGTCCTGAAAATGACAGCAGGCCAAAGACAAGAGACACCTGGGCTGCCTGGAGTAAGTGGGTGGAAATCTGCGACCCCCAAAAGGTCCCTTCCAGCCCTACCTTCTGAGGACTGAGCCCAGGGAGAACTAACCACTACCAAGGGTTTTCTCTGTGGCTTCCTGATCCTCCTGGCACAATTTAAAAAATTATTTCAGTTTGGCTATTTTACTTCTTAAGGATTAAAAATGAGTCTTTAAAAGTGTGGAGAAACAAACTCAAAACCTCACGTGAAATACATAGCAAAAATGAAATTCCAGTAAAATATAAGGACATTGAAACAAAGAAACAAAAATATTTGCCTGGCCTGAAGAAGATTCCTGTACAAATAATCCCCAAACTAGTTAGTGTCTACAGAAGCTGTTTTTTCATTCATTGTAAGGTAAGGTATGGTATCATTTGAAGAGAGATTTAAACAAAGTCGAACAACATACTGCTGTTTTCAGTTTTTCTCATAATGTACAAGCATTAAAATTCAAAAGAACTTGAGGTATTCCGCATGGATCTAGATACTGCTTAAGAAATATTGAAAATGTTTATTAGTGATGGTGATTTATATGATCAAGTTAAAAAATTTTATAGCATCTTCTGTGATATAACAGGTTATATATGTAACTCTCTTATAGTGTTTCAATGTGGTAATGTGAAAATTAAGGTTCATTTCCAAACCTAAGTATTTACAATTTTATTGATAATTCCCTTCTCCACATTAAAGTTAATTAAAAACTAAGAAACTACATTAATTCAAAAAAGGTTGTTTTATCTGGCATTATGTCAACAGAGTGCATATTACATGAAAATCTTGATTATAGACCATAATTAATGCTTTTCCTGGAATGAAGGCAAGGAAATTTCATGGAAAAATATGTAATCATTATGAGATGTTTTAAAAAAGCCATTTAATAAATTTGGACACTGCCTCTCTTTCAGGGGCCAACCCTGGCAGAGCTGGGGCAGGACCGTGGAAGCTGGCGGGGCAATACAAACTTGGCTGCAATGCCAAATGATGAGGACAAGACTAGGGGGTGAATAAAGGCTGAGAGCCTTCCGCCCTGAGGTTCTTGAAAAAATGGTGGCCCACACCTGTAATCCCAGCACTTTGGGAGGATTGTTTGAGATCAGGAGTTTGAGACCAGCCAGGGCAACATAGTGAGACCTCATCTTAATAAAATAAAATAATTAAATAAATATAAATATAAATTTTAATTTGGAAAAGAAGAAAAAAATGGTCTATGCTTGCTCTCTCGCTACTTCCTTGAGCTCCTGTTCACTACTCGGTCTAGGTTTGAACGCAGTTTGATTTTGGGCTAATTACTCTCAGCTCCTTTATCAATAAAGCAGAGATAACAAACATATCCCCCAAAGGTGCTTTGAAAATTGAATGCACCAAAGGCAGTCTACAGAGGTTAAGGTCGCACAGATGGAGGTTAATATCCTGATTCCCATGCTTGCTGAGTGATTCCTTAAGCTCTCTGAGCTTTAGTTCCTTAGCTGTAAGGAGATCCCTCCCCGCCTCTGGCTGAACTGGTCGGCTGGCACGGTGGCTCTGAGCTTCAGTTGCTGGAACGACCCCAGACCTGTTCTTGTACCATTCCTTTACTCACTGTTACATTCCACAGAATATTTGAGCATCTATTGTGTCTGTAAATGTGAATACACTGATAAATAATCAAATAAAATAAAACAAAGAGAATAATGATCAGTGGGAGCATTGGGTCCAGGAGGTCCTGGGCATGCTCCTTGAACTTCTCACATCCTTTCTTAACTGTCAGTGTAGGGGCTGCTGTCCCCCACCCAGGCCTGTGCTGGTTCATCCTTGCATGCTCAGCACTGAGGCAGCACCCCTGACCTAGGTGGCTGCTCAGTAAATGTGTATAGAATGAATGAATCCTTTCTATGGTAGGCTATAGGTTTAAGAGAGCTGAACTTTGGGGCCAGAAACTGTTCAGACTCAGAAAAATTTACAGAGGTTCAAATTGGTTTCAAGTAATAATGACCCCTACCTAGCCTTTAAGAGGCAGCCTCTTCCGGGGTCACCTCCTTTCTGAGGCCTTCTGTTGTTTCCATGGCTCACAAATCCATTTTTCTCTTACCTCTTTCAGCATTTGCCATCCATAGTGGACAACATTTGATACTGACTACATGATTCTTCCTTGCCCATGTCTAACTATTGCTCTCTAGCGTCCTATAAGCTCCTGGTCTTATCTGAGATGGCTCTGAAGTTTCCTGCATTCACATCATTTTGATTTTGCTTAAAACTTTTGAGTTTGGGGCATCATCTCCAAAAATAGTTTAACTTCTCTAAGCCTCCATTTTCTCTTTTATCTAATGGAGATAAAAATACCTACCTGAGAAGGTTGACCACATGAACTGACTCATTCATTCAGAAAGTATTTTTCCAGCATCTACTATGTGCCAGCCACTGTTCTAGGTGCTTGGAATAGATCTGTGAGCAAAAGAGAAAAAATAACCTCTTCATTCATAGATTGTACATTCTAGTTAGGAGTGGCAGGCAGGTGATAGATATAAAATGTAAGACAATGTTAATAGTATGTTAAGCAGTGATAAAACCTACAAAGAAAAACAGAGGAGGAGATGGATGATGGAAAGACTGACCACAAATTAGCAACTTAAAAATATCATGGAAATATTTGTTTATTATTATTATTATTTTTTTTTTTTTTTTTTTTGAGACGGAGTCTCGCTCTGTCACCCAGGCTGGAGTGCAGTGGCGGGATCTCGGCTCACTGCAAGCTCCGCCTCCCGGGTTCACGCCATTCTCCTGCCTCAGCCTCCCAAGTAGCTGGGAATACAGGCGCCCGCCACTACGCCCGGCTAATTTTTTATATTTTTAGTAGAGACGGGGTTTCACCGTTTTAGCCGGGATGGTCTCGATCTCCTGACCTCGTGATCCGCCCGCCTCGGCCTCCCAAAGTGCTGGGATTACAGGCATGAGCCACCGTGCCCGGCCTATTATTATTTTTTATTTTATTTATTTACTTAGTTTTGAGATGGAGTCTTGCTCTGTCACTCAGGCTGGAGTGCCGTGGCACGACCTTGGCTCACTGCAACCTCCGCCTCCTGGGTTCAAGTGATTCTCCTGTCTCAGTCTCCTGAGTAGCTGGAATTACAGGTGTGCACCACCACATCCAGCTAATTTTGGTACTTTTAGTAGAGATGGGTTTTTGCCATGTTGGCCAGGCTGGTCTCGAACTCCTGATCTCAGGTGATCCGCCTGCCTTGGCCTCCCAAAATGCTGGGATTACAGGTGTGAGCCACCGTGCCCAGCCTATTAGTTTATTTTTAAAATCTATACTAACAAAAATAAAGCAATCATCAATTCAGTACACTCTCATAAGCTGCCCTAAACTTCCACAAAGGCAGCATCCAGCACTCCCACATGTGTTGGCCTTGGCGTTGATTTCTCCATGGCGATTTTCAGAAATGAGAATGCTGTGTCTGCGGTCAGAGATGAACACATTCTTGTTGGATTGAAAAGAAAGCAGATACAAAAGGAAATGGAGAAACATCTGGCTGTTCCCAGTCCTTCTCTGCTGGGTCAGAACAAACTCACACATCAGTCAGGGGTTGTTTTTCATGAACAGAATGGCTAGTGGTGGCTTTTCATTGAATTAGGAACTGGGAGGGGCTAATGATCCAGATGAGTGGGGTTGAACTGGGAGGGGCTAATGATCCAGATGAGTGGGGTTGACTTCTAGGACATTTCCAATCCAGACACTCACAATAAAGTATGAGGTAACCTCCTGGAGAATTCAGGAGGCCTCCTCCAATTCTCCTCCAATATGGTAAGATTCTTTGACCCCAATTTCTTTGGGCATTGAACAGGTCAATAATTATGATAACTCAGAATGGGGATTCTTCATCTACCATGTAGGAAAGACCATTTGTGATTTTATCTAACCCAGAATTTGGCGTTATGTAGTTGCCGTGTCTGTTTGTGTGTTCTCTTCAAGTGGTGGCAAATTATTCTTAGCATGAACTGGGGCATTTGTTCACCAAATTCTCCTTCAGCTCTTGACCTGTGCCTGGCACAAGAAAGACATCCTACTAATTCTTGCCCTCGTGAAGCTTTTATTCTGGTGAAGAAGACAGGCATTTTTAAGTGAAGGATTGCAATATTGCTTGGTAAGTGCAGTGTGTCCAGAGTGGATGACAGAGATAGGATGTGAGGGGGAAGAAGTAGGCAGGACCTAGATGATGAATGGAGTCCTAAGTCCTGTTAACAGAGTAGGGAATGTTTCAGCAGTGGAGTGAGAGAACTGGCTTTGCACTGGAAGGGTCACTCTGCCTGTGGAGTCGAGTTTGGAATGGAAAGGCAAGCCTCTTAAGGAAGGAGATGAGTTAGGAGGCTAGTGAAGCTATTATACTGGAATACAGAAAATTGTGCATGTCCTTCAACCCAGAGTGTTCAACTTTAATGTATTTAATACATTTTTGATTGTTTTAACCTCTGGACTTGAAAACATTGTCCAATATTTTGACAGATCATAGTTTTGTTATGTTCCAGGTTTTTTTTTTTTTGCCGTATTCATTTTCTGCCTTAGGCCCTAGATGTCTTAGCTGGTCATATCTCTACCACTGGAGAGTTGAGTTGCCATGGATTATTTCCCTGATCCTGATTAATTCGATTCCAATTCACTCTGCAAACGTGCACTGAGGGCCTGCCAAGTGCCCCATCCCATCCCAGGTGCTGCTGATATGATGACAAGTATGAAGTGGTCCCCTGGGGATGTGAATTTCTGTTTTGAGTCAATGGAGAATTAATAGGAAAACTTTGGACAAGCATCAAATTCAGTTAAATGAAATCAGAAAGTGTTGTACCTGTGGTTCTCAATGATCCCTCATAACAACCCTCTGAGGGAGATGTGCTTTAAATTGCTTTGGAGAAGCCAATATTGATGCCTAGAGCTGTGAGGACACTTGCACAAGGCTGCAGTTAGGTTTTATCAATGAGGTGTGAATCCAGGCCCCCGGACCCAGTCAAAGATCATGGATGGAAAGAGTTCAGCAGGTGCCTGGGTGGGGAGCACAGGGCTGGCCTAAGTGTGCTTCTGTCTGGGATCTCCATGTAAGTTGGGATACTACCCAGGGAGTTGCTTGTCTAGGTCCCAGCGGGAACGATGAAAACAATTTCAATAAGGCCATGACAGTGAAGAATCCCCAGATGTTTCACCCTGAAAGCACTGTTTATTTCTGTCTTCTCCCAGTCTGGGGGCCCTGGAGCCACCTGGTAAGGACCACACCAACCACAGTTCAACCCATACATATGTTTACATGGGGTCCTCTCTCAGGTGAGCCAGGCTCCATGGGTCAGTGAGACAGAAGAGGCTGGCCCTGCCTTTCTGGATAGACTCCCGCTGAGCTCTGAGCTCTGAGATGAGCTGGCCCAGGAGATTCAGGGACATCACCGACCTCCCTAGAGACCAGAGCTGGCCAGGGATGCCTGTGTGTCCCCCGACTCTGAGGAGGTGGAATCTGGATGGGCGTTTTACTGGAACGTTGCAGCAAGAATCAAGCCTGGAACTGAAAGACTCACTCTTACCATCCCCAGTGCCTCCAGATCCTGTGGGACAATGTGATTCTGATGTGAGTAGCAGCAGGAGGGAAGGGAGATCCTCTCCCCGGCTAGTGACACATGGGAATGGTCCACATCAGTGACAAGGACAAACTCTCCTAGGGAGAGTAGGGAACATGGGTCCTGATGCGTGGTGTTTGGGGTTTCAAGGGATGCAAGAGGCCTCCAGGAGGCTGGGATGAGCTGGGCTTGGCACTGCTTGGAGAAGGTTCTGGAGCCTAGTGCAATCAAAGATGGAAGATGAGGAGCTGCTCTTAGACACAAAGCCAGGGGATTACCAGGAGATTGCCATTGTCCAGCGTATTCTTGGGAGAAGGGAAAATTGGAAGGAGTGAGTGAACCCCCAGGTTGGCAGCCAGAGAAGGATATGGACGCTTGAGGAACAGCAATGCTGAGCGACTCTATTGAGCCCCCTTTTACTGACGTCCCAAGGAGACATCAGGGACAAACATGTTGGAAGGTGTTGAGGAAGGACAAACGGAACCACCACTGAGATGTGTTCATTTATTAGCTTTTGAGAGTTTAAATGGAAATATCTTCCCGTTTCTGTCCTGTAGGGAGAGGTACACTGCGCTGAGCAAACACTTTCTGTTTCCGAAATAGACTCATTGTCTGTCTGCATGGGGAGGAACTCCTGGTGATGACCGGTTTCCTCACTGCTGCAGAAGTTCATCTTCAGGAAAGGAGTGGTTTAAAAATGGATCAGAACTTGCACAGACTCATGGTCTAGGACAGTCGGGAAGGCCCCGCTGATGGATCCATTAGCTCAACACTTGATTTCACACAGGAGAAAATGGAGCCCAGTGGAAGGAAATGACCTGCTCAACATCATGTAGCAGGTTGGTGGGACACCCAGGGCTGGCACAGGGACCTTTGGCTCCTGACTCAGTGACCTTTCTCTACCACATTATTGAGACATGACAGAAATGCTTGGTTTGGTCACTTCTGAAGGGCCTGCTTGTGAGAATTGCTTGGGCCCTTTTAAAATTTCTAATGCCCCATTTTTATCTTTTCTTCACCTTAGAGATTATTATTTACTTGGTCTTGGATGGGAACGAGGCTAGTCTTTGTTAAACTAACTTCACCTGATGCTTATACAGGAAGATCTGGGTGGAAATCTAAATCTAAAGCACACACTAAACATAATTTCTGTGAAGAGACAGCTCATGAAAGAACCAAGAGGCCTCTCTGGTTGAGATGGTTTTGGAATGACAGTCAGCTGCTCAGGGAAAGGGCAACCCCTAGGCCTCTCTGCCCAGTTCTTGGCCCAGGGTGTGGGAGGGAGTAGGTGTCTGAGAATGAGAAAACACTTTTTGAATGAATGAATGAATGAATGAACTAGAGCACTTGATTCTGGAAGTGGTCTAAGGTGTGAGCAGAGGAACTCTAGGTAAGGTGATTGGAAAACTGTCATTCTATTTTTTTTTTTTTTTTTTTTTTGAGAAGGAGTTTCCCTCTTGTTGCCCAGGCTGGAGTGCAGTGGTACGATCTCAGCTCACTGCAACCTCCGCCTCCTGGGTTCAAGGGATTCTCCTGCCTCAGCCTCCCGAATAGCTGGGATTACAGCATCTGCCACCACGCCTGGCTAATTTTTTGTATTTTTAGTAGAGACAGGGTTTCACCATGTTGGGCAGGCTGGTCTCGAACTCCTGACCTCAGGTGATCCACCCACCTTGGCTTCCCAACGTGCTGGGATTACAGGCGTGAGCCACTGCACCCAGCCAGAAAACTCTCATTCTTAGGGCTCTTTCTTCTTCTATTTATTGACATGACAGCGAGGTAAAACTTTGAGATGGATCTAGAAATGCTTAAGAGAATAATGCATGTATTGGATGGATGGAATCTCAGAGTGGATGAATGCTCATCTGTTTTCAACAGCTTTCCTAATTAGCTAGATGACCGTGGCCATGGGATTATCTTTTCTGTCTTAGTTTTATCATCTGTCATATAGAGCTACTGATGCCTCCAGTTCTGCCTCGCCCAGAGATTCATTCAGTGCACATGTATGGGAGGTGCACTTGGAACCACCCATGGGCTAGCTGTTAAGCCTGCAATGATAAGGAGACAAGATGCCTGCTCACCCAGAGATGACCAGGTCATCCACTTCTTCATTAGTGGTTGACAAACTTGCATCAGGTGCCTGCAACCTGCCTGGCACTGTGCTTATGAGGATCAAAACATGAATGCTGGGGAAGGTACTTACAAATAATGTTTTGAAAAATATAAAGCATTAATTCAAAGTTTGGCATTGCTCCAAGTGCCAATGTCTTCCCCTAGTTGATGGTCTGGAATGGCTATCCCGTCCTTCGGGAACTAAGCTTGGAAGTCATTGTGTCGTTCCTGCTTACCTCCCTCAGGTGTCCCTTCTATTACTACCTTTATTATACGTGATGTTCTGTTTGGAGGTTTGTTTCCTCCCTCAGTGTTTACATACCTTTAGAGGAAGGGTGGTCTCTTTTTCATATGTCAACCTCCCCCAAACAATGGATGCTTAATATCTGCTTATGTAACTGAGTGAATATAATTTTGTGCCAACTGGAAAGGTGCTCTAAACTGCACTTAAGTAGTGCTCCTGGCGAGGCATATGCTAAATAGCTTTATAAAATGTAAATGTACGTATACAGTTTAACAGAGGTATAGCTTGCTGTATCTTATATTTTTAAAACCTAATAAAAGAAATCACAAATTTGGTAGCATTTTAAGTGTTCACCATTTGTAGTGAAGGGTAGAAAGTGCTCTCTCTCTCTCTGTATGTGTGTGTATGTGTGTGTGTGTGAATTTTCTCCTGGGTTCTGGGGGCAAGGAGAGAATACTGACTAATTTCTATGTGCTGCTTCCAGGGACCAGAGGCTGATTGCGGTTTTAAATTGTTTTTGTTAATTATGGTAATAATGTTTTTCAAATAAGTTGCCTTATGCAAAAGTGGTTGAGAGGGTGTGCTTCCAAAGAATTTTTGTCTGGCTACAGCAGGCATTTCATGTTGGAAAAGACTTCTTTAAGGCAGAAAGAATGAGAAGAATGCCTAGACAGCAGGACTCTGTCTAGAGAAAAAGAAGATCTTAAAGAGGAGGGGGTGGTAGGAGAATGGCACAAAGAGAGAGACAGAGTGTGCCAGATGGAGAAAAAGAGGAGGACAGTTTCAAAGAGGAAGATGGGTATTGAGAGAGCAGAGGTGCAGAGACCGAGAAGTCGAGAGAGACAGAGTTGCAGAGGGACAAGGCCTGAGATGGGGACATATACATAATCAGAATCAGAGACACAGAGACTGATGCACTGGGAAGACAAGGAGAGACAGCAGGCCCGGGAGCATCTGCAGGCGAAGGCATAAGACTTGGGTATGATTGCTAGATAGATCGTGGCTAGGAAGCATTGCCGATAATTGGTCCATGGGGAATTTTTAATAAAATCTTTAAAGCGATTAAAGGCCATTTTATTGAAAAGAGATCTGGGCCTCTTTATGAAGAGACACCAACCTGGGCCATTTTCTCTTCCTGTGCTCAGCTGCTGTTTCAGTTGCTCCTTGGAGAAGAGGTTGTGGCTTTACCCCCGGTCTTCCTCTTGCCTGTGGCAGAGCTGGGGAGCTCCACCTCACCAGGTAATTCTGGAGAGAGCCCACACAGAGCCCCAGCATAGGCCTTGGTTTCTTTGGTTTTGCTGCCCAGATCCCAGGCCTTGCTGGAACAAAGGCTGTTATTTTTACATCTTAAATTGCTGTTGCAGAGAGCAAATGCAGCTTACAGCAATTCCTTTGCTTCTGAGACTTTCTTTGGGGTCAGACCTGGTAGGATTTTAAGTGTTTATCAGGCAGAAAAAAAACACAATTAGCCAAAAGCATGGTCTGTATGGTTTCTTCTCTCTCCTTCCTGAGGTCAGTGACCCCATCCAGGTCCCTCACCATGATGTGACTCCTTACGTTAAAGGAGACCAGGCAAGAAAGAGGAGGGTAAGATCCCAGAAATCATCAGTTCATTTATCTCATTTTACAGACAGAGACTGAGGTGCCTAGAAGGAGACTGACTAGAACCCTAGGGCTCTGTGTGCAAGACTGGTACTCTTACTCCCATAGAGGCAGAAGGGCACCTCTGCCATCAGCCTGCTGTCTTGGCCCACACCCCTGCCCATGGCAGACATCACAAATCAATCATAGGCATCACTAATCAATCATGACCTGCTGCTGCTGGACCCTTCTCAAGACAGTGCTTAGGGGGCAGCAACAATCATTTAGATTCTGCATGTGAGATGCATTCTTTTTGCCCTTCCTGCACCAAGCACCACTCTCTTGCTGATGTGTTTGTGTTTCTTAGGTAGATAGCTTTATAGTCTTAATCTGTGCCCTACTGTCCACTAGTTAATAATAATAACACATATGATGTTAGAGTTAGAAGGGATCTAGCCTATCCCTTCTTAGGAATGTAAGTGTTGTTTATGCATGAAAGTGAGGAAGTGGGAGGGAATGTATCAACCATCCACTCTCAAGGGTTATTTATCTCCTTGCTTTAATGTTTATTTTGGGGGACCAGGGAGTACCTGTAGTGAGACCATAGGAATTTGTGTTTTGGTTCTTGGCAAGGAAGTTTTTATTCTTCCTTGGAGAAATTGATAAAACCATTGGTCAGAGAATGGCAAAGTTCATACAGCACACCAGCTGGTGCTTTAATCATTCCATTGGTGAGGGAAGGATTTCACCCTACAGTTATGGGATATGGGATTGGCTGCACCTATGACACCTGACACTGGACGGGGGAGATCGATAGTTTATTCTTCACATATACTCACAGCCCCAGGGGGAGGACACTGCGTGCCATGCTGGTCCCCATGAGGATTGCATGTGGGATCACAGAGAGCAAACCAGGCTGTGAGAGGCAGGCTTACTGGCGGGGGTGCCCCCTGGTTCCCACAAGAGGATCTGATTGGCTTATTTTAACAACTCTGTTGGAGGAGGAACTGAAACACGCTATTTAGGGATAAGCAGGAACCATGGCCGGTGTCATGATGGGTAGGGTTGTTTGCCTGAGGGCCTTATCCATGGGAGCGGAGGAGGGAGGGGAACTTTCAGTTAGGCCATCTGAGGCCCTGCCAGTTTCACCAGATGTCAAGGCAGCCCGCCATATTGATCCTTAACTTTAGGCCTTACACCACAACTGGGATAGGGAGAGCTGAAATTTGAACCCAGGGCTGTTGGACTCCAAAGCCTGTGATCTTTCCCACCCGCCATGCAGGCTCCTGCCAAAAGCTTGTGGAATCAAATGTGAGCAAGTGGTTCTTCTCTGTGTGTGTCTGCATTTGTATTTCTTTGCACCTGGGCATTGTTTTAACAATAGAATTCATTTTCTTCAAAATTTCCCTTTGTACTGTCATGTTGTAGTGGTTGGGAGAACCAAAATATTCTAAATTAATTCAGGCTTTGTCTTAGAATCAGAGAATGAGGTAACCAGTCAGTGGGACTGAATACAGCCAAGACTGGAAAACACAGATTCATTGAGCTGACAGGAGTTGTGCCCCACTTAAATAATTAGAACATGACCATGAATACAAATGAGTAGAGTAGATACCTTGGCAGATTCATATTCATGCTGCCGGAGGATCTTAAGCCTTACAGCAGGAGTCCCCCAGGAGTTCCTTGAAACAACAAACTTCCTGCGTGCATGTAAAATAACACTCCAAGTATATAACTACTGTTTACACCCTAAGAAGGTTTTGGGGTCGTGGCTGTTATGAAAGGAGATATAACATTGATTTAAAAAAACCAGATGGTGACACTGAATAAAGAGAGGAGTAATGATGATATCAGTTCGTACTGTGTGTGTCTGTGTGTGCCACTGTGCTAGGCATTTCCCATACATTTTCTTCTTTATCTCACAAGATCCTCTCAATGCAGATCGTATTATTACTCATTTAAGGTGAGGAAATTGAGGCTTAGAGAATTTACTTGTCTCAAGGCACCCAGCTAGTAATTGATGGAGTTTACTTGCTACTTACATTACAGAGTGTCTGTAAGGATGAAAGGCAATGTGTATAATGATTTAGCAGCTTGCCTGTTACCCACTACGCCTTCTATAAATAGCAGCTCTTCTCTTTATTCTGGCATTCTGTATCCCAGTGACTCTCCTGAGACTATATGTATTGGCGTCCAGTTGGGGGCAGGTCATTGCTGCAGATCCACGAGCTCCACTGTGTGGGCTGATGTAACTTTGATCTGAGGGTCTTTACCCACCATGGTCCTCACAAATTCCTGATTTCCAAAGGCACTGGGAATCCCCAGGAAGAAACTCATTATAGTGGGTTGACTGATGACCAACCAAAACATATTGGTGTCCTAAACACTGGAACCCGTGGATATGAACTTATTTGGTAAAAGACTCCTTGTGGATATAATTAAGGATCGGAAGATAAGATCATCTTGGATGTACCTGGTGGGCTCTAAATACAGTGACAGTGTCCTTGTCCTTGGTGAGACACATGGAGAGAGGGGGATAAGATGATGTGAAGACTGGGCCAGAAATTAGAGTTATGTAGTCAGAAGCCCAGGAACACCTGATGTCACCAGAAATTGGAAGAAGCAAGAAAGGGCTCTCCTCTAGAGCCTTCGGAGGGAGTGATACCCTGATGAGTTCTTGATGGCAGACCTCTGCCTCCAGAACTGTGACACATAAGTTCCTGTGGTTTGAAGCCACCAAGTCTGTGTTAATTTGTTAAGAGAACCCCAGGAAATGAATACCACCCAAGTGTCCCTAGGACCTTCTCCTGATGAGGCAGGAAGATGACCAGCCTGAGTCCCCAGAGCCCTGGGCTCTTGCCCTGGTCTGCCACCAATGGACTGTGGGACTTGAAACAATCTATTTTGCTCTCTGGGCCTCAGTTTCCTCATCTGTCGAATGAGAGGGTTGGGGGGATGGGAGTACAAAATGGGAACACAGAGTGACCAAAGGTAGAGGTTAGAGTTTTTGGAGCTGTTGAGACTGGAATTGTCAAGTACTTGTGACATTTGGAGAGGGGTAGGGGCTGGAGGGCAGTGAGACAGAGGGAGGAAGGGCTGGGGTGGGGGGCACGTCTATTCTGTGGAATGGGCGACAGAGGCAGAACAGCTGTGTGTCTGCGCCCCTCAGAGGCAGCAGCTGATTCTGTCCCTAGTTCACTTTGCTGTGCTTGGAGAAAGCCAGCTATGTGGCGGGGGGAGGGGTGTGGGCTGCCATTCGGAACCAGTTCATTCCAGTCAGCCACAGCGATGTGACATGGTGGGGAAGAAGAGTATCAAGCTTTTCATTTGAGATCATTCAGCTGCAAGTTATGGGAGAAACATTTAAGATAGTCCTGCAGCTTTTGTTTTTTTTTAAATCCCAGAAATAATTTTTTTGACCTAGTTTTGGTTGTGCTCAGGATGTGGTTATACTTAACTAAGCTGAAGTACAATACGCTTTACTCAGTGTCCTGGAACCACCTTCAGAGCTGCTTGTGTGCTGGGGTCTCCATACTGTATGGTGGGGCCATCCGGGTGAGGCTCCACCTGAAAGCTGAGCAGGTCGCTGTGGCTCAAAGGTCAGGAGCGTGGGGCTCTGGGATGGGACTGCACTGGTTCTGCCACTTACAGCTGTGTGACCTCGGCTGAATTACTCACCTCTCTGAACTCCAGTTTACCCAACTGCACAGTGGGGATAAATGTGCCTTCCTTTGTTAGTGATTTGCTCATCGGATCTTCACAACAGCCCTGTGAGATAGAAGCTGTTAGTGACCTCATGCTACAGACGAAGACTTGGCCCCATGGGGAGGTTAAGTAACTGTTTTGTGGCCATCTCTTATGGCCATAGAGTGGCCAAACCAGGAGTCTGGCTTGAGTCTATGCTCTTAACCATTGCCCCTTCCTGCCTTTTCAGATGATGGATGTTCAGGAGTAAGTATTGCCATTTTGTGGAGGAAGCTCAATTCTGCCCACTCTGGAGGTCCAGAAGGAAGAGAGGTTGCTAGAATGTGGACCCAACTCAATGGGATTGGGTTAAAGTCCTGGAACACCAATGCCTGTTTGGTGGGCAACTTTATTGTCGTTTCTCAGAAATGGTTCCCTTTGGTCCTTACTGGCAATAGTGACCTGTCTTGGAAGCTGCTGTGTCCTCCAGATGACATACACACTGTGTTACCCTCCTCTCAACAGGTGGCAGAGGGGTGGTGGTGGGGGGTGGTAATTACATGGTAATACCCATTTTGTCAGACCACATCAAACAATTAATTCTGGCTTCTCCCTGGAGAGGGGATTGGCATTTTAGCAATGTGTGCGTCTTGGGAAGGGGCTCCCAGTCTAGCCATCTGAGGTCTCCTGGTTCCTCTGCCTACATCTCCAACCCCATCTCCTTCCTGCCCTCCTTCAGGACCTGCTCCTCTCTATGTGTGCTGTTCCATGGCTGTGTTTTCACTCATGCAATTTCTTGTACCTGAAATTCTCACCCCTCTCTCCCTCCACTGTCTATCCTGAGGATTTCTTCAGGCCTAAGCTTACGGATCCATCATTTCCTCTCTCAGGCAGCTGACTCTCTAGTTGCGGAGGCAGACAGACAAGTAAATGGACAAATAATTATGCATTAGGATTTGGAAATGAAGTGCTTAGTTATATGGAGAGTCGTGGGAGGAGGCGTCCCTGAGATACAGCTGCCGGAAGGGGAGCCAGTCAGGCCCAGTGCTGGGGGCGGGTGCAGCTGGTGGAAGAGAACTTATTTCTTGGAGGATCACGTGTCCTGAGATCCTGAGGTAGGAAAGCTTGCGTGTTCCAGGAACTAAAGGAAGGCCAGAGGAGCTAGAATGTGATGCACAGTTGGGAGAACAGTAGCAGGTGGGTTTGCAGAGGCACACCTGCAGGATAGAGAGTTTAGATTTAAATATAATGCAAAACATATGCTTTGAGGCTGTCCCTCTGGCGGCTCTGCTGAGTCTTAGTGGGGAACCAGGTCAGCGATCACTGGAGTGATGCAGTGAGTGGTGGTGGTGGCTGGACTTGAGTTCTAGGCATGGAAGTGAAGGGAAGACAGAGGTTTCTGGATTTATTCTGGAAGTCAATGTGCAGATAAAGAGAAGGGAAGAGTCAGGGATGGCTCGTGGGTCTCTGATTGGAGCAACTGCATTAGATGGTGGTGTCATTTCCTGAGAAGGGCGATCCTGGAATGAGCCAGTTTGGAGGTGAAATCCAAGCCAGTTTGGAGGTGAAATCTGGTGTTGGCAGGCAGTCATTGTTGGTGTGAGCTGGTGGAGGCACTGACCAGGCATCTGGGTAGAAAGGCTGTAGCTCTGAGTGGAGGGTATAACCTTTCTCTCTTTCTAACACTGATGGTGCAGCCCCAGCACTAGAGGCCTCATGATCCCACCAGAAGAGGAAGGGAGACGGAAAGCCTGTAACATTGGAACTAGTATGAGGATTTGAACCTGGCCCATCCTGGCTCCCTTTGGAAAATGAAGTCTGTATTTGCCCATCTTCAGGATCCAGATGTCTCTCCCATTATCTGTTTTAAAAGATAAATTTCCTGTGTGATTCTGCAGCCAGATCCAGGTGGAGGGTTCATCTAGGCCAGTGTCTCGCATCCTGGTAGGATCTTTCATATGTTCCAACTTGTTCCTGCTTACGGAGGTTTGTTCCTCATTTTCCTTTGGAACACATTGTTTTTGCTGAAGACAGAACCACCAGTTGAGGTTAAAAAAGAAAAAAAAGACCACTTTCACCTGTCATCTGTTACCACCCACCATCTGCCCCAAGTGAATCCCCCATTTTGTTCCCCCGACCCACACACCCTAGGTCAGGCAGCATCATTTTGGTCATAACCTGTCTTTCCTCTGCTCCTCTGCGCTCTTCCTGTAGATTTGAAGAACTTTTAAAAATGTTTCCTGCCAGCACCTCGTGTCACCTGTTCCTTTTGTCAGCTGGTAGTTATGAGGGAGCCTTTCCCATTTCCCAGCGTTGGCTTCTTGAGACTTCTTATCGAACAATTTGTGATGAACTGTTGGAATTTCATTTTCCTAGACGTTTTCTTGGGCCCAGACTGCTACCATTTTCCTGAGAGCTTCTATGTGCCCCTCACATGCATGAATATATTTAGTCATCAAATATCTTAAAATATATTATTCATATGTAGAGATAATTGGAACACAAGACTGTGTATTACATCTGCACATACACTTATCTAACCAGAAAATTTAGAAAACACAGCAAAGCCCTCCTAATGTTTGCAGGTTGACTGTATGAGCCGTTTAAACATTCACCTCTGCCCCACATCCCCTGCTCAAACTCCTCCTGGTATATGCCAGTCATGCCTTCCTGTTTACCTTTCAAATCATGTTTACTTTGGGGATTAAAATTTAAATGTATTTCATGTCAACCCAAGCAACTTTTTTGTTTTTTGTTTTTTTTGCATCTCTACATCTCTACTATGTGCTGGTCTGGGAGCTGGAGTGACCGAGGTCGAGGAGAGAAACCCAGGGGCCCTCTGTGCAGTGCTTCCCAGCATCTAGAGCCCCAGTTAGAGACTCTCCTCACAGACTCCAGAAATGCAAAACACATGGAAAGCACAGAAACATGTTGCTTTTGCAACATCATTTATCAACACACCTCAAGAACACTGGGGTTTGGTACAAATTAGTTATTCACTGAAGCATAAAGCAGTTAAATAAACACTTATGCTTTCCCAGAGGATTCTTCCCTCCGTGAGTCTGTTCTGACCACAGTGACCTCCCTTATGTGCTGCCTGGGATCTGGTTCATCTCTATCTTTTGAAAAAAGAACACAGCCCACACACTTCCGGGTGTCAGCCGAGGAGACATCAAGTCCTGGTGCTGGATGTTTCTGGCTCAAGGGAAAAGGGCAAGCTGCAGATGTCGCCAGGCTGGTCTTCTGGCTGTGGCAGCCCAGAAGGTGGATGGACCCTCATCATCTGTGTCCATGACACTGCAGTGATGTTTTCTAAGGCACATCGGGACTTACCCACCCAAATATTCCTTCCCTTGGGTGGGCAACCTGTTATGGACTGAATGCATCCCTCCAAAATTCATATGTTGAAGTCCTAACTCCAAGTGTGATAGTATTAGGAGGTGGGGCTTTGGGGAGGTGATTAGGTCATGGGGGAGAATCTTCAAGAATGGGATTAGTGCTCTCTTGTACAAGAGACCCCAGAGCCCTCTCCCATCTCCCATGTTCTGCCCACCATATGAGACCACAAGGAGAAGGTGTCAGTCTGCACCCCAGAAGAGGGCCCTGACCAGAACCCAGCAATGCTGGCACCCTGATCTTGGACTTCCAGTATCCAGAACTGTGAGAAATAAATTTCTGTTGTTTATAAGCTACTCACTCTCTGGTACTTTGTTATAACAGCCCAAACTGACTGAGACAGTACCCATGTATTCCAACGTGGGAGTGCTGTTCGTTTTATCCTTTAAGAGATGACATGTTGACATGTTTGGAAGAATGCAGGTTTTCCGGTAAGACAGTACTGGGCTCAATTACAGGACTTATCAGTTGTTGTTACTGATGCTGAATATCTGTGTTGCCTTGGAAAGTCACTTCGGGATTTTTGAGCCTCAGTTTTCTCATCTCTAAAATGGGCTAATAATATTGACCATCAAAGATTTGTTTTGAGGTACAACACCTAGAATAGCACCTGTATCTACTGGCTACATAGAAAACAGTTCTCATTTTTCTGATCTACAGAGAGCACTCTCTGAGGGCACAGGCAGCTTCAGTGGTGGAGATGGGTGTGGCTGTCCATTGTCTTTTCTCTGGCCCCCATGATGGTTTTCTTGGAAAGCATTTTAAGGCTAAGAAAGGCTCTGTCTGGTCTCAGGAATCAGGACTCAGGCACTGGATGTTTTTTGTGTGAATTTTCCATCAGTGTATTAACAATGGTAAGACAGAGGGAGATAATGCTCTTAAAAGCAGTATTAAATGAAAAATGTTGCATTTATTATTGCATTTTACTAGGGTGGCTCTATCTTCAATGATGCCCGTGACCTGCAAATCCAGAAATCCAGACAAATGGTCTAATAGTTTTCAAAGTTTTTACAGCTGAAAATTGAGAGGATGAAAGGTGCTGTGGTTAAGCCAAGGTGAGAGAACACTGTTGTTCAGCAGGGAGCCTGGCAGTGGAAGGAATTTCTGCCTTCTTCAAAGAGTGCTGCCATGCCTTAGTTCCCGAAGTATTAGGCTTTTGGACTGGAAGGCATTGTATTGACCTTTTTAGATGGATCTCTTCTCAGTGATGTTGCCTCGCTTTTCTCATGCTTCTCCCATGTGCTGGAGATCACTTACATCTTTGTGTATCTTATGGTAGGTGCTGTAATGCCCATTTTACAGATGAGAAAACTGAGGCTTAGAAATTGACTTGCTTTACGTCACATGGCTTTTAAAGATTGAATTAGGACTTGCACAGAAGTCTGACCACAATGCTGCCTGCTGCTTTTCCTCACCTTTCTCTGTGCCCACACCCCAACACCACTTACAACTATCTACTTTTTATTTTTATGTTTTTAAATTTATTTAATTTATTTTTTGAGACATAGTCTCATTCTGTTGCCCAAACTGGAGTCCGGTGGCATGGTCTCGGCTCACTGCACCCTCTGCTTCTCCAGCTCAAGTGATTCTCTGGCCTCAGCCTCCCAAGTAGCTGGGACTACAGGCACGCACCACCACACCTGGCTAATTTTTATATTTTTAGTAGAGACGATGTTTCATCATGTTGTCCAGGCAGGTCTTGAACTCCTGGTCTCAAGTGATCCACCTGCCTTGGCCTCCCAAAATGCTGGGATTACAGGTGTGAACCACTGTGCCCGGCCATCTACTTTTTAAATTTAGCAATTGAGGAGGGTGAAACCCGAGTGGGGAATAAATGACTTACCCCTAGTCACAGAGACCATTAGAGGCAGAGTCGGGTTGAGACCCAGAGCTCCTCCCTCCCTCGCCTGCTTTTTTCTGCTCTCCTGCCAGCCTTCCGTGAGCACGCCTCATTAAACCCACACAGAGCCACGGATGTTTCCTCAGCTCTGTCACAGATCCCTTCTTGCTGGCTGCCAGTTAATGCCGCTCCTCTTCAGAAAGCCTATGGTCTGAGTTTATATTTATCTTGTCCTCAGGCTTCAAAGTAATTGTTTCCTCCTTGTTTTCGTGTGGGTCACTCAGTGTGGGTAATATGTTCTTACTCAGAAAAAAACCAGCACTGCCTTCTTATTCCCAATCACAGTGCCAGCATGCTAAGTGTCGTGTCCCTGATCCAATCCCGGTGATCTCAGGAAATCTCCTCTGGAAGATGAGGGGGGTGTGGCTCGGTGGAGAAATATTCCCCTCAACTAGAGCCAGGAGTGCTTTTGCACCACGGACCTTGGGTGGATTGAAGCCATCCTCACTCTGCTGCCCTCTGGCTGGCTCATGGGTCTCCAGACCTGCATCCTCTCAACTCCAAGGCCAACAGAAAGAGAACGTTTTTTTCCTGTTGTTGTCCACAGAGGTTCCAGAACTAGGTTCTGAATGACTGGCTTGGCATATATTCCGGGAGCACTCCCATTGCTTGGACTCCATTAGGAAGGAAGTCTGTTTTGTTCACGGACATATCCTTCTTATTCAGTGCCATGCCTGGAATGAATGAATGAATGAATGAATGAATGGATGGATGGATGGGTTTGCCCAGGTCTGAGTCAGATGACCGTCTTGCTGCTAAGTGGTCAAGTCCCCAGCACATAGAGTGTGTATGTCACCAGAACAGAGACTATATGCAGATTAGGTTTCCAAAAAAAAGTAGATGTCTCCCATGGCTGTCCATGTGCTGGGTGTTTTCTGTTTGCCTCTCCAAATCTATTCTCCACCCATGGGAGACTCAACTTGTAAATTTCACCAGTGGCCTCCTTGCCTCTGAGTTCTGATTGGATGCAGACAATAGGAGGAACCAGCAGGAGATGGGTGGGTCAGAGTCAGGAGGAGAGGACTTGGTCCCCTCCCTGTTGGGCTGTTGTGGGCCACAGCTCCTCCAAGAGCCATCAGTTTTCCTGGTTTCTGACAACTGGTCTCTCCCCTGGCCTCCTTAGTTGGAGAGATGGTAACAGTTCTCTGTTATTGCCAATCCCAGGGGCTTCACCCTCCCTTGTTGATTTCCCTAAACCTTTCCTCACCTTTGTAAATAGTCTCTATACGGGATGTTGCCCACTTTCAATGTTTGCATGAGTGTATGGGATCAGACTCGTACAGCCTGTCAGGTTAAACGAGGATTAGATTTGTTCTGCTCAGTTTCTTTGGGCAGAAGGAGGACCCAATAATGGTGGTGGCTACTTGGACATAAGTTTCTCCCTAGAGAACTGTTAGCTCCTCCACCCTTCAGGCTCCCTCAGACGTGTCCCCTTGCACATGTTAGCCCTTCTGTTTAGATTGTTTATCTGTCTGCTCCAACAGGGAACACCTGCCCTGCCTTTCAGTTTCAGTTCAGAGGGACACCCTTCACAAAGCCTACTGCACTTACCCAGCCTTCCTGTCTGTACCCTGCAGCCTTCCGAGCTCACCTTTTCTCAGCGTGGACCCAGCCCTGGGCACCACCTTCCTCTAGACTGGAAACCCCTTGAGGGCAGGTTTTGTATCTAATTCCTCTCTGTGGCTTCAGTGCCCCATGCCTAGTACCTACTGGATGTATACACCTCTTGAGTAAATGTATGAATTTTTTTTGTTTGTTTGTTTGAGATGGAGTCTCACTCTGTCACGCAGGCTGGAGTGCAGTTGTACGATCTCAGCTCACACTGCAGCCTCTGCCTCCCAGGTTCAAATGATTCTCCTGCCTCAGCCTCCTGAGTAGCTGGGATTATGGGTGCCCGCCATCATGTCTGGCTAATTTTTAGTAGAGATGAGGTTTCACCATGTTGGCCAAGCTGGTCTCAAACTCCTGACCTCAGGTGATCCACCCGCCTCAGCCTCCCAAAGTGCTAGGATTACAGGTATGAGCCACTGTGCCCGACTGAATTTATGAATTATTAAGCTCTGTTAAGTTTGGAATTCCAAAGAGAAGATAAGTTTTTGAATTCCAAAGAGGAAGTCCAGTTTGGGATTTTGAGAGATGGTGTTTAGAGAAATACCGTCTTAGCAATGAATATTTATAGAACTTAATTTCATTTTTAGAAAAGGAAAATTATTTTTTGCTTACAAACATCAAAATAAAAACAACAACAACAAACGTGAGTGCCTCAAGACAAACATCTCATTCCCACACATGGAAGGTGTCTTCTGGTAGAACCTCTAGCACCAGGTCTGAGTCCTATTTCAGTGCCACCACTGTGGCCTGGGGTGAGTCATATGACCTCCCTGAACCTCTGGTTATTCTTTGGAGAAATGAAGGCATAGCTGGGAGGTGCCTACCAGATGGGCTCTCATGCACATGAGTAGTATGGACCAGTGTTTCTCAATATTTTGTTCATGATTATTGCCATGGTGAGTGTTTTTAGATCTTTTCTTCCTAATCCCATGAAATTTTCATGCCAGAGATATGCTGCATATGTACTGTGGCCTGTTGAAGGGCCGAAAATCATGGCAATAGCTAAGATAGCTTTTGCTCCCTAAGTAGCTTTTTTTTTTGTCCCGTTGAGAATGCACAGTTACGATGATTTATCTCTCTCTGATGGCCATCAAAAGAACTGTCCATACCATGTACAGCACCAGAGCCTGGGGCTGCTCTTGAGACATTCGTAGTCAGAGAACAGACAGAAATGGAATCCCATCTGAGCCTGTGGTCTGCAGAGCAGCCTGGGTCCCTGAGCACTGTCACTGCAGAGACATGAGTCACAAGGCTGAATGTCACTGCTGTTTGGTTCTGCAGCCGGGGGCTGGGCCCTGGAAATCCAGAGGTGGGTGACTTGGCTCCTGCAGTCAGAGAGCTCCCAGACTCATGGGGTGGTGATGGTGGTGACATTCTAAGCACCATGTTAGAGGAAATGCCAGGGCAAGAGACACCTCACTGTCCAGCCTGGTGGTGACACTCCTCTGGTGTCATTGCACTGGAGCTGACTGGAGTAGAGGTTCCTGAATCCTTATGCCTGCTACACTCAGGCTGACAAAGACATCAGGCTGAGGAGCAGACCTGGGAGGAAACGCAGGCTGCAGGAGTAGAAATGAAAGACAAGAGAGAAGTACCCTGGAGTGGAGGTTGAGGCAGTAGATGGTTCAGAGGGAGGCTGAGAGTCAGCCCAGGAGGCTGCCAGCCATAGTTTTCCACACCTGTGCTAGCTTTGATGGCCTTTAATTGCCCTTGCTTTGGTGAGCTGATGCAATCAGGCCAGAGAACACCTGAGTGACACGATAACTGCCAAGTGTCTCTAACACAGCTGACAGCAGCCCCTCTCCGGGAGGTGGTCTGGGGCTCGGAGCCCTAACTCAGCCCACTTTCCATCCCTACTTCTGCCGGACACACTGTTCCTCGTTCATTATTTATCACTCCTCTGATTTCTTATTTACATATTTCGGTTTTGCTGTCATGTATTTGATCTTGTAGGTGGCTCCAAATTCCTTGTGAAATGAGGTGGGTCATGCGTTTCTATCACGCACAGTGTTTGTTTGCTCCCTCTGTCTATTATTTTGCTATTCTTCCGCTTTTGTTTCTCCTAAAAGGATCATGCCACCTGTCTCTCCACCTTTCCCACCGTCAGTCCATGGGGTTGAAGATGGATAATTGTATCAAGTGTTAAGCTCCTAAGGGGTCCCCTCATTCCCCTTCCTCCCCAGCTCCCAGCAACTGTTCTAGTATCTGTTGTATAGCCATTGCTGACTGCACATCCATCCTCCAAAATCATGGATTCAGCCATATCAGATGTGACAGGGCTTCTCTGGTAGAATAGCTGCTGGAAATAGCAGCTGCATTTGACATGCCTTGGGCTGGCGAGGGCTCCGAGCAAGTCATCCTGCCTGATCCACGTGCTGCTCTGAATGTTAAATCTAGTGGGGTTGAGGGGAGGCCAGGCATCTCTCAGCTCTGCTAGAGGGGATCCCTCCCTGGGCTTCCCTGGGCTTCCCTGCTCCCTCCTGACTCTCTGCCCTTCTGCAGGGGCAAGCACATCTTCTGGAGATCAGAGGAACCTGTGGGACCAGGGGCTGGTGACCTTCCCCCTCTGTGATGCTGAAAATGGGGATGATGAAACCTCGAGGGGCTATTGTGAAAATGAAATTAAATAATATAGGTTAAGCTCCCAACAGCGTGTATTGTAGGAAGTCAATACATGGTAGATGTGCTCACTATTATTAACTATTATTTTGTGTCCTGGGGCCTGAGCCCTGCAATTGAGAGGGGTGCTTCTCCAGGCTGCACCCGCTCTGGAAACCTGGGGCGGGCGTCTCCTCAGGATGAATAATTCATCACCAGTCTCCTTTGCTCCCAAAGCAGCTCCTGGCAAACACTGCAGATGAATTCATTTGTCATGGGTGGGCGTGCGGGTGAGAACAGATGGGATTCCCCAGTCACGTGCTCCTGCAGACAGCGTGACACAGACATGCTGAGGAAGCCCTGCTTCTTGGAGAAGACAGGCAGGAACCTCAGCTTCTGAAAATGGATGCGGTGAATCTGCTGCCTGTGCCATATGTGACAAAAGCTTTGCTCTGTTCTGGAAGAAAGGGGGTATTTTCCATCTTGCGGTGTCCTTGACAACGTCTGACAACGTTTTTTAACCATTGCAGCACACAAGTCTCCTGGGAATTATAGGATCCATTTATTTATTCATTTCACAATCATTTCATTCCTCTCGGATTCTGGCCTGTATAGGCATGGGGAATGGAGATAAATGGAGATCTGTATAGAATGGTATGGAAACTCAAAGTGGTGTGTGTGCTACATAGAGTAGGTATTTAATAACCTTCTGCTGAATTAATAATTAACTGCTGACTGAAAGGCGACTTAACCCAGCCTGAGGCAGTCAGGGAAGGCTTCCTGGAGGAGGTGATGCTTAAACTGAAGTCTGAAGGGTGACTTGAAATAACGTAGGTGAAGAAGGATTTTGAGAAACACAAAGAAACAGTGTTTTCAGAAAGCTGCAAATAGATGAAGGATGTATAGGTAGGAGCTGGGTTGTGGAAGTCCTGACATAGCTGGAGGTTTGCACATGATCCAGTGGGAGCCACTGAAGGTGTTGGGTAGAAGGGGAACTTAAGATCATTTGTAGCGTGGCGAGAACACTTTGGTTGCATGATATAGATTGGGTTGAAGAAAGGAAACTTGGAAATGGGAGATAAGTTTGTGCATTCATTCATTCACTCATTTTTTCACTAATTCATCCATTCGTCCTTTGACTTATGCAAGAAATACTTCTTGAGAGCCTAGTGTGTACTCCACTGTGAGGTGTCAGTGGAGAGAGGAGGTCACAAAGCTGATGTGTTGGGAGGTGGTGGATGGGACATCGAGGCTGCCTCCCCGGTCACTTGCTTTATCACTTTGCTTTAAGTGATCCGGGTCAACAGAACTAAGTGCTAGGTTTGTTTGGGACCACAGCAAGATCCTGTTTTGCAGTTGGGGTCCATTCATAGACATTGTATGTGGCCCCAGAAGTGCTGCTGGACAGTGATGGACTGTCCTCTTCCTGCTGTCCCAGGGCAGGGGAGGTGGCCATGCTATCCTGCCTTCATTGCCAGAATCCCCACAGGGCCATCATCATGCCTCTCTCCTGTCTCTGGGAGTTTGCCGGGTTTCTTCCCTGTGACACTACCATTGCTTAGGCTGAGGGCTCATATGTGGGATGCACAAATATGCACACTTCTTTTACCTTCAGACAGCTCAGGTGGCCAGTGGCATTTGCAAAAGAATTTCTGTTTCCTGTTTAAAACATTTCACCCAGAGCCCTGAGGTCCTGGCTGAATCCTGGTTGGAGGTGTCGCAATATTCCTTTGGGGTAGAACAGTACACTCTGCTTCCTCACCTAAGAGCCATCCTGAACATCTTTTCCTCAAAATGTGTGCTTTATGGATCACCTGAGTCAGAATCACCCAGAAGGGGAGATGCAAAGCAGGTTCCTAAGCCCCATAGAGACTTATGAATTAGAATTTATTGGGGCCGGCGGGTGGGGGGAGCTACAAAGTTTGCATTTTTAATCACTGCCCTTGGTGATTCTCAAGCTCTTTCATGTTGGAGAAGCACCATTTTAAAGCACAAATCAAATTGTTTTTCTGGAATCGGCAAGGGACTATTGGCTGAGCCCTGCTGCATGCCCTGTGGGGTGCCAAGCGCCAGGCAGTGGGCTTGCTTCATTCTCAGTCCTCTCTGGGGTGCCATGGGGTGAACCTTCTGCATAGCACCATAAGTAAGGGATAGAGCTAAGGTTCAAATCCTAGTTGCCTAACCCCAGAAAAGGCCAGCTGGCACTGAATTGGTGCTCAAAAGAGTGGTGGAAGCCATTCATTGAACAGGAAGGATGCCTGGGGCACCAGCAGCAGCTCCATATCATCTCCATGTTGCCCATTTCAACCCACGCTTGGGAGCTGGGCTCCATCCCTCCATGGTCAAAGAAACCTCGGCAGCCCACAGCTTGTCCTTGTGCTTAGAGAATGAAAAGTCCCTCAGTTGTTTGAGTCCAGGAATGATCTCATTGTAGGCAGCAACAGTCCCAGACCAGCTTCTAGTTCCTTTGGGTGGGAGCATGGAAAAGGAGGGAGGTGGAGACAGGAGGAGGCCTTGTGTGTGTTGTGTGTGTGTGTCCCTGATATGCCAGTTTGTTTTTCTCTAGCCCTAGCAGATATTCAGAGCTGCTGATTCCTCTCATGGGTCTTTCCTGGGTTCCTGGTAGCCTCCCTCACCAACACCTGTCCTGCTTCTGTGTTTCTACCCCTGCAGTGCCTCTCCAGAGCTGCTTCTTAAGCTGCCACACCCAGGGCCACCTCCTTCTCTTTCTGCTGAGAGAGGCTTTCCAGCTGGCAGAAGCCATATTGCATCTCTAGTCTGACATTCCTACGTCCCCAATCCCATGTCGGTGTCCCCTGTAATCAAGCCCACTGCACTACTCACTGCTGCGTCCCCAAGGTCTGGGGACAGTACACTCTCCAGGTGGTCTCTTAGAGCTCTTCTTGCTAGATCTTAGGCAACAATGTGTGAAGCCCCTCTCACCTCCCTCAGGCAACATTGAATTCACAAGGTGCCAAACAATTTCTCTTAAAATAACACTCTCATTCTCACCTCCTCAGGTGGAACCTTTATGCATGTTTACAGTTTGGTTCTCACAATGGGTTTTCAGCAGCCTGCTCCATGCAGACCTGGTTAGTTGTCCCAGCACCTGCTCCAGGAACTGGCTGCCCCTCTGTGGCAACAGCATCACCTGCAGCTTTATAGAAAGGGGGCTTTTAAGGCCCATCCCAGACTTAACGGTCAGAAAATACCGGAGCAAGATGCCCAGGTGCTTTGTGTGTACGGTGAGGTCAGAGATGTGCTGGTCTGGCCTCAGGGGACAGGTGATGGCTGCTGTATGAAGCCCTGGCTGAAACAGAAGCAACAGAGTCCCACTTTGCCATCTGTCACGCTATCTATAAATTAGCTAAGCGGTCTCCAAAAATCTCTCTCCAGAGTTATCGTGTAATGACATGACCTTGACATTGGGGGAACTCAGCATATCCCAAATTCCTGTTAGAAAAATGTGACTGTTAGTTTCTGCAGAGCTGTAGTGAAAGGTAACGTTAGATGCCATCCAGTTCTCCTTTTAAAGACCTCTGGGAAAGGGAAAGGTGGCTGCTGCTGCAGCTGCTGCTAACTGGCTGTCACTGGGCACTTACTGTGTGCCAGGCACTGGGACACATACTTTGCATGCAATGCATTTTCTCATGGATCTCGCTCATGAGCCACTCATAATTGAGCTCCAAGGACAGGGTTCTCTCCCAGGTGGACGGGTTTGCTTCTTTCCATCTGGCAGCAACAGCTAAAAAGTCCAACATCTTTCCCTCTTTGTCCTGGTTTTCAAGAAGCTCAGGGATTATCTTGTTCCAAATTCTTGGCCTATCTTCTTCCTCTTCCCATTAATTTACCTCTCCCTTTAGGAAAATCTTCAGTTTTACTCTCATGTTCTCCAGTTATTTTAGCCTACCTTACATGCTTTTCGAATTAGTGGTGTTATCAAAAAACAATTTTTGAGTCCTCACTTTAAAATAAGGCTCATTATAGTCATTCCTTAAGTAAACAGCAACCCCATCACTTAATTATTTTATCTTTTATTATATTTTTTGAGACAGGGTCTCATTCTGTCACCCAGCTACACTGAAGTGGTGCCATCACAGCTCACTGCAGCCATGACCTCCTGGGCTCAAGCGATCCTCTTGCCTCATCCTCCTGAGTAGCTGGGACTACAGGTGCACACCACCATGCCAGACTAAATCTATCATTTAAAAAATAAGATTTGACAGGCAAAAATTCAGTGTATGAGTAATGCTTCTGAAATTGACCTTCTGCATAAGCAAAGAACCCTTATAATCATGACCAAGGATTATTATTCCAAAAAATTTGGTTAATTCTGGGCATCAGGCAAGGCCAGTCTTAGAATGGGGCTGCATATCCAACTGTCCCAGTGTCTCCCCTGATGTATTTCTCCTCCATTTCAATATGCACTGACTCTAAAATAGGGAAATAGGGAGAACCCAGGGCTAGCTGGCAAGGAAATCCAGGGATAAATGGTGAGGTGTTCAGTATTCAACCAGTATTTTCAGAGCATCTTCTACCTGTCAGACATTAGGTTGTGAAGGTAGATGATGAGGGATGTCCCCTGTCCCCAAGGAGGTCACAGTCCAGTGAGATGCACAGACAGTTGAAACACACAGTGGAACCAAGACGTGTTAAGCAGAGTACCATGAAATTTGCTGTGGGAATTCTGAGGATGAGCTATTTTTTTTTTTTTTACAGGAGATCTAGGAAGTTAGGTCAAGGAGGTGGCACTTAAGCTGGGTCTTGGGGCATGAGTGGGTTGTGCAAGGTTTGGGAGTGACATTTTGGTCCAAGGTCAGGGGATCAGGAACTGTATCTGTGTCACCTTGGGTCCTCAGTGTCTAGCACAGTATCAGGCACAGAATAGGAGCTCAACTTAAGTTTGTAAATTAAGTGAATGCATAGATGGATTAGAGATGAATAGGAAAAACTTTCCGAAGGCAAATTTGGCTCAATTTTGAAAACTACTAAAGCTATGAATTGCTGTAGTCTTGAAAACAATATAGCATAGTAATTACTAGCTTGTATTTGTCACCCCTAGGTGTCTATGAGCTTCTTGGGGGAAAGGACTCTTTGAGATTTTACTGCTATATAACAAATTACCACAAATTTAGCAAAGTAAAACATGCATTTATTATCTTACAAGTTCTGTAGGTCAGAAGTCCTCACATGGTATAGCTGTGTTCTCCACTCAAGAGTCTCATGTGGCAGAAGTCAAGGTGTCAGGCAGGGCTGCATCTCATCTGAGGCTCAGGGTCCTCTTCCAAGCTCACTGGTTGTTGGCAGAGTTCAGTTCCTTGCAGTTGTAGGACCGAGGCCTTGTTATCTTGCTGGCTGTCATCCAGGGTTGGCTCCCAGCTCCTAGCTGCCTAGTGCCCTTTGCTACTATACAGCCCTTGTGGTTACATGGCAACATGCTCCCCAACGTTTTGACTCTCTGACCTCTTTTATGGCTCACTAGATTTGGTCAGGCCCACCCAGGATAATCTCCTTGATTAACTCAAAGTTGACTGGGAACTTAACTACATTTGCAAAATCCTTTTGGCCACATAAGGTAAAAATAGTTGCTGGAATTTCATCCCATCATATTCACAAGTCTTGCTCACTTTCATGGGAGGGCGCTGTACAGGGTATGCACACCAGGGGAGGAGATCTTACAAGTCTGCCTAGCGTAGCAGGGCCCATGTTTAATTCATCCCTGTATCCCCAGGGCACAGCATCAGGTAGAGAGTCGAACACCAGCTGGATTGAAGGTCAGGGGGATGCCTAGAAGACCAGAGCGTGCACAGAAGGGACTCCAGTACACCCAGAAGCTCACTCCATGTAGTAGAGGCAGAAGCTTCAAACTCTCCACAGCAGTACTTGGCAAATAGACTTAAGACATTGCTGGATTCTTGAAAGTATCTCCATGGAATATATGCCAAAGCTTTCCAGGGAGAATTTTGGGAAAACGATTCCATGTTGTACATATAGTCCACAATGATTTTTTTAAAAAAACGATGTTACCCGACATTTATATTCTGCACAATACTTTTTACAGTCATTGGATACGTAGCATAATTAATTAGGTGGTGGGTGGGTGGGTGGCTGACTGAATGAGTCAGTAATAAACTAGTAATAAACTAGATTAATTTATGCACTCACTCATTTCCTGAGCTACCCACCCAGCGACTTACCTTTGCCAGTCAGCCAGCATCTACTTATTGAAGCCTCCACCCCATCATGTAATGGATGAACGAGACAGAGTCCCTGCCCTCTTCGTTAGCTCGGAGTTCCCCAGGATGTGGTCTGGGGGCTGCTTGAGCATCAGTGACCTGGAGAGCATGTGAAAGATACAGTCTTTTGCACTCTGCTGCAGACCTGCCGAGCTAGACTCTGGGGAGGCAGCACCAGGAAGATGTATTTTTTACAAACTGTTCAGGTAGTTGAGGACAGTGTACATTTGAGCACCTCCAGCCAAATACTGTAGTGATGGTGAAAGACAAGGGAACAAGCCAACAGCTTCACTCTGTGCCTTGATCCCTGTGAGGGAGGAAGGGTGTCCCAGGGAGAAGGAACAGCACCAAAGACGGTCAGGGAGGACAGAAAATGGGGATGGCTTGGGACTGAAAATAGTGTGCTGCTTTGATCCTGGGACTGAAGTGAAGCCCGTCTGAAGTACCACCCGGTTCTTAGATGCAGGAAGTGCTACACACATTGATTTGTTCAGAGGCCAGTGTAACCTGGCTAAATCCAGTTTAATCTGGCTGTAAGCCCCTACTTTCCAGGGTGGAGAGAAAAATCAATCACTTTGTTTTGGGATTCTGCTCTCCTTGTCCACTAGAGATGGTCTCAGAGCCTGAGTTTTTGGAAAGGGTGTCCGCTGCCACTGAAAGACCAAATAAATAAGATCGTGGGTCCATTCGAGGCAGGTGGCTGTGCTGTCTCCGCTGGCCTGAAGGAGGGCTCTTTGCTGTGGCTGCTCCTGGGGTGAAACTGGGAAGGGTCCCTGCCCTCCTGCCTAACTCACCACTCCCTCTTTTTCTCTCTCTTCCTCGGCAGGACCTGCCTGTCTGTGCAGGAATGTCTTCTGGTAAAGGCATGGGCGCAGAGGCATTTTCAGTTTGTTTTGACAGCCAGTGTAGGAAGCAAAGGTGCCCAGCCTTGGGGCACAGGGGCTGGCTCTGTTCATAAAAGGGGAAAGAAATGTCACTTCCCCCTCCACTTCTTCACTTTCCCTTTGTCCTTCATATGTCAGTAAGTGATCTTTCCACCACATGAAATTGTCTTGGCCCCTTTCTTCCATTGTACACACCTTTTTAGAACTTTAAGCCCACTAAAGTTGAGAACCCTTGGCCTAATACCTAAAACAGGGTTGACTCTTGAAGTCGGAGTCAATTGAATTGTATATTTAATGTAGTTTCTGCTCTCTCCATACCACATCCCCTGACTTATTATTAAACTGATGGTGTTTCATATGCTTAATGGTGTCATAGAACTGAGAAAGCATGGTAGTTTAGTATTGCTGGTGTGTGTGTGTGTTCGTGTCCATGTTTGTGCATATTTGTCTGTGTGCTGAGTGTGTGCCTGTGTCTTTCTGTGTGTGTGTGTCTGTGTGTGAGTGTATGCCTGTGTGTGTGTCTGTGTGTGTGCATTTGTGCTGAGTGAGTGGGGCTCAGGAATGGAATTGTGGAGGGGGTGAGACTGACAAAGAAGGCAGAACCAAATCTTCATGTCCATATGAAACTGATCAGCACTTTTCTCCCTGTGGGAGCATTAGGAGCAAGGTTGATATTCAGTGGACAAGTTCAGTGGTTGAAATGTCGAAGTTCTCCACTGTGAGATTGGACGTAGCTTCAGCCCATCCTCCCGAGTCCCCTCCTTCCCACCTTCTAATACTGCTATTCCAAGCCCCGCTTGATCCAGCAAAGAAAGTGTTAACAATTGGCACCCTCACCACCACCCCACCCAAGCCCAACATCTGTTCTGACTTATCAGTATCCAGGCAATACCTGGGGTTAAATATTTTGAAACGACACCCTTCTTTCTATCAGGTTTAATCCTCACCATGGCCTTATGAAATTGGAAAAGTTGGCATAATTACTCCCAGTTCGCAAAAAATGAAGCTGTCGCACAGAAAATTTAAGTCACCCACACACACACTGCCACCCACCTGGGACATTTCTGCCTGGTTTGTTGTTCTCTGTGGCTGACTGCTTAGTTCAGTGTTGCCTAAGACCTGGAGGCTGTTAGGAAGTAGAGTTTTCAGGAGAAGCAGTTACAGTTCAGGACAGGAGCTGTTCATTTCAGGACCACCTCCTCTAGGGTGCCTTTTTATTCTCCTCCTCCATCTTTGTTGCAATGTCACATTCCTGCTGCCTGGTGAAAGCACTCCAACACCAAATCTGCAGTGTTTACTGCATGAAGAAATGTTGATGGAATGAAGAAATGATTGTACTCTACTATAGCACTGATCTTGCTTTGACCCAGAGTTGTTTTTGAACGTAGAGTTGGTCGACATGCTAAGTTATAAACTCCTGGAAGGCAGGGTCCCCCCATCATTCACCTTTGCATCCCACCTTGTTCCCCAGCACAGCCCCTGACACTGAGTGGGTGCTTTATCAGGGTTCTTTGGTGGAGTGGAGTACTCACCCGTCAACCCAGTCTTGAAGTTCACCTTTGAGATATTAGGGAAATGAGCCCTAGCACTTCTCTCACCCTGAAACCAAATACAAGAAGGAGTCTTTTTGGATCAGTCTCTATTGTTCACTGCCACTGGTGGCTGGGTGCTGGAGGAAAGGTGAGCTGAGGACCTTGACTTGGGAAATCCAGGAGCTGTTTTTTGTGGAACAGGCAATTTTATGCCGTGGGAAAACTCTGCTTCCCCCATACCCGCCCTTGCAGCATGAGGGCTGATGGCTTATAGTGGGACCTGTCACCTTCTTAGGCATTCTCATGCATCGTCAAGAGGAGCCAATCTCTCCTCTCTGGCTGCTTCTTGAAATCTTGCCCAGTGGCAGCTCAGTGGCAAACTTTTGAGGAGGAGAATATGAACAAAGAGCATGTGTCATCTGCTGCTGTTGTGCTTTCACCCCTTCCTGCACCCCCTCACACTTTGCCCAGATTGTTTGTTATGGGAAATATAGGCTTCCTATTCCTGCAGATGTGTACTCAACACAGCAAGACCCTTGCTTTGTCTCTGAATTGTGGTCATAGGTGGGTCACTTGGGAGTCTTCCCTTTCCCTCACAAAAAATGAAGCTGTCGCACAGAAAATTTAAGTCACCCACACTGAAAAATCAGGACAATGGGGTTATTGCGAAGATTAAGATAAATGCTTATCACATGTGAATTGCCTGATCTTTATATAAAGTGCTTGATGACTATTAAGTCCCCTCCTTGTCTCATCCTCCTGAGTGTCTGCTGGTAGAACTGCAGTGACTACTTAAGAGTTTTAGTTCTTGTATGAGCCAAGGTACCACCAGAGAAGCAGAGCCAGAAGGAGACATATAAAGGGATTTATTGCAAGGAGTTGGCTATGTCATTGTCGGGGGCTGGCTAGGCAAATCTGAAACCCTTAGGGGAAGCTTTCAGGAAGGGAAGACTGGAATTGTCTTCATGGACTGAAGCCACTGCCCAAAGTCAGGATTTCGCCTTTATCAGGGAAGCTTTAGCTTTGCTTTTAGGGCCTTTCAATTGATTGAATTAGACCCACCCTGATTATCTTGGATACTTTCCCATTCTTAAAATCATCTGATTAGGGACTTTAATCACCTCTATAAATTAGCCTTACAGGAAATACTTAATGTTTGATTAAGTGTCTGGGGGCTGTACCTAGCCTAACTGACATATCAGAAGACCAACCAACTTCTTAACCCAGGGAAAAGAGAGAGGGGTGTCTGAGACATCAGGCAACTTACTCAAATGACAGAAGCCCACCTTCCCTGGAGCTTTTGGTAGGTGATGCTTCTTTCCATCTAGAACCACGACTCTACAGAGCATCCCTTTGTCCCACTTTCTTCTTTCATAGTAAAAACGTTTCTGCCCCATTTCTTCCTCCCATTTGCTCTGAGTTTTATGCAAGAGAAGGGGAAGTGGGCAAGTCTGAGACATGTTATTCCAGGCAAGGGCTGGTCTGTGGAGATGTACAGAATGGGGCTTGGTCCTCAGAAGAGATTCAGGGAGAAGTGATTCAGGATGAGCCCTGGAGAGAGGGCGGTGTTGTACCCACCCCATGGCTCTGGCCCCTTGGTGAGGCCTTAGTAGCTAAAAACAAGACAGGCTACAGGATGTTTCATGAGGTTTCCCAAGGATGAATAAAATAAGGTCCCTGTTCTCTGCAGGATCCACCAGACTAGTGACAAAGACAGATGGGGAAAGAGTTATCTCCAGCAGGGTGAGCCTGGGTGCCCTGGGAACCCAGCAGGAGCAAACCAGAGGCCCGGGGCTGTGTGTGCCAGAGGAAGCTCCTGGGGAGATGACACTGAACCGAGATTTGAAGGATTCATAGATGATGGCTGGTGGAAATGGAACTATGATACTTTCCTTCCTTGAAGTTTTCACAGTTCACCATCTTCCCAGTTTGGGATGGATCATTGGTGTTCCTTATAGGGTGGCATTTTTAAGGCATGGAGAGGAAGCAAGGTTCACACCTGCAGCCTGGGTCTGCATGCTGCTTAACACCCCAATTGCTAATTAATGAACCCAAAGCTGCTGTTGCTCCTCGAATGTGCCAGACATGGCATTTGGAGTAGGCTGCTCCCTGAAGAGCGGGAATGGGCTGCAGGTCTGTGCACAGAAGGCTTGGGCTGCTGAGGGAGTGTCTCCATCCACAGGGGCTGGGGATGGCCCAGAGCAGCCATGGGACCAGCTGGGGTCTTAGGGGCACCCAGAGATCCACAGGAGGGCCCAAGGTCATGGCTCTTTTGAGACAAGTCCTCATTTGGGCGTTTTCTTGCCTTGGGATTTAAAAAAATTAATAATAGATTTTTTTGGTGCATCTTTAGGTTTCCCAGAAAAATTGAGCAGAGAGTACAGAGGGTTTCTGTATGCCTCCTTGCCCCCTCCACAAACAATTTCCCTTATTATTAACTTTCTGCATTAGTATGGTACATTTGTTACAATTGACATACCAATATTGACACTTTTTTTTTTTTTTTTGTGATGGTGCCTCGCCCTGTTGCCAGGCTGGAGTACAGTGGCACGATCTTGGCTCACTGCAATCTCTGCCTCCTGGGTTCAAGCGATTCCCCTGCCTCAGCCTCCTGAGTAAGCTGGGACTACAGGCATGCACTGCCACGCCCCGGCTAATTTTTTGTATTTTAGTAGAAATGGGGTTTCACCATGTTGGCCAGGACAGTCTCGATCTCCTGACCTCGTGATCTGCCCACCTCGGCCTCTCAAAGTGCCGGGATTACAGGCATGAGCCACCGCGCCGGGCCAATACATTATTATTTACTAAAGTTCATAATTTATATTATAATTCTGTCTTTGCATTGTACAATTCTCTGGGTTTTGCCAAATGAATAATGTCATATGTCCACCATTATAGTATCCTACAGAATAGTTTTACTGCCTTACAAGTTCCCTGTGCTCCACCTATTAGAAACCATTTAGAAACAGCATGCAAGGCCTTTAAATGTGCCAAGGAATGCATTTATAAACAACCTATTTGGTCATTTTAGGCTCTGTCAGGAGATACACGAAAGACCTTACCCATAATAACAGTTTTTAGTGCTATTCTGAATTAAAATGTGCTGAAGGTTTCTATTTAGCTGAGATTTGCCTTGTATAGGAAAGAGAACTGGGAGAATGAATTAGACTAATTGCTCACCAGAAGCCGAGCAAGTTCTTTGCCACCAGACACAATGCAGTGTGGGAAGGGGCTGGGCAGTGGGGGCCAGTTCTCAAGCTGGGCTCCTTCTCATTAAGCCAAGAAGGAAGTTGGCACTCAACAGGCCATAGATAGAAATAAGAGCAAGATGGAAGTGCTGTGGCCCCTCACAGTGCCCACACACGGACACGCTCTCTGGGCAAGAGACAGCTCTAGGTAGCATGATATCTCCAGAATTAACATTCCAAAGCCTGTGGCCCCAGACTAATTATGACACCACAGGCACATGCACACCCTTGCCCCCAGGTCTGCAAGGAGAAAACCCAGGCACAGCCTCCTTCCCCAGGGATTTGCTTTGGCTCTAGCAACTGCCCGACTGCACCAGCCCTCTCACTCAGAAGTGTTCAGTGTCCCAATAGTTCCAGACTCTAGGTTCTCCCAGCCCCTTCCTCAGGTTCTACTGGCCAAATCTAGTTAGCCCCTGTCCCTCCCCACGTCAGGGCAGTGCTGGTAGAATCACTGCAGCATTTGGTGTAAACCTCAAGTATTTCGTTTTGCATCAGCACTGACTAGGAGGAGGGTGGGCAGGGCAGAGGGTGGTATGTCAAAGGAGATTCTTTCATAGCTTTTCAGTTGCAGATATATTGTTGCAGTTAAAAGTGTTCTATTTGGCCTAGCGTGGTGGCTCACGCCTGTAATCCCAGAACTTTGGGAGGCCGAGGCAGGCGGATCACGAGGTCAGGAAATCAAGACCATCCTGGCCAACATGGTGAAAACCCATCTCTACTAAAAATACAAAAATTAGCTGGGCGTGGTGGCACATGACTGTCATCCCAGCTACTTGGGGGTCTGAGGCAGGAGAATTGCTTGAGCCAGGGATTTGGAGGCTGCAGTGAGCCAAGATCGTGCCACTGCACTCCAGCCTGGCGACAGAGCAAGACTGCATCTCAAAAAAAAAAAAGTGTTCTATTCCTCCCAAATATTGGCATTTGTAGGATCCGTATTCATGGGGATAAAAGGGACATGGGACAGTGGAGTGGAAGTGGGTGAAATCCACAGTGGAGTGGATTTCATAAGATTCAACCATCTTATGAAATCAAGCCTTCTCTTTGTGTTTTCCTTGAAAGCCTATCAGCTGGGAGGATTCTCCGCTCAGTCTCTATGTGGCTGGCTCCTTGTTCATGGATGCAGCCCTGGTTTCTAGTAGTTTCTGAGGCAGGGGTTCATATGTAGATTTGCCGCCTGGTGGGGATTGCCCAGCTACTCTCCTGGATTTCACCCTAGCCTGGACCTTCCTGCTCTTGTTTTGTGAAACTAAGTCCAGGTTTCCCAGCTTGCTTATCCTGAATGCTGGCTGTGGCCTCTGCAAAGGCTAGGGGAATTAACAGAATGCTGAGATCATGTCAGGGGCCTGGACAGGCTCCCTCTGGGCAGATGTGCGACCAACAATGCTACCTGCCTTTCAAGGTTGTGGTGAAAGGGCAAGTGAGACAGCGTAAGCAGGAGGGGAGGGAAAGGGATTAGGATTAATGCCATTGTGCCCAGGCATAGCAAGGCCCTGAATATAAAGGCAGAGCCCCAGACTGCTGGAGGGCCTCACCACTCTGATTCTTTATACGCTGTTTCCCACTATTCCCTCCCCACTGGGATAAGCCTCTGTGATTGTTTTCCTTACAGAAATGACACAGGAGAGAAGATCCTTTCAGAGAGCACATCTGCTGCTTTCCTGTACCCACGTGGGCTTCCTCAGAAGCCTGGCTGGATCTGGTGTGGGGGTCGTTGTGTGTGCAGGGACCCGCGGTGGCATCACCAGGGCCTAGGAGCTGGCTCCGTGCTCTTGCTGATCAGCCATAGACAAGCCTCATCCCACAGCTTGGACCACTCACAGCCGTGCTGTTGAGAGTCAGTTGTTCAAAGTTGATCAAATGTCACTTTCATTTAGGTTATTGTATGAAACGCAGACTTGAGCACAAGGATGTGTGAAAAGCCGGCCCTGGGGTTCCACTCAATGCCTGCAAATCGGATCGTGGTTAAATGAGCCATGAACCCAGCTCTGTGTCAGGTAATGTTAGAAGTGGATAGGATTTGAGCTCATATTTAGCTCAGTCTTCTCATTTCACAAAAGAGGCAGATTCCAGACAAGAGGCACACAGACGCTGAATACATTTAACACATGAATGGAATTGGTGAATAGTACATACGTGTTTGTCTGTTGCCCTGAACATGCAGCTCTTCACCTGACAATTCCAGCTCACTGCTCAGGTCTGCCTAGGTGTCTTTGCTTCCAGGAAGCCTTCCCTGGTGGCCAGGTTACGTTCTCCTGCACCTACCCCTTCCTTGTCATGGGCACCCGGTAGGTTGTTGTCCAGGATTGGGAGCCAGAAAACCTGATGTAAAGATCATCCAATTAGCTCATTCACAGAGCTGAGTAGACTCAGAAGCCTTTCTTAACTCCTCTGATGCCTGGTCACAACAGTCCTCCAAGGTACAAGTGCCTAGTGTTTCCGTTTTACAGAAGGAGAAACTGAGGCCCAGAGAGTGTTTATCTGAAGCCAAACAGGTGGTAAAGATGTGGCCACCTGGGACTTTGAGATGTGTAGGATTTCCCTTCTCTTCAAGTATCTCACCATCGAGTAAGAACACAGACATATGTGTGAGCGTGTATTGCGATACTAATTCTAGTGGAATTGTTAGAATGATTCATTCTAATGGGAGGTGTCCATTAAGTTCTTCCAATCCAGGAGGAGTGAGTTCTTGATGCTTGGAATTTTGGACAATGTAAGGAGTTATACAAATCATAGGGTTTATTTTCTTCCAGGGGTGGAGGGCGCTTTTTCCCTCTTCTCCTATCTCTGTGGGCCTCACATACAAAATGACTCCCAAAGGCCAGGATGGCCAGGGATGGGATAAGAGGAAGTAGAAGACTGGAAACCAAGAAACACTGGGTGCATGGGAGAAGTGTCTTCCTGAGGGACAGGCAGCTGGTTGCTTGTCATCTAATATAACTGCTTTCTGTGAGAGCTGCAAAAATGATCGAATGCATTGAAAGCAAAAAATACTCCCCAAAAGCTGAGGCTCAGGCTGCTCTCTGGGCTCACAGAGGTGAGAGCTATTTCTGTAACTCATTAAAAGAGTTTTTTATTGCAACATTGTTAATAAGAACCTGCAAAACAAGTTGATTCTACTGCCTATAGAGACCTGTCTTCTGAATAAATTTGTAAATCGTATCTGCATATTCTGTCATTGATGTGCATTCTGGGATGAAGGTCTGGAGAAGCCTTCCTATTTTGTTGGTGGACTTTTACGATGCCTGTCTCAAAGGCACTTGACATATGGCTGCACTGAATTTGTCTTAGGTACATGCAAGCATGGTGCCTTCACTCTGTGGTCAGAAGTCATGTGATGCCTGGGCTCACCACTGCAGCCTTTAACTTAGGCTGTCTCAGGGAGGTGGTCTGAAGTTCAGCTTCCCTTCCCTTTGGGCAGATGCCAGTATCACCTGGGGTTCTGGGAAAGCCCATTCAATCCATCAACATGCTGCCTAATTTATTTGCTGGCTTCCTTCTCTCCCTTTGCTTCAGGCTCATCTGCCCATTCCCTCTGTTCCTTACTCTCATGCTCCCCTCTCCTGTATCCCCCACCTTTGCACTGTAAGCATCATCCAATTTCTGCCTGTCTTTCTGTTTCCAGCCACTTAACCTGTACTGGTTTATACTATTTATATATCTGTAGCAAAATTAAAATAGCATTTTAATAGGGGCAAAGGCTTATGCAAGTAACCTTTAATGAAATGTTGAGTTCTTCGGGCACCCCAAATGAGATTTTGACATTTGAGATTTTTATTTGGCAGAACAAAGTACATAGAGAATTTAGAAAATGTGAATAATAAGCAAATCATTTAAGAAAATGCCACTTAAAAATAAAAGCCAGTGTAAGTTGGTTTCTTTCTATTCTATCTGATTCTATAAAGCATTTTCAAAAAATATATAAAATATATAAAATGCAAAAGCAAAATCAAGAGACTCAAAAATTTGAAGAGACTATATCACACAGAAAAAAGGAAAGTAACAATTAACCAACTAGTTGAAGAGGGGGAGAGATTTGAAGCCCATTGCTAATCTTTTGGTTCAGCAGAAACTGCCTGTAGAGAGTGAAGATTAAATTTTGGGAGTTGTGTTTACTTTTGACAAAAAAACCAAAAGGTTTCTCTAAAAACTTGATGATTTAAAAAAATTGCTGTGGATGGAATTTGTTGTTTCTCTGGAGTTGTAATTCTCAGTGTTTGCCTCTGAAACCACTGGTTTCCCTTGCTACCCTTGTGTAACCGCCCGAAGACACAAAGAAAGGTGTATGCTTTTGCACAGGGAGTTAATATTTTATAAATTAGATATTTTATAGTAGATATGCTTTTCCTTAAAAAATTTCCTAGGATTTTGTATAGATGGATATACAGAAAGACAGATAGATAGATGGATAGATAGTTGGCATTTAGCTGAAGATGAAGAAAACAAATTCCTGAACTTGAAGTGAGATAACAACCTTTAATCTTTCTGTGCACCCTTGAACAAGTTCCTTAGCTTCTCTGGGAACTTTTTTTAGTCTTTATTATTATTATTAATGAAGGGAAAAGACTTTTCAAACCAGATAGTCTGTAAGCCGTGGAAATTCCTTAAATCTCCTCTGGTAATCCCTTACTGAGCACAGTGTACTGAAAACCTGTTTAAATTCATAGCTGATGGTCTCTGTAAAACATATCCTACTTCCCTAAGGATCATGATCAGAAGAACAGCAATTCATGAGCATCTACTTTGTACCCAGCACTTACCTATATAAGATTTTACATGATTCCCATCCCAACCCTATGCAGCGTAGATAGTCTTATTCTGATTCCCTCATCACAGAAGAGGTTCCAGGGAGGCTGAACAACTTGTCTAGGTTACCCTGGCAGGGAGAGGAAGGCCTTAATGGAATCTAGTACTTTGCTCTCATGCCCTGCCATCTTTCCACCCAACTGGAAAGGTGACTATAACCACGTTTCCCAGCTCATTGTACCTTGAAAGAGGGCACTGAGGCACGGTCAGATGGGGATGTAGGTCATGTCAGGCAGCAGTCCTCTGGGCACAGAGGGCCTGACTCAGCCACTCAGACTGAGTAATGAAGTTTCCAGTAGTGATTTGGTAAAATGCGATATTAGCCCATTAAGCCACCACCCAACTAGACCAACTGGATTTGATGTGTGTCTTAAGCAATGGGTGTTTTTTAATGAAAAATGCAGTAATAATAATAAAACACTTGGGGAATAAATGGCACCAACTAGAGAGGCTCTCCCTGACTCTCTTAAATCTCTCTCTCTCTCTCTCTTTCTCCCACACACACATACACACACACACACACGCACACACACAATTTTTATCCCATCCCCTTTGATTGCTTTTCTTTCAATTCTGGTCACCTCTGGCAAGATCCCTCCAACTACTTAGGACCACTTCACTAGCTAACACATTTCTCTCTGACTTCTTCTAAGAACGTTCTCTGCTCTTAATGAATTCAGGTGATTAGCTCAGGCCCACCCAGATACTCTCTGTATCTGTTGTCAGCTGATTTGGGATCTTAATGACGATAGCAGAATCCCTTCAGAGCAGTCCCTGGGTTTGTGTTTGATTAACTCACTAGGAGAAAATGGTGTGGGTACGCAGAGGCAGAAATCTTGGGGACTGTCTTATAATCTTACCCGCTACAACTGTCCTCAATTCTGGTATTTTTCCAAAGTTTTGGTATCTAGATTTTTGAACTACCAGGCGGCAAGGCTGGATAAATCTGAGACCAAATTTGAAAGTAAAAGGAAGAAATGTCTTCCTTTTGATAATATAATACATGAAGTTACTGCTGTGTCAGGCTCTGGGTTTTTTTTTTTTTTCCTGTTACCAAGTTCATGGCTCTGAGGAGGTCGGGTTTTGTTTTGTTTTTTTCTTTGCAGTATAAGTGGAAGTTTTTCTCTCATGTAAATTCTGCTTCTGCAAAGATCAGTTCTAAGTTGCAGAGTGTCAGTGTACGTAGTGGTTAGAGAATTGATGCTCCATGGAAACTGGATGGGAGACCCAAGTGTTTGTTATCTGCTCTGTTCAATGGGGCAAAGAGTGGGCCATTTCGGAGACTAAATGAGAAACATATGTGGAGCACCCAGGCCACTGCCTGGGTCGGAAATGAAGGTTTTGACAACAGTGCGTTGAGGGCCTCTCCTGCGCCATCTCCTCTAATCCTCACTGCAGTGCTAGGCAGAGAGACTGGCGTTAGCTCCACCTAGTGGATGAGGAAACCGAAATTAGAGTACTAGGTAATAGTAACCCAAATCCTTCCAGATCAGATTGGCAGAGCTGGGACTGAACTCAGGCCCGGCTGTGACCACAGCCAGGGCCTAGCATCTGGAAAACAAGAGTCTCTGCTAAATGCTTTGGGCCAGTTCGTGTTCCCATGGGTTCTGTCCATTCCTCCTCTTTGCTGAGATGCGACATTCCCCTAGGAGATGCCATTGGGTAAGTCCCTTGAGCTCACTGAGCTTCGGCTTCAGCCAAATGGGGATGAGCCCAATGCCTGTAAGGAGGTTTCAAAAGGAATAAATAAGGGAAAACTTAGAAAGCTCCAGGCATATCATTGTAGAAGCTCCAGAATGCCTGGTGAATGAGAAATCTCTTTAGTAGGAGATGCTGGATAAACACAACATGTTGTTACTCTGTGACTGAAAGTCTCATCACTTTCCTAGGGTTTGTTTGTGTTTTGAATTGCTCTGAGCTAAGATGTTTGGTTGAGTTTTAAAAAGGTGATTGTTGGTAGTAACCGGTGTATTAAGTCAGGTAGGGTACCACTTTCACTTGAACTGCATTATGTCAAACCAGACTCTAAGGCATCTCTTTGCTGTCGTGTTAGAACTCCTGATACTTCTATTAGAGCATGGTGTGATTGGAGATTTCTGGGAAAAACAGGAGGAATAAGTTCTAGTGTTCTATACTCCTGTAGGATGACCATAGTTAACAATATGATGTAATTTCAAATTGCTAGAAGGGGGATATTGAATGTTCTCAACACAAAGAAATCATAAATGTTTGAGATGATGGATATGCTCATTACCCTGATTTGATTACTGTACATTATACATATCGAAGCATCACTATGTACTTCATGAATACATACAATTATTATTTGTCAATTAAACAAATTAAGTTAAAAATTAAATTACATTAAATTTTTAAAAACCAGCAGGGTTGGAAGGGAACAGTAATGAAGCACCTATTAGCACTACACTCCCATCTGGGTGCTCTAAATGCATGAGGCTTGCGCTGACTGATGGAGGCAGGGTTGGTTGTCAGGGAGGCAGGCCCCATTACCAGCAGGCCCAGCTCAGTTTCCACATCCGACGCAGCTGGAGTTGACCATTGGTCTTAAGTTGTGTCTTTGGCAGAAGCACAGTTCATCTTCTCAGGATATCCAGGCAGCTCTGGCCAAGGCGCACTCACTGGCTTTTGGCAGCAGACAGAATTCCTACTCAGTGCTGGGTGCTGGTTAAATAAGCAAATGATCCAATCTGGGGTCCTGTCTGACTTCAGGCTACTTAACAAACAGGAGCCTCATGATCTGGGAAGTCCTTGAACTTCTCCCATCACTCCCCACCCCATCACACCATTGTCATCATTGATAATAACCAGTGTGTTAAGTAGGGTAGGGTACCACTTTCACTCGTAGATCTCTGAATACCAAAGGTTTCACTCTGAAGTTCTCTCAGGTCCTTCAAGGGTGATCAGGATGATAATTATGGCCACACTTTAAGTCCCTACACTGGATCAAGCAATCACTTATTACATATATATTAGTCCATTTAGTTTTTCAAAAAAAATTTGGGGGGTGGGAGGTCACACTCTTATCACTGTTTTCTATGACATAGGGAAACTGAGTCATGTTCCCAGGGTCTGCATAGCTAGTAAGTTCTTGGAATGGGAAGTGGTCCCAGTTCTGATTCCCAAAAACACATGGCTTAACCATGCCCTTTAACTCAGCTTTCCTGAGTCCCAAGGAGGAAATCCCATGCTCTCTCCTCAGAACTCCCCCAACCTTTGCATTTCTGTGGACACCTGTCATTTACTTGCATGGCAAGGAAATATGTTGCATAGTGCTTGGCACATAGAAGGCCCTGAGAGTACTTGCGCTTCTTGCCCTTCCTCCTGAAGGCAAGCCCTGAATCAGAGTCAGGTTTCTAATGCCGGCAGCCTGGTGCCTGGCACGTGGTTGGTATTTGGCTGTTTCCGTAGCTCTGTTGTCTTGTGGAGCCTGGGTCTGACTAGAGCTTTATCACACTGAGCACAGCAAGGGCACACAGTAGGTAGCTGGCAAACCCTGGCTGGCAGATGAGTGAAGGAATCTGTACACAGTGGGTGGTGAAGAATTCTAGTTATCATCTTCAGCATGACTTTGCATTTTCATAGAGCATGCAACAAGACTGGGAGGGTACATGTTCTGTAGTGGAATGAGCAGGGGCTGAAAGACCTGAATTTTAATCCTCTCTCATGGTGATAGCCCAGGAAAGTCAGAAACTCCTTTATCCTCTGTCCTTTCACCTCTAAATGAGGAATAACAGTCCTTAGTTTAATAGGTGTTCTATGGATGAAATGACATGATTGAAAGATCACTTGACGGAGTGCCTGACATGCGGTAAATTGATAAATTTAGTTGTTAAATCATTCAGCCCATTCATTCAGCTAATATTTATTAAACACCTACTATGCACCAGGCATTATTCTAGATCAGGAGTTGGCAAACTGTGTCCTATAGGCCAGCCCCGACTCACCACCTGTTTTTGTAAATAAAGTTTTATTTTGGAACCCAGCCATACTCTTTGTTTACATGTTGTCCGTGGCAGCTTTTGTGCTCCAAGGGCAGAGTTGAGTAGTTGAAACAAAGACATCAGGTCATGTGAAGCCAAAAATATTTACTCTCTAGCCTTTTTCTATGAGAAGTTTGCCAATCCCTGTTCTAGATGATTAGGATAGAGCCATGAACACCAACAAAGACAAAGCTGTGCTCTGTTTTCATTATATAATGTCAGGTGGTGATAAGGACTAGGAAGAAAATAAAGTGATGCAGGGGAGTAGGGAGGTAGAGTGGATGGCTATTTAGATAGAGTGGCTTCTCCCTTGAGGTGGCATTTAAACAGAGCTCTGCCTGTGAAGCCATTGACTTCTTCACAACAGAAAGCTTCTGTTGGGGAAGGGTAGGAGAGCAGTAACAATTCAGGAATATTTTTAAAGTACCTACTGTGTGCTTCATGCTGGGGACCGAGAAGTTGAACAAAACTGGAAAATTGTTAGCATTCTCTGATTTTTATTCTAGAGTCTGTGCAAGACCCAGACAATAAAGAACTACCAGAAAAAAAGAAAAAGGTTTAAACTTTATCTTAAGATATAAGATGAAAAGTGCTGTGGACTAAAATATGATATGGTAAGAGCTGATAAGGGGGAGAATGTTGCAGTTTTTTGTCGTCTTTTTTTTTTTTTTTTTTTTTTTTGAGACAGGTTCTGCTTTGTTCCCAAGGCTGGAGTGCAGTGGCACAATCATGGCTCTTGACAGCCTCTACCCAAGTGATCCTCCCGCCTCAGCCTCCTGAGTAGCTGGGATTACAGATGTGTGCCACCATGCCCAGCTAATTAAAAAAAAATTGTAGAGTCAGGGTCTTGCTGTGTTGCTCAGGTTAAGAGTGTTGCAGGTTTAAATGGGGAATCAGTGTAGGCATCATGGAAAGGTGAGGTTTGAATATAGAGTTGAGAGAGAGAGAGGAGTGAGCCAGGCAGACATGGGGAATAAGAACATCTAGGTAAGGACCAGTGCAAAGACCCTGGGATGGAAATGGGCCTGATCTTTTTGAGGAACAGCAAGGATGCTGGTGTGGCCGGGGAAGATTTAGGAAGAGGAGAGCGCATGATAGTATTTGAAATCAGAGAGTACTGGGCTGGGGCAGGGCTCGGGGGCCAGCATAGCACCTCTGTTTTAAAAAACACAAATGGTAAATTCTCCTCTAGAAACTTTTAATCCAAGGCAGGAGCAAAAGATGAGTTCCAAAGGGTTTCTGCTGGAGAAAAGTCAATAAAATTGACCCCAGAGCTGAAGAACCACTGTCCTCTTTGACAAGAAAGTGACTCAATTTAGGTCAGAGGAATTACGTCGTAACCAGATATGTTTCTCCAGGGGGGAGGCCGGATGCTGTAGGCATTAAAAGGCACAGACTTGGTACTGCTGGGCAATTAAAGTCCACCATGGTTTATGACAGCAGGATGCGTGCCGATAAAAATGAGCACACACCCCCACAGGTGTGGCATGCAGACACACAGTGTCAGAGTGTATATTCGGTGAGGCTTTAGGATGGATTATTATCTTCCCTTCTGTGGCTCAGGAAAACACACCGTGTCCATACCCACCCTCGCCAGTGCAGGAAGCAGTTTCCAAGACAGCGGCTGCCCAGGTGCCATGGGCATCTGTATTGCAAGCAGATGCTGCTCCCCACATGGAATGTGGTGCAGAAGGCTGGCTGGCATTTGGTTGAGAATATGTCCTGAGGGGGTTAGAAAGAAGAGAAATGGGGTAGCTATTTTTGAGTGTCCTGCTGTTGGGAGGGGGAAGATGTTTTCTCTCTTCTGATAGCTGTAGACCAGTGGGAAAGGATTTTTCCTACTCTCTTTTCCCTCATTGAGCACTGTGTACCCAAGTGTATCCTTGCAGAGTAGTTTGGTGATGTTTGTTTCAGCTCAACAGGCTCCCAAAATCCAGTTCAGCCTGCAGAATTTGTTTTGTCAGTGCCATTACCCGGCCACCTGCTGGGTGCAGAGGCGTAAAGCATTTGTTAGCTGGGCACATATTGTGTGTTAGGAGTTTTTGCATCTCTTCTCGGCGTCGCCTCACCAAAACATCTTGAAGAAGCGAGACAGCTGTCTTTGTCATCCTCTCCATTTTACAGATGTGAGCATTGAGGCTTTCAGAGATCATGCCTTGGCCAAAGTCACCCAGCCAGTAAAGGGTGGAATGAAGTTTTAAGCTCTGCCCTTTTGATACCATCATCTTCATGGGTAGTTTCTGACCTACCGAACCCATGAGTCTTGGCTCAAAATAGCATTGTGCCCATTAGCACTTACAAGGTATGCTCTAGGCACTATCAGCAGAATCAAGAAAAGAAGGGCCTGGGCCTTGTCTCTGGAGAATTTACAAAACTAAAAACTAGTGGGGGTATTCCAAGTGGTAATATCCACTTATTCCAGCAGATTCTGAATATCACTGGACTGTTTTCTGAAACTGCATTTCTTTCCCAAGCCCAAAGGAGACAGGCTTTCCAGAGCTGAGGGGCATCCTAGTTCATCCTGAGATTGTGGAAACCAAATATTTAATAGTAATAACATTTTGAAAGTGTTTGCTAAATATTTGGAATTGTGTTGACCCCTTCCATTGTCTTATTTAAGAAACGAAATGTATTGCTACTTTATTATTATAAAGATACCAGTCTAATGCTGATCGGGTACTTAAAATGTGCCGGTAAATACTCCAAACCCTTCATGGTGTTGGCACTTGCAATTCTTAGAACCTCATCAGGTCAGTACTGTTATTGCACTCATTTAACTGAAGAGGAAATGGAGGCCCAGAGAGAAGTGCTGGAGAGTGCTGGAGACTGGAGAACCTGAGCTTGCTCTTATACAGTGTTCCAAGGCTTCTCAGCCCTGGAGGTGCATGAGAATCTCCTTGGGAATGTTTACAAAACACCCATACCACACCCTGCTCTCAAAGATCCTGATTTCACTGGTCTGGAGTGGGGCCCAGGCATTAATGTTTTTGTTGGGTTGCTTTAATATCATTTTTTATGGTGTATTATAACTCAGAAAGCGTAACACAATGTACAGCTGAATTACTGTAAAGAGAACAACTGTGTCACCACCAGGAGCAAGACCATTGCCAGTACTTGGGAGGTGCTGCACTGTCCCTTTCTACTCAAGCCCAGACTCTCCCCCAAAAGCAATCTCTATTCTGACTTTTATGCTCATCACTTTCCTACCTTATTGTATGCTTTCATTCCCTAAGTATTCATTCCTAAATGCTATACTTTTTCTTTGTCTGTTTTTGGTTTTATATAACTGGAACCACATATAGAAGGTGTTAACTTTGTGTCTAGCTTTTTCCACTAAGTCTTACGTTTGTGAGTTGTATCCATGTTGTTGCATGTAGCTCTAGCTCCTTTTCATTGCTGTGTAGAATTCCATTGTATAACCATACTACCAATGGCAGTCGATGGATATTTAGGTAATTTCTTATATTTTATTATTACAAATAATGCTGTTAGGAGTGTTTTTGTATGTGCTTTTTGGAACATACATGCGTGTGTGCTTGCAAAGTTTGTACCTAGGTACACAACTGCTGGTTAAAGGGTACATTAATCTTCAAATACATTACATAATGTCTAGGTGTTTTCCTGAGAGGGTGTAGCATTTTATACTCGTAGCAATAGCATGTGAGAGTTCTCTCTACTCCACATCTCAACCATCTTTCATGTTGTTAATGGTTTTAATTTTAGCCATTCTGATGGGTATGTGGCAGTGTCTTGTTGTGGCTTTAATCTGCATTTCCCCAGTGGCTTCTGGGGTTGCTCACTTTTCATTTGGTTAAAAGCCATGTGGATATCCTCTTTCATGAAGTGAGTACTCTAGTCTCTACATCACTTTTCCATTAGGTTGCCTGTGTTTTCCTTACAGATTCTGGATACAAGCCCTTTGTTAGTTATATGTGCAGCAAATGCCTTTTCTCACTCTGTGGTGTTTCTCTCTATTGATGTTTTTGTTGTTATTGTTTTGTCTTATGAACAAAGGTTTTTGTTTGTTTTGAGTCAGAGTCTCGCTCTGTTGGCCAGGATGGAGTGCAATGGCGCAATCTCAGCTCGCTGCTGGCTTGAGTAATTCTCCTGCCTCAGCCTCCCAAGTATCTGGGATTACAGGCATGTGCCACCACGCCCAGCTAATTTTTGTATTTTTGGTAGAGACGGGGTTTCACCATGTTGGCTAGGCTGGCCTCAAACTCCTGACCTCAGATAATCCAACCACCTCAGCCTCCCAAAGTGCTGGGATTACAGGTGTGAACCACTGCACCTGGCCTGAACAAAGATTCTTACTTTTAATGCAGTGAGATTGATCAGTTATGTCCTTTATGAAAGAATTCATGAAGATTTCTCCATTTTTTTCTTGAAATTTCATTTTTTTAAATACTGAAGTCTACTATCAAACTGGAATTTATTTTTGTATATGGTGTGAGGTAGAGGCCAAATGTGTTTGTTTTTTCTTTCCACTTGATACCAAATTTTTCCAGAATGTTTTTTAAGAATCTGCTTTATCCATGTATGTGTCGGTATTTAAGTTTCCCACTATACTCCAAATCATAGAATGGAATCAGAACCACTGCATGATGATTAAAATCACGATTCATGTAAGACACTTGGGTAGAAGTATAAAATCTCAATGAAAAATGTGAAAACTATTACTAATCCTACCTTCCAGAAATAACTCCATTAATCTATTTTATGAAGAGAAGCATCTTGTCTATTTTATTTGGCAATGCCTGGAACCAGGCCTGACATTTAGTAGATGTTTAATCAATATTTTTGAAATAAATAAGAAATTAATAAATGAATGAAACTTTAACCCCTCTCATCTTTTTTTTCTTTTTGTAATATACAAATCTAAGTCATGCTATACATGCTACTGGCAACATGATTTATTCACTTAAGTATAGCCCTCAACTGTTTTCTAATATTATTTTTTTTCTAATTGATGATGTTTAATAGTTTTCTTGTATTCCATCAAAGGTAGAAAGTTTTTAATCGGTACCCTATTGTTGAACTTGTACATTATTTTTACTTTTTAACTAGAATAATGGCACTGTCTGTTCTGAAGTTTTCTCGTACTCTTTAGTTTAATTCTTCAGAATGTATTCCTAGAAGTGGAGTCAGTTGGTCAAGGTGTGAATATTTATACATATTGTTAAACTTATTACCAAATTGCTTTAAAACAAATTTAAGTCCATTTAAAATTTAACGAGCAAACAACGACTATGCCTCTTTTCCAGAATCTTTTGCATGATCATTTTTAAAAATCTGGGCTCATTTGATGGAAAAAAAAGTCATATCACATTTTAATTTTAATTTTTAATTGATTTATTTCCAGTGAATTTGAAAATGTTCCTTGTTTAACCCTTTATGTTTCTTCTTCTTCTTCTCTTCTTCTTCTTCTTCCTCTTCCTCTTCTTCTTCTTCCTCTTCCTCTTCCTCTTCTTCTTCTTCCTCTTCCTCTTCCTCTTCTCCTCCTTCTTCTTCTTCTTCTCCTTCTTCTTCACAGGGTCTTGCTCTGTTGCCCAGGCTGGAGTATAGTGAGGCGATCATGGCTCACTGTAGAGTCAACCTCCCAGGTTCAAGTGGCTAATTAAAAAAATTTTTTTTGTAGAGATGGGATCTCACTATACTTCCCAGGCTGGTCTCAGACTCCTGGACTCAAGAGATCCTCCTGCCTTGGCCTCCCAAAATGCTGAGATTGCAGGCCTGATCCACTGGGCCCAGCCTATTTCTTCTTTTATAACTCCCAGGATCTTCTAAGAGGTCTTTATTTACTGAGGACAGTAATCTTTTGATATCAGATATATTGCAGATGGGTTTCCCAAATTGTCACTTTTCTTTGAAGTTCATTGTTTTTTCCTTCTTCAAAAAATTCACATTTTTATGTATAAAATCTCCTCTATCAGTCTTCTATTTTGTGGTTGAGTCTTAGAGTTTCTACTTCTTAAAGCCTTTCCTTTATTGTCTTAGTGAAACTAGCTCTAAGTTTTCACTATTAATTAAGATGTTTCCTATTGGTTTCAAATAATTCTTGCCATATTAAGAAAGTATCTTTCTATGCTACTGATTTTTAAAAATTGGGAACGACATCAAACTTGATTAATTACCAGTTAGATATCTATTAAGGTGATTTTATAAATTTTTCCTTTGACTTACTGATGTAATGACTCCCATTGGAAACTTTTCTAATGTTGGGCTATCTTTTGTGTTCTTGGCATGAGCCCTATTTTCAGACGTCTTGAATTATGCTATCCTATTTGGACATGATGATTTTCTTTTTCTTTTAATATGCTCTAAACTCTCCTACCAAGATTTTACTTAGGATTTTGGCTTCTGTGAGTATTTGAGAGAATGTTCTTTCTGGTTTCTCAAATTTTAATTGAGATATAATAATTGTATGTATTTTGTGGGGGAAAGTGTGATGTTTCAATACATATACACATTCTGTAATGATCAAATCAGAGTAACTAGCATATCCATCACCACAAACATTTTTCATTTCTTTGTAGTGAAGATATTCTTTGTTTTTTAAATCATATTGTTGTTAGTTTTCAACATGATGTAATGCTCCCCAAAATGTATTTAGAGAATTTCTGTTTTTCCTTAGAGTCAGAGGAATGATTCATAAACCATTCCAGGAAAATAAAAGATAGTGCAACATTAGAAGAGTTTCTAGTAGGAGTCATCACATTAATAAGTGAAAGAAAAAAATTATATGATCACCTTAATAGATGACCAGTTGGCAATTGATCCAGTTTGATATCTGTTTCCAATTTTTTATATCAATAGCATAGAAATAAACCTCTTTAATATGGTAAGAATTATTTGAAACCAATAGGAAATATCTTACTTAATGGTGATAGTTTAAAAGGATGATTAATTTTGTATGATATCCCTCAAGATTTTTTTTGAACTCACTTTGGTAATTTATATTTACCTTTAAAACCATCTATTTCACCAACTGCTTCAAGGATAACTACACAGAACTAGCTATAATTAATATTTTTGAGATTTAAAAACTGATATATATCTGTGATTATATATGCTTCCTGAGAAAATTTTATTTGTCTATGTTTAACTGGCTCTGATTTATATTTCAATTTTACTCTTAATTTATATTTTTATATTTTTAATTTTATTAAGCTGTTTTTAAGAGTAAAAAATATTCCATTGAAACCTTACTTTATTTATTTTAATCTAGCCTCCTTTAATATTGACAGCATGCAAGGCTATACATTTTCCTCTAAGGACAGCTTTGGATACCACCCTTAAATTCTGATGTGAAATGTCATTTCTTTTCCAATCAGGAGAGTATGCTTTTTTAGGAACGTGTATCAAGATCTCCTGAAGGATTTTTCAGACCACATAAGCAATCCCTGAAAGTCTGATCTTTCCCTGCACCATCCCCCCATCCCAGGGCCCTTTAATTTATTTTTTACTTTTTCTTTGGTACTTTGTTTTAAATGTGTTTCTAGTAGATACAAAATTGTTAGACTTGATTTTTTTTTTGCCCGGATAGAGTGTTTTAAGGATATTTAAACAAATTTTAACTTATATGCTTGATTATCCATCATCATTACCATCTTGTTGTGTTTTATGCTTCCTGTTCATTACACTTCCTTGCTTTTTCCTTGCTCTTATATTTTTTGTTTTTTGCTAGGGGCTCACTGCCACACCTCCTTCTAACTGTAACTTTGTACCCATACACAAATTTGTCCCCATTGCCCCTTCCCCCTCTCCTACCAACTTCTAGCAGCCAGAATTCTGCTCTTCAAGGTGAGGGTCTTCTTACTGCATCATTCCATGGTGGAAGGAAGAGAGGAAGGGGAAGAGCAGGGGAGGAGAGTGTGAGAGAGCAGAAGGGGTAGAACTCACTTTTATAACAAGCCCACTCTCAAGATGACTAACCCACTCCCTGGATAACATTAGTCCATTCTTGAGGACACAACCTTCCTGACCTAATGGCCTTGGATTGGGCCTCACGTCTCTACACTGCTGCACTGGGGATTGAGTTTCCATCATGTGAACTCTGAGGAACACATTCAGACCACTGCAGTCTCTTTGCTGGCATGTTAGGCTCCCCAGAAAGCACACTCTGAGTTGGACAATGGCATGCATGCTATTTCTAAGGAAGTACCTTTGACATTGGCAACTGTAGAAGGGAAGGAAAGGAAGCAGCACTGAGCTGAGGGAAGAGTTGAGCTGCGTTGCAGTCCCTGCAAAGGCCTCAACTGACTTCACGCAATCTCTGAAGCTGGGATGATCTCTCAGAATTGTTTCAAGTTGGGGCAAGGGGGCTGCCTGTTTACTTGTGTGTTGGTGAGTCATTGGCTGTGGACCACATGTGGAAAGAGGCATGATCTTAGGTGAGGAGTTTTATTTCAGCCAACATAGTCCTCTAAGAGCTGGTTGCTGAGGTGTTCTTGTAGAGAACTCTGGCACCCTGATGAGGGTCATCTTTTGTTCCAGAGGGAAGATCTGTTGGCAGCACAGCATCTACTGCAACCTGCTATGTCCTGGTCACTGGGAAAAGCATTGCATGTGGATTATCCTGTTTAATTCTCCCAAAATCCTGTGAAATAGGTACTATCAGTGTTTCCATTTTACAGATGGGAAAGTGGGGCAGCAAGAGATTAAATGACTTAGCACTAGACATAGAGTAGCAGAATTGATACTGAAACCTAAACTGTGTGACTTTAATATACTGCTTCTATCGATCAGAAAGTTATGAGTCCTGCTCTTACTTTTCCTGGCAGTTACTTTTAAATATTAAAAAACTCCTTGAACTCGTGTTTCTCAAATGACTATATGCTTTTGTCTCCAAGTTGCCGTTACACATGAATGACCAGCTGACAGGTATAGAATTCTTGGGTTGCAACCTTTTCCCATTAAGCCCTAGCTTGGATGTTCAGCTGCCATCTGAGATTTAATGCACTGTACCAAGAAGTCTTTAGGGCCCTCTGATTCTTTTATCTTCCATTGTACATGACCTCTTTACTTCTGTTTGTGTGCTTGTAGGAGCCTGTCTCCGTCCTGGAATTTGAAAAATTGCCATCACATTACTTCAAGATGTTTACTTCCTTCCTATCTGCTCTTCTTGTGAAGAAATCGCTCATTCATCCTTTCGTTTATTCATCTTTTGAAATATGTTGGTGCTCAGTCCCTACCAGACACAGTACTAGGAGATGTGGACACAAAAATAAGAGCTATAGCAGCTCACCGGGACAAGGGAACAGATAAGAACACAAAATGCAGTGTTGTGGGGTGAGCATGGCTGGGGAAACAGACCTAGCAAAGACTCACTGAGTCAGAGGGCAGGTCTTAGGGCAGAGAAGCCTTCTTGTAGAAGGTGAACTCTGATTTGGGGTTTGAAGGATGCATAGGAATTTGTCAGGAAACAAACTGGTGTTCTAACACTGACTCCCATTCTCCTTAGTTAGGCCTGACAAAGTGCATTACAGCAAATTGTAGCTAAGACTTAACTCAGAAACTCTGGATGCTTTTCCTCTATTCACTCATTTAACCCTTATTTTTCAGAGGAGAAACTGAGACCCAGAGAGGTTACCTGCCTTGCCAAAGTTACACAGCCAGGATGTTGTAGAGGCACAGTTTGGTTCCTTGCTCAGCAATGCTCAGAGGCCGATCTGATCTTTGGAAACAGGAAAAAAGTCATCTACAGATAGGTTCCTTTTCCATCAGGAAAACCTTCCTACCACCCTGTCCCGATCCGCATCCACAAGGTCTGCATCCTCTGTGTGTGCATGTACCAGGCACTGCTTCGGCTGCTGAGGGCTGTAGAGATGAACAAGCACAGTCCTGTCTGTCCCTCCAGTGTTTAGACCCAGTTGATGTTATATGGCGCTGGGGCTCAGCCTAGGTCTGTTAAGTATATGAAGGTGGGGACCCCAAACCATCTCAGTGTCAAGTGAATGGACCAGCCTGTAGTTACTGCCTTCTTCTCTTTGCTTCATGGCCCCTGTTGCAGCCTGAGGCTTTCTCTGACCTCTGCTGCCAACCCAGCCTCCCCCAGCCCCAGATCCCTGCAGGCTGGCAGTGCCTCTACCTCCCTCGCTGCCCTGGCCCTGTCACCATGGCGATCCTACAATCTGCAAGAAAAACTCACTGCACAAGCCATTTTTCATGAGAAAATGTCTGATTTCTCAGGCCCTGCCTGCCGTGTGGCCTCAGGAGCAGCCGGAGGCATTCCTCTGTAACCTGTGCCTTCTGTTCCCCTTATCTTGGATCTTCATTGGGGTGGGTGAGCACTTGGTCTTCAAAGCAAAGTTGCTGGATTCATGGGGAAAGCAGGCAAAGGGATGGTTTGGGTGTGGGGCATTTTCAGCTGTGGACCCTTGGAAGACAAGGGGTTGGAGTTTTTTCTATTTAGAATGAGAGAGTTTTAGGAAGAATTAGGTACTTCTCATGATGATGCTGTGAGGCTGGAGCCAGGTCTGACAATGTAGAGACTGCCTCATTGAATCCTTCCAACAGCTCCCTGAGGCAGGTACTTGCCTTAGCTCCATTTTACAGATGGAAATGCTGAGGTTCACAGAAGGTCAATAACTTAGCCAAATGAACAGAGCTGAGAAGTGGCAGAACCAGGATCCGGGTGCAGGCTCCTTTGATTCCTTACCTGGCTCTTCCATATTATTACCCACCAAGGATGGTATGCCCGTGACACCCTTCTCCTATTCCCTTCCCCAATTCACAAGGAGCTCAGAGCCTAAGCCTGCACTGACTCTCTTGAGGCTAAAGGCATCTCTTTCTCCTGGGAGCTGGCCACCTGTCTCCACACTTCACTTCAAAATGCCTGACCCTCCCAGTGAGTTGGTTAAAAATCCTGTAAAATTTTACAGTATTTGTCTTAGTCTGTTTTGTGTTGCTATAAATTAATACCTAAGACTGGGTAATTGATAGAGACAAGAGGTTTATTTGACTCATGATTCTGCAGGCTGTACAAGTGTGGCTCCAGCATCTGCTTGGCTTCGGTGAAGCCTCAGGAAGCTTTTACTCATGCGGAAGTGGGAAGGGGAACAGGCATGTCGCATGGTGAGAGATGGAGCAAGAGAGAAGGAGCAGGATACACGTTATTTTAAACAACCGGCTCTCACATGAACTGATAGAGTGGGAACTCACTCATTACTATGAAGACAGCACCAAGCCATTCATGAGGGATCTGCCTCCGGGACCCAAATACTTTCTACCAGACCCCACTTCCAACACCGGGGATCACATTTCAACATAAGATTTGGAAGGGACAAATATCCAGACCATGTCAGCATGCAAATTATTTTTCAATAAAGGTGTTATTAAAGAAAAAAGAACTGTAAAGACTTAAAACTGTATTACAGTATGCCTTCTGGCCAGCCTGCCCTGGGAGGCAGTCCTGCATTGCTTGCCATTTAATCTGATTTGGACAAGCTCTCTGCCTGGTTAGTTCAGTGGACAGATGCCATGACGAGGCAGGCCTCCAGGCTCCTGGTGAGATGGGATTTGGCTGACCAGCCCAGAAGGGGTCTACCCACATGTTCAAGATGTTTCCTGTTCATTTCTGCCAGGAGGCTCAGTTTGACCTGAGACAAAGTCTGCCCAGGCCTTACTGATCCCCTGGTGTACAAGGTTGTGGGAGAGGACTAAGCTAAAGTAAAGGGAAGGTCTCTCTGGGTGCATTTGAGCTGCTGGGCTTTGTAGCTGGGGTTTGGGGGTGTTTTGCTCCTTCTGCATCCATCACTAGAATGTCAGCACCACAAGGTCAACACTTCTTTTGTTCACTGATTATCTTAAGCACCTAGAACAGTGCCTGGCAATAGTAGGTGCTCAATAAGTTATTTGTTGAATAAACGAGCTCTAGTTGTAGGCTGGTAGGAGAGTTACCTTAATGGGGAATTTTTCTCTTGGGGAAAGTGTTCTCCTTGTGTTTCCAGCATAACAGTTCTAGAATTCCCTACAGAAGCCCTAGAATTCCCTAGAATCCTAGAAGACCTAGAATTCTCTACAGCTCTTGTTTGGGAAGGGCTGTCGTTTCTTAGTGGAAATCTCTGCTATTAATGAATCCAAAACCATGAAACTTGGTGAGTGTATGGAAGTGTCTGGCACATTTGTCTGAGTGTGCCATCTCAGCTGTGGAGCTTTCATGAATGCCAATTCGGGCTAGTGTTGGACTGTCTCACACAGGGAATGAGTTTTGGTATCAGACCGATCTGGGCTTGAATGTTAACACTGCCGCTATTCAGCTGTGCAGTCTAAAGCCAGTGGCCTAACCTCTCTGAGATTCAATTTCCCTGTCTAAAATTATGGATAACGGACCAACCTTGTGGTGGATCGAGCATATGTGTGCAATGTCCTTAGCACATAGTGGCACTCAGTAATTACTTTCAGGTTAATAGGTTTCTTGGCAGCGCTGACTGCCCATTTTCCCTTTGCTCTATCCTCCCTTCTTTGTTCCTGGAGCCTCTATTCAGATGCACCATGCCCTTCTCCTCTTCCAAGGTTGTTTTTTTTTTTTTTTTTTTTCTGCTTTCATTTCTTTTTCTGTAGAAAGAAGGTATTAGTTCCTGCCCAATCTCCCTTGGCCATAGGGTCGTGATGAGCTGGGACTTTCTCTGGGGCTGGGAGGTCTGCAGAGCTGTGTTTATCACATCTCTGCATGCACAGTACCCACCTAATACAGGCAGGCTATTCCGTGAATATTAATTAAATGAACTGATGGTTTTTCTCTGGGCATTTTCTCTCACTCAGCTGTGGGACTGACTCCCTGGGAGGGAGGGAGGGAGGGTGGGAAAAAACAGAAGGTAAGTCTGGTGAATGTGGCTGAAATTCCTGCAGCCACGGGTGTGTGGGTGTGAAGGGTGGGAGATGGGAGATGGAGAGGGAAATCCAGACATGTGCAGGTGGCAAAACAGCCCCACCCTTTCTGGAAGTGGGCAGCTTGGGAAGCAGGCAAGGCAGGCTTCTTAGTCTCGGGGGCTGTTTTGCATGATAATTAGCACTTCTTCATCCGGCTTCTGATGAATAATTTGATCCAATAAGGTCGGGAAAATCACTTCCTATCTATGCAGGTGACCATATCTATAAAGTAGCCATTGAGATGCTTGCCTCTTTCTCACGTGTAATTAGTGAGGTTGGAAGGGGCTATGTGCTCTGTGGTAGCCCCACAAGAACCTACACTTTGGTCTTCACTGGCCTGGGCTCAAAACCCATCTCTTCTGATGCCCAGCTGTGTGCCGGGTGCAGACAAGTGGTTTCACTTCTGTACCCTTCAATTCTCATCAGTAAACATGAGGCTTTTAGTCTCTTAAGAAGTTCTTGAACAAAAATGAGGCAATGGGCTAATATTTTCTCATACCCAGGCCAATGCTTAGCACACAATAGGTATTCAATAAAAGCCATTTTTACTGTGTTTCTTCTTTCATTGAATAAAGCGTATGGTTGTATATCTATACATTGTGGTAATTACTATTATCATCACAACTAATAATAATACCCCAGGATTTGTTGGCCTTCATACAATCATAGGTAGGCTAAGCCAAAAAATAAATGTAAAAAAAAAAAAAAAAAGATGCCAAGATTTCCTCAGGAGCTTCTAGAAAGTAAATCAGGGGTATATATTATAGCCCCAGTAGTAATAGCAACTAGCAAATACTTAATTTGGTGAGATATATTCCATGTCTTTGTCTCCTGAACAATTAGCTAGATGAATAAATAGCTGTCTGCCCTGAGAAAGGGAACATAATATGCAATTAAAATTAAGGACGTTCTATTTGAGGGGACCTGTTACATGAAATTACAGCAGAAGGCAATTGGGGAATATTATTATTTTGCATATTTAGGAATCAGGATAATTAGAAGATGCCAAACACGTAGGGCCAACTGGTAAGGGTTTGGGAAGGGAAGAGGGAAAAAGACCTCACCTTGTGGGATGTGGGCATCAGTGGGAGGGTAGCTGTGCATGTTATGTACAGAAAATAGGGTGCTTGGAGCTATTGTAAATGATGAGGGGAGTCCTAAGGGCTGTGATTGTGGAGAAGAAACTTAGACCCTCAACTGAACAACATGAGTCACATTCCTGCCCCTCCATTTTGTTGTTACATCATTTGCTCTTTCCAAATCTTTGATTTCTTCCTCATCTGAAAAAAAAATAGAGCTAATCATTTCGACTACAGAAATTTGTCACAAGGATTAAAAATGAGACAATCCATGTAATGTGCCTGATAAAGTACTTGCAAATAGGAAGTCTTTCATAGACATTAATTATTATGATTCTGTTCATTGATGTGTAGAGAAGGTAAAAAGTGAACACATAAACCCGGTTATAAATAGTAACTGTATGGTTAGAATGCTTTGGGCTGCAAGTAACAGCCAACCAAAATGCAGGGGACTTCTGTATGAGGGGTGTTTATCATCCTATAGAACAAGAAGTCCTGGCTTGGTTAACTCAACGTTCAATAACTTTATGGTTCCCATTGGCTTCTCAGTGCTTCTTCTGAAGTCAACTGTGAGTTCCTCTCATATTTAAAAGATGGCTGCTACTCTTCTGAATATCACATCCTTCTGCAATTATGTTTGGAAACAGGAAAAAGTATTTCTTATTGGAAGTCTCTTTTGCAAGCCTAGAAGTGTTTTGCTGCTTCCACCAGACTCCCTTGTGTCTTATTGCCCAGAATTGACCACATGCCTATTCTTCCACTCACAAATCAATCATCAGCAATAAGAATGGAACGAGTGAGACTTCCTCTGGCCTAGTCAAGATCGATGTTTTGGGAACAGAAGGGACCTCATTTAAAGCACATGGTCCCTCCATTCGGAAAACAAACAAAAATATTCTATTAGTGAACAAACTGTAAGAGAATGGTTTGGAAGTGGCAAGGCAAGAGTATCTGTCTTAGTATATAATATAGTTCCATTATTTAAGGCAATGTATGGAAAAGTGTCCTGGAAAAAGTAACACCAAGATGATAATTGCTATAGCAATATGATTGTTGCCATCGGATTGGAGTATAAATTATATTTACCTCCTTTTTAATGTTTTTAGTATTGTCTTTCTTTTTTTTTTAAAGAGAGAGTCTTGCTCTGTCACCCAGGCTGGAGTGCAGTGGCATGATCTTGGCTCACTGCAACCTCTGCCTCCCAAGTTCAAGTGTTTCTCGTGCATCAGCCTCCCAGTAGCTTGGACTACAGGCAAACCCACCTTGCTTGGCTAATTTTTGTATTTTTAGTAGGGACGAGGTTTCACCATGTTGGCCAGGCTCATCTCAAACTCCAAACCTCCAACGATCCACCCACCGTGGCCTCCCAAAGTGCTGGGATTTCAGGTGTGAGCCACCATGCCCGGCCATATTGTCTGACTTTTAAAAAATGTGTTTGTATGACTTTCATAATCAGTATCTTCCACTTTTTTTTGAAAAAAAGTGTCATTTTTTCAAATAAAATAATCTGTCCTTGTAGAACCTTCTTCCAAGTCCATAGAATATGTTGATTACTGTGTTTCCAAGGATGGGCCCTATTTGTGGCAATGGCATTGGTATCCTATGGGCTGCAGTCTAACAATGCCAGTGTTTCTTGAGTTCCAAATGCTCTTGACGGAGTGAATTCATTTAATTATTGACATAATCTTCTAAGAAAGACCTTGTTATACCTATTTTATGGATGAGAAAACGGAATCAGAGAGAGTAAAGTTATTGACCCGATATTACTCTGGCTCCAAGGACTACCATATTTGAAGATAATTCCACTAATATTTATCAAGCACCCACTATTTACCTATCACTGTGCTTAGCCTTGGACATGGATGAGAGTCATAAACAGGACAGACAAACCATCCCTGTAGGTTTTATAGTCTCAGCCAGAGCTAGAAACAAGCAAGCCAGCAATTTCAGTAGAGTGTGACAAGTTCTGTGATGGGTTGGGAGGCCTGCGGACTCCCTGACCCAGCCTCATCCTCCTGCCCCTTCCTTACCTCTCGTGTTCCTTTGTTCCTGCTCTTTAACCATCAGTCCCTGTAGTAGTCAGGGAGAGACAGGACCAAGAGGATATACAGAGATATCTAGAAAGGCATTTATTATGAGGGATTGGCTCATGTGATCCTAGAGGCTGAGAAGTCTCTTGATCTGCTGTCTGCAAGCTGGAGACCCAGGGAAGCCAGTGGTTTAGCTCCAGTCCAGCTATGAAGGCCTGAGAACCAGGAGTGTCCAGAGCCAAAAGCAGAAGAGGGATGCCCTAACCAAAGCAGAGAGAGCAAATTTGCCCTTCCTCTGCCTTTTTGTTCTACTTGGGCCCTCAGTGGATTGGATGGTGCTTACCCATGTTGGTGAGGGAAGTCTACTGATTCAAGTGGTAATCTCTTCTGGAAACATCCTCACAGACACACCCAGAAATTATGTTTTACCAGCTGTCTGGGCATCCCTTAGCCCAATCAAGCTGTCGCATGAAATTAACCATCGCAATTCCCTTTTCCTCTCTCTCTCCTTCGTTGTGTCCTTATTTTCATAGCTCAGTCTCTTCCTCATTCTTTCCCTTCACCCACTCCTTCCAATTATTTGGAGTGGATGGCAGTTGCATGGTGGAGGGGATTAGCACAGGACTAGTGCTCTGCTCTTTGGGGATCCAGTTCCTCTTCTGATTTAAGTCAGTGTCACTTATCTCTCTAGGCCTCTAATTTCTTAATGAAATGAAGAGAACAATTCCTGCTCTGATTTTCAGATAGGATGGCTGGGAAGATCAAATATGCTAATAGATATCAAAACAACTGGCCAAGTGGCAAAAGATATGCAAATGTGAGTTACAATTTGCAGGTGTCAAAAAACAAAGAGATTGGGATCAACCTCTTAAGTGTCTGGACAGTCATATGCACAAAAGCAATGTATTTTCTAGCTCAAATCGCTTGAGGCTGGATGGCACTTTTCTCTCTCAGTTCTCAGCATGTAGGCTTCGTTGCCTGAAATTCTTCCATTCCTTTCTCCCTGCCAAAAAACTCCCAATTAATGAAACCACTGCTCTGTGTGCCCAGGGCTGGGTGAGTTATTGGGAGAACAATGTGAGGACTGTACGGAAGCACTTAGTTAAATGCACAATTGTGGACTGCCAGCACCGTATTTGGAACAGAGTAATTATACTCGTTATAATGTAAAATGCTGCTGATTGGAAGATAGGCCGTCAATTTAACTACAACTTTTCAAGAAGAGAAATATCAGAAGTGTTAAATGTACACATCAACTTAAGACATTCTGATTTTAGAAATATAATAATGTGGGGAGAAAAAAGCATGCCTCTTAGAATTGAAGAATTAGGGTAATGACTGGAAATGGGAATTTGGACAGATGAAGTTAAGTAGAGAGAAAATAAATCTGGCATGCTAGGCAAGTTCAATTAGAGAAAAACATCCACATGCATGTTCCATGAGGGCCTGACAAGAGATACGCCTGGGCTTCGTGCTAACTCATCATAGTGAATAAGACACCCCCCTGCCCTCAAGGAGCTGAAAGTCAGTAAATGAGACCCAGATTTCTAACCTGAATAATTGACTCCAGAGTGGTGAATGCTAGCATGACGAATGACATGCGAAGAGAGCGTAAGGTGAGCATAGGTGAGCATTTACCTGGCATGGGGGTGATAGGGGTCAGGGGAGAATTTCTAAGGAAAGTGATACCTGTTGTGAATTTCCAGAGGTGAAAAGGAGTGGGCCAGGAGAAGAGGCCGAGATGGCATTGGAGAGAGAGTGTAACCCAGCAAAGACACATGGGTGGGAATTGTTTCCGTGCATTCTTGCAGGGAGAGCCTAGGAGAGGGAGGCAATGTTCTAGGGAACAGATCAGCAGGGAACAGAACCACTTAAAGCAGCTATTCTTAAAGTGTGGTTTGCCCTTTCTCCATACCCCAGGACCTCTGAGACAGTTCAGGAAGTCTGAGAAGTCAAAGCTATTTTCATGATACTAAGATTTCATGTGCCCTTTTCAGTCGCATTCTCACAGGGGTGTACAGTGGAGTTTCTCAGCGGCTGCAGAATGAGTGAGATCAAGACAGATTGAATGCTGAAGCAGAGATGTGAGCTCAGCTGTCTCCTATTAAACCAGACACTCGAGAGATTTCCCAAAAGGCAAAAACAGTGCCATTCTTTTCAGTAGTGATTACCTGTTTTGGAAAATGCAGTGATTTTTTCATAAATATATGTTATTTATGCAAACAGGTAATAAGTTTAATATTTTTATATTTAAATAAAAATGTGTTTAAAATATCTTAGTTTTAGTTTGTAATGCAGTGAATGTTGGTGAATATGATCCATATAAATGAAAGTTCTTTGGGATTTCTTATAAAATTTAAGTTTGAAAAAAACACTAGATTCAAGGTTAGCTTTCTTCTCAAAGAGCTAAAAATGGAACTACCATTTGACCCAGCAATCCCATTACTGGGTATATACCCAGAGGAATAAAAATCATTCTACCACAAAGACATGTACACATGAATGTTCACTGCAGCCCTATTCACAATAGCAAAGACATGAGATCAACCTAAATGCCCATCAATGACAGATTAGATAAAGAAAATGTGGTACATATACACGATGGAATACTATGCAGCCATAAAAAAGAATGAGATCATGTCTTTTGCAGGAAGATGGATGGAGCTGGAGGCCATCATACTCAGCAAACTAACCCAGGAACAGAAAACCAGATACCACGTTTTCTGAGTTAGAAGTTGGAGCTAAATGATGAGAAAACGTGGATGCACAGAGGGGAATAACAGACGCTGGGGCCTACTTGAGGGTGGAGGCTGGGAGGAGAGAGAAGAGCAGAAAAAAATTAGTATTGGGTACTAAACTTAGTACCTGGGTGATGAAATAATCTGTACAACAAACTCCCGTAACACGAGTTTACTTATGTAACAAACCTGTACGTGTACCTGTGAACCTGAAATAAAAGTTTTTTGAAAACGTTAGCTTTCCGGGAGGGGTGTGTGCCGCAAGTGCCAGCGGGGGGCAGTACTGGGCCAAGGCCCCTGCAGTAGGAGGTAGGATAGAAGTGGGTCGGGGAGTGGAGGAGGATAGTGACCTAAGGGAAAGCCTCAGGCAAGACATCCCTCGATGAAGTTTCTCTGCTCTCTGTTCTAGAAGTGAGTCACCATTTCCTGAGGTGCCTGGTGCTGGAGCTGGCATTTGTCCTTTATCTTGTCTTTACAACATCACCATGAGAAAGGGGCTGGTAGGTTTTGCATTTTATAAGGGAGGAAACAGGGTCAGAGAGGTCAAGTGGCTTCCCTGACAACATGGAGCAAGTCGGGTCATGGCCAGTGTTCCAATCCAGGTCTGTCTGACTCCTGGGCCCTTGCAGTTTTCTCCGGTGACAAGTGGCCTCCTTGACAGGAGGGAGTTTGAGGCTCTGGTCCATGAGAGCTGCCTGGGGCTTTCGTCCTCCCCTCTGGCTGCCCTGTGGGGTGGTCTCTGATGGCACCCGGGAGAACATGCACCCTGGGGGTGGGGGTAGACTCAGACGCTGGTACCCACCTCGGGGAGGGTGGTGGATGCTGATCTGGCAACATGACTCTCCACTGAGGGGGTTGCCGTGGCCTGCAGGGGCTCTGGAAAAAGTGTGCAGGAGTGATGAGCTTATCCTTGGGTGGAACCAACCTGGGGAGCTGGGCAGGGAGGACTCATCTTCAGGGCAGCTGTCTCCTTGTAGTCGTTCGGCAGAGCTCACTGGGCACCTGTATCTGTCAGGTGCTAAGCTTTGTCCAGTGGGAGAGAAGAGCAAAGACCTGTTAATTTCTTTCAATGCAGTCAGCAAGCAGGGGCAGAATTGACATTGGGTCTTGGGGGCTCTGGACTTTCACTTTGTTCTTACGCTGGTTAGCTAGGTGACCTGGGGCATTGACTTAATCCCTCTGTGCCTCAGTTTCCTCTGAGTCAAATGGAGATAGTATATGCAAGTAGTTAAATGTAGGTAGGTGAGAATTAGACAAAGAAGTACATGTCAAGCTCTTAGATCTTGTCCTGGCAGAGAAAAAGCACTTGATAAACGTCATTCCCAGCATCTTATTATATGATTCTTAGTATGTCATATTAATATCTGGTAGCGTTTTAAGGCCCATCTCCTCATGTAATTTTCACAGTGGGTCTGCGTGTTAGGTGTTTTATTATTGCCCAATGATATTAATAAATATATGGAGTCCCAGAGAGGTTAAGTGACTTACCCCAGGTGTAGGTCTCCAGGGCTCTCTCTCTGGTCTCCCTCTCTGTGTGTTCAGACCGCAGGTGGCTGACTTTTCAATGCCCATGTCTGACGCTGGAGGCCCTGAGTGCTAGTATGACTTGCCTTAAGAGGAGCCCCCTGGTGAAAAAGGCCTGCATGGGGCTGGGAAAGCGCAGGGAGATGGGATGAGCCTGGTGGTCCATTAGCGAATCAGAATCCCAACCAGGGACTGAGGCCATGGCAATTCTGTGAGATTCTATTATCTCTGGTCGTGTTTCTGTTCTTTCTTTGGTTCTTTCTTTCCTCTACCTGCTCCTTACTAACCATGCTAACGTTCACAGGGAACTTTCCCCCAGGAGCCGAGCTCTGCAGTTTGCATGCCTTTCTGCCTCTAATATTCACAACCGGCCCATGAGCTGATGCTAAGGAGAGTGATGGATGCTTACCTGAGGCCTACCCTGCTGGGCTCTGCTCTAAGCGTTTTTTTTTTTGTTTTTTTTTTTTTGAGACAAAGTCTCACTCTGTGGCCCAGGCTGAAGTGGTGCAATGGCACGATCTTGGCTCACTGAAACCACTGCCTCCTGGGTTCAAGCGATTCTCCTGTCTCAGCCTCCTGAGCAGTTGGGATTACAGGTGCATGCCACCACTCCCGGCTAACTTTTTGTATTTTTAGTAGAGATGGGGTTTCACCATGTTGGTCAGGCTGGTCTTGAACTCCTGACCTCAAGTGATCCACCAGCCTCGGCCTCCCAAAGTGCTGGGATTACAGGTGTGAGCCACTGCGCCCGGCCTCTAAGCACTTTTCTGTCTTCACTCCCATCTCAGAACAGCCCTGGGGGAGTAGTATTAATAAGGTGTCCATTTTACAGATGAGAAGCTTGAGGTTTGAAGAGGTGGAGGAAATTGCCCAAGAACATTTAGCTAGTGAGTATCAGAAATAAGACAGTGTCAGAGACAGTCTGATTTTGGAGCCATCCATGAAGCTGCAGCCTTGGAAAGAAAAGCCCTATGGAGCTGACCAGTGGGGTAAGCAAGAAAGGGAACTCAGAATTTTGGGACAGAACCACTAAGAAATAGAATCATGATGTTAGAAGCCCAGAGGAAGCCATTAAAGGGCTGCGGATGTTCCCCTGCTGGAGATGGGGCTGCAAGAGGAAGCAAGGAGACAGCATGGGGAAGGATAGGGCTGGGACAGGAGCTGGCAGTGATGGGTAAGGCCTGGGGCTAAATGGTCCTGAAAGACTGGCTGCTCTTTACTGCAAGGCTTGACCGAGACTTTGTACCTACCCTGTGCAAAACGGTATCTTAAATTGCTACAAATCCCCCCTGGAGTAGCTCTCAGGATTCAATCACAGGCCGCAGCCTAAGGAAGGGTGCTCACCAAAGGGCAGTGGCATAATGTGTTTGCTGTGTGCGGAGGGAGATTGAAGAAACATGAGGCCTCCTCTGCTGATATTTACTTTGGAATTATTGACTGTTCATGTTGGAGCTAGTGCTTGGGAGGATGCAGCCTGTGCTTCTTGACTCTTAAAGGGATAAAGCTTTACCTTCTTCGTGGAGAGTGGTGTTGGTTTTTGCCTGGTTGTCCTAGCTTGGCACAAAGACAAGGATCGCCTTCCCTGCCTCTGAAGATACTTGTCCCCACTTATAACAGAGCAAGATCTCAGAGAGGGATTTCTTTCACAAATCCTGCTCTTCTGTGGGGACCAGCATATTGAAGGTAGCCATAGGTTGTATTTATTTACTTGCCAGTCATTTCCATCTCATCCTTGATGACGCAGGTCAGACATCTCCTCCTTTGGGAAGTCTTCCCTGACTGCCCATGTATAAAGTTGACAACCGCAGTAGGCAGACTCTTAGTCCCATTTAGAGCAATTATTAAGTACCTGCTTTGGGATTCAGTATCATTTCCAGTAGATCATATTGTAATGCCACATGGTGGCTAAAGACTCCAGAGGAAGACATAGGCCCAACAAACTACCAGAGCCCTGTGAAACAACCAATCAACAAACGTGCTTACTAAGTGCCCCATGTCCCACTGAGGGAGATAAGAAAACCTCAGTTCCTGACCTCAAGGAGAGTCAGATTGAAGATGGAGGAGAGGGTAGATAAGGCAAGGTTGTGAGAAGATTTGTGTCCACACCAATCTTTTTGTGCCTGGGAGTCAACAACAAATGTATCTGGGAGTGATCAGAGAGGGTGTCCAGGAAACGAGGGATATTCCCAAGGATTTGCAAAATGGGGAGTGCACAGAACCCTAGAGTAGTGGTTTAAGGGCTTAGACTTAGGAGTTCTGGCCCCTGCTTTGCAAATTGCTTGCTCTTGGACAGTGTAACTTTCTATGCCTCAGTTTCCTGATCTGTAAAATGGAGATGATGACTGACTTCACTGGGTACTGGTAAGTAGTAAGCCAGGTTAGGCATGAGAAGCACTTTGCACAGAGCCTGGCACATTATTTAGCATTTGAGAAATACTGCCTGTTGTTATTAACCAATTATTGTTAATATTTTTATTAACAAATTATTATTTCCAATAGTACCAGTAAGAAGGGCATTCCTCGCTATGGGCTCTGCTCCCCAGGGTCTTCTCAGCCTGGAGTGCGTGATTCCCACCTACACCAACTGTGTAACGAGTTCCCCCGTTGCTCTGCAGCTGAATTTGGCTTGAACGTCTTGCTCTCCTCTTCCCAATTGATTGGAGCTGCTTGAGGCCCTGAGGAAAATACGGGGCTCTAATGGCACAAACAGAGAGACTGCCAGAAGGAGAAGGCTGGCAGCTCACAGATGCTGCCCTGTCCCCACACCAGCTGGCCAGTGGTGCTGAGGACTCACCCCCAGGCAAGCATCAAAGCATCAGGAGGACATTACAGGATACCCTTAATCATACCTGTTCCTGCTGTGGGGTCAGCTTTCTGCAAGAAGTTTCAATTGCTCATTCATTCATTCATTCATTCATCCATTTAGCAGGCACGCATTGAGCACCTGCTGTTGCTCAAACATTGTGCTGGGCACCAAGAGGATCACAAATACAAATTCGCTGTTTATTCATGCAGGCATTCAGTGGATATTTATTGAGTGCTTCCTGTGTGTGGTCATTGTCCCTGCCCTCTTTGAACTTGACAAACTGGAGGTAACAGCCGTTGGAAACCATGAATAGGCAGAGGAGGTGCCTAGATAGAGTGCTGAGAGTCACAATATAAGAGTCAGCCAGGCTAGGAGACAGCAGAGGTTTCCACCAAGTCTTAAAAGATGAGTGGAATTCCAGCAAGAGAGAACAGGTGAAAGGGCATTGTCAGCAGAGGGAATACAGCAGCATGGGAAAGCCCTAGAGTGAGGAAAGTGTGGATAAAGAGCCTCACTGTGAGTGGGGATAGTACTGGTGATAATTTAATAGCAGATATTTATTGCAAGCCTTGTCATACTCCATGTCTTCCTAAACACCCTGAACACATTGTCTCAAGGAGCTTATAATGCCAGGTGTGTGGACGATGCTTATAAGAACTTGTTTCCAGGATCAGAACCTGGGTTTAAGTCCTGGCTCTACCACCATTTGCTGAGTGCTCATGGACGAGTAACTGAATCTTGCTGAACCACAGTTCCTCATCATTGGGAACTATTTCTGTTGGCTCCTGTGTCTCTTTGACAACCCCCCATTGTGTGATTGTGTGTGTGTGTGTGTGTGTGTGTGTGTGCTGTTTGAGCACCTCCTTACTTTGTAGTACCATGAGATACTCCAGCCTCATTTTTATACTCCCTGACCCAGCCCTAAAATCAGACATTACTCTAAGGAACCCTGGTTTCTTTTATTGGACAATGGGGTGGGTATGCTCATTGCTACTGGGGCATCGTTGCTTCTAGACAAATCTCCAGTGCAGAAGAATTTCAAACAATTTATGGAGAAACTCCCTCTCAAGGAAGTAGAACATAACTCCCCACCCCTTAAGTATGAGCTGCACGTTGTGACTTTCTGCTAATTAGTACAGTATGTAAAGAAGGAATGATAAAAGTCGCTTCATATACAGAAACCTAAGAAACACAACCCCAGCCAGGTGAACAAGGTCAACATCAACAGTGATAGTCACATTAATAGTATGTACTCTTGATATGATGTAATGAGAATGCCACTTTACCTCCCCAAAACCCATAACCCAGTCTAATCATGAGAAGAAAGAACACCGTACAAACCCAAATTGAGAGACATTCTACAAAATACCTGACTGGTATCTCTCAAAACTGTCAGGGTCATCAAAAACAAGCAAAGTTAAAAAACTGTCATAGTCTAGAGAAGCCTAATGAACATAACTAAACATCATATGGAATCCTGAATGGGATCCCGGATCAGAAAAAAGGGTCAGTAAAGGAAAAACTGGTGAAATCTGAAAAAATGTGACTGTAGTTAATACAGCTGTGCAAATGTACCATGGTAATGTAAGATGTCAACAATACAGAAACTGGTTGTGGATATATGAGCGCTCCCTGTACTATCTTCTCAAGTTTTCAGTTACTCTAAAACTAGTGTAAACTAAAACATTTGTTGTAAAAAGTAGGTAGTGCTATTTTTTATTTTTTAACATTTCTTTTTAAAATATTTTTCTTTTCTTTTCTTTTTTTTTGAGACAGGGTCTCTTTCAGTCTCTCAGGCTGGAGTGCAGTGGCACAATCACAGCTCAGTGCAGCCTTGACCCCCGGGGCCCAAGTGATCCTCCCACTTCAGCCTCCTGAGTAGCTGGGACTACAAGCATGTGCTACCACACCCAGCTGTTTATTTTTATTTTTGTTGAGACAGGGTCTTCCTGTGTTTCCCAGGCTGGTCTCAAACTCCTGGACTCAAGTGATCCTCCTGCCTTAGCTTCCTCAAGTGCTGGGATTACAGAGTGAGCCACTGTGCACGACTATTTATATTATTAATATCAAATAAGATTGTTGTGAAAAAGACATGAGGCATTACGTAGCACACACAGTGTGTATACAGAGGAGGTCCTCAATTCATGTTGATTCTGTCACTCCTATTATAGCAAGTCCTCACTTAACGCCCTCAATAGGTTCTTGGAAAAACAATAGACAGCTGGCCCTCAAAAAATGAATAATGTTGTTTTACTGTGATGTTTATAAGGAAAACGATTTTGTTATACATCATTTCACATAAAGTCTTGGTTTCCAAGAACTGAGAACTTACTGTACTTAGTTCTCACATATCTCCTGTGAAAGGAGGTGCTGTTGCCTTGTGATACCTCCTTGAAGAAGGTGGTATTGTTTCCCTTTCTAGATGGTGCAGTATATTCCTGCATCATGATGGTGCAGGATTTAAGTAGCTGAATGTCAAAATATTTGTCAGTGAGTAAGTTTTCAATAATCACCTACTGCATGCCCGGTCATATTCTCTAACTCTCTGGGAGTTCTGATTCTCAAATATGTCTGGGAGAAGTAGAGATCCTGGGAGCCATGTCATTCTGGATGGGGCACAGTGACTCATGAGCATATTTAATTCTGAGAATTGATCTGGGAGAAAGATATTAGCAGAAAGTACAAGCTGACCCACAGCACTAGGTCTACCAGAAGGACTTGTGAAACTCAGCAAGTGCTGCTGCCTCTAGCTTATCCCAGAAGTGCTTCTTATTGTCTGATTGTATCTTTGAGATTTTGGTGGCAGGCACTAGAGGTTGAAGAAACATTTGTAGGGAAAACTGTTTTGTATTGAAAAAGCAAAGTCCACCTAGTAGCTTAATTTGTCATGCAGATTACAACAGTACTAGTATTATTCTTTTATGCTAGACTCTAAGATCTTGAAAGCAAAGCCCGCCTCTTATTTTTCCAGATCTTGCCCTCAGGTTTAAATAATGTTGGAAGAATAAGTGACTGAATGACTTAATGAGTGTGAATGACTTAATTTATTAGTGAGATACCATGGCCTAGCTCTTTATACACCCATGTGCTTCTGGAGTTTAATCCAAGAACTTCTCTGGGATAAACAAAAGGAAGGTCTCATAATCTTATTGAAGAAGGAAAAAAAAATACTGATGTGGGAAATCATTGTGGATCAATATGCAAGAGAAAACAATTGTATACAGCTACCTCCAAACAGACATTCAGGGTTGAAGGAGAGGAGAAGGGCTCAGGCCTTGTGTGAAGCAGCCTCAGAATCAGAGTTCTCCGCATATACTGATGTTTGTTTCTTTCATTTGTGCCTTTAATGTAATGTCTCCTTCTTTTATCCTCCAGCCTCCTCCCCTGGCTAATTCTTGCTCATTTTTTAAGATGTGCAGCTCAGATCGAAAAATAAGAAAAACTTCCAAAGTTTTTTTTATGAAGCAATTATAATATTGATCCCAAAACTCAATGAAGAGGTCCCCAAAATAGAAAATTACAGTCCAATCTCACTTATGAAATTAAGCAAACATTCTAAATAAAATATTAGCAAAGAGAGTCCAGCAATACATTAAAAGAATATTCCATGATCAAATGGAATTTGTTCTGGTATGTAACATTAGGAGATCTATAACATTTTTCACCTCAGTAAATTGATATAAAGAGAACAAGCATATGATCATCTTGATAGATGCTGAAAAGGCATTTGGCAAAATTCAATATAGATTTCTTGAAGATTTTCTTAGTTAAATTATAATTGATACTTAATTTTACTTGGTAAAATATATTTACCTTAATTCAAAAGCCAGCATCATGCTTACTGAGAAAACAATGGAAGAACTCAGAGTAAAAAGGAGGGGAATTCAAGTAAAAAAGGAGGTTGAAAGGTAAGAGCATCTACCATCAACACTATTATTTAAAATTGAACTAGAGGTACTAGCCAATGTTATTATGCAAGAGAAAGGAATTGGAAGCAAGAAGATTAGGAAAGAAGAGGTAAAATTATTGCTGTTTTCAGATAACATAATTAATGCCTGGAAAACTTAAATCAAGTAAAATGTACTACTAAGAGAGACTCAATAAGGGGGCAAGGCAAAAAAGTCATATATAGAAATCGATATACAATTTACCATAGTAATGGTAAAACTGTTTACCAAGTAATAGAAAATATAAAATACCTAAGGATAAACTTAACTAAAAATGTGCAAGAGCTATATGAAGAGAACTTAAAAATACTCTGAAGGTAAACAACAAGAGCCCTAAATAAATGGGAGAGACTAACGGGCTCTTCAGAAGCCTCAGCAAGATAAAGGTGTCAATTCTGTCTGTATTTCTCTATATAGTTTATCTCAATATAAATATAGTGGTACTTTATAGGGTCTGGCTCTGTCAACCGGGCTGGAGTGCAGTGGTGCCATTTTGGCTCACTGTAACTTCCACCTCATGGGCTCAAACCATCCTCCCTCCTCAGCCTCCTGAGTAGCTGGGACTTACAGGCATGCTCTACCACACCCAGCTAATTTTTGTATTTTTGGTAGAGACAGGGTTTCGCCATGTTGCCTAGGCTAGTCTCAAACTCCTGGCCTCAAGCAATTCTCCTGTCTCAGCCTCCCAAAATGCTAGGATTACAGGTGTGAGCCACTGCGCCAAGCCATAGTGGTACTTTTTAAACTATACAAGTAGAGTCACACATCAAATACTTATTTTGTTCCAGATTCTGTTTACATTTATTATCAGCATTCATTTACTTGACAACAAACTTTGAGGCATGTACAATTATTATCATTACATCTATTTTACAGCTGAGGAAATGGAGGCACATAGAGGTGAACTAATTTATCTAAGGTTGCACACAGCTGCAAAATGTCAGAGCCGGCCTGAAAACCCTGGGAGTTCACATCCTCAGTCCTCATCCCCTCCAGCCAAGGTGCTACATTGTGAAGCAACTGGAAGCAGATGGTATGATAGAAAAAACATGCACAGGCACCCACGCTCATTGTCTTTCCTTATGGGTAAAACGTAGGAAAAATGCCTGGGTTTATTGTAAGAATTAAATTAGTTCACCCACATAAGGCGTCTAACACGCCTCTCACACAAGTTGGAGGCATCTAACACAAAGTTGGCACCCAATAAATGTTAGCTCCTTTGCACCTAGTGCAGAGCCCAGCATAAAGTAGGTTTAACCTTTGTTCATTAATTTGTTCAACGTGATTTTTTATGCTCTCACTGTGGCTAGTCTTCATGCTTGACTCTGGGTGTAAAAAGGAATGAATATTAAATGGTGTGAAATTGAATAAACAAACAACAGCACAGGCAAAATGTAAAACAAAAACCAGTATCTTGGCTGCTTGAGTGGCCTTTTTCACTTTCCTGTTGCTATTCTCTGTCACCAGATGAAGGTGGACAATAGGAGACAACCACTTCCTAGCTCTATGATTCTGATAAAGTTAGCACTCCCTGCTTAGTTTGTCTGTAAAAGGAGAAAGGTAATAATAGTACCTACTTCACAATGTTGTTGAAAGGGTTAAATTAAATATACCCCAAAAATACTTAGGAAATTTATCAATGTTTGTTATTATATGATTAGTAGTATAAGTAATAGTATTTGCATAAGTACATACTGACTCACCCATCCATCCACCCATCCATCCATCCAACCAGCCACCCATCCATTCATCGTCCATCCATCCATCCATCCATCCATCCGTCCGTCCGTCCGTCCGTCCGTCCATCCATTTACTAAACCCATTTGTTAAATACTGTATAAAATTGCCTACTATATGTTAGGAACTGTCCTAGGTCCTGAGCCTATAATTGTGAGCCAGACACACCTGTATCTTGCCTTCTGGAATGTACAAAAAAGCAGCAGTGACACTCCCTCCAGCCTAGGCTCTCACCATTTTATTTCCTGAACCTTGAGATGATAAACAGAAGTGACCTCCCGTGGCATGATGGGGAACATTTTCTCAGTGAAAGGCAGATTCAATGGAAAAGGCTTAGGCAATTCCACATAATGTGGGATCATCAGCCCAGAGCAGTAAGCTATTTGTTATATAGATGTATTGCCAACACTTGGAGCCCTAGATTGGGGTGGTCTCCACTCCCTACCCCCACTGAAAGTAATTCACAGTTTAAATGTTTCAAATTATATCTTCTCCAGTGTTGCCTTTCACAATGCTAACCACATCCTGTGTCCTAATTTGTATTCTATCTGCCCTGAAATATTTTAATTCAATTTTTGCCTTATGTTCGATGTGATGAATTAGAGCCAGAGAATCATTGACTAAGTGTCAAGGAAGATGGATTGAGGAGTTGAAACTAATGGCATTTGGGGACAATATTTTCCTGCAAATATCAGGGTCACAAATGAAGAGGTAAATTATGCTGCTGCTAGCCAAGAACAGAACACAAACTTCAATGGTACACATGAACTTTTTAAAAAAAGACAGATAATTGCATCTGAGTTTAGATTTGTTGAGAGATTGTAGTTTTAAATACAGGGTCAGTTAGGGATAAACTAGAACAGCCTGGCTTAAAATTCACCAGTTCCTGTCACAAAGCTGACACTCAGAAAGTATGAAAGAGAGAAAGAAAGTAAGACAAGCAGAAGAAGCAGGAGCTGTGGGATGCAGGAGTTCCAATGGAACTTGGTTCATAAAAACAAGAGTGAATGACGTGAGCACGTGGGAGCCACTGTCAGGCCCTAGGCTAAGTCTGTGGGCTAAAAGATGGCATCCAGGGTGGATGGTGACAGCGTACTACAGAATCAGATCACTGCTTGGGCCAGCCAGTGCCTTTGGAGATGTAGACTTGAGGAACACAGGGGCTGCCCGCATGTATGAGCCTTCCTTGATGTGTTTCCTTATAGGTGCTCTTGGGTCTTCTTTATGTAAATATATTAATAAATCTGTATAAGGCCCACTTTTGACACCCTCTCCCCTTCCTCCTTTGCCACACCACCTGGCCCGGTAGCATTTTCCAAAGTGCATTCCAAGGGACCTTAATAAATTATGGAATTAAGTGTTCAATGACCAGATAATTTGGGAAACACTTACCCATCTTTTGGATAATTTATTTAACTTATTAGAGGCTCTGAGAAGTCCAGCATCATAATCTAGCCTTTTCCAAACTCATTTTCCAAATGACGCCTTTTGTGGTTTCGCGTTTTATCTACCAATATCCTTCTGAACTAGTGTTACATCTTCAGAAATTTGAACTTAGTAATCAGAGATGCTCTACACATCTTGTTAGCTCTCCTACAAGTGGCTGGTTTGATTGAGTGAACTGCTTGCTTCTGCATCTGGTTTCTTAGCCCCCTTCCCGTGACTTTGTCTGTCTTGTTGGCAGTACCCATTGAGTCTACTAGGTGCCAGTCAGTGTCCAGGTTTTGGTAACTCCCCCTTCACTTTTCAAATCTTCACCTGATGGGACTTACTACCTCTTGCCTCTCCTTCCCTCTAGCCTTAGGAACTCAGATGTACACTGTGTTGCTCCCTGTTTACAACCCACGCCGCCCTCGCCCCATTACAAGACTTATTCACATGGTCACAAATCCTCTGGCCTCTTGTCATTTCCCAGCTCAATACATCTGCTTTCCTACCAGCTGTGACTCTTCCTTGCCTCTAAAGACCACATGCCCTTCAAGCCTGCTTGTCTTTGCACTCATTTGATTTCTGCTTTCTCATGCTTCCCCCTGTTTGCCTGGTTAATCCTGTGTCCCCTTCATAGCCTGGCTCAAATGTTCCACTTTCTGGTGTCAAAGTACCTTGGTGACTTCCCGTTCAGCAGAGCCTTCTGAGGCTTACTCAGGAGCAAGCACAAAAACCCCTGCTAGAACATTTGTCCCAGCATGTCCTCATTTCTTGTTTGTTTATTTAAGCACCAATTGCCCCCAACTGACCTGAGCATCTCAAGGGCATGGTTTTTGTTTGTTCCTCTCAGTTTCTGCTGGAACTGGAAGGTTGATGCTCAGTAGATGTTTGCAAATGACTTGGCAATGTGGCACTTTGGCAGGTCCTTAAGGCACGCTTTGAATTTGGATAAATAGTAAGAATTAAAGAATTTCCACAGGTAAAAATGTGACGTTCTTAGAAAAATAACACCCCATGTTTGGAATCTTTTGGTAGATCTAAACTAAGATGTAGAAAGGTTACATTTTGAGTTTTTTTTAAGTATGTTTATTTTTTCCAGGATGAAATTAATACTGGTCTCTTTTGAAATATTGTAAAATAAATAATAGAAAAAAGATTGCTAAAGAAAATCGTCAAGCCACATGCAGAAAGAATATAAAGCACTATCAACATTTTAGGAGCTCTCGTGCATGTTTTTTTCTTTGTTCAAGTTACATCCTATAATTCAAAATACTACTCATTTCACAATTACACAAAACATAAGCGTTTTACTATTATTATTTAATATTTGCTAACATAATTGTGTTAATATAATGTTAATGGCTTTATACTATTCCTTCCCCTAGATGTAGATTAAAGAAGTTATTGTCTTCCACTATTACTTCATTATAAATAATACTGAAGGTCTTTGCTTGGCGTGTATCTTTGACTTTGTTTTACACATACGAATGGACAGTTTAAAAGTTTAAAAATATCTTATCTGGGTTAATTTCCAAAATACAGTTACTGGTGTATTCTTTCTTAATCAATAATTAAGAATTTTGTTTTTCTGTTCTTTTGATTTTTCTAAATGTATTGGTGAGAAAGGAAGTTTATTTCATTTTCTTTTCTTTGGTTGCTATTAATGTTGACCCTTTTACATTTCTTTTAACCTTTTCATTTTATTTTTCTTTTCTTTTTGAGTGTTCTGTTTAGATCCTTTTACTTTATGAGGAAGATTTCTCACAAACAGTAATCTTGCAGCCTGATAAACGAGGTTGCTATTCTAAGGCATAATTAAAACAACAATGAACCGCAAGTCCTCACTCTGAGAAATTCAGATGATAAAAAATATTCTATTAATTTTAAAAGGTCAGTACATTAAAGAACATATTAGACATAAAAGATCTCTGCCTTGGAGCTACCAGGTATGGCCATTTGGGGAGAGTTTTGCTAAGGGAACCTTGGAGTGAGGAGCTGAGGAGGTTCGTGCCGCAGAAGCATCAGATGAGTCAGAGTTGTTCTTTGCTTGCAGTGTTCTCTGTGCAGCTCCACTTATAAACAAACTACTTGGCTTCAGAGAGGCTATTGGAAAGTGGTCAGGGGTCTGGACTTTGGAGTCTCGCATACCAGTTTGTTCACTGTTGCCTTAGCTCAGTAACCTCATTGATATGTACCTCAGCCCCCTTATCTGTAAAACAAGCTGGAATTTGGGAAGCTTGCATTGGTTATTAGATGAGAGGGTGGAATGGAAACCAGAGAGATAAGAGCACTCAAAAAGTGGCATTCTGGACTGAGGCCATAATGAAGAGCCAAGCAGTAGCCTGGTGGAAGCATGGCCCTGAAGGGCCTGGGCAGTGATGCTGAAGCCAGGTCACAGTCCCTCCCTGTCTTCTTTCCTCCATTTTTATAAAAAACTGCTGTGTGCCAAGCACTGGCCTGGACCCCAAGCATCCAAAAGATATCAAGTTTATACCTTCGTGACACTTATATTCTGAAGATCAAAACAGACAGGAAAGGAGAAAACCAAGGAATACACAAGGGAGGTATGGACCGTGAACATTACTAAGAAGGAAGTAAATGAGGTGATGTCCAAGGGAGACTGGAGGAAAGAGGAGGGACCAGAGATGTCAGAGGGGCCTGGAAGCACAGCTAGCAGCTCTTGTCGTGAGTCTGAGGTCTCTGCCAGAAGGGGCTTAGATCAAGGGCTGGGCTGGAGGTGGCGCCTCCTTCAAGAGCCTCTGGGAGGTTGAAAGTGCATTCCTTCACTCATTCCACCAGAGGTTCCTGAACCCCTCCTATGTGCCTGGCTCTGTTCCTGTGCTGGGCAATAGCAGGGGAGAAAATGAAGCCTCGGCCCCCATGAGGCTCACATTCTGGTGAGAGGAGATGGGTCATCAACAAACAAGCCAAATCTCTTAGGTCAAGTGCAGATAAGTGCGAGGAAGCAAAATAAAGAGGGATGAGAGATAGGGTGAAGGGGGCATAGAAGAAGGGGCTCTGCAGATATCTAGACAGAGTTGCTTGGCTGACTTCAAGAACAGCTGGGAAGCCAGCCCAGTGGGACCAACAGAAGCAATGGGGAGGAGAGACAGGGAGGCTCTGAGGGGCTGGACTGCTAGAGATTTGCAGGCTGTGGCAAGAGTTGTCATTTTGTGGTTGACACCCCAAGCAAGGGAGTTTGGTCATTGACCTAGCTGTGCTGTAGAGTCCTAAAATCTGAGGCCATATTGGATAGTTGTAACTGGGAGAAGTGAGAACCAGAAGTCAAGGGTAGATGGCATCAGGGGAAGTGGGGTGCCCAGTTCAAGCCTGAGAAACTAAATCTGTATCAGATCCAAGGGGCCAGTGCAGGCATGGAGATGCAGATGAAGTCAGAAGCTGAGGAAACACTAGCAGGAAGTAGTGGGTGAGAGCCAGGAGAAAAGTTGGCAGATGTGGCAGTGCATGGGCCTGGGCTTCCTGGGAAAGGGATCTTATTCACCTGCCAGGCAAGTGCCTTGACCTGGGTGTGCCTGGAAAACAAAATTAATTGAATGAATACAAAGGTGCTTTGTAAACTCCATCAAATTATTTGTTATGCTAATGTCATCATTACTAGTTTCTCTAATAACCAATCACACAATTAGGAAGCACTAACTGAACTTTCACCTTGTCACACAATCCACAGCTGGATTTGCCCCAAGGACTCTCTTTCTGGAGTGTGTAAGCAGATTCAATTGGTACCCAGCCCTCTTTCTGATGCAGAAATCTAGCCGTGTCCAAGAGGCATCGTAACATGGTGCAGTGAAGGTGTCCCTGATGGCTTGACCCAAGCAGAGGAGCTTAAGAGGAAACAGACCCCTTCCCTGGAGCACCCAGCAGGACACAGTGAGCACCCTGGTAGGGCTTCAGGAATGATAAGCCTATGAGAGAGAAGGAGCAAGGAGCCTCATGCCAATCCATGCACCAACAATGCTGGGAAATTGGCAAGTGTTTAGATATAAAATGTAGACTACAGCAAGACACCCCTGATCTGAATCAAACATGAAACATTTCTCCCTCTTAGATTTAAACTGAGTGAGGATTTTCCTGTTTTTTAAATGGCAGGTGATTTGGTTGGGTACCCCACTACCGTTAAACTGTCAAGTTATGTGATGCTTCATCACTGTATTTGACCCTCCCAATTATACTGTACTGTTCCCAATAGACAGATAAGGAAATGAGGATATGGAGAGGTCAAGTATGGGGCCAAGGTGAAGAGGTAACAAGCATAATGAGTGTTAATGCAGATAATTCTTTAGTGAGAGTATTGGAGGCAGAATTCCAGCAATGGAGAGGGATGGTTCCAAGACTTGTTGTATTCCCTCATCCTCGAGCTGATGGGGTTTGGTTGTGTTTCGTTTCTTATGCACTACCCTTCTGAACCCTTATGTAGGCCAGGGATCCTTGGCCATTAGGTACTCACAGTCCCTTTTGAGAATGCATTGAAAGTATTGAGTCCTTATTCAGCGACAGTGTACATCCACACAAATTCATGTATAATCTCAGGGGTTCATACTCATCCCACAAGCATGTCTGTGGACCCCAAATGAAGACCCCCTGATATTGCCCATATTTGAATTCCACGTGAAGTGCTGGGGACCATCCATTCTTTTTGAACAGCCCCAGTCATGGTGGCAAGCTTCGTGCCTCCTCACCTTTGGAGAGCTCTGGGATATTATTTTTTTTCTGAATCAAACGCATATATTTGTAATGTTCAGCTTCATCAGAGTTTGATGATGATTATAGAATTCTTGAGTTGGAAGGAGCCAAAGTCATGTCTCAGCTAACATTACCCAATGAGCCTTCTTTGGTTGACTTCTTCCTCTAGATATTCTGTGGCTGAATGGATCTGGGCATTGTTGACTTAAACAGAGACTAAAGGAATTCTCTGTAGAGCCACAGTGACTCCCAGAGGGGGTCTAAAGCATCTCTCAAACCCATTAGGCCTCAGAATATGTTCTTTAGAGGCATCTGGCAGTGCTAGGACTTCTCAGAAAATGCTGCAGGAAACTCTAATTCAGCTCCTCCCACTTCTTCATTCTAAAGTGGAAGAAGCTGAGGCCTTGAAGGGAGAAGTTTTCTGGAGTCATCCATTCATTTACTCAGCCACCTTTCACTGAATATCTCCTTTATGGATGGCCCTGAAGTTAGATTACAACTTTATCCCTGACCTTAAAGAAGCTCCTTTTTTGTGAGGACACCAACACTTACACAAATTACAATGCAACTCAGTAAGTATACTCACAAGGGAGCAAATTCCCTGGAAGAAATGTTTCAGCTGGGCTGTCGAGGACGGGATGGAGTTTGATGGATGGGAATGAAACTAAATGGTGTTCCAGACAGAGCTCTTTGCGCCAGAGCACAAAGGCCTTTAGGGAAGGACATGAGTAAGGAATGGCAGGTGACTCATTGGAGTGCAAGGGGAAGGTTCTGATTGGAGGAGGAGCAGCCATAGGTTGAGATGGACCAGTGGAGTGGGGGATCCCATGGAGAAGGGTTTTAGACTTGTCTTGTAGTCCTGTGGGTTTTGAGCAAGGAAGACAGTCTCAGGAAGATCACAGAAGCAACAGCTTGGAGACTGGCACACAGGGCTGTGACTTTGGAGATCTGGACGACATGGAGTGATGAGTTTAGGGCTGCAGCTGCCTGTGGTGCCCATGTCTCCTGCGCTCATCCCATATCTCCTTTTGGCTAGGACTGGCTGGGGCAGCTCAGACTTGCAGACTGACCTCACATCACTGTGTGCAGGCAAACTCATTCCACAAGTGCAGGGCAGAGAGCGACCCTGGTGCCAGCACAATCATTGTCTGAGGAGACATGGATAAATGTGCCAGTCTTTTGCCTTTCGTGCAGACAATTATGGAAGATTTTTCAGTATCTCATGTGGTCTCAGGAGAATCGAGCCCCTGTTCTCCACAGCACACCCTCACATTGACGCACTTCTCTGCCTGTCTTCCTCTACCGGCTCACTTCTTCACTCTTGCTTCGCTGAATTACCTTCCAAAGGAACCACTCCCAGCCCTTTTCTTGGGTTCTGCTTTTGGGGAAGCCCAAGCTAAGATAGGGGCATTATTTTTGTTTTATGTCAAATGAATCTAATGCCACATGGTCTGACTGGGTGAGTAGCATGGTATTCTCTGGCTCATTTAGAAAGGGATGATCATCTTCAAGATGTTTTTGGTCCTCCCTGGGCAAGTGACTCAACTTCCAGAATTCCAAGGCCCTTAGTTTTTGTTGTTGTTGTTGTTGTTGTTGTTGTTAATAAAATAGTTTTAGATTTACTATAGTCTCTCCTGAGCCACGTGACTGTAAAACCTCAAGTCTGGCACATATTTTAAAAGACATCTAATCCAATTCACAACTCATATTGAAATTGCCTCTGTAGCCTTTCTGTCATGTAGTCGTCACTCTCTGTTTTTTGTCTCTTTGATGGGGATCTCACTACTTTCCAGATTGACCATCCCATTCCTGGGCCATCACTCAACAAAATCAACTCAATGAATATTTATTTAGCATCCACTAAGTGCCAGGTGCTGGAGTTTTTGAGAAGGGCATTAATCACAGTCCCTTTCCCTCTGGGTTGTAAAGCAATTAAGAAATAGCACAACAGTTAGATGGGGTCTCGTAGATGCCAGCTTTGTTGCCGATAATTATACATCAGGAAATGGGGCTTCCTCCTGATCTCAAGAGCTTCCTGATATTCTGTTTCCAAGACTAGAGTGTGTGTTATTCCTGAGGGGAAAGATGAGTCTGCAGAGTGGACACACATCCAGCCACTCTGTGGAGGCTTGAGGTCTACCTGACAGCTCTCATATCCAGAGGGCCCAGAGCCTCAAAGTAGGAAGATACTTGAATGTGTAGTCTTAAAAACATCATTCCTGCTTCGTAGAGTAGTGGGCATCAAAGCTGTCACACTGCTGCTATCTTATCTTTTCAATCAGTCCCTGCTGTCCTGCCCCAGTCCAGCTCTCTTCCCAGCACATTTTTCTTGTAGAAACTTGACTTTGAATGAACACTTATATTTCTTCCGTGATGGCTGAAGGTGAGCAGCCTGCGAGCAGTGGTGTGTCTTCTGCTACTTTCTGAATAACAAGGAACTAATATTCATGGAGCCTCCACTCAGTGCCTGGCTCTGTGCTGAGAGTCTCAGGAGATCCACCAATGGCCCTGTGATTTTCACCATTTTTATAGATGAGAAAACTGAGGCTCAGAGAAGTAGCATGCTTATCTGACTTATCACCTTCATGAACCGCATCCACACTCAGGTGAGCCTGGCCTCAAAGCCATGTTTACCTGACTTCTTGGCATCAAGATGACATTTGCCTTTTGTTATTTGACTCTCCCCGAGTAAAAGGACCATTGGAGAATCCATGCAATCTTTGGAGTTTCTGAAGGCAAATTCAGGATCAGGTAGTTGAGGGACTCTGGTAGGTGAATATATCTCAGAGGTCCAGTAAGCCTAGACTCCGTGGTTGTTAAGTGATAAAGTCTGTGTTTTCCGAAGACTAGGCACAAAGGGGACTATATGAGCTCATGTCAGCAGACCATGTGATGGGCAGGTTCAAAAGAAACCAGGGGAACACTCAGATCCCACCAGCATTCCCCTTCTCATCCCTTTTTCTCTTTGCTTGCCAGCTTTATTTTTTTAGACCAGCTTCCCTGAGGGCATGGAAACACGATTGCTACCAGACTGAAACTCACCTTCTGATTGTTTTGGGCTCTTCCTCTTAAACTCTCATCAATTTCCAGGAAAGGGTCCTGATTGGCAGACTCAGGGTTACATGTCAATCCCTGGACCAATCACTGTGACAGAGAGTGAACTATTCTGATTGGCTCAGCTTGGGTCAGGGGCCTCTCCCTGGACAGATAACGGAGGGACAGCTTCTCTTGGACTGGAGGACTCCTTCAGTCATCAGGGTGGCTGTGATGGTGCTGGAGTGGAGGGGAGGCACAGAGGCCCTGGACAGCATCTTAGGGCATCTTAGGCCCTACTAGATATGTGATCCTTGCTCACCACTGATTAACAAATAGCCTTGAGGTGTTTTTATACCAGTAATTTATGCACATTGAGCCTACAGCTCTGCATTAAGGTAAAGGAAAGCATCCTAAATCCTGACCTCAATCTGGTCTAGAGGTGCTTTGTGACATTTTCATAAATAGATAAGCTCTTAGTCAACTAGCATAAAGAACAAGGAACATTTCTCTCTTTCCCTAGAGGTTTTTTGCTGATATGAGGACTGTTATAGAACTGGTCCTGTTGCTGACTGCTTTCTGGGGCTATATCCTTAGGGCAGTCGCAGAGACAATGCCAGGGTGATGATCTAGGAAGGCTGCTGGGATGTTGAACCCATGTCCCTCAAACCCATCCCCAGAACCAGTGGCTGTATACTGAGGACTGTAAAGAGCAGAGGCTACCAGGGATTATTGGGGGTGCCCCACTGACTCCACAAGCCCAGCAGTACAGGAAATGAGACTGGCCAGGAATTCAGCCTCCAGAGGAGGAGATCCAAGATCTATATGGCAGAATGGCTCTCAGTCCAGAGCAAGACCAAGCTGTCATCTCACGGAAGGTAGGAACATCTTAGAGGCAATAACTTGCCCATCAGAAGTAGCATTGGCTCACCATGGAAGTATGGATATGGGGAGTCTGAGAAGCAGGTGGGAAGTGTCCTCTGAGCATTGTTCAGGGGAGAGGGTGTGCTGACCCCAGAATACGACCTGCCTGGTCTTAGTGGCTCTGTATCCTTGAAATGGAGATGAAAATGTCAGGCTGGCTAGAAGTTCAGGGCCATGAAACACTCAGATAATATAACTAATGCCCCCTGTTTTGATTCCTTTCTTACCAAGCCAATTTCTAATTACAGGTGATCTGCAGGGATAAACTGGCCTATGGATGTATTGTCTGATATCGTTGGCCGTTGTTCTCACTATATAGCAATCATTTAGCATGCTAGTGTATGTATGTATCAGTTTAGTTAATGTGAGTCTACCTATGGGGGTGGAGACCCTGAAAATAAATGATTGACTAATGGTGAATTCCATCCCATGAGAGCACACAGGAGCCAGCTGCCTCTCCTGCAGATATCTGTCTTAGCTTTTCTTCAAACACATGGGGGTTCTGTGAGTGGTCAGCCCAAGGTGGGCACTAGGAGGGAAATCAGACAAGCTCCTACATTTCACAGAAGGTTCGCTATTCAAGCTCCTGTTTGGTCAAAGTGCTGAGCCAGGTGCTATATTCCTGCTCTGTGTGTTCCCCACAGTACCTGGCTCAGGGCTTCTTTCCCTTTTTAGTAGACAAGTAGGGAACACACACTCATGACCACAAACAAGGCTCTAGTTAACCTTCATCTGCAGCCGTTTTAGAGCTTACAGTGTTCTCTCTTGCCTATGACCTCATCTTGTTGCTACAAAAATCCAAAGTTTTTGTTTGTTTGCTTGTTTGTTTGTTTGTTTTGAGGCAGAATCTCACTCTGTCACCTAGGCTGGAGTGCAGTGGCATGATCTCGGCTCACTGCAACATCCACCTCCCAGGCTCAAGCGATTCTCCTGCCTCAGCCTCCTGAGTAGCTGAGATTACAGCCGTGCGCCACCACGCCCAGCTAATTTTTGTATTTTTAGTAGAGACAGGGTTTCACTATGTTGGCCAGGCTGGTTTCGAACTCCTGACCTCAGATGATCCGCCTGCTTCAGCTGCCCAAAGAAAAAACCAACATTTTTGAAAGCAAGTATTGTTTAATCAAATTACAGTTGAGAAAATGAGACCGTAAGTGATTAGCAGGTTTGCACAAAGTCCCTCTTCAGTGAAAGAGCCAAAGTTTGAACAGACATTTGTTCAACTTCCCAGTTTTGACCGTTTCCATGTGCCCAATGGTTGTCCTTAGTTGTCGATCAATATTTTTTTTCTGACAGTCCTTCTGCCTGAAATTCCCCTCCCTTCCCCTTCCTTCCCTTCCTTTCCCTTCCCTTCTTTCCACCCTCTGCCTCCTCCCAGGTCTGCCAGTTAAAATCCTACTTTTTTTGGCGGAGGGCTGGGGGTCGGGGGCTGTGGAGTTTCACTCTTGTTGCCCAGGCTGGAGTACAGTGGCGCGATCTCGGCTCACTGCAACCGCTGCCTCCCAGGTTCCAGCGATTCTCCTGCCTCAGCCTCCTGAGTAGCTAGGATTACAGGCGCCCACCACCATGCCTGGCTCATTTTTTGTATTTTCAGTAGAGACAGTGTTTCGCCATGTTGGGCAGGCTGGTCTCAAACTCCTGACCTCGTGATCCACCCGCCTCGACCTCCCAAAGTGCTGGGATTAAAATCCTACTTTGTGTGCTTCACTCTCATGCCATCCCTTCCATGAATCCAAACCAGCCTTCCTGGGACATCATGCCCAGTGTGGAACTGGGGTCAGGGCAGTGTGCCTTGAGCACCAACCTCTTTTCCCCACACTGTCCCAAAGACAGAAAATAACCCTAACTATAGGAACCACCATCAACTGTCAAAAACTCATGAAATCAGCTATGAAAATCATGACACATGAGTCACTGAGTATTTTTGCCACAACAGTGTTAAAATAGCGTAATCTCCATAAAAAATGAAAAATAAAATCAAAGGAAAAGGATGAGCCCTTTGGCATAACTGTTGCTATCACTTACTTGTGCCACCTTGCGGTCCGATCTGTCACCCCCAGAGCTAAGGAACACCTCCCTGCAAGCACTGTGGTGCCAGGGTGCCCACAGGCAACCTCTGATTTAGCCCTCACAGCAGCTCGGGGCAGTGAGTTTCCTAAGCGAGTCCTGCTCTGTGTTCCTGAACTCGCCAGAGTTTTCCAGCATTAGCATTGTTGACATTTCTGGCCAGGTGAGTCTTTGTTGTAGGAGTCTTGTTCCTGTGCATTGTAGAATGTTTAGCAGCATCCTTGCACACTAGACGATCGCAGCACCCCACCCACCTGTGACAACCAAAACCATTTCCAGGCATCGCTGAATGCTCCTTGGGGGGTCAAGATCATCCCTTTGTCCCCTATTTCTGCTCCTAACACCCCGCCCCTGGTGAGAACCACTGTCTTACAGCACTGCTTGGATGTAAAATGCAGATCAGCTGCTTTCTTCTCTGTAACTTTGGGTAAGTTACATAATCTCTCTGAGCTTCCTCGTCTAAACGTGGGTTGAAAACAGTGCCACCCTCACAATGCATGGGATTTTTATTAGGATTAATTGAGTTAATTCATAAAACGAGCCCAAACCATGGCTTGGCAAATGGTATGTTCTGCACACTTGTGAGCTATAATGCCGACTCTAAGCCTGCTGACTTCCTTCCCTGCTGAGAGGGGTGCGGTGGGGGTAATTTGAAGTCACCCCAGATGGAACTGAAGAAACTGAGTCTTAGAGAGCAGAAGCGATTTGCCCACTGTCAGCTGGCAGGTCCAGAATTTAAATTCACATCTGTTGGAACCCAAAGTGATTGTCTTATCCCTATAGCCAGTGCCTCTCAGGGAAAGAAGCAAAACTGAGTCAAGGAGGCTGCTTCTGGTTCAGTGAGTGGGATGCTTCTCAAGCCACAGCCTAAGGACAGTCACCTGCTTCCAAGTGGTCACAGTGCCACCCACGGGAAGGGCAAAGCTCCCTGCCCTGTGCCCTGAGCTGTACAGCCTGAGCTGTAGCAGGTGACCCTCATGGTCATCCACTGGGAGGGCCTACTTCCAGCCCCACAGCCACTGTGGAGGAGGGAACACCTATATTTGAAGGATTCTGGGGTCTCTGGTAGTGGGCCTCCTCCGTGGGCTTCAATGGGCTCACTAAGGGGTGAGCCCGTCAGTCTCTGAGTGAGGTTGACTTTCGTAGAAATTAGAGAGTTGGGGCAGGGGTGGAGGAGATTGCTTTCCATTTGGATTTGTTCACCACAGTATCCCCAGGGATGTAGTTTTTGATTGAGTAAATTTCAGAAAGGAAGAAGGGGAATGGTCTTTGAGGTCACACACAAACCAGTTCAGCCCTGGATCTAACACTGGCTAAGCTCGATGATATTTGGCAATTTATGTCTGTGAGTCTCACTTTCCTCATCTGAACAATGGGAATAATCCATCCCAGCCTTGGGGATTGAGGATTGGACATAAATGGGATCATTTGTGTTACTGTAACCTAGAGAATGCTTAGTGCTTGGCAGATATTCAAGTTGTATTAATGGGATCTGTCACTGTGGGGGAAGCAGAAATGTGTGAGAGTGGAGGTGTGGGGAAGGGAAGGGGTGGTGAGGGAGGCCAGGCCCCTAGTTATTAGTGGTGGGGTGCGAGTAGGTCAGGTGGGTGAAGCGTCGCTACCTGGAGTTTGAGGCCAACCCCTGAGCTTCCTGTCATTAGCCACACGAATAGATTTGCTTCGTTAAAAAAAAATTCCTCTCTCTTGAGTTTTCAATTTTAAGTTCTAATAAAGAAAAATAGGACTTAGAATTCCAGAAGAGAAGGCTGGTAGAATTGCATGGGCACTTGGGGTGAGGGTTTGGTAACATTTCCTCCATGGCTGCCTAAACCAATACCAGGTAGTGTTTGTCTAAGACTCACGTGCGTGAGGAATGCTGACTGACCACCCTAGATGCCCTAGACTGTTTGTCAGGAAGGGAAGAACAAGGAAAAGGAGATGGAAAATGCAGTCCCTTCTTTGCTCTGTGGTGCACTCTGAGGTGCTCCCAGGAAAGAGCCCCGCTTGCCTGGTTGGCAGGATCCTTGGTAGGATGTTGTAGTGCCCACCCTTACTGGGATGAGCAGATGCAGTGGCCCCTGCTTTGGAATCAGTGCCATCTGGGTGCTCATTGGCTAGGTGATTACAACAGGTAGCTTGGCCTCGGTGGACTTCGGGATCTTACCTGTAAACCCTTCTGTCCCTGGGATGTTAGGAAGACTAGAACAAAGGGAAGCTGAAACATTTGGCAGTGGCACCAGCTAGGGCGAGTTAGAGCAAAGTATAGCCAGCATCTCCAGGGCTGAAGCTCCTAGCCCCTCCCCACCATGAATCTGAAACCCGGACATTTTCTCTTGGAAGGAACTTGTTTGCAATGGGGTGATTGGGTCTGTGTGTCAACCTGTGCAGATATTACACGTTCTGAACTCTTCAGTGTCTGCAAGATGTATCCGGACTGCCAACAATGTTTGTGTTCACCTCACTAAGTGTGCCATTTGGGAGTGGGGAGGCACCTTACACTTCAGTATCATTTCACAGGTCCAAAGTAATGTTCACTGCTCCTTTTCACTGTCAAAAGAGGCTCCATTTAAATGATTCATTACATGTTTCCCCATCCATGAAGCATGATCTCGCTTGATGCAGAGTAAGAATTCCAGCTACGCTCTTACTAGTGGTGTAGCCTTCAGCGTGTCATTTCACCTCTGAGTACATCAGTCAGCTGTTGTCACAAAAATGCTGTGTAACAAGCTGTCCCCAATTGTCAGTGGCTCAAAACAACCTTTTATTCTCCTAGATCTGCAGGTTGGCTTGGGTGGTTCTGCTGATCCTGGCTGGGCTTGCTCACATGCTTTCAGGAAGAATATAGCTGCTTAAACAAGGCTGGGCTTGGCTGGATGGCTTTTCTTCTACCTGCAGGTCTGCTCTGCAGGTCTCCTGGGCTGAATCTGTTCCATATGTGGAGTAATTAGGGCATGTTCTTTCAGGGCTTGGTGGAGGTGTAAGAGGGGAAACCCAAATGCGTATGCATATCCCAAGCCCCTTCTTGCATCACATCTGCTAACATCTTATAATATTTTATTAGTCAAAAGCAAGTCACGTGACAAGTCCAGATTGAAGGAACAGGGAAGTCCGCTTTGTCAGTGATGAGTCACCAAGTACAGCAGACTTCTTTCTCTCTTCTCTTTCTGTTCTTCCCCCCGTCATCTGTAAAGTAAGGAAAAATGCAGCGTATCTCTCATCTGTGCTTCTGATTTTGTGGGTTGTTCCATTCCATTTGGAAGTCGCTCGTTAGATACTAGTTTAGTGTAAAGTAAATCTGTCTTCACAGTCTCCCCATTAAAGTGGAATAGAAACCAGGGTACTTAGCCACACATGCTGCCTGAGGCGTTGACTTGCTGTGTGACCTTGGGTAGGCCACTTCACCTCCCTGAGCATCAGGGACCTGGATGAGTCTCTTCCAGCTCTGACAATCTGCATTACTGTGACAAGCTCCCAGGGCGGAAGTGTGGAAGGGCTCTCCAGGACCATCTAGCTCAGCCTCTTGCTTTTACAGGTGAGGAAACCAAGGCTGTTGGAAACAGACTCAGTTCAACTTGGCTTTTCTGAAAGAGTCAGATTATTTTGGTGAATATTAATAGCTTCTCATAGCTAGTGATAGGTGGGCCCCGAGGGTACAGGTGGGAGACTATCTGTTTCCTCCCCAGAATCTTGTGTGCACATGGTATGTTACAGTGAAAGCAAGTTTATGACTAAATTCTGCCAAAATGCGGACATTCACTACCACATATGTGAAAAGCAAGGCAAAGGAATGAACAGTATTGCAAACGATTTACTAGCCTAGAAAGTCAAGAAGGAGTCACTTTCAGGTGAACACGATGATCTTTTGAAGCAGGACTGCCTGGTTAGTGTGGAATCAGATGACAGAGCCCTCTGTGAAGAGGAGAGAAGGTGGATCCGCCAGCCTCTGCACCTGTGGAATATGGTAGCCACTAGCCACATGCTGCTGCTTGCATTGAAACTAATTTAAATGGAATACAATTAAAATTTTAGTTTATGCACATTACAAGTGTTCTACAGCCTGAGGTGGCCAGTGACACCATAGTGGTGCACAGATGTAGGATGCTTCTCCCATCACAGAAAGTTCTGTTGGACAGTGCCCCACTGGATTTCCCATGCAGCAGAGAAACCCTCAGTTGCAGGGCTTGTCAGATTCTAATGTAAATACTATTTATTTCACCCATGAAAAATTATCTCTAACAGCCCTTATCCAAGTCCAGCAAACCGTCTGTTGCAAATTTACACAGATATTTTAAGGGCTAAGTAACCACCTCTGAAGGTGCTGATTCCAAATTAGGGCAGTTCATATCCTGGCTTATGATCCTGGCAGCATTTTTTTTTTCATTAGCAGCTGCAAATAGTAATTCACTTCTCCTAGGGTGGGACTTAGAGTTAACTTGTAGGAGCAGATCACAGTCTTCATAATGAAGAATTTCAATTATAAATTACAATGTAGGAAATGCAATAGAGACTCAGAGAACTGTCCAACTCTTCCCTGCCTTGGAGCATCCTCAAGGTCTGCTCCCCTTATCTGGAATAGTGGGTTTTCCTTTTTTTTTTTTTTTTTTTTTTTTAGATGGAGTCTCTCGCTCTGTCGCCCAGGCTGAAGTGCAGTGGCGTGTTCTTGGCTCACTGCAAGCTCCGCCTCCCAGGTTCACGCCATTCTCCTGCCTCAGCCTCCCAAGTAGCTGGGACTACAGGCGCCCACCACCAGGCCCGGCTAATTGTTTGTATTTTTAGTAGAGACGGGGTTTCACTGTGTTAGCCAGGATGGTCTCGATTTCCTGACCTCGTGATCTGCCCGCCTCGGCCTCCCAAAATGCTGGGATTACAGGCGTGAGCCACTGCGCCCGGCCGGTTTTCCTCTTTTTACCTGGATAACTTTTATCTAATATTTTTTATCTCAGTTTAAAGAGTAGTTATTTAAAACAAGATCTTCTTTGATGAATTATGTAAGTTAGGTTGCTGCTGCCCTTTGCTCTGAGGGGCCTGTCCTTTCACCTCACAGCATTTGTCACCATTTGCCATTGTGTATTGTCTTAAGTATTTATATATACCCTTTTTTACTCCCTCCCCCGCTAGCAAATAATTCCACAAGGTCAAAGAACACAACCGTGTTGTTCACTATTGTATTCCAAGAATGGGAGCATTAGCAAAGAGCAAAGTAAGCAAATGCAGTGTTATAAGATCATCACCATCATCATCACTGTCATCATTGCCATCGCATCATCATGCCTGGAAAGGTAAGAATGGGTACTTTCCAGGCCATTGAAATACTTGATGAGTAAAGAGAGGGCCAGGGACTTGGCAGGAATTCCATTGGCAAAGTCAGGATTAGAATCAATGGCTATTCATTCTTGGGTGATTTGTTTACCATAACTTATTTCTGAGAACTACAGACTCCAGGGGCAGAAGGTATCCTTAAAAATATCCAGCCCAGGGGTACAGACTCAGACATCTACAGGGGCCAGGCAGGTATCCTACCTGCGTGAATCCGCCCACACAAGACAATGGAGGGTGATGGCAAAACTACCAGCATCTTCACCTAGAAGGAGTTCCATTCAACGCCGTCGAAACAACATCAGGGCCCTGGACTGCTGCCCTCCACTTTAGCCTAGTCTATACTATATTCTCCCTCCCTAGTGTCTCCAGAAGCTTTGCCAGCTTCCCTTCCCACAAAACAGCCGTTTTGTATTTGGGGCAGCTCTACCATCAGCAAGTCCTCTGAGGAGTGCACACTAGAGGGAACAGCTGTGAGGTGAGACCTCCTCTTCTCCCCTCCCAGACTCTGTCCTGCAGGTTAAACAAGTCTGGTAGGAGACCCTGTGGCTTTGGGGTACCAGTTTACCTTCCAGCCTGGGACTCCTGGGAGATTTGTCCAGGCAAACATGAAGGAGTTTGCTCAGAGTTTCCAGAGTTGAAGCATTAGTTGCAGCTCAAATATAGTAAGCATCTATATTCCCTCATTAGACTTGCAGAAGAGGGCAAAGAAATGGCAAGGCAAGCTTTTAGCTGTGATGGAGAGTGGTGGAGAGGGTTCTAGTATTTCCTTGTTCTGACAGCATCACCTCCCTATCACCAGAGGCTTTTCAGAGGACTGCTGAGTCATCCCGACCTTTGGAAATGCTCCCGCCTCCGCCTCTCTAGGCTCCAGCTCACCTCAAAGAGGCTGGCATTTTCTCAGAGTGAAGTGGCACTTGCATGAGCAGAGGCAGAAGAAATGTAGCCAGAGAAAACCAGTGTGGAAATGCCAATCTGCCTTTTTTGGAACCTGACAGCCCAAGCAGGGTACCCATATGTGGCTTAAAGTTCCAGACCCACTTGTAGATTAGCTCATATGAGCCCTCTGGGAAGAGAAGAAAGGGAAAAGTGATGGTCATGCCCTGACATAGCATCACTGCCATCAGCATCCTCAATCACCATGATTGTCACCATACCATTATTATCACCATCATCATCATCGTCATCTTGTCACCACCATTATGACCATTCCATCATCACCATCACCATCATGACCTTTTCATCATCATCACCATCATCATCATTGTCATCATCACCATCCCATCATAATACTCATCACATTATCACCATTCCATCATCATCACCATCATCATCATCATCATCATCACGTTATTACCATTAAGTCATCATCATCATCATCACCATTCCATCCTCCTCACCATCATCACCATTTCATCATTATCATCATCATTATCAGTCATCATCCTCATTATCTCATCATCATTGTTAATGTAGCTGTAGTCTTCTACATGACATACAAGAACTATTTACTGAGCTCTTATTATGTGCACAGCTCTGTGATAATCATCGTATTCCCCACCACCCTCCAAGACTTGCATTTCAGAGATAGGGGTAATGAGACTGAGAGTGCTTTAAACAATGGGCAGAAAAACATTCCCCAGTTGGAAATTATCAAGACAGTATTCAAACCAGATGTTGCCTTCCTCCAAAGTATGTGCTCTCACTGTATATGGGATTGTTCTTTCATACTGTTTATTACAACTGTACTCCAGGAATTATTTGTGTGGTGGCTGTCTTCCTGATCTGGTGTTACTATCATGGTTGAAGCTCATCTTGTTCACTGCATCCCCAGTGCCTCATGCAGGCCTTGCACGGAGTAGGCTCTCACTACCTACCAGTTGCTTGAGTACGTTCCTGGACCATCACTCTGCCTCAGTTTTATGTACTCTTTTCAAGGTTCCAAATGTATTTCACCTTCATTGCACTTTTTAAATCCTAAGGCAGATCTAAGGAAGGCAGGATGGGTGTGGGTGGTTCCATTTCATACGTGAGAGAAAGTAGGTGATGAATGTAGCTGCTCCATGACTTAACCAGATCACCGATCTTAATTTCTGACTTGTGAATCAATATTATTCTAAATTTCATCAGAGTCATAAATTCTAGTGTCCTGAGGGCCCCAGAGGAGCAAGGATTCACTTAAAATCCCTCAGCAAGTTAGGGCCACCAATCTATGCCCCTGGATCAGCAAATTACAGGGGGGCATGCTCTAGTGAAACTGTACCATTGATCACATGGAGCTGAAAGTTGACCTTGAGAGACTGGTCACTCTATCTCAGCTCTTTGTCCTCTCCTTTGGGTTACTTCACATCCTTTGTCTTTTGACACCTTCTCTCTCCCTTCTCCCAAGCTTCTGGAAACTGCTGCTCGTAAGTTGCCCCACGCAAAGCACCCAGCCCCCTCCTCTCTAGGTAACTCCACCAACTGGTTCCTCTCCAGTCTCCATTACTCCTTCTGCACTGGCCTCGACCTTACCTGTTGCCTTCACCCAACTGTCCCCACCAGCTTTCTATACCCTGAACCTGTAGCCTATGTTGTGATCTCTCCCAGGAATATAAACAAAGCTACTTGCCCTATTTTCTTTGCCTAGGTGCTGAAGATACAAATTCTGATTCCACCGTGATGAGTGTGTGACTCTGGCCATGTTTCTTTACTCCTCCAGGCCTCAGTTTCCTCATCTGCACAGTGGAGATCATAATTACACAACTTCATAGGTTTTTCTTGAGGAGTCAGAGTTAATACATAGCAAGTTCTCAGAACAGTGCTCAGCACTTAGAACAAACTCACTAAATGTCTGTCTTATTCAGGTCTAATAAGTGGAGGCAAAGGGGAAGGAAGGTGTGCAGTTTCCTCAAATGGCACCTGGTAGATAGCCTCCCAGTAGACACATGCACAGATTTAGATTTGGCAATGTCTTTGAATATGATGCATTTATAAAATCACTGGGAAAGATGTTAAATGTGTAGTAAATGTAAGGGCTGTTTATACATTTATGTTAGTAGAGAATAGGGTACTGACCCTATAATACTCTGTAAGTTGTGGAGATTTCCTTGCAACCTGGATATAATCAGATGAGATCACCGTGTATTATGGGAGAATCCCTTTTCCTCCTTAGATATCTCCCATAATATGCTTGTGCACTTACTCAGATCATCCCTCCAAAGAAGCCTGGATTTCTCACCAAAGGCACCTGCATGCAGAGGCCAATTATTGCCCAGCAACAAGCTCTATTTAAACACAAAGAACATGTGCCACTTATCTGAATATCTTTCATCTGTTCAGCCACAGTCTTAAAATTGGAAAAAGGAGTAGTAACTTGGCTTCAAATCTCATTTCATTTCCTGTCTTCTTCGTTGAGCAGATTTGGCACAGATACGCCCTTCATTTCAGGGTGGCAAAGAAAATATGGAACTGAAGACTGCACACTATAGAAACTGGAAGAGCCACAAGCAAAGCCACCCAGGACACCAGGTGGAGGTCTCCACAAGCATGCCACCTCCAGCTTGGGAAATCAGGGAGCGAGTATCTCTTGGGTGGTAGGAGTAGCTGGAAAACAAACCTCTCATTGGAAGGTCCCTAAAGAAGCCACCAGCAGCACCTTGGTGGTGGCCCTCCTTCTGCCTTGCTGAACTGACCATGATGCCTCAGCCCAGATGGCCTTTGATGAGACAGCTAGAGCCTTGGGGTTGACTCCTGTGAGTTTAGCAAGATTCTGTCTTCTCCAGCCTCTGCCAGCTTTGGGTATACACGTCAAATTCAATTTTCATAAGCACTTATGGAGGCTTCCTTGGGTATTTCCCCAGCTTGGTGCTTGGGACACAGAAAGATTAGGCCTGGGCACTGGTTTCAACCTCTTGTGCAAGATATGAACACAGATAAATATAATACAGGCAGTGTCATGTAGACACCATGGGAAGGGTATAAACAAAGATGTGTCTTCCATGTGCCTGGCACAGGGTCTGGAACACAGTGTACTCTCAATAAAACTGTAATAAAGAATGAATAAGTGACATGGTGAGTGCATGGATGAAATGGAGTGAGCAAGCAAATCCATTGAACACTGTGATTCACCACGAGAGTAGCAGATGCTTCAAGAATGAAGAGGTGAGCAGTCCCAGCAGTCCTTACACTATGTTCAGTGTTACAGCAGGGTTGGATTGAAGCGCTGTGTGCTGTGGATTCAGTGTACTTGGACAGAGGCATCAGCTTGCAGGAAAGCTCACAATGCCCAATACGTTAGCCCTGAAGAAGTGGCCCTATGCTTTCTTTGACATGCCTGTAAAAACAAAAACCACATGTGTAAGAAAATGTGTTTATAGTGCAGTAGGTGATGGGGGAGAATACAAGCCATATCTCATGATGAAGAACTACACATAATCTATGCCCAATTTATTCAGTGATGTTTAGATGTTTATGACTATACATACTTCAGAACTATTGAAACACATTTATTGTAAAATATTATAAATTTGAAACTGTAGTCCAGCACTTACAGACTCAAATGCCTACAGGGATTAGCAAGTATTTCAAATGAAAGGCATGACTAGGGCAAGACAATAGGAAGTAGTGAGGCTTGCAGGAAACTGGTGGCAAACTCTAGTTTCTCTAAAGAGAGCAACTACTGCTTCTGCTAGCTGACGCTGAGTAGGGATGATAATTTATCAGATCTTATTTTTCACAAGAGGGAGAATCTGGATTTTTTCTGTTAACTTTCTCCATTTCTATCATACCTTGTCAACCCAACAAAACACATCCATAGGCCAAATTTTGCCCGTGGGCTGCCTGTTGGCCACCTTTACCTTACTTATTGCCCTTTCTACTCTGGCACCGCACCTGAGAAGGCGAGAATTGGGGAAATTTGATGGTGGTTTGGGTAATGAGAATGGGGATGACGCGCCTTAAAAAAAAAGAAAAAAGAAAAAAGAAATCAATGGATGGGGACAGAGTTGGATTTCAGGGGGAGGGGGAGGTGAAGACATGGTGCCTTTTAAAGGAGATATGGTGAAAGAAAGAGAGAGGGTCATGGTTTGGGTTTGAGCTAGAGGCAATCAAATGAGTTTAGGGAGTGTTAGAGAGATGGTAAGAGATCATCATCCTCCGTCCACATTTACAGAAAACTGACCATGAGCAACAGTGGACATGAATTGGGAAGGGGACAGGGCAATGATTGATGGATCAATACCCAGTGGAACTAAGAGGTTACTGCCAAGGACACATGGAGAGAGTTTTGCTTAACAAGCAGAAAGAACACTTTTCCAAGTCTGAAAAGAGGAGGAATAGGAAGAAAGAGCTGTGTGGACAAATGGGGATGTTTCTGTGCATGCAAAATTATCCCCTTTATTAGAGAAAATACAATGACTCATGAATTATTTTTGCCAGGTAAAAACTGCATGGATGCCTGAGAGTTTTGTATAGGCAGTTATCAGGTTGATTAGAGGTGGATATGCTCTGAATGTCTCTTTTTTCCACAGGTTTCTAAGATTAGAGAGATAATAAGCTGGTAGCTGACACAGACCCTTAACCTCTTCAAGTTCACCAGTGATTGGATAGGTTTATGACAGAGAAACCAGGTCTGGATTAAGCCCACAGTGGAATGGACAGTTGTGCATGTTTTCATTGTTTCTTTGTTTATTCAGTTATTCACTTATTTTTCACTGATTCATTCATTCGTTCAGTTATCAAATTGCACTGCTAGGAACCAAGGGACGAGAAGGCACTCACAGATGGAAGGGCCATAAGACCTACATGCATATGATTGTGATGCAAGGTAGAATGTCCATGGGTGTGGCAGGAGTGAGCAAGATGAAGAGCTCAGAAGTGAAGAGGAGAAGGCCCAGAAAGAGGGGACATTTGACTGGAACCTCTTGAGACGGAGAAAACGTGCCTTCAGCTGCATGGATGAAACTCCTTATCTAACTTGAAGGTTGAAACAGATTGAACATGACAGCTCTCCAGTAGATACCTCTTCCACTGAGGTTTGTGAATGACTCCTGCCTGCGAGGTAGTCACGCACTAATGCTGAACTCAAGAGGAGACCTCTTCCTCAGTGTTTGACGCTTTGGCTTCTGGCTGGCATAGTTTTCTGTTCCTCTCTTTGCTCCTGTTAGACCAGAACTGTCCGGTAGAACTTTCTTTGATGATGGAAATACTCCATATCTCTACTATCCAATATTGTAGCCACCAACCACATGTGACTATTGAGCACTTGAAATGTCTTTACTGTGACTGAGGAACCAAACTTTAAATGTGATTTAGCTGCAATTCATTTGAATTTAGATGAATGATCACATGTAGCTAGTGACAACTATATCAGAGAACTCCTTGAGGGATCCAGCTCAGTTCCTAGCTCTCAGTACGTGCTCAATATAGGTGCAATGAAGGAAACTACTTTTTACTACTTAAAATCTAGGCTGCTCTTTAAGAAGAATGAATTTCTTTTTTTATTTTATTTTACTTTAAGTTCTGGGATACAGGTGCAGAACGTCCAGGTTTGTTACATAGGTATACATGCGTCATGGTGGTTTTCTGTACCTATCAACCCATCATCTAGGTGTTAAGCCCCACTTGCATTAGCTATTTGTCCTAACGCATCCTCCCCTTGCCTCCATCCCCCACCACCCCCCAATAGGCCCTGGTGTGTGATGTTCCCCTCCTTGTGTCCATGTGTTCTCATTGTTCAACTCCCACTTATGAGTGAGAACATGCGGTGTTTGGTTTTCTGTTCTTGTGTTAGTTTGCTGCGAATGATGGCTTCCAGCTTCATCCATGTCCCTGCGAAGGAAATGAACTCATTCTTTTTTCTGGCTGCATAGTATTCCATGGTGTATACGTGCCACATTTTCTTTATCCATTCTATTATTGACAGGCATTCGGGTTGGTTCCAAGTCTTTGCTATTGTAAATAGTCCTGCAATAAACATATGTGTGCATGCGTCCTTATAGTAGAATGATTTATAATCCTTTGGGCATACAACCAGTAATGGGATGGCTGGGTCAAATAGTATTTCTGGTTCCAGATCCTTGAGGAATCGCCATACTGTCTTCCATAATGGTTGAACTAATTTACACTCCTACCAACAGTGTAAAAGCATTCCTATTTCTCCACAGCCTCGCCAGCATCTGTTGTTTCCTGACTTTTTAATAATTGCCATTCTAACTGGCGTGAGATGGTATCTCATTGTGGTTTTGATTTGCATTTCTCTAATGACCAGTGATGACTTCAGCTGCATGGATGAAACTCCTTATCTAACTTTTTGATGAGCTTTTTTTTTTTTTATGTTTGTTGCCCGCACTCAGAAGAGTAAATTTCTTTACAGAGAAGGCCTTTGTGTTGCTGGATGTCCTCATAGGTTTGGGTTTATAAATCTTCCAATAAAAGCTACCCCATCTCTGTTCCCAGGGTCTGGGTGTCGCCAGGATTCCAGGCTTTGGGGAATGGGGGAAGCTAATCTTTCTAATACTGTCAGAAAAATGTGGACTTCATAGTGATGGCAAAGCACTGGGAGGCATAAACAGAGTGCAGGCAGGATACAGGGGCTGTTTGCTTGTCATATAAGCCCTCTCCAGGTGAGATCTCGGCTCATTCCAACCTCTGCCTCCTTGGTTCAAGCAATACTCATGCCTCAGCTGGGATTACAGGCATCCGCCACCATGCCCAGCTAATTTTTAAAATATTTTTAGTAGAAATGGGGTTTCACCCCTGCCCCATCTTAAGGATCCAAACTCATAAAATGTTTAGTGTGAGTGCATTTTGTTTTTTTTTAAAGAAACCAGTGAAGAAGCTGACCATGGTACATGGTGGTAAAGAGCAAAGCATTCCTAGGCATTTGGAATTGGCAGAGGACAAACTTGTATAATTTAGATTTTTGAAGGGTGAGGGGGTCCTCTAGATTGCCCAGTTCGAGTTGGTGGAATGAATGAATAAATGAGTAACGGATTAATGAACAGAAGAAGTTAAAAATGATATACAACATAGATTCTTATTTTTAACAAAACTCATTGCTTCTTATCTGGAAGGGCCCTGCTCCTGGCTCTGTTCCAGCCCCCACTTTGTTCAGAGGAGGTGCCTCAGGCCTAGAGAGGGGAATAGATTGACCTGAGGCCACACAGCTGCCTGATTAATGGTAGAACAAGAGCTGGAGCCCAGGACCCTCAATTCCAATTCCCATGCCATCTTATCCCAAGAACTTTTGTAATGCGGGAAGAGGAAGTTTTCAGTATGCATGCAACTTTAATGGTTTTGCCCTGTGGTCTCTCTTCATTCTCAACACTGGTTTCTCCTGAGGTTTCACAAGACCAAGCTAGCTGACCTCCCTCTCCCCCTGACCCACGTTGTACAAGCCCCATTAAGAGAAGGCTCACTGAGGAGGTGATGGAGGTCTTGGAGTTCACATATCCATGAGGTCTCAACATCCCTTCTTTCTGAACCATTGCTTACTGGGAAGACCAGTTTCCTGCCTATTTTCTGCCAGAAGCAGCTTAATTTTTTCTGTGTCAGCATCCCCTCAGCAAGAAAGGTCATTTGCTAACAAACAACCGGTGTGTTCCTGAGAGCACAGATGGGAATTCTGGACTGGCGGGCGCCATTTGAGGGTGACGCTACTGAGTGTTCTCACACCCTCGGCTTCCCTCTGAACACCACGGTCAAACCACCAGCTTCCAAAGAGCCATGATCAAAACAACAGTGATGATATTGAAATGAACAGCACATATGTGTCAGACACTCTTCTAAGTGCTATCATATAGTAATAATTACTTATCCTGTGACCCTCTGAGGTCAGTACCACAATCACCCCCATTTTATTATCCCTCAGAGAGGACATGGAGCTTATCCAAGCTCACACAGGTAGGAAATGGCAAAGCTGGGATTTAAATCCCAATGGTTGGACTCCTGGGTCTGGGATCCCAGCTACTCCCTTGTGCAGGAGGACCACTGGGAAGTCAGACCTGGGTGTTTAATTTCAGTTCTGCCTTTACACACTAATGTGTGACCTTGGGCCATGCCTAAGCCTCCTCACCTCCAAGGTCCTCCTAGGCATGCTGATACTCTCACAGGGCCATTGTGAGAATTAAAATGGATATCTACAAAGTGCTTCCCAGTATACTCTGCCCAGCACACCGAAGGCACTCAATAAATCCAAAAAGAAAGGAAATTATAGAAGCCATTTGTTTCTCCAAACCTTCGACCATCTGAGATTTGCCCATAAGTTTTCCCTCTTACCCAGCCCATCCCTATGTAGCCCCAAGATGGTTCCTATCTTTACTATGTTGAATTGATTTGGAAAAATATTTAGATGATAAGAATATCATGTGCATTTATGATGTTCCTCTCTTGGCAAGTGGTTTGCAAAGCTCATTTCTATACTGCCAGACTTCAAAGTTCAGTCTTATGGCACCGAATCAACCCACAAAAGGTTTTTGGGGCAATATGCATTGAATATTTATTATATGCCAGGCATGGGCCTAGGCACATTGATTTTTATCCTCACATTGAGGGCAAATGCATTTTCCTGTAGCAATGGTGTGTGCATGGTGATTTCCAAACTGCAAGGTCGGCAGGTCTGGGGGGTCTGAGGAGTCTTTTATACCTGTGAATGCCATGTCTGTATGAGTCCCAAACCGTTAATCAACATGTGACCTGTTGGTACCAGCCCTTCTTCATTCATATATTCATGTGGTGGGTGCTGACCCTAAAGTTTTGTTTGTTTGTTTGTTTGTTTTTGTTTTTGTTTTGACAAGGTCTTGCTCTGTCGCCCAGGCTGGAGTACAGTGATACGATCACAATCATGGCTTATTGCAACCTCGACCTCCTTGGGCTCAAGCAATTCTCCTGCCTCAGCCCCCTGAGTAGCTGGCACTACAGGCACACACCACCATGCCTGGCTAACTTTTAAAATTTTTATAGAGACTGGGTTTATTGCTCTCACTTTATTGCTCATGCTGGTCTCAAACTTCTGGGCTCAAGCAATGCGATCCTCCTGCCTTGGACTGCCAAAGTGCTGGGATTACAGGCATGAGCCGCCATGCTCAGCCTTACAGTTCTTGACTTGAGAAACCTTTATGCCCCAGGATGTTCCATGGACAGGTTTCTGGGGCATCCACTCCTCTGGAATTATATGTAAGTGTCATGACCAACTTTAGGCAATAAGGGACCTTTATACAAATTAGACAAAGGTGGCACCCAACATTTTTAGAAGGAAAAAATGCACAAAGGACCTCCTCTCTGGGCATACCTGTTACCAAAATGGACTTCTTCCTCCTGGCTTTCCTCTCAAGGACTCAAGTCTCCTGAATGGAATGTGGGCTGGATTCTAGATTCCTGTAGAGGCCCATTGGCTAGGTACCCTTATGCAGTGCACAACCTGAACAATCCTATAAGAGGGCCTGTGAATTATTGCCTGTGCCTATGATCATTTTAGAGTGAGAGAGCTATGAGTTGTATTGGATGTCTCTGATCCAAAAAAGATTCAATAGGCACTGGGGCATTATAAGATGATGGGTGCCCAACATACAGAATAATTATGAGGAGGGAGAGGGAGTGAGCACTATAAACTACTACTGGGAAGAACTATATGACACTGCAAGGGGCAGGGGGACTTGGCTAGACAGAGAGGAGGTGGTTGGTGCAATGTTTAGGCACGTGGATCCCAAAGGCAGGCTCCCTGGCTTCAGATCCCCGTTATTCATCTTATGGGCCTTATAACACCGCTGTGCCTTTTACTCTTTGTGGTCACCTACTGTTTGTCTGGAGCTCCATGAATATTATCCTCCAACCCTGCCTCCCCCATCATGCAGGTACTTTCTACAGAAGAGGACGCAGAAACCCTAAGAGATTAAGTCACTACAGTGGGCCTTGTGTTTGGATGTGGGATAGAGCCACCATTTGAAAGTGGATCTCTGACTTGGAAGGTGTTAGATGGTGTGTGGCCCACTGACCCATGAGGTTTCCACAGATGTGGAGGTGGAGGCACAGCTGGAGGCCATGCCAATGGTGCAGGGGAGACCCCTGTGACTTGCTTCTGGAAACCCTGCTGGCATTGGTTGGGGTAGGTCCCAAAGTGCCCAGCCCTAGACCCTGCCCTATGGGAATGCACAGTCAGGTGGGAGAGGCAAGAAAACAGGACGGCAGCTCAGGTGTGGGACTGTGATGGTGAGAACACAGATTAATTTCCCACTGCTGCTAAAAAGCCAGCTCAGCTCCCTTCTACACTTGAGTTCTGCTGGAGAAGGATCCTCTTCTCTACAAATTAGTCTCTTGGAGCTGCAGAGGGAAGGAAGAAAAGGCTCCAGCACAAGGGCCTCCTGGTGTTTATCATGTTAGACATCACAGGCAGGTGCAGGAGTCCTTCAGGTAAATAAATGGAACCACTAGTGGAGAGGAGGAAAAAGGAACCTACAAAAAGAGGTGACACAGAACAAGGAGGAAGTAGATTCTTTTCCCCAACTTTGCTTCTTCCACCCCTTCCCCCGACAGCATACCCCATAGCCTGATACAGGCTTTTCTGAAAATCACTAACTCTTGGATCGTTTCACAAAACTCTTGAATGGTTTCTCTGATTTTGAATTTGGATTCTCTTTTGAAATTGCCTTTTTTCAGTTGTAAGGAATGAAAGCTTTGAATGAAAAGAAAGGAGACCTGACATCCCCAACCTTTGCTGGGCTCTGTCACCCTGTACCGTCACCCTCTAATTCCTCTGTCAGACCAAGAACCCCCAGGGTGAGTAGCTGGGCGGTTATCACACTCTTTGGCCTGTCACCAGCACCTAGTGAATACTTATTACAAAGTGAGGGGGATAGAGTTGCAGAGTAGACAGTGAGACTGGAGAGAAGTTGGGGACCATCATGGAAAGACTTGGGTGCAAGATAATGGGCAGTCATTGAAAAATGTCTAAGATGGGCTGGGCGCGGTGACTCACACCTGTAATCCCAGCACTTTGGGATGCTGAGGCAGGCGGATCATGATGACAAGAGATTGAGACCAGGCTGGCCACCGTGGTGAAACCCCATCTCTACTAAAAATACAAAAATTAGCTGGGCATGGTGGCACGCACCTGTAGTCCTAGCTACTTGGGAGGCTGAGGCAGGAGAATCACTTGAACCCGGGAGGTGGAGGTTGCAGTGAGCTGAGATCACACCACTGCACTCCAGCCTGGCAACACAGCAAGACTCCTTCAAAAAAAGAAGAAAAAAGAAAAGAAAAGAAAACAAGGAAGGAAGGAAGGAAGGAAGGAAGGAAGGAAGAAAAATGTCTAAGATGACTTGTTTTTAGATTTTTGATTTTAGAAAGACCACTTTGGCTGAAAGAGGGGGAATAAAATAAATGGGACAGAGAGAAGTCAGAAGTGTGGGGGCTGTTGTATGACCCAAGCCAGAAAGGATGGGGTCTGAAGTCAGGCAGTGGGATTCAAGAGGAGGGGCCGTTAAATAGCCTCAGTGTCCAGGGAAGAGGGTCTTGTCTGGGCTGAAGATCAAGGAGCGAAACTTCCCTACAAGAAACGCTCTTGAATGTATCAATGAGTTTTGGGTTTCACCTGCCTCCTTGCCAGGATCAGTTATCTCTGAGGTATTCTCATCTGGAAGCATTATGACATGGCCCCCAGATGGGGATGGCATGGGAGACAAGCACTCAAATCCCACTGTGGGGAGATCATTTAGGTACAGTCCTTTTAGAAAGCAACTGAAAATAAGTATAAAAAGCCATAGAAAGGTTGTCTTCTTTGCCAATTATTTGTATTTCTGAGGAACTTACTTAAGGAAAGAATTTGAGGTTAGACAAATAAGTTAACTGTGACATTTTTCTTTTTTCTATTTTTGTTTTTTTGAGACAGAGTCTTCCTTGGTCCAGGTGATTCTCCTGCCTCAGCCCCCTGAGTAGCTGGGATTACAGGTGTATGCCACCACACCTGGCTAATTTTTGTATTTTTAGTAGAGACAAGGTTTCACCATGTTGGTCAGGCTGGTCTCGAACTCCTGACCTCAAGTGATCTGCCTGCCTCCGCCTCCGAGATTACAGGTGTGAGTCACCACACCCGGCCACAACTTTGACATTTTTCTGATAGTAAGAAAATTGGAAGCAACCTAAATGCCCAACAATATGGGAAGATTTAAATCAACTACACCTGTCTCTGCCACTGTATCACAGAGGCCTTGATGACTTCCCAGCTGGTACATGTCCTGGATGGAATATTATGTAGTCCTGTTAAAACTTGTTTCATGGCTGGGTGTGGTGGCTCACATGCTTTGGGAGGCTGAGGCGGGAGGGTCACTTGAGGTCAAGAGTTCGAGACGAGCCTGGCCAACATGGTGAAACCCTGTCTCTACTAAAGTACAGAAATTAGCTGGGCATGGTGGTGGGCACCTGTAATCCCAGCTGTTCCAAAGCCTGAGGCAGGGGAATCACTTGAACTCGGGAACCGGAGGCTGCAGTGAGCCGAAATCACACCACTGCACTCCAGCCTTGGTGACAGAGCAAGACTCAGTCTCAAAAAAAAAAAAAAATTTGTTTCATAAAGAGTTCACAGTAACATAGGACAAAGTTTACATTACTATGTTTAGGGAAAATAAGAAAATCCAGGCACACAAGAGAATATGTAGTATCATGCAACCACCCCAAATATACAAAATCCATAGGTCAAAAATTTATAAAATACTAAAAATGGTTGGTTTTGAGTGATGGGACTTTAAGTAATACATCAATTTTTCTTTCTTCTTTGTATTTCTGTTTTCCACATTACAGTGAGAAGGTATTATGTTTATAAAGGGAAATCGGCTTCCTTAAAATGCTGACTCCCAGCTTTCCTAAGACCCTTTCCCCTGAGTTTGCATTTATGTGGGACAGCATCTTACTAATGAAATATTTATAAGTCCAGGAAGTATGGAAATGTTTTAAATATTTTAACCTAGGCTCATTTTCTCTCTTGTTTTCTCTTCGCTTGCTCTCTCTCTCTCTCTGAACTTTCTTACCACTGAAGTCATGACACTTGTACCTGCAGGACTTAGAGGGGTTGGTAAGGCTTGCTCTGCTTTAGGCCATGAGGAATTGTCCAGGCTTTATCTTGAAGGGCACAGAAGCTTCCTTACAAAGTGCACATACCCAGAAGGATAGCACTGAGGATGAATGCCAATGGAACCCTGTCTACTAAGGAGGATGCCCCTCTCTTCCTTTGTTCATCTTCCATCCATCCATCCATCCATCCATCCATCCATCCATCCATCCAATCCATTCATCCATCCTCTCACTCTGAACAAGTGTTGTGGATTCAAAGATGAACCATGGGTCCTTCCCAGAACTCAAGGTGCTCACAGTTACAGGAGCAAACCCACAAACACATCATGATGGCACAGCGATGCAATGAAGAGAGGTGAGTGCAGCAGGAAGGACAGGTTCTGCACCAGGGAGGTGTCCAGCTAGACTGAGGGGGCAGGCTCCAGAAAGGATTCTTGGAACAGTCGTGGTAAGTTGGGCCAGACAAGAAAGAGGAAGGGAATTCCATGTGGAGGGCACATCTTGAGCAAAGCTTTGCTAGCCAGAAACAAGACAGCTCAATTGGCTTGACATTATGGGAACATAATTGGGATATTGTGTTGTGGGGAAACACAAGGACAGAGAAGGATTTGAGAACCAGTTAGAAAAGTGTGGCTAGGAGTGAAGAAAACTGAGAATAGGGGAACCCACTGTTAGGTCACCAACTTCCCACACCTGAAAGACTATCATATGGCAAAGGAATTGATTCATCATCTCTGTGTGTTCCTGGAAGATAGAACTAGTGCTCGGGGTAGAGGTGGCACAGTTTGGATGTCAGAACTGTCCTACTGTGTGCAGTGGGTGCCTTCTGCAGGAGAATAATGCCTAATGCATTTCTGGCCAGCCTCTGATGGGAGCATGGCTTATCTGGGTACCTCTGGCTCAAAGTCTCTTATGTGTTTCTCCGGAGCTATTGCTGGGGCTGTAGTCTCATCTGAGAGCTAGAGTGGGGAGGAACAGTCTGCTTCCAGGCTCACTCGTGGTTTTGGGTAGGCTCTGGTCCCTCCCCACAGGCACCTCTCCATGGGCTGCCTCATGGCATGGCTGCTGGGTTCCCTGCTGGCAAGAGTGAGAGAGAGCATGCAAGGAGGCCCCCAAGAAGGACATCAAAGTCTTTTTATATCCTAATCAGAAGTGACATCCCATCACTCTGTCCTACTCTATGCATTATAAGCAAGTCACTAAATCCAGACCACATTCAAGGGGAGGGGATTGCACAAGGGTGTGACTGTCAGGAGGCAAGCATGATCAGAGCATCTTAGAGACTGCCAACCACTGTCTACCACAGAACTTCTGACTGGCATGCCCTGATGACTCAGATCTCTTGAGACTTCTGGACTGCTTCGGAGTTCTCCAGTCACTCTTCATCTTCAGCCTTTGTGAGACAGATTCTCAGTGCCATAAACAAAGTAGCCCATCAAGGAAATCTCTTCCTCTCCTGCAGCAGCAATGGGTATAATATTTATTTCATTTTTCCTGTTTACTTATTTATATCCCATTATACTATGCTGTGTCTCCTTTACAATGCTAAATTCCCAGTGGACACAGGTCCTTCAGTACGGTGGGTGCTCAATAGATATTTTTTGAGAGAACAAGGAGCAGGAGGAGGAGGAAGAGGAGAAATCAGAAGAGAAGAGGGGAGGGGACAGGGAGGGGAGGAAGCAGCAGCCACAGCTGCCCAGGCTATGACTTTCCCTAGTCTGTTTGCTAGAGTAAGAGGCCAGATGTTAACCATGGGATGCCATTTCTTCCAAACCAGAGGCCCCACGGGTGGCCATATGAGGGCACCCCTGAGTCTCAGCTGGGTCCTCTGCAGGTGAGACTGAGTCAGCCCTCAAGGGTGATCCTCCTGGAGGCTGAGACCCTGACTGAGGCTAACTCTGGCTTTCTAAGTTAAGAGCATGAGTTTCGGAAGCAGAGAGCCTGAGGTTGAATCTCAGGGCCTTTATTACGAGCTCTGTGACTTTGGGAAACTCTCCACCTAGACTTTCAAATTCCTCATCTGCAGTGTACAGAGAGAGCTGTTACCACAGGGTTGTCCTGAGGTTAGATGGAGTTCTCCTGGTAAAGGGCACAGGACAGTGCCTGGTTCCTAGAAGGTGCTCCATGAGTGTTAGCAATAGTGCTTCTCCTGTTCCCCTGCTGGGCACAGCATCCAGCCACCCAAGGGGACTGGAAGCCAGGAAAAATGGGACAAATGGGAACATTCAGGTTCGTGGCTTATCAGAAGCCACCCCAGTGGACGCTGCCTTTATCACTATGATGTGCTGATCATGGAGAAGATGTAGGGCAGGAAAGTTATGTCCATCAGACCCGGCAGTTGCCACTGACTCCTGGGGCTCTCAATTCTGGGACACAACAACTGACAGACTGCCCAGTGTGGCCTGGGAAAACCACCAGGGCTGAGGTGGCCTGACAGCTGCTGCATCTTCCTCCAGCTGCAAGTGTGTATCACCATCATCTTATATAAGCCTTATAAAGTGTCCACACATGTTTCTGGCTGCAGAAAATCAGGGACTAGGGAACTCTCACTTACTTCCCAGCTCCTAATGTTTTGCCTTTGGGGTCTCAAGATTTTGAAAAAGAACCCCTTGCATTTGGAGGACACGGGTGAGTTTTTGCTGACATGTCCATCTCCCACTTCTGAGACAAGCCCAGGAGTGGAGGGCAAAGTCACAGACTAGAGTCCCCCAAATGGCAAAAGGGCTGGTGTCGAGAGGAAGGTGATGTGCCTGAGAGCCCCATAGTGGGAGCACTCAGCACAGCTGCAGGAGAGAGATAGATCCCCTGGAGGTTTTCCTCGAGCAAATGGCATTTAAACTAAGACCTGGTGCAGGCATTATTCATTCCCTGAGATGGCCATAATGAAGTACCATTAATCTGGTGTCTGAAAGCAACAGAAATTTATTTTCTCACAGTTCTGGTGGCCAGAAGTCCCAAATCCAGCAGGGTCTTGTCCACTCTGGGAGCTCTATGGGACAATCCATTCCTTGCCTCGTTTGGGTTCTTGTGCCTGCCCCAGCATTCCTGGGCTTGTGGCCATATCACTGCAGTCTCCACTCCATCTTCACTTTGCCTTTGCCTCTATGTACCTCTGCTCTGGATGTCTCTTACAAGGATGCTTGTCATTGGATTTAGGGCTCACCTAGATAATCCAGATGATCTCTTCATCTGAAGATCCTTAACTTTAATATATCTGCAAAGACCCTTTTCCAAATAAGATCTCGTTCACAGGCTCCAGGGTGTAGACCTATATTTTGGGGGCCACCATTCAGCTAACTACCCAGGTCTGCCATACACAGCTGCACAGGGTGTGCACTGAACAACTCCAGGGGGCCTAATTCATGAGTTGCGAGGGCACACCTTGCACAACCATGTGGGGTAGTCCTGAGGATGAGAGCGGTTCCTTGTCTTCTTAGGCCTGGATAATCAAGCTGCTTTGTTTGTCCTCTAGAGTTTGGGGAACACTGTGTCAAAGCTAGAGAGATAACAAGAGCAGATCTGGGAGGGACCGAGTGCCAGCCTCTTGGTAATACAATGCCACAGAAGGTTTTCTCGCAGAGGCTTGGCATGGTTAGTTAGAGCTATCTGGGGGTGCCTTGGGATGTGGGAAGGACCAGAGCTACACCGACCACTGTCGTATGTTGTGATGGGAGCTGAGAAGGTGTGCATGGCCTCTGAAATCCAGAAAGACATGTGTCGCCTTTGATGGCAATGAAGGTTTATTTCAAGAGAATCTCAGAATCCAGTATCCTTTTCTACTAGCAGACGTTTTGCTATATATACAGAATTAGAAATCCGTCCAGGACTTGGTTGGAGCTGCAAATTCAGCACTGGAGGATTCTAGCATTTAAGTGTTTTCTGTTACAGCACCTCGTTACCTGGGTTGCAGCACATGGTGGGGCTGGTGGAGGAGGTGAGTGGGGGCTGAACAGCACTTGGGGGTGCCTCACCCAGGAGGAAGGCGTGCCATTTTCTCAATTACATGGAGACATCTTAGGGCTTACAAAGGTCCTGCCTGTTGCCCTATTTTCATGCTCTGCAGATCTCCCGGCGTTACCTGCTACTTTCTTGCTTATTTGTGTATTGTCTGCCTTCCTCCATGAGAAATTCCATAAGGGCAATGTTCTTGTTTACTGGTGCTCAATCCTCCTCCTCCAGTGTTCAGAGAATGCCTGGCACTTAGTAGGCACTCAGCGCGTACCTGCTGAACGTGATAGTAAAGAGCTCAGTAACTGAATGGGCGGGTAGAGATGTGACAGCAGATTTACATTATCAGGAGGTCTCTGTGGCCTGGGCCTGAGAATACTTTGGGGAGATACAATGTGAGGCATGTGACTTGTTAGGAAGTGTTGCAGTAATTCAGGAGAGAGGATGTGGCCTAGGAAGGAGCAGGTAAAAATGAGAAAGAGTGGTAGAGTGGATACTTTTAGGAACCAGAAACTATAATACCCAAAGACAAAGGAGGTGCTCGAGTTGAGGGGAAGAGAAGAGATACGGAGTATTGTAAAAAATGGTATTTACTGAACATTACTCTGTACTAGGCACTGTTCTATATACTCATTGTAGATTTGGATATATTAACTCTCTAGTTGTCACCACAAGACTTGAGGTGGAGAGTATAATTTTCTGTGTTCTACAGATAAGGAAATTGGGGTGCAGGAGACTTTAAATCACTTGCGCCAGCTCAAGTAACTTGGGCGTGTTCACCCAGCTGTCCAGAGTCAGTGTCAGGTGGAACTCAGGGGATCATTCCCTGAGCACACACCTATAGCCACCTCACCATCTTGTCTCTCTAATTATGAGGCTGGCCTGGCCTGCCGAAGGTGAAGGATTTGGTTCTCCCTTATATAGCCTCAGTCGATTTGCCCCTCTATCCCCACTCTTAGGCAGCATGACTATGACACTGGGGGTGTTGTTGTCCCCTGCAGCAGGGAACCTGGTTAGACTGAGTGGGGTGAGGTGTGTAGGGGAGTGTGCAGACAATGAGTCCTGAGGGCCAGCTGATGGGAAGCCCGTGCCTTATGTCACTTTCCTATTCCTGGGTGTTTGCCTTGATCATGTGGGCTCCTCCTCCAAGCCATCTGGATTCAGTACCTTCCCTCACTGGTTCAGGTGAACATGGCACAGCCCAGCCATCCTGTGTGACTGCAGAGAGCAGGCATCCTGCTCATCACCCATGCCCCCATGCTGGCTCTGGGGTAGAGGGGACATAGTGGTTGTGGGATAGAGTCTGGAGATTAAGGCCCCAGGTCCTAGATCCCACAGAGAGGCCTGCCCCTAATTTCTGTGAGTGGGGAGCTGTAGTACAAGTACAGGTGGGGTCCTCTGTACCCCAGACTGCCCCTTCCCTTCCCACACCATGGGGGGCTTCATGCACATGCCTGCTGTGGACCCCCAGCCCACACATTTAAGCTCCTTTCATCCTCCACAAAACAGCCCTCTGGGTTTCCCCTTAGGCCTCTTCATGCTCATACAGGGCCTGGGATTTTCTAGGAGCAGAGAACAGGATGAGGCCCATGGAGCCCAGCAGGTACTTGGGGTGTCAGGCAGGGAATTGCAGGGTCCTGGGTGCTCAGTTGTGGGACAGCAGGGGGCACATGGGCTCCAGGTAGGCACATCCCCTTGGTCTTGCAGATTCCTTCCCCTATGCAGATGGGCACAGCTGAATGAGAGTTCTAGTGGAACCCCAAAAGCCAGAGCCAGGACAGGGTCCCTGGGTATCCAGACTTAAGGGCCATACTCTGATACCTACAGATCTGGGATCAAACCCTGTTACCATGTGGTTTGGGGCGGGTTACTTGATCTCTCTGAGCCTCGGTTTCTTCATCTGTACAGTAGGGATAATGATAGCACCTAACTTCATAGAGACACTATGGGAATTCAAAGAAATAAGGCAAAAAAGGTTTTAGAGTGTCTGATCTTAGAGTGCTTCCCTCAGTACCTATTACCTCTTTCTGTTTTCTCAGTTTTCTTTGGTTGGCATGTTTCTTCTCACACATGAGATCCTGCATGTGTTAAAGGCCATAAAACAGGGAACAAATTTGTCAAATTCACCTCTGATTTTTCAGCACCTGCCTCCATGCCTTGCACATAGACAGAACCAACTATTTATTGACTTTTTAGGCTCGAGGGTATAGCAATGAAAAAAACAGTCAAGCTTCCTTTGTCTTGGTACTTTTATTTCAGTGAAGGAGGTTAACACATGAGCAGTAAATATAGAATATGGCCGGAGGCTGTAGGTGTTAGGGTGGAAAATGAAACAGGGAAAGAGGACTGAGAGTTGCTGTATTAGGTGAGATGGTCGAGGTAGTCTCTTTGATAAGGCAAATGAGTAAATGAATGAATAAATGAATGAGTATCTCAGTCCCTCTGTGCTACTATAACAAAATACCTGGGACTGGGTTGTTTATAAAGAACATAACTTTATTTCTCATGGTTCTAGAGGCTGGAAGCCCAAGACAAGTCATGGGTAGGATTGGTGCTTTATGAAGGCTTAGCTCTTCTTTCAAGATGGTGCCTTGCTGTTGAGTCCTCTGGAGAGGAGCACTGTGTCTTGCCTGGCAGTGGGGAGGGAAGAGATCAAAAGATAGTTCCCTTCAGCCTAGAGCTCTTTTATCAGGATATTAATCCCATTCATGACGGTGGTACCTTTTGTGACTCAATCATCCCTTAATACTGTTGCATTAGGGCTTAAATTTCAATATGAACTTTGGTGGAGACACATTCAAACTGTAGCTGTGGATGAGGGAGTGAGTATTAACTGCCTGGGGGCAGGGACTGGATCTTTCCTTCTCTTGCACTGTGCCTAACACACAATGGACACTCAAAAGATTTGTCTGATGGATGAAGTTCCAGGCTTTGACCAAGAGTCAGAATCTCCACCTGCTATTGGTGGCCTTGGAACCCTGCCCGATGACTTCCAGGCACAGGAATCCTATGCCTTTATTTGGTAGCCTGTCTCCTTATTGAGAAAGTTTTGTGAAGTGGTTTTGTATGTCACGCCACCTTCTGCACTCATGCCACTTCCTCCTTCCACCATGACACAGTGGGAGCCCTCAGCATCACCTTCACCACATTGTCTTTGGGTTTTTGCTTCAATGCCCCCAAAGACAGGAAGTTCAAAGTAATGCACATCCAAGCCTCATGCTGAGACAACATATCTCTCTCAATGGCAGTAGCCATTGAGGGTGGCCACTTGCCTCCCACAAAGCCCAACAAATATTGTCCCTTTTACATTCGACATACGAAGGAAAGTTTGTTCTTTCAGAGTTTTCTCTTCTCAGACCTAAATAGTTTCAGTTCTGTATTTGACTACCTTTTTTGGCCTCTCATGATCCTGTTCTCTCCAGTTGAGATCCCAGAATTAGACACATCCACTTGGGTGACATAGCTTGGAGCAGAAGCTGGATGTCTGATGCATCCAGCTGCATTAGTTCACTAGGGCTGTCAAAACAAAGTACTACAGACTGGGTGATTTCAACAACGGGAATGTATTTTCCCGCAGTTCTGAAGGCTAGAAGTCCAAGATCAAGGTGTCAACAGGGTGGTTTTTCTGGGACCTCTGTCCTTGCCTTGTAGATGGCTGTCTTCTCCCTGTGTCTTCACATTTTCTTTCCTCTGTTTATGTCTGTGTTCAAATATCTTCTTATAAGACCACCAGTCATATTGGAGCAGGTCACCCTAATGAACTCATTTTAACTTAATGACGTCTTTAGAAACCCTATCTCCAGATACAGTCACATTCTGAGGTCCTAGGGGTTAGGACTTCAACGTATTAATTTTAGAGAGACAAAGTTCAGCCCATGACACCAGCCAGTCGTCTCTTTTCTCAGGTGTGGATCAAGGCTCAGAAATGGAAAGGTCTTGACAAATGCCCCAAGCCTATATTAGACCCTGGACGGAACCCAGCTCTCTTGACCCCCAACACACTTCTCTCTCCTGCATCCCGTGAGTCCAACATTTTATGAAGTCCATCTGCAGCTCTCATGATTAGGTGGTTTTCTTTCCTTTTATTGACTGACTAACTGTCTTTCCCCATCCACACCGCCAGGACCCCAGGACAAGGCTCGAGAAAGCCAGCCTATCACCATGTGGGCGTCAGCTCTGCCCACTCCAGGGCTCCTACCAAGCTGTGTTGTGTGGCAATCCTAGAAACAGTGGGAATGAGGCCAGGGAACAAGCTGCCCTGATTTATTTTTTCTTAAAAAGAAAAAAAAAAAAAACTAACTAGGACAGCGAATACAAAATTATTCTGGGTTGTTTTCAGGCTGGCGAGCCTCTAACTTTGCTTCACACAAAATTAAATAACAAGTAGAACTCAGTGGAGCTGAGTTGCAGGAAAGCTCAGGAAGGCAGCACATTATGATGGCAACCGCCGGGCTCTGGAGCCAGCAGAGCTGGGTCCTACCTTTGGAGCCATCACTAGCTCACTGGGAGACCCTGGGAAGTCACTATCTAGCCTTAGCCTATAAAAATGGGGCTGATCTACTCATTGTCCTTACCCCTCTCCATGCGATGGTTTCAGATAATTATATGTAAATAATTTGGTACATGCTTGGCACATAGTATGTGCTCAACAAATGGTTGCTTAATGGAAAAGGAAATTCTGCTTGGTCATTAGCCTTAGTCCTCATATTAAACTGTGTCCACTCCCCTTTTCTTCTGGTTCTTTTTTAGAGACAAGTTACTGGGGTAAAGAAAGGGTGAGAGTGGAAAGAGTTTTCTTAGATGGCAATGTGGGGATAATGACTGTGTCTGCATTCGCCCATTTGTTTATTCACACATTTCTTCACTTAATTCAATTAACAAATATCTACTGAGTTTTAGATGTTGTGCTTAGAGATTAGGGATGCAGAGGCATATAAATAGGGTCCCTGGTCTCAATAATTCTATAGTTTTGCTGAGAAGAGAGGATCCAAGGAAGGACATTAGAATGAAGTAAAGGCACAAAAACTGAAGCATGTATAAGCTAAAGGAGGAGAATAGGTGAACTGACCATGCTGACGGGACAGGACATCAGGGAAGTCTTCCTGGGATTGAGTTGACATTTGAACATGGTATTGAATGGCTTGAAGGATATTTCAGATTGAAATTATCCAGAGGGAATTACAGACTGAGGGAACAGCATGAAGAACTAAGATATGGAGGGATGAAACAGTATGATGGCTTCAGAGAAACCGTAAGCAGTGTGGAATTTCTGAACCCTACACTGCTGATGTAGAAGTAGCCATGGGAGAGGAGGCTGAAGAGATCGTCAAGGGTCAGACTGGAGGGTCTTGATTGCCAAGGTCAGAACGCGTGCTTCCTTTTGTAGGTGATGAAAGCATATTAAGTATCGTAAGGAGGAAATGACAAAATCAGATATGTTTTTTTTAAGACTACTTCTGCAGGAGAGGGGCAGTGGAATTGAGGTGCGCAAGGCCGAGACCCACAGTTGTCTTGATGGCTTACCTGAGAATGGGGACAGAACTCAACTCCACTACAGCAGGGCTATGAAAAAAGGTGACAGATAGTAGAAATACAGATTTTGGTACAGAATCAGTTGACACATTAATTTAATGGAAATGGGAAGTCAGAGAGAGGATGGAAACGAGCAATAAGCCCAATCGTGGTTTTAGCACCTACGGCCATTTTCTAAAACAGGCTAGGAGCAGGTTTTGGGGGAAAACAATACAATTTGGGACATGTCAAGTCATGTCAAAGGTCAGTAAACTTTTTCTGTAAGCGACCAAAGAATAAGTAAATATTTTGGGCTTTGTGGGCCGCATATAACCTGTATCACAGCTACACAGTGCTGCCGTTGTGGCATGAACTCAGCCACAGAAAATGTGTAAATGAATGGCATGGCCGTCTTCCAGTAAAACTTTGCAAATGCAGGTGGCAGGCTGGATTGGTTGGATCTGGCCTGCAAGCCCCTTGGATTGGACCCATGGGGCTAAAGTCCCCTATCCTGAGGTCAGGAGATCTCTTCCTCATCCTCTGCTCATCTTTAAGTGATCATAATCAAGATTTGGCCTTGGAGGAAGAAGACAGAGGGCACTGAGCTGTTAATAAAGAGTGCGGGCCTCAGTGCTTGGCATAGGGTCTCCTAAAAATGTGAACTGCCTTCCCTGCTTCCTTGGGGTGGAGGAAGCTTCCCGGATCCGTGATGGGCAGGGAAGCACGTCCAGCTGGATCACTGCTGGGAGTACTTGGTATCTTGCAGACATAAGCACTGCTCTCTGAAACAAAGGGCCCAAACTGCTCGACTCAGCACCAACGCAGTAACCTTGCAAGTGGTGCACTTGGCACTTTTCTGTGGGCTGCATGGGGAAATGTAATTATTTTGGAGCTCTCTATTCTCAGATGGGTCATCACCAACTGTGTTCAAAGGCCTTCATGACTTGATTGTTTTTCCTTGGTTATTTGGAGGCTTAAAAGCCTGTATAGTCTTGAGCCGACATCTGAGGGATGAGGACAAAGCTTTCTGCCCCAAGATTCCCATGCAAACATATTTGAGCTGAGCAAGTGAGTATAGAGGCACATTCGTCTGCCTGCCCAGTTTCGCCTGTCTGAAAGCCTGGCTTGTGTGGTACTCATGCTCTGGCAGATCAGCCAAGTACCTGTTGGGGTCACTCTATCTTTGAGATTTAAATAAAAGGTAGGACCTACCTCCCTCTATTCCACATATGCACACATGCGGGGAATACCAGAGGGCTATTTTTCAATTCTGCCCATGTCCTTACAGCTCAGGAGGTGTGGGGTGGAGAGGAGATGGGCTTCTCCATGTCACTGGGCTCTGAGTTTCCTGCCCCAGTAAATTCTGCATCTCAGTTCTGCCTCACCTGCTGTTCCTGTTCATCACTCTGCTCTGAGCCAGCAGGGATGTCCTCCAAGCCCCTTGCATTGATTTCTTTCCAAATGACTCTCTGGGGCATTTGCATATAGAGTCACCTTTGCTGAGAGTTTAGGGAATTAGCAGAGATGAGAGAAGCAAAGCAAGCACTAAACAGCAAACAATTCAAACTGGTTAATTGGCCTCTCTGTTATTCGTTGAAGATGCCACCGAAGAATTGCAAGCTAAAGTCTCTTTGTTAGCCCCTTGCTCCCACTACCCGTCATATGACTTAACCGTCTTATCTCTCTCCGCCCCTCTTCTTTCACTTCTTTTCTCCGCTCTCCTTCTTCTGCCACACCTTGTCCTCAGGCCACATCCAAGTCATTTTCAAGAAAATGTGCTTTAAAAAAACACTTCTCATGTGGGCATAAAAATAGCACCTCCTCCTCCATTGGGCAGTAGGGGGGACTGTGAACAGTAATGCTGGAAGAGACTCTGCCCAGGGCCCGGCCAGTACAGGTGGGGAGGTGGGCCCTGAGGTGTCAGAGATCTTAAAGAACAAGTCAGATTTCACCAGGTGCACTGGTGTAGAGGGCATATTTGGTGAAAAGAACAGCCTGGGCCAAAGCACAGGGGTGTGGTAGTGAATGGTGTGTTCTGGAAATGCAACATAGATGAGTTTGGCTAGGGTGTAAATCACATGGAGTAACCCCAGAAAAATGTGGTTAGGAAACTAGGTGAAAATGTGAAGTGCTTTGCTGAGAAGTTTGCATTTTATCCCGTATGACTCAGAGCCAACCAGGAAATGACCCAGTATGCTTGGCTACTTCTGAGAAGCATCCTTGTGTGTCTGTGTGGGAAGGGAGAGCAAACAGAAGCAGGAGGGCCATGGTGGCACAGGCATGGAGGACCTCAATGAGGAAGCAGAGGGAGGAAGCGTGTTTCAGGTATGTATTCCGTGTCAGGTTGGAGGTTGGAGGAGAAAATAGTGTTCGTGATCCACCAAGGGCTTCTACAATATGGTTGTGTCATGGCCTAGTTTTAGCAGGGTGAGATGGCTGTGCCAAGGCTAGGTTTTATGCAGGCAAAATGGAGGGCTTTATCCAGATTTTAGTAGGGCACTAAGAACCTGGCAAGAACTGGAAGTGGGTGAGGGATTGGTTTGGGAAACAACACCTTATGATTGGGCATCATGAGTTTCTGTGACTGAATTCATCTGAAATGGAATTTCTACAACATGAGATGACTCTATGTTCCAAACCAATCAACTACTCAATAACCACAACCTACAGCTGTGGTCTCAGCCTGGGCTGTGCATTCAAATCACCTGGGAGCTTTCAGAAAGCAATGAAGACCAGGTCCTGTCTTAGACCATTTGAATATGAACTCTCTATGGGTAGTTTTCATGTACCTCTGCATACTTATGTGTTTTTTAAAGGCACCCAGGTGATTCCAGTGGGCAGCTAGAGCTGAAAAACCCTAAGGACTGTGGGTGAAAAGGAAGTTCTCACTGTTGCACGTGAATAGAGGGCTTCTGCTGGTTGGACAGAGGTGCTGAGAAGTGGCAAACATGATCAGGCACCAGCATTCATTTGTTTTCTCTTCTGTTATAAATAACAGCAGCCTTGGATTCGTTAAGCCTGCCCTTCCTTCCCTTTTCTGCTTGGTGTTAAATGTAATTTCAGGGGCTCTGGCTCTGAGCAAGTGGGGCTGTCAGTATGTATTAGATTTCCTTCCAGGAGATCAAGTTCCAGCTTCTCCTCTGAGTAGAGTGGGAGCTGTTTATAGCCCTCAGAATTGAATGGGGTAATAGGGACAGGAAGAATTACCTGAATTACAAAGAATTTGGGAACATTTCAGATTGGAAGTGGCTCTGGCTGATGGACTGTGGTGAGCTAGCTGTCCTGGGTTTTGGTGACACTGTGACCTTTGGCAAATAACATAATCCCCCTGAGCTTCAGTTGCTTCATCGGCAAAACAGGCAAGAAAGACCATCTCCATAGAAGGCCAGAATTCAGATAAGAAGGTGAAGATCATGCTGTTTATCTGTGTTATCTCTGTTATTTCTTGTGTCAACCCCATTTCACAGATGGATAAACTGAGGTCTGAGAGTTTAGTAGCTTGTGCAAGGTCACATATCTGGTAAATTATAAGCCTGATATTCTAGTCTTCACATTTGGCCTCCAGAGCCCACAGTCTTAATTACTGGTTAAAATACATGAAAATCCTCTAGAAACTGGGAACTGTACAAATCCAACCACATACCAGTTTCCCAAAGAACTACTTTCCAAATTGACAGATGTGTGTACCATCTATTTATTGGAAATAAAATCTATGGGTTTATTGGAATTCATATCTAGCATTTATTCATTTTTTATTTCATTCATTCATTCACCAGGTAGTTCAAGAAGGGAGCTAAGTTTGTCCAAGGCTAGCCACCATAGGTGCTGTGGGGATTGGGAGGGAGTTCATCTGGGGAGCTGAGAAGGTTAGATTGAGGTCTGCCATAGTAGACACTTCATTTTGTTAAAGCTCTTCCATCATATAGTCCTGAATAGGCTTCAGGCCCCATGTCCCTGTACATGTTGAGATAAATCCACACTGACAGGCCAGACTATTAGAGCGATGGAAAGCCCATTACATCATGCTGCGTCAGTGATCCAAGGATTATAGATGGGCGGGGGAGCATGCAAGAGTCCAGAGGGACTTGTGGCCATCATCCATCACATCATCTGGCAGTGCGGCTGCTTCGTCGTGGCAGCTCGATGACTCTTTTATTCCCGGGGCCATCGGACGAGGGTCAGCCCAACCTCGGGGTCTGCAGAGTCTTGGGCAGCCTGTCTCAGATAATTGAGAAATCTGCCTTTGGTCTCTGTTCTGATCATAGGCTTGTTCTAAAGGCGCCTGCGTGTTGATTTATTATTTCACTTCACTTAACAAATAAGTATTGAGCCTGCCAGTGCTGGAAGACAAGAAGAATAAGCCCACAGACCTTGCCTTCAGAGAGTCCTATAGAGGGTGAAGTGAGCCTGTTGACAAACAGGCATCACTGTGGGAATACAAAAAATTAGACAAACCTAGGGTCAAATTCCCATTGGGTCAGATGAGTGATCTGAGCTTAAACAAGCTACTCAATCTCTCTGAGCCTCAGTTTGCCCCCAAAATATTTTATCTGTGCAATTTGATGCACAGAAGTGATTGTTGTTTGTATATTTCCTAACACTGGGATCCATGGAGAAATGAGATCACTCCCTTAACATGCCCTCCTTTCCCCCAGACATGCCCTTTCACTTACTTTTCCCAAGTTCTGTATTGCCTTGCTTTATCCCACTTTTTAAATTCTCTGGAGCCAACATTTTTGGGGTTATAGTTCTACCCTGCTCTAGCACAGTCTTCCTGAAACCTTCCCCCTTAGTCTTCAGAATTCAGTACTTTTTAAGTCTCCAACCTTGGGCAGCTTCCTGCACTAACATTCCAGTTGGTCTCTAGCCAATTCAAGGTACTTCTCCAAGGTCATGGGATCTAGACATCTTTAGAGGTAAAAATTCCTGAGGAAAATGGATTCAGGGTCGACTGATGCTCCCATAGTGCCTAACGCAGTGTTTCCCATAGAGTTGGCACTCAGCAAATTGTTCAGTGAGTGAACACATCACATCCGTTCCCTTCCTTTTAGCATTTTGGTATGATGGTAACTCCTTTTCAGGACCGGCACCCCAAACACACTAAACTACATCCATGAGTGTGCCCCAGAAAATGAGGCACCTCCCAGCATCGCTGACAAGCGAGCTGCAACACCAAATAGCAAGGACTACACACAAGAAATCCCCTCACCACATGACAGCTAAAAGAATGAACTAGTAACTGCATGACAAGCCCTTTGCAAACACAGAGCTGGGCTGAAGAAGCTGACAAAGACAGTACAAATTCCCATCCCTTTAATCACAAAGTCTTACAAACAGATTCCCTCTGTGAGAGTTTGAATCCCAGCTGTTTCAGAGACAACTCTGAGCTGCGAAATACTAAACTTGGAAGGGCCCTAGACATCTTTGAGACTTTCCCAAATGTCAGTTGGTCAGATACCCCATCACCATCTTTGCTTTGTTTAGGCACAACCTGTACTATTAATTACTTTATGTATTAAATCAATTTTCTTTTCCACTTCAATCCAATTATAGCATAAGGAAAAGAGACTTTATATCATGACCTTTAATAGGAAAGCCAGACTCCCTCATAAATAGGTTACCATACCCATAGATCTACTGGCCTCAGAATGTGACTGAGTTCAAAGCAATTTAATAAATCTCCATGTACCCCATATTCAAGGGAGGACACTGACCAGCTGAGTGGGAATGAGCCCTGCTCAGATGCCTGGGTGGATGCTGCTTTACTGGGACTGGCTGTGCAGACCCAGGATGCTTTCACTGCTGTTTTACTGCTTGGTAGCTGCCCATTGTATTTATTAGCCACTGATCTGTGTGAATAGCTGTGCAACCTCAGGCCCGTCTCCATTTAATATAAAGTTCCCCCAGCTCCCCTTTCCATTGCAGATATCACTCTCTCTGAGCATGAATCTATTGACCATGGCTCCTTAAAGCTCCTCTCACTCCAATCTCCACAAGGAGGGCAGGAGTTCGGGGCAAAGCACTTCACGGGGGTCACCAGAGGGAGGACCTGGGAAGGATGACCTACAAGAGGAGAGGTGGGGTGGGCAGCAGAGGACGAGTTCCACTGCCTGGGCTGGTCTTCCACTTCTGTGACTGACCGAGATGATGCTGCCCTCCCTGTAAAATGAGCCATCAAAGAGCACAGATGCTTCTCAACGTGGGACTGGACACCACAGGTAGCACCACAGGTGACTGGACGCCTTCACAGCTGAACATCTTAAATATGTTTAAGTCAAACTCATCACTCTACCCACTAGAACATTTGGAATCCTAAAAGTAGTATGTGAGCTAGTGGTCTTTGTTTTTAAAAAGAGTTAAAAGTGAATTTGCAAAACTATATCCAAATAAATCTTGGAATGGATTCCTTGAAAAATTCTGCATGAAAATTGATGGTTTTTAGGCATGTTTTAAGAAAAATATAGGTGACCACTGGGGAGTAGTAGAGGTTCACTATAAACAAATGGGGTCAGAGTCACCTTACAACTATTTTTAACACAACAAGCCTGGTAGATTAAAGTGATTTGTTTATTCCATAAACCTTTATTAAACAGTTACAATAGGTCAGAGAGTTTGCTGGGTGCTCCACATAAACCATTTCATATCAATTGCTTTGGTAGGGCATGATAGCAAAAAGATACCACTAAATAATTTGGGAACTGAAAAAAGAGATTGTCCTCTGGTTACTAATTTATTGTAAATGTAAGCAAACAGAATTGGAGGACAGATGTGTAAATTGTCCTTAAGGAACAGAAAGATTAACATAGTTTCTTTCCAGCAGCCCCTGTCCAGAGTCCTTCTACTTCTCATTAAAATACCACCAACGACATGAGAAAAAGCCAAAATTTCCTAACTCATAAACATGCTGAAAACCAAAAGTGATAAGTCCATTATTGCCAGAATTAGGAAGAAATTTTCATTGACTATATTTGAAGAATTCACATATGTGAAGTGCTTACAGCAGTGTCTGGTTCGTAGAACTGCCAATTGTTAATTATTATTAACTTAAAGTGAAAGGAACTGAACTGAGGAAAACAACTGGTGATCTCTTCAGAGAGGGTGGATGTCTTGCCCAAATCTGCACAGCTGGTCTGCAGCAGCACTTGATCTTGGGCTCAATGATCCCATGCATATGTGCAGATGTGTGCAGAATTTCACAATCACTCTGGGCTAGATGCTGTGCTAGTACTTCTCCAGGATCACAAACTGAGCCACACAGTGGCCAGTGTTGAAGGAACTCCTGTTTTTCCTGCTTTACTAATGAGAAATCAGAAGCTTGGGGACCTCAGGATCTTGCCCCAAGTCACAGAACTAAGGAATTGGCAGAGCCAGTATTCTAACCGGGTCTATCTGGCTTTAGGGACTTTATTCTTCCTAACACCTCACTCTGTGAGGTGGTGAGTAATTTGTGACAGAGTGACTCAGAAGGGGAGAAGATAGGAACTCTTCAGCGGAGAGGAGGCAAGTTGAACATGTAAATGTAATCCTTCAGGACAGAATGATGCCAAGAGAGCTTATGCCACAGTGCACCACTGAGATCTTAGGGTTTGGATAAAAGGGTCCCATTTAATCACGATGGCTTATCTGGGGACAAATGTAGTCTTTTAAAATACCAGTAATTCAGGAAAAAAAAATAAGCAAGGAAACAACAGTAACTCACACGTTAAAAGCCTACCGCAGATTCCCTTTTCCAGGGTCGTTGTTAGTAAAAATGTTTCTATAAAAGTTTCCAAAATTACAGACTTCTCAAAAATATTCATTGCGCTATATTCAGGCTATTTTAAGACAGTTTCCCTACTGCCTCTAAAAGATTGAAAACCATTCAGAAGCATGAATCATAGGGCAATAACTTGTGATACATGAGAGGAACTATGGCTAGTTTATAATTCAATTTCAGCCTGAAATGAAGTTTAATAATACATAGAGTGGCCTCATTTTATTCTTATTAAAGTGAAGGATATGACTTCAGGGATAAGTTAGCTAATTTATTAGAAATATTTCAGACACAAGGAAAATAAAGAATGTGGATTGCCCTTGCAGAAGGAAAAACAAACAGAAACTGGGATGTCATGGGAAATAAGTTATCTTTCAATTTGAAGAAACTACTTATAGAAGAGACCCTATATCTCAACCCGAAAGTTGGGGAGGGGGTGGAAAAAAAACACTTAAACTTTTCTTTTAAAGTAGTCATTGGACAAATCAAACCCTGGGAGTATGAGCTTTTACACTCCTCCCTTCCCCGAGCCAAGGTCATAGCTCAGCTCCTTCAGCTACGTGACCCATAAAACATATCCTAACCATTATCCCTTCTGCTCCCCGAATTCATCTCCAGTAGTGACCCTACGGCCCCCCAGGCAGAAATCAAGACTTTCCCCTCCTCTTCACTATCACACTGACCTCTTCTCACACCTCACCCTCACCTTTTTTCTCACACTCCACTTTTACCAGTTTGCCATTAGTCTACTTCTTTCTACCACCTAAGCAGCTCTCGACTCCATTCCTTCCCCTCGTTTTCCCCACATTCTTCTTGCCCTGTTGCATAATTCCATTATATCAGCCTCCTAAATATATTCAATTTCTCATTTCTCCCACTTCTCTTCCACATTGCCAGCTAAGTGATCTTCCTAAAACACTAAGCAGAACATGCTACTCATCTGCTTAAAATTATTCAGCGGTTGGTTCTCCATCCCTTGTGAGATAGAATCTAAAGTTCATAACTAGGTCCAATTTACCTTTATGGTCTTCTTTCTTGACATTCCCTGTCACACCATCTAACCAATTTCTTGCGAATGTCTGAATATGGTTGTTGTTGTTTTTCTATCACAGCATGCGTTGCATATTTTTTCCCGCCTATTGTGAATATTACCTTGCTAGTTCATCTGATATAATCCTGCTCATATTTTAAGACTTCTCTCAAACATCATAACCTCTATTAGGACTCTTAGTGTTTTTTGGTATTTGGATTAGAGAAAACGCCTACTTTTGCTAATTATATTGGAAAACATTTATTGGATCATTCTTATTCCTTCACCCATTAGTGCTGCTACCTTCACCATAAACTAAATTTTATATTCTTAAGACCTGTTTCCATGTATTCTACTTTATTGCCTCTACTCAATAATTCCTGTTACATAGATAACCATTTTTGACCTTATTGTTTTTGTTATTAAAGATACTTAATAACTGCCATTTTATTTTAGGGCAAGGCCCCTCTTATTACTCTGTTTTTCTGAACTTTTGATATATTCAGTTGTATTTTAGAATAGTTTCCCCATGTCTTCACCAAAATCTTTGGGTTTTGTTAGGAATTATATGAAGCCTAAAATTAACTGGGACATTCACAAAATCTTCACAGTTAGTCTTTTTTTCTTGAAGCATAGTTTTCCTTTGTCTGTCTTCCTCTAGACCTGACGACTTAATGTCGGGACTTTTATTCCCTCATCATATGGTTGCTGGAGTTATTGTTGTTGTTGGTTTGTTAATAAAAATAGAAATTTTTAAAATTTTATCTTTCCTAAGTGTTTACATTTAGGAAATGTTTTGCATTGGGAGTATTTATTTTTATATCCAGCCACTTCACAGCCTTGTCTTACTAGTTATAATGCTTGGTTTGGCTTGGTTGAGTTGCTGTTTGTTTTGTTCAATTTTCAGTTGATTTGCTTGGAAGTACCCATTCAGAAATGGATCTTAAAGCCAACTTACCTGACTCTGTGCTTACTATTGTATTATTCTGAGCAAAATTATCCTCTCTATTCTTAACTTTCCTTATCTGTTCATTAAGTGTTTAATCATAGCACCTATCTCATAAGGTTACTGTGGAGATTTGGCTGGGAACTTATTAAGTGTTAACCAGTGCATGGGCCTGTTGACGATTCAGTAAATGTTACCTGTGTTACTGGAGGTAGACAGTCATATTATTGAAAACAATGATATATTTTTCTTTGCTTTTGCAAAAGCCAGAACTCTTATTTCTGGTTCTAATTATTCTGACTATATTTTTCAAAAGGATAATATTGAATTACTGTAATGATAATATAGGTACTTATCTTGTCAATAACATTAATTGGATCCCATCTCATAGCTCAGAAGTAAGATATTTCCTCATGTCAGCAAAATAACCTTCCATTTTCAGTTTACTAGATTTTTTTCAAGAATAGATAATGACTTTGATCAAATGTCTTATTGATACAAATAATTAAGTGATTTGCTGACTCTAAACCCTTGTAGCATTCCTGAAAAATCTCTATTTAAGTCATTGTGGGTTAGTCTTCTAAAATATCTTTCCACAATCCATATGGTAACATTAAAAAAAAATTTGCATTCATGTTATAAATGTAGATATTTGCCTTTTATCATACCCAGTTCTCCTTTCCTTGTGAATTGTCTTCATGTAACTCTTTATTTCTGTTTCACAGAGACCAGGTTCTCTATCCTGTTGCAAAACAAAAGCCTTTTCTGTTTTTCTAAACTATTCTTCAGGCTTCTGTAGCACATTCTTTTCATAGGTATTCTCTTTAAGACTTCAAGATAATGTTCTGTTCCACTCATACCACAATATTCTTTATTCTCCCCTTAATTTTTCTGTAAACAGGGAGTGTCTTTCTAGGCCAGCATTTGCCAACAGGCAGGGTTACGTGGATTGCTGTTGGCCTTGCTCACTGCCACCTTAATAGACACAGCTTTCTCTCAGACGTCCGGCTGGAAGGTTGATGTGCATAATGCTGAGCTCAGGTCCCAGAGCCTCACAGACAATGGTTTTGTGCAGTTTTGATGAATGGTGGTGGGAGCTTCCATTTCTAAGAAGTCCATTTGTATTAGTCCATTCTCACACTGCTATAAAGAACTGCCTGAGTCTAGGTAATTTACAAAGAAAAGAAGTTTAATTGACTCACAGTTCCACATGGCTGGAGAGACCTCAGGAAACTTACAATCATGGCAGAAGGGGAAGCAGGCATGTCTTACATGGCAGCAGGTGAGGGAGAGCGAGAGTGTGAAGGAGGAACTGTCAAACATTTACAAAACCATCAGATCTTGTGAGAACTCACTCACTATCACAAGAACAACATGGGGGAAACCGCCCCCATGATCCAGTCACCTCCTACCAGGTCTCTCCCTTGACACATGGGAATTATGGGGATTACAATTCTAGATAATATCTGAGTGTGGACACAGAGCCAAACCATATCACCATTCTATTGATCCAGTGGTGGAGCACATGAAAGACCTCAACCCCCTGCACTTGAAGCCCCCCATATTGTTTCTGTCTTCACCCCCAAGGCAAGGTTCTGCCTGTGGTAGCTGCATCCCCCAGACATAGTCTGTCATAGCTGTTCTCTGTTTTGACTTTTCCCTGGAGCTGAAAAGATTGGAAATGACTGAAAACAGTATCTGCTGATTCATAAAGCAGCACCAAAAAGCAGAAATATGGCACATTTTACCAGTGAATGCAGACCCTGGGCCTCTGCCAGTGCAGTAGAGGGACAGATACCTCTTCTGAGTCTGCCATAACAAAGCACCACAACCTGAGTGACTTAAAACAACAGAAATGTATTCTCTCACAGCTCTGGAGACAAGAAGTCTGAAATCAAAGTGTCAGCAGAGCCACGCTCCTTCTGAAGGCTCTTGGGAAAAGTCCTCTCCTGACTCTTCCTTGCTGCTGGTGGCTGCCAGCAGTTTTCGACATTCCCTGGTGTGTAGATGCATCACTCCATCTCTGCCCCCATCTTCACATGGACTTCTTCTGAGTTTCTGTGTCTCCTCTCCTCTTCTGTTTATAACGATATCAGTCACTGGATTTAGTTCCCACGCAACTCCAGTATAATTCCTCTTTAACTAATTACATCTAAAAAGACCCTCTTTCCAAATAAGGTCACATTCTGAGGATCTGAATAGACAAATTTGGGGGACATTATTCAGCTCAACTACATCTGCTCAGCACCTCTCTGCCTGGTAGGGCCTCTCTTTCATAGGACAGTGTCTTCAGAGGTGACCAATTTTTTTCCTCAGTTCAGTTCCTTTGACTTTAAGTTAATAATAATTAACAATTGGCATTTCTGTGTGCCAGACACTGCTCTAAGCACTTCACATATGTGAATTCTTCAAATACAGTCAATGAAAATTTCTCCCTAATTCTGGTAATAATTGGCTTATCACTTTTGGTTTTCAGGGTGTTTGTAAGTTAGGAGATTTTGGCTTCTTCCTGTGTGTGTCCTTGGTGGCATTTTAATGAGAAGTGGAAGGACACAGGACAGGGAGCTGCTAAATCATTTTGACCTTTCTGTTCCTTAAGGACGGTTTACACATCTGTCCTCCAATTCTGTTTGCTTACTTTTACAATAAATTAGTAAACGGGACAATCTCTTTTCTCAGTTTCTAAATGATTTGGTGGTATCTTTTTGCTGTCATGCCCTACCAAAGCAAATGATATGAAATGGCTTATGTGGAGCACCCAACAAACTCTCTGACCTATTGTAGCTGTTCAATAAACGTTGTCAGAATAAACAAATCACTTTAATCTACCAGGCTTGCCTTGTTAAAAATAGTCATAAGGCGAGGTGGGAGAATCCTGAGGTCAGGAGATCGAGACCATCCTGGCCAACGTGGTAAAACTCCGTCTCTAATAGAAAATTAGCTGGGTGTGGCAGCACTTGCCTGTAATCCCAGCTACTGGGGAGGCTGTGACAAGATAATCGCTTGAACCCAGGAGAGGTTGCAGTGAGCCGAAATCGTGCCACTGAACTCCAGCCTGGCGACAGAGCTAGACTCCATCTCAAAAAAAAAAAAGAAAAAAAAAAGTCGTAAGGTGACTCTGATACCATTTGTTTATAGTGAACATCTGCTGCTTCCCAGTGGTCACCAGTATTTTTCCTCAAACCCATCACTTTAATAAACCACGCAGAATTTTTCAAAGAATCCATTCCAAGATTTATTCGGATATAGTTTGGCAAATTCTCTTTTAACCCTTTTAAAAACAGAGACCACTCAGCTCACATACCACTTTTAGGATTCCAGATGTTCTAGGGGTGGAGTGATGAGTTTAACTTAAACATATTTAAGATGTTCAGCTGTGAAGGCGTCCAGTCACCTGTGGTGCCACCTGTGGTGCCCAGGCCCACATTGAGAAGCACCTGTGCTCTTTGACGGCTCATTTTACAGGGAGGGCAGCATCATCTCAGTCAGTCACAGAAGTGGAAGACCAGCCCAGGCAGTGGAACTCGTCCTCTGCTGCCCACCCCACCTCTCCTCCTGTAGGTTACCCTTGCCCAGGTCCTCCCAGTGGGGCGCTTTGCCCCGCACTCCTGCACTCCTCGTGGAGACTGGAGTGAGAGGAGTCTTAAGAAGCTGTGGTCAATAGATTCATGCTCAGAGAGAGAGAGAAACCTGCAATGGAAAAGGGAGCTGGGGGATCTTTATGTTACATGGAGATGGACCCGAGGTTGCACAGCTATTCACACAGGCAGCTACCAAGCAGTAAAACAGCAGTGAAAGCATCCTGGGTCTGCACGGCCAGTCTCAGTAAACCAGCATCCACCCAGGGATCTGAGCAGGGCTCATTCCCACTCAGCTGGTCAGTGTGCTCCCTTGAATATGGGGTACACGGAGATATATTAAATTGCTTTGAACTCAGTCACATTCTGAGGCCAGTAGATCTATTCCTATGGTAACCTATTTATATGAGAAGGTCTGGCTTTCCTATTAAAGGTCATGATATAAAGTCTCCTTCTCTTATGCTGTAATTGGATTGAAGTGGAAAAGAAAGTTGATTTAAAACAATACCTAAAGTAATTAATAGTACAAGTCATGCCTAAACAAAGCAAAGATGGTGACGGGGTATCTGACCAACTGACATTTGGGAAAGTCTCAAAGATGTTTAGGGCCCTTCCAAGTTTAGTATTTCACAGCTCAGAGTTCTCTCTGAGATAGCTGGGATTCAAACTCTCACAGAGGGGACCAGTTTGTAAGATTTTGTGATTAAAGGGATGGGGATTTGTCCTGTCTTTGTCGGCTTCTTCAACCCAGTTCTGTGTTGGTGAAATCCTGGTCATGCAGTTACTAGTTCATTCTTTTAGCTGACATGTGGTGAGGGGATTTCTAGTGTGTGGTCCTTGCTATTTGGTGTTGCAGCTCGCTTGTCAGCGATGCTGGGAGGTGCCTCATTTTCTGGGGGCACACTCATGGATGTAGTCCAGGGTGTTTGGGGTGCCGGTCCTGAAAGGGAGTTGAGCCATTCATTAGCTCACATATATCTTCCAGTGTGCATAATGCTCCATACAGTAGCTGTGACCCTGGAAATTTGCCTCTAACTCAAATGTCAATAAATCAGCATAATAAGGCAGAGAATAGCCCCTGGCATGCAGTAGGTGCTTAATAAATATTTGTGGAATAATGAATTAATGAGCAGCAGGAGATAATAATAGTGTATTACGGTTCTCTAGAGGGACAGAACTAATCAGATAGAGGTAAATATAAAGGGGACATTATTAAGGAGTATATATTAAGGAGTATTGACTCACACAAAGCCAGTCCAAGTCCCAAAGCTGAAGAACTTGGCGTCTGATGTTCAAGGGCAGGAAGCATCCGGCATGGGAGAAAGATACAGGTCAGAAGTCTAAACCAGTCTAGTCTTTTCATGCTCTTCTGCCTGCTTTTATTCTAGGGGAGCTAGCAAATGATTAGATGGTGCCCACCCAGATTGAGGGTGGGTCTGTCTCTCCCAGTCCACTGACTCAAATGTTAATCTCCTTTGGCAACACCCTCACAGACACAACCAGGAACAATAATTTTCATCCTTCAATCCAATCAAGCTGACCCTCAATATTAACCTTCACAAATAGCAACAATTTAGACTCTGGAGTCAGATAGACTTGGTCTGAAATTCTAGTTCTGCCACTTTCTAGCTGTGGGAGCTCAAGCAGTTTACTTAACCCCTCTGATCCTCAGTATCTCCATTGTTAAAGTGGGGATGATAACATTCTTCTGTCATGGGGTTATTGTGAGAATTACATGAGCAAATAAACCAGGTCAATCACAGCGGCTGCCCCAGTGTCAGCGCTTGACAAGTCTTACCCTTTGTGGTTATTATGGCTCCCCTTGATGGTAATAATAATAATTAGAAAAACAAACGCATGCAGCCATTGAATCACAGTGTCTGATTTCCCTTACGTGTGCCCCTCATGTGAAGCATGATAAATAACTCTGAGAACATGGCTTTTCTTTTTGCTGTTGTACTTCCCACTGATATGGCTTCTTGGCTCCTCAATGCTTCTATTGCCTCCAGATGCAGGTCCCTTGTCAAGCCTTTCCCCTCCAGGCTGAGTTTGTTATCTTCTTCTCTGGGCTCCCCCTGCCCTCCATCCATCCCTCTCTAATGGTACTTGTCACTGTAGATTCTGCCTGGCTTCCTTATCTGCTCTCTCTTTCTCACTTGTTCAGGCTTCGGGAAGGCAGGGTTGCAGTTGGAGCTACTGATAGAGAAGAAAGCCGGTGGACTCAGGAGCCCATGGAGGAGGAGAGGGACCTAGACTCAAAGTCAGGTGGAACCTCATAGCCCAGCTCTGTTTTTATTCAACCTCAAACCTGGGAAGGCTTCTGCCGTGAGCCCCGTGAGATAGGAGATATCATTTACTTTTTTGTTCTTTCTCCCTGCCTGCAGCTCCCTGCTGGGCCTGACACTGAAAACTCTCAGAGAAGCCCCAGGAAGCTTTAGTGCTTGTTTCTGGGACAGGAGGCAAGGGTTGCCATCCTCCGGGGACCAGAGGATGAGACAGCTGGTCCAAAAGGAAAAGAAGCTGGTGGACACATTTCTGTCACCAGGGAACATAAAGAGAACCCTATGGAAGTGTGGGGAGCTGTGCAACTCCCCGACTCATATAACCTTTCTAATCTTCTGATATGAATGGGATGAACATTTATCATCCATCTTCCATGAACTCAGCACTACTGTGACTCCTTTAGTGACCAATATCCTGGCCCAAATCTGTTTTTTCTTTTGCATTTGCCTCAAGGCTAAGCTTGTTGGGGAATAGTTCATGCCTGAGATCATTAATCTGATTCAATTAAACAAACACTTATGAGTGAGTACTTTGTGCTGTCCACTGGGCTCTGGGGATACTGCAGTGAACAAAACTTTGTCTCTATTGTTATGGATCTCATGGTCCTCTGGGAAGTCTTGAATCTAGAAAGGCTCTTTTTAAAGATGAAATGATAAAGCCAAGAGAAATGAAGTGATTCGGCCTAAGTCACACACAGCAAGTTAGAACCCAAGAACTAAGCCCCACGTTTCTCAGTGTAGTTGTTGTAGCTTACTTTACCTCTACTTTTCCAGTTTATGACTTATCACTGGGGTGACCACTAGCTCCCTCTTGAATCAGCCACAAACCTAAGGGGCGTATGTAGTGCAAAACAGGAGCCAGTCTTGCTTTTAATGCTCCTTTGAAGAAAATTGGAAAGTGTACTTAGTCCACTCTTGTCTCACTGCCACATGGTGTCACTGTGGAACACAGGTCCTGCACAGTTCAGTGGCTGCTTATTTCCCCTGCGCTGAAGCTACTTTTGGCCCAGATTCTAACACTTGCTCCCAAGGTACCACAAACTCAGGCTCCAAGTTTTCATCTCTTTGATTTCAGCTTTATATGCTCAGTCATTTGTGGTAAAGAATTCCATAGCTAGGTGGCTGAATCAGCCTCAGCTATAAGTAATGATGGGACCAGCTTTCACCCCCAAACTCTGTGGCCCAGGTATTAAATTAATGTCACTAGCCAAGACTCCCACAGCTTCTGAGTCACTTTGTATTCTGTCTTGGTCTGTTCCCATCTGGAATCCCCAAAAACTCCTTATGTGGATTCCTCCACCACCTCTCAACTTAAGATATAAAAAAATGCTGTCAAGAGTCTGCCTTTGTTAAGCTAGGGAATATTCCATTACTTTTCCCCCAGAAATGATTTGTGTGTTTGCATAATTAAGGACTATTACTCAAGAGATTCTCCCCTAAATATTGATCTTTCTAAGTTTACCGCTACATCCTTCGAGGAAGATTTTGCTATCCTTTACACTAACTTCCAACTCTTACTGACTCTTGCTAGCTTGCCTGCTTCCTATAGTGTTGTCCCCTTTTGTATAAATTTAGATGTGCATATACTGATGCAATTTAGCTGTGCTACACCTATGCACACACTGCTGGGAAACAGATTTGTGAATTGGATAGGAAGATCCATTTGAGGTTTCCGGGTGGCACCCCACCCTCCTTAAAAGTCATCATCTGGTCTCTTTGATGCTGGGTTTCAGGACATTGGCATCTTCCAAGGCTGAAGCCAGAGATGGATGATCAGAGATCTGCAAGGACAGTAGATGATTTTTTGGCCAAGTTTTTCTTAGAGGGAGTAAAGAAGATACGTTAGTTCCTGAGGGGAAGTTGTAAAAGCTTAATGCAAAGTCAGAATGTTACCAGGATTGGGAGAGAGAGAAGAAAGCAAAAACATAAACACTGAGAACAACCTCCAGGAGCTAACAGAACACTCATTTGAGAGAAGGAGAGAACCATTTTTCAAATGCCCACGTTTGAGTTCAGTCCAGAGTAGTAGAAAGCACACAGATATCTGAATTTGAAAGGTCTATGTTCCCACACTAAACATGGATTGACATGGCCTTGGGCGAGTTGCCTAACCTGATGAATTAGGTTTCTGCATCTGTAAATTGGGGTTGAGTGCCTGTCATGCGTGTGTCTAAGAAGATGCCCAGGGAAGGGAGCTTAGCACACTGCTTGACAATAAATAATAAGTTGCACTATCTGTCATTCAGAAACTCAGTTTGCCCACACATTAAAACAAAACAAAACAAAACAAACAAAAACAAACAAAAAACCCCCCAAAAAACTCTTTAATGAGGGGAAGTTGTGTAGAAAATGGGCAAGGATAAGGGAACAAATGAGGAATATTGAAGCGGCAGAAGCTAGCAATTTCAAACTCTATTACTGCCCCCAAGTTGAAGGGACAAGAGGAGGAAGATATGTTGTTGGAGCTCATAAAGAAGGGGCCCCCAAGCAGAAGCTACTGTTGGGGGTTGGGCAGGTACAGCTACAGCCAGAGTCAGTACTGAAACAGAGTGAGGCATGGAAAGCAATGCCTCACCCTACTTCCTGCTCTCCTGGCTCCTGTGGTTGCCTCCTGTTGAAGCAACCACCACCAGGGAACACTGGTTATCTTACTAAGCTGGATTTATTAAATATGATAAGCAAGGAAGAGTAGTCCTGCAACAAAATCTCAAGAATGTCTCAAAAAAGGGGAGTTAGGGAAGGTACTTGTAAGATTGTGGGGTTAGTCCTAAGATGGTTTTAATATGCATTGTCTAGACAGGGATTGGTCAGAATTTATGAATGAAGCAATTTTCTAGGACAGTCAGTGGTCTTATCTGTGGAGCATAAAAGTTCATACAGAGTTATGGTTACATCAATTTGTAGTATTAGCTGGGAACATGTGGGACTGAATGAGCTGGTATTTAAGAATGTTTTGAGCTAATTTGTGTTACATGTCATGGCTGGATCAGTTTATCCCTTTTGCAGGTCATACTTTATTTTGCAAATTGGTGACTGTTTTATTTCTCACTTCCATTAACCAAACTCTATCAGAAGCCAGCCAGACAGGGAGCTTAGATGAAGTGGTCTGCAGAGATCAGCCTCCCAGGCACTGAGCAGAGCAGGAAAGAGAGAAATGGCTCTGGGGAACAAATGCAGAAGAACCAGCACACTTATTGGCCTGCCTGCCTTTCTCCCTTCCTTCCTCCTTTCCTTCAGTTACTCCCTAATTGCCTCATTTCCCAATCGATATTAATTCTTTGTTATCTGTGTCTCCTTCTTTCCTTCATTCATTTCACACTTTGAGAATTATGACTCTAGGCCTTTACAAATTATAATTATTATAATTAATAATAGGTATAATTATGCTATTAAACATTGTTTATATACTAAACAATATGCAAGGTGACTTTTACAGCCAAAAGTCTCATCCTCTAAATCAGTACTGTCGAATGGAAACTTCTGCAATGATGAAAATGTTTTATAAGCTGCACTGTCCAATATGGTCCTACTTGGGACATGTGGCCACTGAACATTTGTACTATGAATATTGTGAATAAGGAATTGGACCTTAAAATTTTACTTAACTTTAATTAATTTATACTTAAGTAGCCACAGGTGGTTAGGGTTACTGTATTGGACAGTGTTGCTCTAAATAACTCTATAGGGCTGCTCTTACTATCTGCATTTCAGACATGAGAAAACTGAGCCCTGGAGAAGTTAAGATGACCATGGACACCAATTACAATGGTTATTATTGGTGGAGCCAGAACAAGGACCCAGTTCTCACTGGCCCCAAACGTGTGCAGCTTCATTTTTTTAAGGCTATACCACATTTTATTTTATGGCATTTTTAAACATTTCTGTAGATTTAGGGGGTACAAGTACAGTTTCATTACATGGATGTATTACATAGTGGTGAATTCTAGACTTTTATGTAACCATCACCCCAATAGTGTACATCGTACCCAATAGGTGATTTCTCATTCTTCACCTCCCTTCCACCCTCCCACCTTTCAGAGTCTCCACTGTCTATTATTCCATTCTCTGTGTCCATGTGTACAGGTTTATTTCCCATTTACAAGAGAGAATATGCAGTATTTGACTTTCTGTTTTTAAGTTATTTCACTTAAGATAATGGCCTCCAGTTCCATCCATGTTGCTGCAAAAGGCAGGATTTCATTCTTTTTATGGCTGAGTAATATTTTATGGTGTGTGTGTTTATGGCTGCATATTACTCAGACATAAAAAGAATGTTACATATAATATGTAAAATATTATATGTGTATATATATGTGTGTATATATACACATATAATATTTTCTGTGTGTACATATGTATATATGTGTGTATATCTATACACACATGTAATATTTTATGCAATATTTTATGGGAGGCTGATATATACATATATACACATATGTGTGGCATGTACATATATGTGGTGTATATATATGTGTGTGTGTGGTGTGGCTGTGTGTGTGTATATATATATACACACACACCATAAATATATATATATATATACACCATATATATATATATATATATATATACACACCATATATATATACACACACACCATATATATATATATCACATTTTCTTTATCTGATCACAAGTGCTCCCTCTGCCTAGACATCCTTCTTCTCAGCCTCTTGGCCAAATTCCTACTCATCCTTCAAAATTCGGCCAAACTCTCCCTTTCTCCATGAAGCCTCCATAATACCCAACCATAGTTGTGAATGTCGTAACATTTGGTAAATATGTAATGGATGCACTTTACACATTGTGTTGTAGTGATTCATTTAGTTGTATACATTTTTAAATAGACCGTGAGGTCTTTGAGGACAGGAACTGAGTCACTGTGGGAGACACATAGTAGGTACAAAGAAAAAGATTTGCAAATGAGTGCTTTATCATCGTTTTAATGGGTTCCATAAGCACCTAAATAGTAATGCTGTAGCATGGGCCTGTTGGTGCCAATCTCCTTCATTGCCTTTATAGGTTTAAATTCTATAGATCAGCAAGATCTCTGCTGAGAGAAAATTTGGGCCAGCCTGCTGCCCTCTTGGGCTCCTTCCCTTTCCTGTTCTTGCATGATCAATAGCTCTGGCTGGGAGTATTTTAAGCCTACTACCCTTTGACTTGAGTCTTTCTTCCCTCAGCAGTCATGCATTTCCCAGCATGCTCCCCAGGAGGGTGGTGGATCAGAAGTGCCTGAAGATTGTGATACAATTCAATAGGTTCTCCTGAGCAGCTTATAAAACAGCCAGCTGCCTCCTGGACAGACACATACATCTCTAGACATCCAAATCACCTGTGGGCCAAAGGACCACCATGCTGAGAGGTCTTGGGATGGGTGGATTTCCTAGTAAAATTAGGTAGAGCCATTATGACTCAACATCTAGGATACAGCATTGTTAACAGGGCAGGAGAGAGAAAAAAATCGAGTGCCAGGAAACTGCTTTTCAAGACCAGAGAACATTCTGATGGCCTCTATTCAGGCCTAGTTTGGGGTCAACCCTTTCAGGAGAAGGAACTCAAAAGAAATGACCTTATCCACATGTCTTCATTATGTTGTCCAGCCGGACCATCCTTGCCCTCAGCAGGCCTGTGTTGCCCTTGGAAATAAGTCCAGATTCCTTGGCATTGTCTTCCAGTTCCAGCAGTGGCTCAAACTGCAAATGCCAACAGGGGCGAGGTGGATCATATCAAGAGTAAAGTGTTGTTTTGAGAGTTGTGGCCAACAAGAAAGACCTGACTGTTCGATGGCAGTAGCCACTGCTCTGCCTGACCATTGTCACCATGAAAATGAAAGCTCTGGCCCTCCTTTTTCTTTCAGTAGAAGAGGGAAATCTGGATTCGAGTGTAAAATATCTAGTGTCTTAAACTACTTTGTGTCAGATATGGTCCAGAGGTCATTACTGGCAGGTCTTTCATCTGCTCCAGCTTCATTGCCATGGATTCCTTCACGTTCTCTACTCTTCAGCCACTGTGACCCACTTGCCACTTGTGGACTAGCCCATCCTCGTCCCCACTTGGTATATTTGCACATGCTGTTGCTTCATCTGGGTGTGCTCTTTCTACCCATTCACATGTTAAACCTGGACTGGTCTTCCAGCCCCACTCGAGTGCCACTTCCTTTAGAAGCTTCCCAATATCCCCAGGCATTTGTCCTTCCTTTGGTCTCCTTTGGTTGTTTCCACTTTGTCTGTAGTATTTACTGCTTGCTATTATAATTTCTGGGCTTATTTGTGGGCTTCCTTCATTAGACAGAGAGCTCTTGAGCTCCAGGACTACAAAATTCACAGAGCCAACTTTCTGTTGGACACCTCTCTCCAAGTGCATCACAGCAGTCTCAGTCTCAATGTGCCCTGCTTGCAACTGTCTCGCATCCCCATCCCACCAGTCTGATCCCATTTCTGTATCCCCATCTCAGTGAGTGGCAGCACCCCATCCAATTCTCAGGGCAGAATCTGGGGGATCATCTTAGGTTCCTTCATCTTCCTTACCTTCCTGATCCCATCAATCACCCAGCAAGACCTTGGTTCAGTATTCCCATTTAGTCACCATCATTCTCACTTCACCCTTGTTGCCACTTAGTAGATGGTCAGTAAATGCTTCTTTAATTAGTTGTTTAATTATGGACCTGTTATTATTTACGATTTCAGAGTAAAGTGCACAGTAAGGACTGCAACAGTCAGGAAAGACTCCATAAGGAAATGGGATTGAGTAGGACTTTATTGACCAGGTGGGTGTCTAGGTAAATAATAAAGAAGGTATGACAGGCAGGGAGGGTGGCCATGGTGGCTGGAGTGGACAGGGTTCATTTCATAGCCAACAGGTGAGTGCTGACCTGATAGGAGTGGGATATGATGAGATGGGCGTACAGTCGGATGGGTGAGCCAGAGCGAGGTGTGAAGAATCTGGAAGTGTGGAGAAGTTATTCAGAGTTTATGCATCAGAAATAGAGCACATTCGCTGATTCTTGAGAAGGAAATCTGTGTTTACCTGCCACAGAACAGAAAATAAAAGGCCTAAGGCAAGGGAAGAGTGATGAATCGTGGGGTAGGCTTAAAGAGTGGGTGATGGGCTTGGGATTCAGTGGAAACTAGCCAGCCAGAAGGCACCTGGAAAATGACTAAACGGATGATATTCTCTTTCTTCATTGGCTGGCTTAATCCCTTGTTATGGCATCAAGTTAATAATAATAATTATCACCATCTTGATGCTAGTGAACCCTCGTAATTGCTTTCGGCATGACAAACTGCTCATTCATCATCTGCCCTAATTCTCACATCATGCCCAGTGATCGGTGGTACTGATACTCTACAGATGAGCCCACAAGGGGTCATGGAAAAGAATTAACCTGCCAGAGTTGGGCAGGTGGAGTCCCTTTATATGGCCAGGACCTGAGATACAGTTTAAAACATCTTTTATTGGGTTAAAACCCAAAGGTTCTGTTTTAGTGCATGTTGCGTGGGGCTAACTTGCCCAGGTAGTTTTGGAAAACATAGCTATTCCTCACCTGCTAGGGCATGAGACACACCCTCCTTCTGATGCTATGGGTACAGAGTCCTGGTGCCACACACTGATGTGTCCCACAGTTCTGGACTTCCCGCTGCCATCTCAAAACCCTGAAAGGTTTTTGGGGTACCTCTCAGCAGGTTCTGGTTTTTAAAATGTGCCACATTCTGACAGCCAACGAAAACTGCAATGTACCTTCCTTCAGCAGCCCCTCAGAGTTGAAACAGAAATAGCCCTTCCTACCAGGAATAAAAATAGAAACCATGAAACAAGTTCATGTATTCTTGTCCCTGTGCAGGGCACTCCTGTCATATGGGAGGCCAACACTTCCAACATTCTGCACATGAAACGGCAGCAAAGGGCTTTCCCTTGCAGGAGGGAAAATGCAAAAAAAAATGGTGTCACCTCCCATGACAGAATGATCCATGGTCCATTCTTATCTTGTCTTGTCCTTTCTTTCCCTTAATAGGCACATTCTTTCAATTCACCTGTCATTGCAGTAGGCCTCAGTTTATTGACTGTGTTTGCTGTGTTGCAGGCATGTTATTGGAGACAAAGATGAATGAGACCTAATCCTTGTCCTCAGTCAGGGACTTCCTCTAGTCAGGGAATCAGACACATAAATAGATACTGTCAATCTCCCACCAGAGGTGCTGAAATAGAAAGATGTCCAGGGAGTTCTAAGAGAGCAGAGAAGAGGAGCACATGGCCTCTTTAGAAGCCAACTTGGTTTCTGCCAGCAGGAAACCATTTCTGTCATTGCCTGGCATTGAGCGCAAGTCTGTGACCTTATAAACAGAATTTAAATTGCTTCATTTTTCAGAAGGGCAGGAAAATACCGCCCTCAGAAAAGTTGCATATCTGATTATGGAAGAGGCAATGGGATCTACAGGCTGAAGCAGACTGGCACCTCCCTAATTGTGTGATATTTTCCAAAACCAGGGCATGTCATTTAATTTGGGGCAAGATGCCTCCAAAGGATTAAATATTAATCGGGTCCTTCCTTCCCCCTTTTGCATTCTTATCACTTTTTGAAATTCATTTTCCCTTCTCTCACTTTATTTATTTGTTCATTTATTCCCTTGGTCTGGTCCATCAGAATTTGCCATGAATGTTGCCAGGCACAGGGGATACACAGATGAAATAGCAAACATCCCCCGTGGGTCTCAACCCTGGATGTTTGTCAGAATTGCTCAAGGATCCAGCTTTCATATGAATACAAATGCTCTGAAAACACCTCCACATTAGGTTTTTAAGTGAAGAAAGCCAAATGTAGGAGAGTGTGTAATCCAGTAGCATTAGTGTGGGAAACAATTTTTGGGGGGAAAATGTGCATATTTTCTTGTATCTGCTCAGAGTATGTCTGGAAGAATATGTAAGAAACTAAAAACCACCACTATTATGCATTGCATCATTGCATGCCCATATCAAAATATCTTCTCATGTACCATATATATATATATATATATATGTACTATGTGCTCACAAAAATTAAAAATTTTTAAAAATGCATTTACTTATAAACCAAGAAAAAAAAAAGAAACTAAAAACCTTGGTTGCCTATGGGAATAGGAACAGTTATCTAAATAGCAGAATAAGAGACAGACTACTCTAGACCCTGTTAAACTCTGTGTCATATGAATGTATTTCCACCTGAAAATAATTTTAATTAAATTAAAAGTGAGTAATTTTTTTTAAGTGAGTAATTCTTTTTGTTTGTTTCTGAGATGGGGTTTCACTCTTGTCGCCCAGACTGGAGTGCAATGGTGCCATCTCGGCTCACTGCAACCTCCACCTCCTGAGTTCAAAGGATTCTCTGCCTCAGCCTTCCGAGTAGCTGGGATTACAGGTGCCCGCCACCATGCCCAGCAAATTTTTGTACTTTTTTAGTAGAGATGGGTTTTCACCATGTTGGCCAGGCTGGTCTCAAACTCCTGACCTCAGGTGATCGCCTGCCTTGGCCTCCCAAAGTGCTGGGATTGCAGGCATGAGCCACTGTGCCCGGCCGAGTACATGTGTAAATCATAAACTTATCTTACAGACATTCTAAAATCGGTATATTAAGGCTCCCCCACCCCATCTTCATGTTAAATTCTAGACACCAGGCATAATTAAGCATTCACAGTTCTCTGAATGAGGCACATTCTCTCTGGCCACCACACATTTGTGTGTGAAGTTCCTTTTGCCTGGTACATACTTCCCCTCCAGCAACCTCCATCCCCACACCCTGATTAAGGACCCCCACCCTACCTTCTCCAGTTAGATGGCCCGTCTCTGTGTTTTCAAAACATCTCTTGCTCCCCATCATAATTCTCTCAAACAGGAGTATAGTGGTCTGTTTATTTGTGTAGGATGTTCATCAAATCTCATACCCCATGAATGCAGAGGGAGTTTGCCCAGGAATTCTACTTTTAACACTCAAGAGTCTCATGTTCTGGGAAACTTCTGAGTCCCAGGCAAACTGGGATGGTTGATTTCTTCATGTGTCCTCTACTAGCCAGCATCCCCCTGTAGACAGGAAACATACTGTTTCATCCTCCTCTTCTCTAACACAAAGGCCAGAACACTCTGCAGTCTGGGTGCCGGACAAAGCCTCTTAAGGGAACAAAAGCATCAATATTTGTGATTTTAGAATCTGAACAACCAAAGAAAGATTTCATGTAATTTAAAACACACTTTTAAAAGAAACTGACACATGCCAAGATAATGAGTTGCTTGTAGAAGATATCAGTGCTTTCACCACTTATTTCCTCTCCTTTAAGATGCACTGTGACTTGCTTTGACTAATGAATGGGAATGGAACTGATACATGAGTTCCGGTTAGCAGCTTTAGGAGCCGGGGAGTCTGGGTGGCTGCGAAAGGAGAGTTGGCCATGTAGCCTTCTCCAGCAGAGCCCTGCTCAGATCCACAGTGGACTTGTCATGTGAACGAGGCAGAAATGACCCTTCATCACATTCAGCCACAGAGAGGGTTATGTCTTATTGTAATGTAAACTGCACTACCATTATTGATTCATTCATATTTATATATACATTTAAAATAATTTAGAGTACATTTATGACATAGGGTTAGTTTTTATTTGTGCTGTAGTGGGAAAGGCTCTAGGAAAAGCCACATTAAACCTTCTTGAACAGGGAAAATTATTGATTAGCACACTGTTCATGAAATCAGAGTTTTAAATAGAATAGGTCATGAAATAAAAAGAGACTTTTCCAAAATTGACAAATGGGATCTAATTAAACTAAAGAGCTTCTGCACAGCAAAAGAAACTACCATCAGAGTGAACAGGCAACCTACAAAATGGGAGAAAATTTTCGCAACCTACTCATCTGACAAAGGGCTAATATCCAGAATCTACAATGAACTCAAACAAATTTACAAGAAAAAAACAAACAACCCCATCAAAAAGTGGGTGAAGGATATGAACAGACACTTCTCAAAAGAAGACATTTATGCAGCCAAAAAACAGACACAAAAAATGCTCATCATCACTGGCCATCAGAGAAATGCAAATCAAAACCACAATGAGATACCATCTCACACCAGTTAGAATGGTGATCATTAAAAAGTCAGGAAACAACAGATGCTGGAGAGGATGTGGAGAAATAGGAACACTTTTACACTGTTGGTGGGACTGTAAACTAGTTCAACCATTGTGGAAGTCAGTGTGGCGATTCCTCAGTGATCTAGAACTAGAAATACCATTTGACCCAGCCATCCCATTACTGGGTATATACCCAAAGGATTATAAATCATGCTGCTATAAAGACACATGCACACGTATGTTTATTGCGGCACTATTCACAATAGCAAAGACTTGGAACCAACCCAAATGTCCAACAATGATAGACTGGATTAAGAAAATGTGGCACATATACACCATGGAATACTATGCAGCCATGAAAAATGAAGAGTTCATGTCCTTTTTAGGGACATGGATGAAACTGGAAACCATCATTCTCAGCAAACTATCACAAGGACAAAAAACCAAACACCGCATATTCTCACTCATAGGTGGGAATTGAACAATGGGAACACATGGACACAGGAAGGGGAACATCACACTCTGGGGACTGTTGTGGGGTGGGGGGAGTGGGGAGGGATAGCATTAGGAGATATACCTAACGCTAAAGACGAGTTAATGGGTGCAGCACACCAACATGGCACATGTATACATATGTAACAAACCTGCACATTGTGCACATGTACCCTAAAAGTTAAAGTATAATAATAATAAAATAAAATAAAAAGAGGCTTTGGAGTCAGAAAGACCAAAGCTCAAATCCTGGCTTTGCTACCCTCACTTTTTGTCATGCTGGGCAAATGATTTGACATCTCAGCTTTAGTTTCTTCTTCAGTCAAAACAGGGTTTACAGGACCTCGCTGAAAAGCCGCCCTAAGGCAGCACTGTCCAAGAGAATTTTCTGTGATGATGGAAGTGTTCTGTTCTGCACTGCCCAATATGGTACGCAATGGCCACATGTGGCATTCAAATTGGAACATATTAAAGTAGGCAAATAAAATTTAAAATTCACTTCCTCAGATGACTAGCCACATTCCAAGTGCCCAATAACTTTATTATTTTTTAAATTTAATTTTATGTTCTGGGATTCATGTGCACAACATGTAAGTTTGTTACATAGGTAAATGTGTGCCATGGTGGTTTGCTGCACCTACCAACCCATCACCTAGGTATTAAGCCCCGTGTGCATTAGCTATTTATCCTGATGCTCTCCCTTCCCACCCCCACAACAGGCCCCGATGCATGTTGTTCCCCTCCCTGTGTCCATGTGTTCTCACTGTTCAGCTCCCACTTATAAGTGAGAACATGCAGTGTTTGGTTTTCTGTTCCTGTGTTAGTTTGCTAAGGATAATGGCTTCCAGCTCCATCTATGTCCCTGCAAAGGGCATGATCTTGTTCCTTTTCATGGCTGCATCATATTCCATGGTGTATATGTACCACATTTTCTTTATCCAATCTGTCATTGCTGGGCATTTGGGCTTATTCCATGTCTTTGCTATTGTGAATAGTGCTGCAATGAACATACACATGCATGTATCTTTATAATAGAATGATTTATATTCCTTTGGGTATACGCCCGGTAATGGGATTGCTGGGTCAAATGGTATTTCTGCTTCTAGGTCTTTGAGGAATTGCCACATGGTCTTCCACACTGGTTGAACTAATTAACTTTCCCACCAACAGTGTAAAAGCATTTCTATTTCTCCACAGCCTTGCCAGCATCTGTTGTTTCTTGACTTTTTAATCATCACCATTCTGACTGGTGTGATATGTTATCTCATTGTGGTTTGATTTGCATTTCTCTAATTATCAGTGATGTTGAGCATTTTTTCATGTTTCTTGGCCACATAAATGTCTTCTTTTGAGAAGTGTCTGTTTATGTCCTTTGCCCACTTTTTAATGGGGTTGTTTTATTTTCTTGTAAATTTGTTTAAGTTCCTTGTAGATTCTGTATATTAGACCTTTGTCAGATGGACAGATTGCAAAAATTGTCTCCTATACAGTAGGCTGTCTGTTCACTCTGATGATAGTTTCTTTTGCTGTGCAGAAGCTCTTTAGTTTAGATCCCATGTGTCAATTTTTGCCTTTGTTGCACTTTTGATGTTTTCGTCATGAAACCTTTGCCTGTGCCTATGTCCTGAATTGTATTGCCTAGATTTTCTTCTAGGGTTTTTGTAGTTTTGGGTTTTACACTTAAGACTTTAATCCATCTTGAGTTAATTTTTGTATAAGGTGTAAGGGAGGGGTCCAGTTTCAATGTTCTGCATATGCCAAATGCCCAATAACTTTAAGTAGTAGAGAGGATCTCTGTAAAATACTTGACCTAGGATAGTTGCTCAACATGATAAGTATTCCTTTTGCTAGCAGTTTATCTGATCTGTACTCCTATGGGGTGGGCATCACTCTGGGTGAGCAGCTGCCAGTGTGACCAGCTTGATGCAATGTGGTCAGCCTTAAGTCTACACATCTGCAGCTTACAAAATACAGAGTATCTCACCAAACGTTCCACAAGAACTTATGAAAGTTGTGTCCCTGGGTAAAGAAAGTAAATCTCAAAATCTCCCAGGTTTAGCCCCAGAATGAGAATTTCCCACTGAAGAGGACCTATAGGACCAAGAAGCCTTGATTCTGTTCTTCCTAACTCTAGCCTCAGATTTTCTTTCTCTCTTTGATTCTCCTTTTCTCCTTAAGGTGGTCCCAGGGGAAGCCCTGCTCCTCATAACAATGTCTGCAACACCCCCAGTCCCCTGCCTCTGATTCACTCCATCATCACTGGGGTAAACACTGTCTTTCAAAAATACCTTAGTGGGCCAGGTACGGTGGCTCACGCCTGTAATCCCAGCACTTTGGGAGGCCGAGGCCGGTGGATCACGAGGTCAGGAGATGGAGACCATCCTGGCTAACACGGTGAAACCCTGTCTCTACTAAAAATACAAAAAAATTAGCCGGGTGTGGTTGTGGGCACCTGTGGTCCCAGCTACTTGGGAGGCTGAAGCAGGAGAATGGCGTGAACCCGGGAGGCGGAGGTTGCAGTGAGCTGAGATCACGCCACTGCACTCCAGCCTGGGTGACAAAGCGAGACTCCGTCTCAAAAAAAAAAAAAAAAAACCACACACACACAAAAAACCCTTAGTGAACCCTGAGAGAGAACATTAGAGGAGTAATCTCAGAACCTATGAGGAATCTAATTTCAGTAACATGGTTGATGGAGGAGAGTTCTAGTCCTTTTCAGGACTCCCTGGCTCAATCCCAAGATACATGAGCAAGACCCTTGCCTGTGTGATTTGCTTGCTGCCATTTCCAGATAACAACTTATCACCCAGTTTCTGGACACTATTTCACGTGTCATGCCTGACTCTTCAGTAATCAAGACCCAAAGAGATATGACACGCCTCCCCACCCAACACCTTCCCTCTCATCCCCTGCATCTCAGTCTGAAGACCTGCCTCCCCTATAGTCTGACAGCATCACATAATAAGAAGCATAGCATGCAGGGACTGATGACTCATTCTCACGTGAAACTGGATTAAAGAACAAGAGTCAGCTTTCAATCATCATTTCTAGTCGTGTAGGGAAAAACTCTCTTAAAGTGTTTTTCCTCTGCTCTGATAGCACAACAATCATTAACACAGAAGAAGACATCTGTGACCAAAGGTATGGGGGTTTTTCACTGTACACCAGGCAGCAGACACCAGCTGGGTGTCCCCCAAATCAATTCTGACACCATCTACCTGGAGATAGTGTCAGGTCCCATAGGTTGGGGGCTCAGTCCTCAAACTGCCTCCCGTCAGACACTAGTCTCAAGTTCAGACCTCTAGAACTTCTGACCAAGCAGTTGCCAGTTGGGGTTCCCATGACCCCCTCTTTGAGTTCGATTGATTTGCTAGAATAGCTCACAGAACTCCAGGAAACACATTTACAGTTTATTATATGGATATTACAAAGGATATAGATGAAGAGATGGGTAAGGTGAGGTCTAGGGGAAGGGGTGTGGAGCTTCCATGCCCTCCCTGGATGCACCGCCACCCTCCAGAAATCTTCACATGATCAGCTGTCTGGAAGCTCCCTGAACACAGTTCTCTTGGGTTTTCTATGGAGGCTTCATTACTTAGGCATGATTGACAACCCTGTGGAAATGTGATTGGACAAAAAGCGCATAATCTACACCAGCAAGGCTTGTCCATTCAAACTTTTCTTGGCCTCTCTGTTTAGCATTCCTTCCTCTAGGTATGGGGCAGGAATCTCTCTGGATTAGGGTCTTCTGATCCACAATCAGATTAGAGTCTGGCACTGGGCAGGTGAAAGAAGGACATGAAGAAGGTCAGAGAGAGATTCTGTTTCCTGAGGCCCAAAGTGCCCCAATATTATAACAAGGACTATGGGAGTTAGGAGCCAGGAACCATGGATGAAAACCAATTATATATCATAACACCACACGAGTGCCCTTGGAAGTTTGTGTTTTTTACTGAACCTAAGACAGATGAATATCCATGTATCCAACTCTCCATCCACCCATTCATTCCTCTGTTGGTCTCCATCCTGCTGTCTCTCCATCCATGCATTTATTCAACCATATCTCCACTTATACGCTACTTCCTTCCATATATCCACCCACAAACATTTGTAATGTGCTTAATCTCTGTGGTCAGATTCCATGAGTTTGGATTCTAGCTCTTCAAATTATTACCATGGAACTTCATCTCTCTGAACCTCTTTTTCCTCATTTGCACAGTGGGGATGAATAATGTTTACCTCATACTCCTAAGATTGGATGAGAATTACATAGGTGGTGCATATAAATCTCAAGAACACTTCTTGATGCATAGGTAAACATTCAACCACTGTTATCAGTTATTAATACCCTACTATAGAGAGTGGGGAAATCAAGACACTTGAGGTCCAGCCATCTGCAAGGAGCTCTTCACCCCAGTGAGACTCAAGCTTTTTCTGCCTTTTATATATTTGATTATTTTAGCATGTATCACTTCAAGTAGTAATAGGTCAGTGAAGCTATCATTTGGGAATTATAACTCAATATGTGAAAAAGAGATTCCAACTCTTAAATGTGTGGGCAATGAACAATTTCTGGCATTCAGATAGGATAAAGGTGGGGTGGGCTGTTTTGGAGACAGAAGTTATTAAAAATCTCCTTATGGAGAGCTCCTGCTCTGTGTCAGTCTGCAGGATATTTCCTTTGTTATTTCTCTTCTGTTATCTGCAACTTATGGAGGCCAAGTAATCTTTTTACATTTTATATTCCAAGACAGGCTTAATGTTGCTGTTTTTAAAGTTATTTTGTCCCATAAGGTTCTCATCTGGTTCCTAATACGCAGTTATAGATGGCATAAATGAATGGATCACCCCAACAATTTGGAGGCCTTGGCTCTGGGGTCTCAAAAGCTTCTCTGCATCTGGTTATGTGTGAATAGCAAAAGCCCTTATTTTTTCTAAGTGAAATCTCATGTGGATTTTATCATAAGTAAAATAGATAACATGAATCTTGAGTACAATAATGGATAAACATTGGGAATATTATTGTCTGAGCTAAGCGTGGTTGCATGTGGTTCAGAAATATGTCCAAGAAGTCTAGCAGAGGCATAAAAATTAAGCACTTTTAGATATACAATTAATTAATTGCCTTTATGATAATATAGATTTACATGATTTGACATCGGCAATGTCCTGGAGAACAACAACAATAATAAGCAGGCCTGGGTATATTTCACATCAGCAGGCTGTATCTTGGTGATAGAAAATCACTTTTATTGGTACTTTTGCAAAGCCATGAAAAGAAACATTTGCATTCATCTCTGTCAGTATCCAAAAGGGAAAGTCAATTGGTGTTTAAAATGAGGAAGGCAAGGAAATTAACATTTATTGTTCAGCCACTAGGTGTTAACACTGTGCTGAGTGCTTTATATGCATTACTGGATTCTGTGAATCCCCAAAACTATTGTCTCAATTTGCTGTCTCCCTTTCCTCCCACCCTAGTCTGGCTTACTGTACAAAAATGATTTTTGCTGAGATCCTCAATTCATGGCATTAAATCCAGTGGACAGTTTCCAGTCGCAATTGTACTTGATACCTCAACAGTATTCAGCACTTCTTGAAATCTCGTCTTCTTTTAGCTTCCATGGCACTGTATCTCCTGGTTTTCTTCCTCTCTAACTGTTGGTCCCTTATCATCTGAGGGTGCCTGTCCCTTCCAGACAGAACACGGTGCCTAGGAAATCTCACCCATCTGCAGGACTCGAGTATTCTTCCAGGTACTGATTTCTCACAGTAGTGTGTCTGCTCCCTGCCTGAATATCCACTTGCCTTATTGTTATTGCTGTTTAGGTAATGTCATCTTTCCTCAAAAATCTCATCCTGTTCCGGTGTTTTCTAACTCAGCATGGTGGCACTTCCATCCTTTCCTACCAGAAATTTAAAACATCCACGAAACCTATTTCTCACCCTCCACATCCTCCAAGCCCTCTTGTCTCTATCTTCATATATTTCCTGATGTCTTTACTTCTCCATCTCCAATGCCACCCCTTAGTTCAAGCCAACATAATTTTGTGTCAGGATTAGTGCAGTCCCCTGACCAACCATTCTTGCTTCATTCATTTGAAACTCCACGCTGCAACCAAAGTAATCCATGTGAAAATACAGTTAGGGTCTTGTCTCACCCTTTTCCCTAACCCTCTCTCCAAACCAACGTTCAGTGAGTTTCGTTGTTCTTGAGATGAAGCACAACATCCTTACCAATACATATAAGCAGCTTCTACCTGGAATGGCCTCCACCTTCTTCTCTTGTCTCATCCCCTACCATCTCCTCCATTGTCTACTAGATTTTAGTCTTTGGCTAGACCTCAAGGAATACAAGACATGAGATATAATTTAACTGTTTGAACTTAGTGACTAATCAAAGTAGTGGGCAGGCTTTCCATGTCAGGAGTATTAGTTGTGAATGTTCTGCTCTTTATTAGGATTTCAGATTTGATATGAAAGGACATGAGATAATTTTCATGGATGAGCTTTTGTGTTGGCCTCTACATTAGTGGATATCAGCTAAATGAATTAAAGTCTGCTGTACCCAAAACCATTTTTCTACAGATGTGGAGGTTGAAGCTCCTTCTGAGAATGCAGGGAAGAGTCTACAAAAGAGACAGCAAGTAGAATTGTGTCACTGGGACTTAGCTCTATTTGAAGATTTTGGGATTTTTTTCTTCTTGCTACCAAGGATGCAGTCACAGGTTGGATAAGAGACTCAGAAGGTCACATTCTGGCCTTTGGGAAGTCTGTAATATAAAAAAGAGGCAGAGAAACAATATAAATGCACTACTTATCTTGGAGCTTTACAGCAAACTGACTGAGAATATTTTCATTTATATATTTGTAATAGAATGAATAATCCCCTCTCTTCCCCTCCCCACCAAACAAAATCCATGTCTTTACCCATGGAACATGTGAATGTTACCCTAGTTAAGGATCTTGAGATGGGAGGATTATCTCAGATTATCCTGGTGGGCTCTAAATATAATCTTATGTATCCTTGTAGGTGAGAGACATTGAGGAATTTGACACACAGATAGAAGAGAAAAAGGCAATGAGAAAACAGTGCAGAGTTTGGAATGATACAACCACAAACCAAAGAATGCCAGCAGCTACCAGAAGCTGGAAGAGACAAGGAAGGATTCTCCCCTAGACTTCCATAGGGAGCTGGCTCTGCTGGCAACTCTTTTCAGCACAAGGATACTGATTTTAGGTCACCAACTTTGGGTAACTTGTTACAGCAGCCATAGGAAACTTTATACTGAAATTATTGATCATATAAATGATGTATGAGAAGTGCTAACCATTAAAATCCATACATTTTAAATTGGCATGCCATACAATGATGCTCAAAGCTTCTTTCTATCCCTCCAGCCTTTTTGAGGGGTATTCTTGTTGAATGAGGACCCAGCTATGTACTTTCCACATAACCTTGAATTGAGAACATGTCTTAGTGATGCATTTTTTAACCTACCTCTTATATTCAATGTCTTTGCAGCTCAGTTGACATTTTTGCTTCCAGAATCACTTTGAAATCCACTTCAATTTCTTGAACACCAACCATAGTTCTGCCACTTGGAACTCCTACCTTTTCACTTGTATCACATGTAGTATAATCATGTCTCATTGACAAGGCCTTGCCATCTGATAGCATAAATAATACCACTCTTCCTTCACTGTGAATGGCTCTTGAGTATTCAGACCATGTTGCCATGCTGTTGAGATGTCCTGGACACATCGGTAGACAGATGAGTCCAGTGGAAGAGTGGGTCAGGGACAATGCTAGTAGGGTCAGTTCAGCTTTTAGTTTTGTAAGTATTAGTTCTGTATTGAAGGATCTCAAGATCCAGAGAACAAAATAGACATGTAAGAGAAAAAAAAACACCCATACAATGCACTGCCCTATGAAAGAGGTAGGGACAAATGGCTTTGGGAGTAGAGAAGTGGAAACAATACAATGCCAGAGAGTCAGAAAGCTATAGAGAAATATGACAGTCTCAGCCTTGATGAATTTGTAGCTCCGAGAGGGGGAAGGAGAGGCATTTTAAACAGCTGGCACAGCATGGGCAAATGTGATGAGGGTGACTTATGGAGTTAGTGAAGAACAGGTAGTCCAAAAGCAGCAGAGCATCTCATGTTTATATAGAAGAAGTTCCTAAAGGAAGCCAATATTGAGAAATGACTTTTACAAGATCAAAGGCAAAATTATGAGATGCCTCATAGTGTCCTGTACCATACAAGCAATTTATAAAGAGTAACATGGGAATGCTGATGAGAATGAGGTGATTAAGACCTCTCATGTAGTGTTTGTGGGGGGCTAAATTAATCCAATTTTATTAGGGAATAACTTTGCAATATGTATTAAAAACCATAAACATATCCATATATTTTACACTGAGAATGCTGCCTTCAAGAATCTATCCTAAAGGAGTAACACAAAATATGGAAAGATGTCATGCATAAAGATGTTCATTGCAGCCATGTTTATAATGTGGAAAGCAAAAAATAACTTATGCATACAAGAAGAAGGAAATAGTGAACAAAATCATGGTTTCTAGAGCTCACAAGGTGGCAACCCAGGACCAAAGCCAGAAATATGACTTTGTCAATTTTTTTAAAATGAGGGTTTTTTTAATAACATAAAATTCACCATTTTATAGTGTACATTTCAGTGGCACTACATGCATAATGTTGTGCAACCATCACCTCTATCTAGTTACAAAATATTTCTGACACCCAAATAGAAGCCCTGTACCTGTTAAGCAGTTATTACCCATCTCATTTTTCCCCAGTCCCTGGTAATCCCTAATCAACTTTCTGTCTCTATGAATTTTTCTATTCCAGATATTTCATATAGATAAAATCATACATACAAACCAGACATATTTTATGTCTTGGTTGTCACTTAGCATAATGATCCACCAAATTTCAAGGTTGATCCACATTGTAGCAAGGAATAAAATATCAGTAGTGCATTCCTTTTCATAGCTGAGTAATATTCCATTATCTGGAGAGACTACATTTTGTATATCAGTTCATCCACTCATGGATATTTGGGTTGTTTTCAACTTTTGGCTATTGCCAATAGTACTTTTGTGAATATTTGTGTACAAACTTTGTTTAAATACCTGTTTTCAACTTGGAGAGTACATATCTATGAGTAAAATTTCTGGATTGTCAAATTTAAAACAAATTCAACTTGAATGTCTTTAGTTGGGCCTCATATTCAGCTTGGTTTCAGTTTTAACCACTCTCTCTGGTTTTATACCCAACCCTTTTATATTCCTACATTTAAATTACACTGCCCCTTAAAGGCATCTTATTTGTGTATGTGATCATTCTCAGCCAGTCTTTGAACTGCTACACGGCAATGTAAAATAATTCTATAAAATCTCAATAACATGGTGAAATGTTTCCATTACAAAGTTAGAGGAGAAAGATCAGGTTATTGTATCTAAAGTATTTTTTAATCTAAACATCTGCCTTAGTTGGTTTTTATGCTTCTATAACAGAGTACCTGAGACTGAAAAGAGGTTTATTTTGGCTTGTAATTCTGGAGGCTGGCAAGTTCAAGACTGGGCTGCTATATCTGACAAGGGCCTAGTGCTACTTCATCAGTTGGTGGAAAAGTGGAAGGATGAGCAAGCTAATGTAAAGTGAGCAAAATGGGAGAGGTAACCTCTCCTCATAACAACCCACTCTCATGGGTGGGATGGGAACTAATCCATTCCTGTGAAAACTAATCCAGTCTTATGAAAAAGCCATTAATTCATCTTAATGACCTAACCATCTCTTAAAAGAACTACCTCCCAACATTGTCACAGTGGCAATTAAATTTCAACATAAGTTTTGACAGTGACAAATTACATCTAAACCATAGCAGTCCTCCCTTGGACCCCCAAAATTCGTGTCCTTCTCACGTGCAAAAGTCATCCATCCCAGTAGCCTCAAAAGTCTTAATTCATTCTAGCACCAACTCAAAAGTCTAAAGTCCAAAGTCTCATCTGAGACTCAAGGCAAGCTCCTTCCACCTGTGAGCCTGTAAAATTAAAAACAAGTTGTCTACTTCTAAAATACAATGGCAGAACAGGTATAGGGTAAACATTCTCACTCCAAAGGAACAGATAGGGAGGAAGAAATGAGTTACCAGCCCAAAGCAAATCTGAAACACAGAGGGAAGGACATTAAATCTTAAAGGCCTCAAATAATCTTTCACTCTATGTGTTGCCTCCTGAGCACACTGGAATGGGGCTGGGCTCCCAAGGCCTCAGGTAACTCCTCCTCTACAGCTTTGCTGGGTGCAGTCCACGTGGCTGCTGTCTCTGGGTAGAGTTACATCCTGGTGTCTGTGGCTTTCTTAGGCAGGCATTGCAGGCTGCTAGTGGCTGTATTCTGGGGCCCTGACAGTGGCCCCAACCTTACATTTCCATTGGGTATAACTGGTGGAGGCTCTTTATGGCTCCACCCATGAAGCAAATTTTTGCCTGGGTTCACAGGCTTTCTGTAACATCCCTTGAAATCTAGGTAGAGAAAGCCATGCTTCCATAACTCTTACATTCTGCACACCTGCAGAATTAGCACCACATGGGCACTACCAAGGTCTGCAATTTGCATTCCAGAGTGATAGGAAGAGCCACACCTGGGGCCACTGGAACTTTGACTGGAGTGACCAAGGGGCCCAGTGCTGGAATTTAAGGAGCAGAGTCCCTAGGTAGCCTGGGCAGTCAGCCAGTTGGGAACACCCTGGGTCAATCCCAGAAAACCATTCTGCCCTCTTAGGCTTCTGGGCATGTGATGGGAGGGACAACCTTGATCTCTGAAATGCCTTGGCATCTTTCTCCCATAGTTTTGATGAGTATTACCTAGCTCCCTTCTAACCATGTTAATCTTCTTGGCAAACAGTCTCTGGGCCACACCCTTGATTTCCTCCTGAAGACGTTCTTCATTCTCTACCATGTGCTCAGGCTGTGGATTTTTCAAATCTTTTCACTCTGCTTCTCTGTATTCTAGCAGCTCACTGTAAACAGTTATAAGTAACCATACATCTGCCTGAGCACTTTGCTACTTAAAAATTTCTGCCAGATATGCTATTCCATTGCTCCTAAGTTTGGCCTTCTACAAAGCCCTAGGGCATGGACACAGTGCATCCAAGTTCTTTGTGGCTATACAACAAGTTCCCAGTAAGATATTCCTCATTTTCCATCTGATATCTCATAAAAATGGCCTTTACTGTCCATATTTCTATGAGCTTTCTAGTCATGACCACTTAACCAACCTCTAAAAAGATCCAGACTTTCTGTAACCTTCTCGTCTTCTGTGCTCTCACCAGAATCACCCTTAATACTCCATTCATGCAACACAGGCTTTTTTCCAGCCTGCTATTCCCAAGTTTGTTCAGCCCCGACCCATTACCCAGTTCCAAAGCCACTTCCACATTTTCAGGTGTCATCCCACTCATCAGTACCAATTTTCTGCCTCAGTACATTTTATGTTGCTACCAAAAAAATACCTATGACTGAATAATTTATACAGAAACGAGGTTTATTTTGACTCATAGTTCTAGAGGTTGGGAAGTCTAAGATGAGGCAGCTGCATTTGGTGAAGCACTTATGCTACTTAATAGCAAGGCAGAAAAGTTGAAGAGCAAGCAAGTGCATGCAAAGAGAGCAAAATAGGAGAGGCATGCTCACCCTCATGGGAATTAATTCATTTCTGCCAGAACTAATTTAGTCTTATGAGAAAGACATTAATCCATGTTAATGACCTAGTCACCCCTTAACGGCACCAGCTCCTAACATTGTCACATTGGCAATTAAATTTTGACATGAGTTTTGGCGAGGAAAAATCTAAACCACCCTAGGTGTCTAATTTTAAGTGTCTAATCCTAAGGCTAGTAAATATGACCTGAACTTCTTTTCCTTGGAAAGATACTTATAAAATCTCTCTAGAAAATTCTCCATATGCAGGTTGCTGTGTTTCAGACTTGTTTTGGGCTGGTAACCCGAGCAACTGAAGGCTGACAGTTGCTCCCCTTTCCTCCTCTCCATGGGACACTCATATCCAAAGAGTAGATAAAAAAAAAATCTATAGAGTTTCACAAACAGACAGATCTTAATTTAAATACCACCTTGGCACTTCCTAGCTGTGTTACCTGAGACAGATACTGACACATAGTGGGTTTTAACAAATGGTCATTATTGAATCAAAATTAATCTGGTGTTTTCTTGAGTTTCTTCTTTCTGAGGTATAACTTAATAGTACAAGGTATATTTACCCCTGGTCACTGGACCAGGAATAACAATTTGCTCCTCTTCATCTGGAATCTGCCTCCTCATGCCCCAGGGTCAATTTCTTAGAAAGACACTCTCAAGCCCTATTATTTTTTTTTATTATACTTTAAGTTTTAGGGCACATGTGCACAATGTGCAGGTTAGTTACATATGTATATTATTAACAGCAGAGTGGATCTCCTTGTGGCATCTCGCTTCTTTCCTTCATAGCATGTAATTCAATGTGTGCTTCTTTGTTTGCCCTTGTTTGATGTATGGTTCCTCATCTGGCTCTAGCCTTCTAAAGACAGGAGTTCCATCTTTATACCTAGGGCCAAACACAGAATCTGTCAGACACAAAAGTAGATGCCTGACAAATATTTGTTTCAATTGAATGAATAGAAATAAAAAGATTGGGGTTCCAATCCTGATCTTGCTAGACTTGTAATCCTTGTGACCATGTTTTCTTGGTGCTATCAGGAACCAGTTTATGAAAGATGATGTCAGAAATTCCCAGCTTTTATTTTATAGAACTAAGTGTGTAACAGCAAAAACAATTACCTTCTACATGCGTATACTTCTCCGTATTTTTAGAGCATGTTCAAACCCCACATGATGTGTCACTGATACCTTTTCCCATTGTCTAACCTGGCATAGGGTACCGATGACAAGGGGGATCAGGAATCTACTAAGATGTTCATGGAGGCAGCAGCCTGCTGGTCATGCTGACCTCCATTGCTGATGATGCAAATGAGACCAGGAAGAGGACCTTCCACCCAGCACTGGAATCTCTGCCAGCAAAATGCAGAACATATGGAAACAAATACATCACATTTGTTCACTTGAGTATGCTGGTCTTTCCTTTGAGTGTGTTTCCTGTTGAGAGAAATACAGGAAAATATAATGTTAAAAGGAGAGAATTTGTAATAATACATGCTAAATCTATTAATGTATTCCTTTTTCATGCAATACTTTGCTGAATAGAGTCTACTTTATGCCCTGATACTGGACTATATGCTGGAGAACCAAAGATAAATTTTTTTTTTGCCTCTCTGAGCCTCCATTTACTCCTCTGGAAAATGGGAACTAAATAATAATGGCGGCTCAGGAAAGTCCTGATGAGATATTTAGGAGCAATGGAGCAGATACTCAACAAGAATTTCTATAGATATCTTCCACCAAACACACACACACACACACACACACACACGAGAGAGAGAGAGAGAGATCCTCATCTCCTTTCTGCCTCATTCCCTCTGTATGTTCGGTTTCCCATCTGTGATTCCCTCCCAGCCACTGTCTTCCTTTCTTTTCTCTGCCCAGGCTTCTCTCTGCTTCCTCACTGAGCTCCTTCCTTCACTCTCTCGTATCCTGGCTCTCTCCTGCCGGCTTTTTTCTCACCACACTTTGTTGGGACCCTGTGGCCTCTGAGCACCCTAGTGGTCATTGGGCCAGGCTTCTGGCATGTAACATGCAGGTTTCCCCATCAGGAGGGCAACCCTGCTAAGCAGAGGTCAGAGCACAATTCTATTTTGGTAGCTTCATGGAAGCAGAGCTCTTGACAACTGATGCTGAGGGAAAGGGAGGGCTGGTGGCACCTGCCTTTGTGCCTAAGCTGGTCTGGCAGGCATCTTGGGGAGAAGGCAGCCCTATGCCAAGCAGCCCTGGCAAAGCATGAGTCTTAGAAATGGGATCCTTCTCACGGAGGAGCAGGAGGGAAAATGCAAACACAAAAAGATGGTTCCAGGGGGCGGGAGCAGAGCAAGGGGGGATAAGCACTGTGGGAAGAAAGAAGAGACAAAGAGGGAGCCTAGGAGATGCTGGAGAGTGTACGAAAATCAAAATTGTGTTCAGTCTCCCAAAACTTAGCAAGGGGGACAGATGGGACTGGGAACAATATGGTGGGCTACTCTCCCCCTGTGATTCTTTAGCCGAGCAAAGGAAGGTTGGACTGAAGTTTCTCACCTGTTAAAATTCAGGAGAAGGACATGGCTCTTTTTAACCTACTTGAGAATAGGATACAAGACTGGAAGAGAAACTCTCAGAGGATCATCTCATGCCATACTATTCAGGAGGTCATAGTGTAATTCACTTAGGCAGATAGTGTTTTGAAACTCTGCTGGAGTCTGGAAGATAAAACCAGTTCTTTATCTCATGGTGTTGATAGAGCAGGGATCCCTGTTGAGTCTTACAGGGTGCTTTGGGTATAGGATGCTTTAGGAGCATATGTGATGGGCCAGTATAGTTAGCAAAATCATGGTGCAAGTACATTGAAGCCACCACATGAAGGAGGAGTTGGAGTGAGATAGATGAAGAATGTGAGGAAGGTGATTGATACAGAGGGAAGAATGTGTGTGAAGACCCAGGGAAGAGAGGTCACGTTGAAGTTTCCAGAGTTGCAAGACCATCAGTGAGAGCAGTGAGATGAGAGGTAAGAGAAGTGCTCAGGGAGCACCTTGATCTTTGACAGGACCTGGGGCTCCACCCCGTAGGCAGTGAAAGCCACTGCAGGGTTTTGAGCATCTGAAGGTCTACATGAACCTCACTTTGTAAAGTTCTCCCAGGCTGCAGTAAACATGGTGGTGGTTGGGGTGTGGGGGTGCCGGTGGGCATGCAATCAGGAGTTGAGCGAATGTGGAGGGGCTAGGTCGGAGATTGTTATAGTTGTCCATGTGGAAACCTGTACTAGGATGGAGATGGAGGTGGAGATGGAATGAAGTAGGTCCATATTCATTTCATATATATATATATATACACACACATATACACACACACACACACAGATTCCATATATATGCATATTCCATGTATACATATATTCCATATATACATACTCCATGTGTATGTGTATATATATTCCAAGTATATATATAATATATGTGTGTATGTTTTTGTGTCTATATAATTTTCTATGGAGTTCAGTGCTGCCTTCTTGTCATAAGGTAGCAAAGGAGGAAGGGCAGGTGCTTTTGAGGTGCCAGAGCACCTCTTGGGGAGTGCCACCACATGCCTGAGGTTTGCCTGTAAGTTCCCAGTTAACTGTGTTTTCAGGAGACAGAGCTTTCCTAAAGGAAGGGCACATGGTATTAGTCGTATAGTGCCAAACAAGGTGCTCAGCCTTAATCTCTGTTTCCAAATTGGTCCAGGAGAGTTAATGATATCTTATCCACAGGGCTGATGTGGACTATTAAATGAAGTCACATCTGCCTGCCACTGAAGACAGGTGGTGCCTAATAAATGAGAGCTCCTCACCCTCAGCTTTCTCCTCCCACCCCAAGCTGAACAATAACCCTGATGATTGCTTTGTTCTGGTCTTCCTGGAATCCAAGCTTTTTTCGGAAAATAAAGGAATTGCGTCACTTCTTTCTCCCGTGTTCAAAACTGTGTGACACTTAACTGTGGAACAAGCCCCAGTGTAGCTCTCTATGCTCAGTTCCTACCATGTTCTCTGCCAACTACGTGACAAATGCAACTACATCGCAAACAAAAAGAGGAATGAAATCACATTCGTCCTTGAACATGATTAACTCATTTCCACCTTCTGATTTTTGCACCAGCTGCTCCCTCTGCCTGGAATATGCTTTCTGTATATCTTCTCATGGCTGGCTCCTTTGTCCCTCATCTCTCAGCTTAAATGTCATCTCCACCAAAAGGTCTCCTGTGACCACTGATAGAGTTTGGATGTCCCCTCTAAATCTCATGCCAAGATGTAATCTCATTGTTGGAGGTGGGGCCTGATGGGAGGTGTTCGGGTCATGGAGGCAGATCCGTCATGGCTTGTTGCTGTTCCCGCTATAGTGAGTGAGTTCTCAAGAGATCTGATTGTTGTAAAATGAGGCACATCTCTGCACCCACTCTATCTCTCTCTTTCTCCTGCCATGTGAGATGCCTGCTCCTGCTGCTTCGCTTTCTGCCGTGAGTAAAAGCTCCCTAAGGCCTCCCCAGAAGCTGAGCAGATGCCAGCACCATGCTTGTACAGCTTGCAGAACCATCAGCTAATTAAACCTCTTTTCTTATAAGTTACCCTACCTTGTATATTTTTTATAGCAGCGCAAGAATGGACTAATATAACCACCCAAGTTAAAGTAGCTAACCCCCTTCAATCATGGCAGCCTGGGACATCTTCTTTATTGAATTTTTCTCTCTGAAATCATCTTGAGTATTTGCTTATTGTTCATTACATGTCTTTCCCCCCAACAAACTGTAAGTTCCATGGGACCAAAGACTTGATTTTTCTTGTTCATTGCTGTTATCACCAGCACTTGGAAGAGGGTCTGTCATAAGTTGAGTTCTCAGTAAATTATGCTGAATAAACAATTGACTCTCCATCAGTACTCATATCCTAATTGCTAATTCTTTATGGAATTTGTCAAAGCTTCTCAAATCCAGGATCTCCCTTGAGAAGCCCAGAACTATCTCAAATATATATATACACACACACACACACACGCATATATACACATACACGCACATATATGTATGCATATATATGCACATATGTGCACATAAGTATGTGTTGATGTCTGCATGTAGATATGCAGATATGATCATAGATGTGTGTTTGTGTTTACATGCATATGTATGTGTGCATATATGTAGACATACAATCATGTGTATACATATACACGTGTGTGTGCGTGTGTATCTGTTGATGTGTGTGATCATGGCTTCTAAGAAAAAATATATACCATTCATAAGTCACCTACTATGTGCCAGGTGCTATGCAGTATGCTTTAACCAGTGATCCTCAACCTGCAAGTAGAGTCCACTGCAGAGCTTTAAAAACATTCGAAATCTTGTCTTCACGTCCATAGATTCTCACTGAATTCATATGGAGTAGGAACCCAGATCTAACTGACCCTAAACTAAGTCTCACCACAGTAGTGTCCACTGACATCTTACCATGTGTTGTTTAGCAGAGCTACACATAATGTTGATCCTCTGGTCCAGGGCTTCTTAACCATGCTGCACGGTAAAATCACCTAGGAGACTTTTAGAATCCTGAAGCCTAGTTCACACCCTAGATCAAATATTTAATAAATCAGAATCACTGGCGGTTAGGATCTAAGCATCTGCATTTTTTTTTAGATGGAATCTGGCTCTGTCACCCAGGCTGGAGTGCAGTGGCACAATCTCGGCTCACTGCAAACTCCGCCTTCCGGGTTCAAGCAATTCTCCTGCCTGAGCCTCCTGAGTAGTGGGATTACAGGTATCCACCACCAAGCCCAGCTGATTTTTTTTTTATTTCTAGTAGAGACGGGGTTTCATCATGTTGGCCAGACTGGTCTTGAACTCCTGACCTCAAGTGATCTGCCTGCCTCAGCCTCCCAAAGTGCTGGGATTACAGACGTGAGTCACCGCCCCTGACGGATGTGCACTTTTTTATGAAGCCCCTCTACTGATACTAATGTGCAGTCAAGGTTAAGGACCAGGCATCTAGCTTTTGGGGAGGCTGGAATTTATATTTTTAGTGAACACTCCAATTCTTAAGGAGGGGCTAATTAGAGCAACTGCCCTAGTGCAGTACTTCTTAAAGTTGAATGTGCATAGGAACCTTCTGTTGTTCTCATTAAAATGGAGATTCTCATTCCTAGCCCAGGAGGTCTGCAATTCTGCATGTCTAGCCACACCTCCAGGGATGCTGATGCTGCTGGTCTTCAGGCCACACTTGGAGTAGTAAGAAGGTGGATCTTGTTCTTATCACTAACTTAGGCGGGAACACCCCAGAGTCCTACTTATGGACTTTCAGTCCCATCGAACTGTGTTCAGAAGGTCTGACTCAAGGGTCCCTTTCCACTTACATCAAAATAAACTGTCGTGGGAAAGTTGAGAGTTGGTCTTACTGCCCAAGGATCACTAGCCCATAGGAAGCTGCTCTTTCAGACAGGAATACCAGGAAGCATGTGTCGACGCAGCACTGGTAGATGTTTCCTTGAGGACAATGCTGATTGTGGGATTAATCTTGTTTCTTTCTTTTCATTTTTCTTCTTTTTTTTTCCTTTGGCCATAGGAAGCACAGTCTAAATTGCAACCCAAATTAGAAATGATATTGAGATTTATGCCTCTACTTTTGTATGCTAATTTTGTCTTTGGTCTTACCATCCTATGTGAAACCAATTTACATGACATCTCTGGGTTGTAAATTTCCAGAGTACAAAATGGGGATTCTCTAGTTAGTTAGAGGCAATGTGGTACTGTGGAAATCTCATGGTCTTTGAGGATGGACAGATTTTGGTGTAATTGTGTCCTCCTGACTTGTTTGAATCTGAGCTCTGTAGCCTTGAATTCCTGCCTATCACAGAAGGATGATCCCTTCTGTCCTGTGGGGGTGAAGGTGAGATGCTTGTGGAATGCCAAATGGAAAGCAGTGAGAAGCTAAGGAGAGGGAGGTAGGAGCAGGAAGCAGAGACAGGGGGATCATTATAAAAAGAAGAAAAAACCTTCCAACAACCTGGTTTCTAGAGAGCAAGATTCAGTCTAAGGCCAGAAGCTTGAAGGCTCTCTGAAAGGTATTGAACTCAGCCTGGTGAGGGGCTAGGGCAGGGTGGGGTTTCTGGGCCGTCCTTTGGGGACTGCCAGCAGGGACTTTTCCAACTCCAGCATCTGCGAGTCTGCGAACTCATCCATCTGCTCATTTGGGCTTCTTAGCAGGGTGTTCTTGCATGTGTTGACAAAAAAATATCTTTTGACATGTAGAAGGTTAGTAATTTTTAGATTTTGTGAAAAGACGCTCAAAAATCTGTCTCCCCAGCCGGTCTTCCCCATGCCTCCTTGTCTACTGAGGCCTCCTTCAGATTGATTTGGCATCCTTGCAGTTCCTTCTCTAAGGCTTTTTAGGATTTACTCTGCAAACTTGAATGTGTAGCTCCTCCACACTATCTGTGATGCTCAGCATGATCTGTGCCTATTCCAGGGCTGAGCAAACACTGATAATAACCTGGGCTTGGCCAGATGTTGGAGGAAAGAGAAGACTGGGAGTGGAAAGAGGACTGGATTTGGGTCAAGAGTCCTGAGTTTGAATGTGCTACTTAAAAGCTGTGTGACTTTAAGCAGGTTGTTCGACATCTCTGAATCCCAGTTTTTGTTTTGTTTTGTTTTAATTTGTGAAATGATGCTGATGGCATCTACCTTGTAGATTTTCAACTTAGAATAGAAAACACAAAAGTGGTAAGTATATAGTCTAGCACATAATAAGTTTTAATCAAGTTTCTTTTTCCTTTTTTTTTTTAAAAATTATTGTTTATTATGTTTTTGCCATCTTTAATCCAGTTTCATTGCATGTTTCTTCAATCATAATTTTTGTCACTTTGATGTGGTGGGCTCATTCTGTGCCAAGAAGATGAGAAAGTTGAAGGAGCATTTATTAATGTGTTTCAGCATTCCATATTTATTATGACATCTTGGCCTCACAGCATTGCTCTGAAATAGGTGTTATTATTACTGGCATTATCCCATTGTACAGACTAGGACATGACCTCTAAGGGGTCGAATGATTTTCCATAGTCGCCTAGCTCTGGTTGTTGGGGTGGAGACTCAGTTGCTTCTGCCTGGTTCTTCCTGAGGCACATACTCTTCATGGCATTCAGTCTTGGGGTGGATGGTGCTGACCATGGAGGATTGTTATGATATTTCAAAACAATGCAGGTGCAGCCGCAGAACAGAGTAGGATAAAAATACATCAGGGAAGTGAGAGGAGACACATTGTGAGTCAACATGAGGAAGTAGTTTTAAATACCCATCGCTGCCTGGAATTAGAATGGGCTGCCTTGTTGGGGGTGGGGGCAGGTAATGAGCTCCCACCACTGAATGTCTAAGCAGAAAGTCTCAGAGCCCATTGCAGGGGCTGGGGAGGGGAAGCCAGGTGACAGCAAGTTCCCTGGTTAGGAACAGAGCCTGCCCTGGATGTTTCTGTGGTTCTGCTGACAGCTCCCCTGTCACTCCTCTTTCTGCAATTCTCCTGCATTACTTACACCTCAGCACCTTCATTTCCTCTTCTGTAAAACCCACAAAGGGTGTCCACCTCCTGGAGTAGGCACGAGCCTTGAGATAAACCACGTAAAGTGTCAAGAACCATTTCTAACCTGCGTTGGGGGTACAATAAATGTAGCTGCTAGGATTATTTTCATTTTTATAAAAATAAAAATTGAGTTCTTGTACGATTTGGCTCCTTTGCCGAAACAGCAGTCCTAGAATCAAAGGCCTATTCTGTGGTCCCCATCAGTCACTGAGACTATTGTGCAAATCAGATGAGGTGCAAAGACCCAAGGTCCTGGGTGCAAGTGCTTGATGTGTAGCGACCCCTAGTAAGTGGTCAGTAAATCATAGTTTGTACTAGGAGTCTTTTAGTTTAATTACTTGGGTTCAGCAGGTGATTCCACAGAGGGCTCCAGGCCGGTGGGAATGAGTGCACATGTAGAAGGTTGCACTGGCTGGCACAGTGGCTCACACCTGTAATCCCAGCACTTTGGGAGGCCGAGGTGGGCGGATCACGAGGTCAGGAAATCGAGACCATCCTGGCTAACACAGTGAAACCCCGTTTCTACTAAAAATACAAAAAATTAGCCGGGCCTGGTGGCAGGCGCCTGTAGTCCCAGCTACTTGGGAGGCTGAGGCAGGAGAATGGTGTGAACCTGGGAGGCGGAGCTTGCAGTGAGCCAAGATCACACCACTGCACTCCAGCCTGGGCGACAGAGCAAGACTCTGTCTAAAAAAAAAAAAAAAGGTTTCACTGGTGCTCATAAAAATCCCATGATCCCATGAGGTGCGTTTTGGGCCTCTAGGGTGGGGCAAATGACCCTCATACTCCTTCCAGCCTCCAAAGGCTGGGGTTTTGCTGTTGCTAATGATGACTGGATTGTGCTTGGAACCCCTTTCTATGTCATTTTACAGCTTTCTTTTTCTCTTCAAGGGATCATGCAATAAATTCATTGAGTTTGCTTCTATTTGATTTGAAAGGGCATGTAAATAATCTTTAAATAATAGCAATTATTCATTCACATTTATAATGTGTTGTAACTTGAAAGCATTTTTCCACATTTTTCTATATATCCTTTTTTCTCTTTATTAGTTCCCTCATTTCCTAGATATTTATTGAGTGACTACTATCTGTTGGCCATTGTGCATTCTCTGGGGAGGTAAACAAAAGTTAGATACTTACTCTGTCCTCAACAAATGCCATTCCAAAAGGGTCCTATTAAAATGAAAATTATGTCCTGACTTTACTTAAAACCCTCTGCTGACACCTCCCCACGCCCCTCCCACTTTTTCACTACCAATTAAACCCATCACCTTGCTTTGGTAGATGACCTCCTGCATGGGGTGAGTGACCTCCTGCTCTTCCCTCTCCCCCTTCACCCGAGCTGATTGGACCTCTTTGCTTTCTTTGACCAGTCCTGTGCTCTGTTCTGGGCCTCAGGGCTCCTGTGCAGGAAACTCCTCAGCCTCCCCACACTCTGTAAGGTTGGCTCCTTCTCATCCTTCAGATCTCAGCTTGAAGTCACCTCTTAAAGAAATATTAATAGCTGCCCACTTCCCAGCACCCCACTGGGAACTTCACAATTTTCACTTATTTATGTGTTGACATATCTCTGCTACTGAAGGTCATGTTCCTTGAAGACAGGTATGTCTAGACCCTAGCCTGGCATGTGTCACATCAGATGCAATCACTGTTTGATGAATGAATGAAATATAACATGGACAATATAGAAATAAGTTTCAGATATAGTGGAGGCTCAAGGAGGGGAGCACTATATTCTGTAGAAAGGGGTGGCAGGCTAGTTGAACCCTGTTAGAGAGTACATATTCTCATTTAGCATATAAAGAAACTGATATGGTTTGGCTGTGTCCCCACCCAAATCTCATCTTGAATTGTAACTCCCACAATTCCCACGTGTCGTGTGAGGGACCCAGTGGGAGGTAATTTTATCATGGGGACAGGTCTTTCTTGTGCTGCTCTGTGATAGTGAATAAGTCTCACGAGATCTGAAGATTTTAAAAAGAGGAGTTCCTATGCATAAGCTCTCTCTTTTTGCCTGCTGCCATCCATGTAAGATGTGACTTCCTTCTCCTTGCCTTCCACCATGATTGTGAGGCCTCCCCAGCCATGTGGAACTGTAAGTCCATTAAACCTCTTTTTCTTCCCAGTCTCTGGTATGTCTTTATCAGCAACGTGAAAATGGGCTAATACAGTAAATTGATAGCCCACCAGTAGAGTGGGGTGCTGCTGAAAAGATACCTGAAAATGTGGAAGCAACTTTGGAACTGGGTAACAGGAAGAGTTTGGAACAGTTTGGAGGGCTCAGAAGACAGGAAAATGTGGGAAAGTTTGGAACTGCCTAGAGACTTGTTGAATGGCTTTGACCAAAGTGCTGAAAATGATATGGACAATGAAATCCAGGTTGAGGTGGTCTCAGATGGAGATGAGGAATTTGTTGGGAACTGGAGCAAAGGTGATTTTTGTTATGTTTTAGCAAAGAAACTAGCAGCATTTTACCCCTAGAGATTTGCGGAACTTTAAACTTGAGAGAGTTTATTTAGAGTATCTGGCAGAAGAAATTTGTAAGCAGCAAAGCATTCAAAAGGTGAACTGGGTGCTGTTAAAGACATTCAGTTTTATAAGGGAAGCAGAGCATAAAAGTTTGGAAAATTTGCACCCTGACAATACATTAGAAAAGAAAATCCCATTTTCTGAGGAGAAATTCAGGCCCACTATAGAAATGTGCATAAGCAACAAAGAGTCAAATGTTGATCCCCAAGACAATAGGGAAAATGTCTCCAACGCATGTCAGAGGTCTTCACGGCAGCCCCTCCCATCACAGGCCCAGAGGCCTAGGAAGAAAAAATGGTTTCATGGGCTGGGCCCAGGGTCCCCATGCTGTGTGCAGCCTAAGGACTTGGTGCCCTGCATTCCAGCCACTCCAGCCATGACTAAAAGGGGCCAAGGTACAGCTCAGACCATGGCTTCAGAGGATGCAAGCCCCATGCCTTGGCAGCTTCCACATGATGTTGAGCCTGTGGGTGCACAGAAGTCAAGAATTGAGGTTTGTAAACCTCCACTTAGATTTCAGAGGATGTTTGGAAATACCTGGATGTCCAGGCAGAAGTTTGCTGCAGGGTTGGGTAACCTCATGGATAACCTCTGCTAGGGCACTCCAGAAGGAAAATATGGGGTCAGAGCCCCCACATAGAGTTCCTACTGGGGCACCACCTAGTGGAGTTGTGAGAAGAAGGCCGCCATCCTCCAGACCCCAGAATGGTAGATCCACCTACAGCTTGCACCGTGGGCCTGGAAATTGCTTTTGATTTTACAGGATTATAGGTGGAAGGGACTTGCCTTGCCTCAGATGAGACTTCAGACTGTGTACTTTTGAGTTAATGCTAAAATGAATTAAGACTTTGGGGGACTGTTGGGAAGGCATGATTGGTTTTGAAATGTGAGGACATGAGATTTGGAAGGGGCCAGGGTGGAATATATGGTTTGGCTGTTTCCCCACCCAAATCTCATCTTGAATTTTAACTCCCACAATTCCCACATGTCATGGGAGGGACCCAGTGGAAGGTAATTGAATTATGGGGACGGGTGTTTTTGTGCTGTTCCCTTGATAGTGAATAAGTCTCATGAGATCTGATGGCTTTCAAAAGAGGAGTTCCCCTGCACAAGCTCTCTCTCTTTGCCTGCCCCCATCCATGTAAGATGTGATTTGCTCCTTCTTGCCTTCCACCATGATTGTGAGGCCTCCCCAGCCATGTGGAACTGTAAGTCCATTAAACCTCTTTTTCTTCCCACTCTCGGGTATGTCTTTATCAACAGCATGAAAATGGACTAATACAGAAACTGACCTGCCAGAGGGCTCAGTTCCTGGCCTGAACTGAAGCAAAGCCCAGGCATTCCGACTCTTCTAGCTAGACAGTGGCTACAGAAAGGGTAGCTTTGGCCATGTGGGCCCATGAACCAATTGTGAGTTCATTGATCACAGCCCAGATTCCAGCCTCACCTCCATAGACAGCCATGCCCTTGGAGTCCCAGCAGCTCCCAATGAATACTGCCAATGGCAGGGTAGGGAAGGTCTGAGAACTATCACATTACTGTTAATCTACTTCATCCCAGACACTGCAGTAGGCATTTTGCATGTTATTCTCTCCATTTTACAGATTTAAAAACTGAGGCTCAGAGAGGTTAAGCATCATGTCCAAAGTAGTTACCTAGACGTAGTAAGAGAGAGGAAGCAAAGTCTACATGTGCAAGGCATGTCTGTAGCCACTTTCTAGGCAGAAGAGTCAAAATGTCTCGGTTCTGCTTCCATTCAGGCCAGGAACTGAGCCCTCTGTCAGGTCAGTTTCTTTAGATACTAAATGAGAAGAACTACCATCTAACAGGGTACACAAAAGGATCAGCCAGGTTAAGATGATAACAAAGACCATGCCCATTCCAATCTCAAGCCTGCTGACAGCAGACGTCACAGGGCCGGATTTGCATGTTTTCATCTTTGACTCACTACGGTGCAGTGAATCACTCAGCCTTCTTTCCACATCCAGAAAAGGAAAGGCAATCAGCTTCCCGGGGGTGGAGAGCTATGGAGGGTGGAGAGATGGTGGAAGTGTTAATATTTACAGAATACTTTCACTGTCATCACTACAGTACATTTATTATATTCCTTTTCAAGTTTTACTTTCCCAAATAGATTTGATAAGGCCACAAACTGGTAAAACAACAACATTAATTAGTACAATAATAAAAGGAAGGGTGAAGGGCAGGGAGGTCTCAGTGGTCCGTGTAGGTTAAGGGAAGTTACTACAAGTGAAATGCATGGCAGCCAAGGCTACTATGGAAACAAGCTGGGTTGCAGAGTTCAAGAGGTGTTTTTGAAAATTAAATAAATAAATAAAATATGACAAAGCAGTTCATAGAAGAAGCCCATCTTTTTCTTGGCACTGACCAATGTAATATATGGCAGCTTTCATTTTGGCCCATGGCCATTTAGCCCTCTGGTCAGCCACTTTACAATGATGTGGGTTTCAGGCTGTGGTTAGATAATGTAAGTGACAAAGCCCTTGCCCTTTGCCCTTGACCACCCTGTGGCAGGCACTGGCCCAAGTCCTGGAGCAATGGCTCTTGCTTGAGGCCTTGCGATGCCCAGACTCCCAAGGGGTTCATGGAAATAACATGAGCTCCATGACAGCAGTGGGGTTGTCCAGGTTGTCTTTTCTGTATCTGCAGTGCCTAGAAGAGTTAGCCTTCCACATCATCAGGGCACAATACATGCTTGCTGGAATGTGGAGCCACATCACTCCTCCTTGTCTTTTCTTAGTCACTAAGAGGCTCATGAATTGCTGTAACACAATTGACTGGATTGGCACTTCCCAAATTTTAATGTGCAGACTGCAGACAAATCTCCTGTGGAACTTGTTAAAGTAAACATCCCTGGGCCCCATCCCAAATACACAAATTCAGTATAAATGAATAAATGAATGAGTGAACTTTCTTTTAAATTTTTACAATCAAAACGGTGCAGTCTAAGGGTTGGCAAATTGTTTCTGTAAAGAAATATTCTATAAAAATATTCTGTAACAAAACCATTCTGGCAAATATTTCTGTAAAAATACATATTGTAGATATTTCAGACTTGCTGGGCCTCTCTTGCTGCTGCTCAGCTCTGACTTGGTAGAGAACAAAAAAAGTAGCCATAGATAATACTTAAAGGAATGGGTATGTCTTCCAATAAAACTTTATTTATAAAAGCAAGAAGCACACCAGATTTTCGAATCCAGACTCCTTATTTTACATATGAAGGTACTGAGGCGCAAAGAGGATCAAAGTCCTGTCCAGAGTAAGAGATAAAAGGAGGGAGGTGGTGCAAGTTTTGCCTTCTGTTACACACAGTTCTTAGAAGGACAGCCTTAGATGAGCATGTTAGGAAAACAAAAAGTACCCATTTCTGCAATAAAATGCCTGTGACTAGGACTTCCTGCGTATGGAGATTCTCTTGCATGTAGTTGGAAACTGGAGAATTCTTAATTTGGTATTTTTAGAAAAACAGCCTTTTCCCCACCACTAGTTTCAATCTGGCGACGTCAACGCCCATTGCCAAAGCTTTAATCGCAGCATCAAGTTAAACTTTTCTTTGATTACTTTGGCAAAGCTGAATAATAAAGTCTGCTTAATTTTTTTTTTTTCAGGAAAATCATAAAGCTTAGAAATCCTAGGGAAGCTGCAGGTGTTTAATAAGAAAGCGGGAAGGTTAGAGAAAGCCGTTCCCACAGAAAATGGGCCACTTGAAAACTACTCAACAATTAATCACTTTGGAGCTGGTGATCAAAATGTAAATTTTCTAGTAATATAGATATGTCTGGATTGGGATCTGCATCCTTTTGCCCTACCCCCACCCATCTGGCTGTTGGCTGAATGCAAAAAGACAGAAATTTTATTTCAACAAATATTTATGAGCCCCTGCCCTCTACCAGCTCTTGAACAAAGTCTGGTTGTCATAGAAAGAGGGTAGGTCAGGAGGAGGTGAGAAATATATAAGGGCTACTGAGACTGGGCCCTTGTCTTTAGAGGCCCACAGTCTAGTGGGGAAGACAAGATTTGTTCCTTAGTTAAGACAATGCTAGCTGTCACAGCAGTGGTTTAAACTACACGGTAATTTCTCTCTGATATGAAGTCTAATTGGCAATAGGGGGCTCGGTTGTTTCAATGCTCATGAGTGACAACAACTTGATATGTAAAAAAACATGTCTTTCAATGTGTGGATCTTTAGACTAAATACACCAAAATCACTGAGAGAGCTGGTTAAAAATGCAGATTCTAGAAAAGGCAATACAATGGAGAAAAGATAGTCTTTTCAACAAATGGTGCTGAAACAACCAGAGATCCAGATGCAAAAAAATAAATAAATAAGTAGAATCTAGACACAGACTTTATGCTCTTCACAAAAGTTAACTAAAAATGGATCACAGACCTAAATGTGAAACACAAAACTATAGGAGGAAACATAGGAGAAAATCTAGATGACTTTGGGTATGGTAATGATTTTTTAATGCAACACCAAAGGCATTACCCATGAAAAAGAATTGATAAGCTGGACTTCATTAAAATGAAACATTTCTTCTCTGAGAAAGACACTGTCAAGAGAATGAAAAGACAAGCACAGACTGTCTGATTTGCACAAGACATATTAGATAAAAAGCTGTTGTCCAAATATACAAAGAAAACAAACAACTCATTTAAAAAATGGACCAAACACTTTAATAGACACCTCACCAAAGAAGATATACAGATGTCAAATAAGTATATGAAAAGATGTTCCACATGATAATATATGCATACATTGCATCAGGGAAATCCAAATAAAAATAAAAATAAAATGCCACTACACACTTAGAATGGCCATAATCCAGAACACTGACAACATCAAATGGGCCATGGATGTGGAGCAACAGGAACTCTCATTTCTCACTGGTGGGAATGCAAAATGGTACAGCCACTGTGGAAGACAGTTTGACAGTTTCTTACAAAACGAAACATATTCTTAGCATATGATCCAGCAATTGTGCTCCTCAGTATTTACCCAAGGAAGCTGAATACTGATGTTCACACAAAAACCTGCACATGGATGTTTATAGCAGCTTTATTTATAATAGTTAAAAATTGGAAGCAACCAAGATGTTCTTCAGTAGATGAGTGGATAAATAAACGTGGGCATATTCAGACAATGTACTACTAATTAGCACTAGAAAGAAATGAGCTGGCCGGCGCGGTGGCTCATGCCTGTAATCCCAGCACTTTGGGAGACCGAGGCAGGCAGATTACTTGAGATCAGGAGATTGAGACCAGCCTGGTCAATATGGTGACACCTCGTCTCTACTAAAAATACAAAATTTAGCCAGGTGTGATGACACATGCTCCCAGTTACTCGGGAAGCTGAGGCAGGAGAATCTCTTGAACCCACGAGGCAGAGGTTGCAGTGAGCCAAGATCGCGCTGCTGGGTGACCAACTGAGTGAGACTCCATCTCAAACAAACAAACAAACAAAAAAGAGCTATCACACCATTAAATGACATGGGGGAAATTTAAATGCATATTACTAAGTGAAAGAAGCCAATCTGAAAAAGCTACATACTATATGACTCCAACTATATGACATTCTAGAAGAGATAGAACATGGAGACACTAAAAAGAGCATCAGTAGCTGGTGGGGAGGGAGCATGGAGGGATGAATAGGCAGAGGACATAGGATTTTTAGATCAATATATCTACTCTGGATGGTACTGTTATGGTGGATCCATGTCATTATGCATTTGCCAAAGCCCGTGGAATGCACAACAGCAGGAGTGAACCCTAATGTGAACTATAGATTCTAAGTGATAATGATGTGTCACTGTAGGTTCATCAGTTGTAACAATTGTGCCATGCTAGTTGAGGATATTGAGAATGGGGGAGGCTATGCATGTTTGGGGACAGGGATATATGGAAGATCTCTGTATTTTCTGGTTATTTTTGCTGTTTGTTAACTTAAAATGTTCTAGAATATAGTCTATTAAAAATGCAGATTCCTGGGCTATCACCAAATATTTTCATTCAGGAGATTTGAGTGGTGCCTGGGAATCCGCCTTTCAGCAGCCTTCTAGGGAGTTCTGATATATACGTTAATATTTGGGAGTCACAGATGCAGACTGTAGTAAGAGTTTTAAAATTGATAAGTAGTTATGTATGAGATTTTGGAGAGAATTTAAGATCATGCTGAGTAGTTTAGACTTTGCACTGTAGGCCATAAAGAGGCCCTGAGGTTTTGATTATGAGAGTGACTTGTTCAAAGTGTTGGTTTGAGAAGATTAATCTGCAAGCCGTCAGCAGAAACCATTGCAACACCTCCAGGAAATACATGTTAGGATTAAGTGCCAGGATACGTGCAAAGACCTTAAATAGTGCCTGGCACAGAGGACGTGGGCAATACCTTTCAGTCACAATGTTTACTCTAGAGTCAAGATAATGGCAATGGGAATCAGGAGGAAGGATTATGCCTGAATTTGAGTGTTGAAGGTTTAACATAATTAGGGGCCTTGGTTAAATGGGGAATTTTTTCTTTGCCAGTTTTTCTAGTAATGGATTATAGCCACTTTTTTTATGTTTAGTGGAATTTGAAGGTGGCACTTGGTATTATGACTGCAGTCAATGGAAATTGTATTGGTGCTTACTGAAGGATTTGAGGTGATGAGGTCTGGATATGAAACCCAGGGTTCCTTCCTTCCCTTCAGAGCCTTTTCTATAAAGCCACCCATTTTCACATGGAGAAAATGTTTTCTTTAGCCTTCCTTTTCTAGAGTCCTGCTAGCAGTTATAATAAATAAATCTTGAAATTTCTGATATGTAAGAAAAATTTTTAGATATGAAACTCAGTGGGAGTCTTTACACCGTATGGTGATTCAGAGACCCAGTATTCATCTTGTGGCTCTGCCATGCCCTAGAACAGAAGTTTTCCAACTGTGGTCCTGGACCAACACCATCACCTGGGAAGCTTGCTAGACAGGAAGATTCTTCAGCTTCACTCCAGACCTGCTGAATCAGAAAGTCTGGAGTGGGTTCCAGAAATCTGGGCTTTCACATGGCCTTCAGAGATCGTGATGCAGCTCCGGTTTGAGAAACCCTACTCTCGGCCTCTGGGACCCTCTGATTTCTGTCTGAAGGGGAAAGAGTGGGGAGGTGTGTGTAGCAAGTCTGATGCACTGGATCCAAACAGAGCACATTCCCTCTCATCCCTTTGGCCACACCTATGCAAGGCAGGCTGGGATTAGCAGTATGAGTGTCCAAAAAGTATAAAAAACAGGCTGTGATGAGCTTGCTGTCTAGCCTTTTCCCATTTTCCCGTCTGCAAAACAGAGACTATAATATCTCGTTTACAGAGTAACTTGTGACATATTACTAGAAAAGATGTGCTCTTGGCTCCTAGCTTAGAAGAGATGCTGGGTTTTGTCCCCTACCCACATCTCCCTCAATCCCCTGAGGTGGCCGAGAGACTATTAGTCTTCCATCATTTACGTTGTTTGATAATTTTTTGTTCTGCCTCTGCAAATAACATATCCTGAGAAATCTGTCTACCAATCAAGTCAATCAACAAATGCTTTGACTGTAAATAATGATTTTGAGACAGCATTGAATGAGGTCTTACTAACTGAAAGGCACTTTGCATAAATGGTATCATTCATTCCTAACTACACTTTGGGAAGTACTACATTTAACTCCCCTTTTACAGGAGAAATCCATGGCTCTAAGAGATGAATTGTCTGGCAGTGGTTCACAGCTGCTATGTGATAGCTGAAGGAGGCTGCCTAACTCTCTCTGCTCTATCTTGCCTGCCACCAGGGGACTGTAGGAAAGCGAGGGAAGTGAAAAGTGAATTCCCCAAGTTCAAGGAGCTTACCATTTAAATGAAGACAGAAGATGGAGAGAAAAACACACAGACAAAAAGTGTGTATATGGGTGTTTCATTCGTCCCTTTGTTCTAGGGAGGAAAAAAGGGATGGGGTATTTAAGACAGATTGACACATAAGGCCATTTAAAGCTGGATGAGCTTAGTTCTATATGAGTGGTAGACACAGGGGCCAGCCTTGATGTGCTATGACGTCAATTTGAACAATTTACGTGTTTCACTGCTAAAATCTGCCATACTGATGCAGAATGTGTAACACATAAGCCTCTCTGAATAAGAGGTTATTATTGGCTGTCCCTGTGGGAAAACCCCCATCTCCATAGCAACTGTCTCTGTGTCCCAGACATTGTCTAGGGCTTAGGAGGAGCAGCTAGAAACATCAGGAAACAAACCTTGTAGAAGCAGTGGGTTCTGTGAATAATGCCGTGGTTTTTCCTTCCCTTGCGGTTTAGTGTGCTGGGAAAACCTGGAAGTGATGGGTAGACTCTTTGCCAAGGAATTAAAGTTGTATCATTAACACTTCCCACCTGAAGTTCTAAGCATACTGGTTGTTGGTGGATGGCCTTGCCATTACAAGCAAATATGAATTTCCTGTTTGGAAATGCAGAGGACCTATTTCATCTAGGCAAAGAGAATAAATGGTTACTCAAATTTTAAAACCACCAGGCCCAGTTGAAATTAGCTAAGCTGCTATTCTAGAATGCCTTAAAAATATTACCTGTGATTTGTTGAGCACCTACTATGTGCTGTGTGCTATGCCAGGACCTGTACCTTTATTACCTTTTTAGCAGTCCTTTTAGCAGCCCTACATGTTAGCTATTCCCATTTTACAGGTGGGACAGTTGTGGCTCAGAGAGGTTAAGTGGCTTGCCCAAGGTCACACAACTCACAGGTCTGTCTAAACCCAAGCCTGGGTTTTTCTACTATGCCTGCTTTTTCCTTTTGCCATAGTTCTCAACTAACTTATGAAGAATTTTACAGCTAGAGCTAGTAAGTGATTATAACAACTCACCCCCTTACATGCTTACTTAGGGTCAGGTTATTTTCTAAGTTTCTTTAACCCTCACAAAAACCCTGTAAGTTATTATCCTGAAATATAGATGAAGAACCTGAGCACAGATAAGTGAGATAACTTACCCAAGGCTGTTCCACTAGACAGAGATAGAGCACGGATTTAAAGCCAGACAAATGGGATCTGCTGTCCTTTCACTTAAATGCTCTTCGCCCAGACCTGCATGGCATCTGAATTTCTAGGGTGGGACTCCTGGCACATGTCGTGTTTTATGAAGTCCTACAGAAGATTCTGATATGGATTTCAAGGAGGAACCCCTGCCTGGAGGCCACTGTCTGTCTGAAAGTTCCATTTCTTCCTGTTGATTCTCCCAATAGGCCCATCTCATGCCTGCCCACTACACTCACTGCACAACAGCCTTAGTGAGCTCCAGGTATTTTCACAACCAGAAATGGCCAGGAGGGTTTGGGGAGATGACCCCAATACGTGGCCCCTCCTGATAGCTGGGGGCTGGTGAAATGGGGCTGTGCTTCTATTCTGCACAGCTCAGTAGTGAACAGTTACCTGGGGCCATTCCAGCCCAGACCTTTGAACAACCTGTGGCCAAGTAGCTGTGGGCAGGAACTAAGTGTGTCATGCAGTGGCTGGCCTGGGGGAGATCTGAAGACTAAAATGAAATAGCATGTACTCCCTAATGATCAAAAGCACAGGTTTTAGAGGCAGACAAACCTGAATTTGAATCCCAATTTCACCACTTGCTAGCTGGGTCAACTTGAGCAAGTCACTGGACTGTACCTCAGTGTCCAAGGCTGGGATGATTATATTTACCCTGTTGGATCCTAGTGAGGGCTACATTAGCTACTATGAAGGTGCTGGACTTTGTGCTTAACACCTAGTAAGCTCTCAGGTTACATAAGGAGAACTGGGTGGAGTAAAGAGGCTGGGGTCACAGGGTGAGACAAGAGGTGGCTCAGGGTGACCCGAAGAGCTGGAGATCTTCAGTCAAGTAAGAATACACTGTGTCCAAGGAGTGAGACAGAGCGAAGGATCAACACTGGGAGCCCAAGATGAAGTCATAGATGTTCCCACAGGCTGGCCAAGCACTGAGGCTGCTGTTCTAACCTGAGCCACTCATGAAGAAGGAGCCTCTACATCCCCACTGCAAAAGTTCTGGGTTGTTTTACTTCTTTTTGATTTTGCTTCCCCCATCATTCTTTGTTTCTGCAGTCACTTATCTCTTTTGACTTTGGTCCACAAGTTTTTCTTTGTTCCTTATGGTGTATTTAAATTTTAGAGTCTGCTTAGGTGGACTCTGGCTTCATCTGCTTCTGGCCATTTTGAGTAATGGACCAGCTCATCCAGCCCCAGCCTCAGGAGGCAACCTTAGCAGTAGCCTGATGGACTGGTGTCCTTGGGACAGCGCTTGCCCACACTTCAGGGAACTGGATAGAAATGGGGCTGTAGGGTGGAGCCGTCAGCATCAGATAAGCCTGTCGAGGGGAATCAGGGCCCCAGGCCCAGAGATGGGATTCAGGCTCCAGGAAGTCAGCCCTTAAGAGGGGGCTCAAAGAAAGCACATAGAGTCTGAGATCACTGCCTAGGAGTGGATAGGTTACCAGGCAGTTGCCAGGGACAGAGCTGTAAGAGCTGGAGCATCCAGGATGAGTGGTCTTCTGCAATCAGACACGAGGTTACCATCTAAACTACAGTGAGGCCAGCACCAGCCAACAGGAAAGAGTGTGTGACGCCAGCTTAATTGCGCTCAGTGGGAGACAGTTACAGAGCAGTGGTGGGAGTTTTGGCTTTCGGGTCAGATAGATGGAGATTAAATTCCAGATCTACCTCCCAGTAACCATGGAATCTGGGACCGTTGCTCAATTCCTCAGAGCTTCAGGTCCCTTGACTGAAATGAGAACAATGGCTGTACCCACTCATAGACTCACTGATGAGTCAATTCATCTAAAGGATTTAGCCGATCAATGTCACATAGTAAGAACTCAGTAAATGGTGAGTGGCGGTGTTTCAGTTAGACTTAGTTTTCAACATATAAAACAGAAAACCCAACTAACAAAGCAGACAGATGTTTCTTTTTCTCTTATGTCTGTCCAAGACGGGTGTAACAGTGTCATGGTGTCATAGGGGACCCAAAGTGCCTTCTGTTTTTTGATCCCACCCTCCTCAGCTCATGTCTCCATCCTCAAGAGTATATCATGGTAAAAAAAAAAAAAAAACTGCTGTAAGAAATTCCACCCCTTCACTGTGGCCTACCCCTTCTTGCCTCTTTACCTGTATACAAACTATTTCCACTAACTGTGATGCCTTTTCCCTAACCTTGTCATTCTGAACCGCTCAGCTCAGAGGTTTCTTGCTTATTAAAGCCCTCCCTGACACCTTCATCGAGATGTTATTGCATTAAAATATTATTTACCTTGATTGCTGAGATCTTTACATTTGTTTTTTACATCTTTATTGAGATATAATTCACATACCTTACAGTTCACCCATTTAAAGTGTACAATTCAATGTTTTTAAAAATTATCTTCACAGAGTTGTGTAACCATAACTAAAGTCAAATTTAGACATTTTATGACCCCCAAAAGAACCTCCATACCCTTTGGGTATCACTCCTCCATCCCCTGAATTAGTGGCGTCATAAAGTAACCTCTAATCTACTTTTGGTCTCTGTAGATTTGCCTATTATGGACATTTGCATAGATGCTATCATATCATATGGTACAATATGATGAAATTGTCCATTTGTGTCCCACCTCTTTCACTTACGATAATGTTTTCAAAGTTCATCCACATTGTAGCATGTATCAGTACTTTATTCTTTTTAATTGCCAAGTAAGAATTCATCATATGGACATACCACATTTTGTTTATCCATTCATCCATTTATGGATGTTTGGGTTTTGTCCACTTTGGTGCTATTATGACTAATGCTGTTATGAGCATTTGTGCACAAGTACCCTCTTAAACTTTGTGCCCAAAGTGAGTGTCTCATTTACCTCACTGTAGTTCCAGCCTTGTTACTACACGCAATAATTTTATTCTATAGCCTAGATGCAAACCCGCAGAGAAGCCTCATTCCCAAGCAGGGTGTTGGCCTCAGCATCCAGGGTTTGCGCAGGTGAAGGCTGAAAACATGGAGATGCACAGTGTGGGCAGAAAATTCAAAGTCCTCTGTCACAGACTGTCTCTGCTGTTGCTCCTCCTTGTCCTCTCAGTCACGTCTGCTCCTGCCAGCTTGGTCCCCACTGAGCTTGCCACCCACACATTCTGCCACCTGCCTCTTTCCTGCAGCCAGCCGAGGGAAGACTGCATATTGCCTTTCTATTCCAAGCTTCAAAACATTCCCCACCATTGTGGGAAGCTCCCCAGAGCTGAGGATGAGGAAGTGAGCCAGTCAGAGAACAAAAGATGCATGAGAGACTCAGGCCACATTGGCACAGTGAGAATGGGACAGCTGAGTGGAATCCTGCAAGCTCATTTAGCAGTGCAGAGCCCCACTGGGTGAGGCACGCAGCCTTGACTGGGGTAGAGAGGCAGGCACATATGAAGGCAGCTGCACCAGGAAGCATGACAATGAAAAAACAAAAAGAAGGCAACTCAGTCTTCATAGAGGAAACCAATACATCCAAACAGATCCTGGTTTCAGGATATCCCACCCAATGCCCTACTTTTCTCAATGCCAGATAGAGAGCTGAATTGCCTGCATATTCTTAGTCCCAGTTTCTTTTCTTTCTCTGGCCTCCTAAGTAGGGACTTAAATACTAGGGCTGTTGAGCATAGTGAATTGGTATGGGGTTTCTTTCTGGAGTGATGAAAATGCTTTGAAAATACATAGTGGTAATGGTTGCTCAACTTTGTGAACCACTGTATTTTACACTTTAAAAGAGGGAATTTTATTTTATATGAATTATATCTCAATAATAAAAGAATGAGTAAGAGGATGAAATGTGATTGGATGGATGGATGGATGATGGTTGGATGCACAGATGGATGGATGGATGTTTGGATGGATGGTTGGATGGAAGTTTGGATGGACTGAGGATTGGATGGACTAATAATTAAATGGATGGATAATGGATGGATGGATGGATGGAGTGTTGGATGGATCAAAGCAGAAGTTGATAAATGAAAACTGAGGCGGTTCCAAGCAGAGAACACTTAATTTCAGCTGCTGTATTGGCAAGGATGGGAATAGATTGGAGAGCAAGAAAATACCACCATGAATTTCAATTTTTCAGCTAATGCCTACCCCAGCCACCCACTCCCAATGCCTTCACCATCTACCAGACACTCTCTTCCTCTCTTCCTCTTCTTATCTAGCCTAATTGTTCTCTACAGAACTTATCCCAATATGGCATACTATGTATTTATTATTATTTTTTTTAATTACCTGTATCCCCACTGGAATGTAAGCTCCTCAAGAAGAAAGATTTATTTTCTGCTGTGTTCATGACTGTGTTCCCAGCTCATAGAACAAAGTTTGACACGTAGAACCTTGTTTAGTAAATAATTGTTAGGTGAATGAATACATATTCATATTCCTTGTGGGTAGGAATGACATACCCCTTCTAGCCCGAAAGCTTAGATAGAAGAGAAAATACAGAAAACATTATCATGAATTTTCTACAACCTTCTCATTATATTTGAAACCCATCTGTGTAGTTTGGGCAGAAAACTGAGAATACAAATCGAATTGAAGCCAGTTGATCATGGTTTTCAATTTTTGTAAATTCTACAACTAGGAATTTGATTATGTTGACTCTGTAGATAAATTTGGGAAGTAGTTTCATCTTAACAATGCTAAATCTTCTAGTCTATGAACACAGGATGTCTTAATATTTATTTAACTTTTTAAAAGTTAATGTCAACAATGTTTTGTAGTTGTCAGGTACAAGCCTTGTACGTCTTGTACTAAATTTATTCCTTTGGGGATGTTTTTGTTACTATTGTACATGTAATTATATTCTTAATTTAATTTTTTCAGAATGTTTCTTGCTAGCATATAGAACTATAGTTCATTTTTGAATATTGACCTTGTATCTTGTAACTTTACTAAACTGTTTTATTAGTTCTAATAGTTTTTTAGTGACTTCCTTGAGATTATTTGTATAAAAGATCATGTCAGTTGCAAACAGAAATAGTTTAATTCTTCTTTTGTAGTTCAGATGCCTTTTATTTATTTTTCTTGCCTCATTGTCCTGAATAGAACTTCTAGTCCAAAGTCGAATAGAAATGTGAGAGCAGACATCCTTGCTTTGTTTGTTCCTGATTTTGTGGGGCAAAGAATTCAGTCGTTTACTACCAAGGACTGTGTTAGCTGTAGGTTTTTAATAGATATCTTTTATCAGATTGAAGACGTTTCCTTCTATTTCTAATTTGTTGAGTATTTTTCTCATGAAAAGTGGTATGTTTTGTCAGTGCTTTTTCTATTTATTGAAATACTCAAGAGGAGGTTTTATGTTTCTTATTCTATTAACATGTGATGTATTCCATTGATTGATTTCATAGAATCAACTTTGCATTACCGGGATAAATCTCACTTGGTCATGTTGTATAAACTTTTTTATTTGTTATTGAATTAGTTTGCTAGTATTTTGTTAAGGCATTTTGTATCTATATTCATAATGGATATTGGTCTGTAGTTTTTTTATTCTGATATTTTTATCTGATTTTGTTATTAGAATAGTGCTAGCCTCATAAAATGAGTTGGGAGATATTCTTTTTCCTGGTGTGGAGAATAATTTTTGAAGTATTAGTATTGATTCTTCTTTTAATGTTTGGTAGAAATCACTAGTGAAGGCATTTGATCATACTCTTTTTCATGGGGCAAGGATGGTTTATTGTTACTAATTCAATAGTTTTATTTGCTAAAGTCTATTCAAATTTTCTGTTTCTTTTTAACTCAGTTTTAATACTTTGTGTCTTCCTAGAAACTTGTCCATTTCATCTAGGTTATCTAATTTTTTGACATACAATTATTCATAGCATCTTCTTATAATTCTCTTTATTTCTTTAAGACCACTAGTAATGTTCTCTATTTCATTCCAAATTTTAGTAACTTGAGTCATCTTCTCCTTTTTCCTTGTCACTCTAGCTAAGGGCTTGTGAATTTTGTTGATCTTTTCAAAGAGTAAATTTATGGTTTTATTGATTTCTCTGTTGTTTTTCTGTTCTCTATTTCATTTATTTCTGCTGTAGTCATTATTTTCCTTCTTCTGCCTACTTTACGGTTCATTTGCTATTTTTTTTCCAGTTTCTTAAGGTGGAAGTTTAGGTAATTTATTTGAGATACTTCTTTGTGAATATAGACATTTACAACTGTAAATTTTTCTCTAAGCACTTGTTCTGCTGTATCTCATAAGTTTTGATATGTTGTGCTTTTGTTTTCATTCATGTCAAAGTATTTTCTAATTTCCCTTGTGATTTTTATTTCCGACCCCTTGATGATTTAGGAATGTATTATTATTATTTTCATATATTTATGAATTTCTCAAAATTCTAATTTTGATTACTAATTTTATTACGTTGTCATTAGAGAACACATATTGTATTATTTCAATTATTTTCACTTTTTGAAATCTGTTTTATTGTCCAACATATACTATATTCTGGGAAGTGTTTCATGTGTACTTGAGAAGAATGTGCATTCTGCTGTTGTTGGGTGGATTGTTCTATAGTTGTCTGTTATGTCTAGTCTAACTATACTGTTGTATAAGTCTTTTGTTTCATTATCGATTTCTGCCTAGTAATTCTATTCATTATTAAATATGAGATATTGAAATCTCCAGTGATTCTTTTTAAACTGTTTATTTCTCCCTTGAATTTGATTCTTTTTACTTGATGTATTTTGGGGCTCTGTTATCACTTGCATACATGTTTATAATTGTTATGCCTTTCTAATGGATTGACTGTTACCATCATAAAATGCCCTTTGGTGTAACAATTTGTGTATTTAAGTCTATTTTGTTTGATATTATTATGGCCACCCCAGCTCTCTATTGGTTACCATTTGTATGGTACATGTTTTTCTATAGTTTATATTTAATCTTTTTATGTTTTTAAATCTAAACTGTCTCTCTCTCTCTTTTTTTTTTTTTTTTTTTTTGAGCTGGAGTCTCACTCTATCACCAGGCTGGAGGACAGTGGCATGCTCTCAGCTCACTGCAACCTCCACCTCCTGGGTTCAAGAGATTCTCCTGTCTCAGCCTCCTGAGTAGCTGGGACTACAGGTGCGTGCCACCACACCCAGCTAATTTTTGTATTTTTTTTAGTAGAGATGGGGTTTCACCATGTTGGACAGGATGGTCTCAATCTCCTGACTTCATGATCTGCCTGCCTCAGCCTCCCAAAGTACTGGGATTACAGGCATGAGCCACCGCGCCCGGCCTAAACTGTGTCTCTTATTTTTCTAAATTCTTCTTTTTGATTGGAGTGTTTAATCAATTTAGATTTAATGTAATAACTGATATTATAAAACTTACATCTGTCTTTTTGCTATTTGTTTTCTATATGTCTAACATCTTCGTTGGTCCTCCATTCTTTCATTACTGTCTATTTTTGTATTAAATAGATTGTCTAGTGCACTGCTTTAATTCTCCTTTCTTTAAACTACTTTTTAAAGTTGTTTTCTGGGGATTAAAATTAATTCTTTTAATTTATCATAGTCTAGTTCAGATTAATATCAATTTCATTTTAATAGTTTACAAAAAAATTTTGCTCCTATATAGCTCCATTCTCTCTTCTCTTCTTTGTGCTACCATTATCATAAAAACTGTGTCTTTATACATTGCATGCTCACAAACATTTATAATTATTTCTTCATGGGTTGTCTTTTAAATCAGATAGAAAAAAAGCTACAAACAAAAAATACATTTCTAATATCTTGTATATGTAAACTATGTAGTTACCTTCACCGATGTCATTATTTCCTTATGTGGATTTGATTTACTGTCTAATTTCCTTTCCTTTCATCCTAAAAGACTCCTTTCAATATTTCTTGTAGTGAAGGTCTGCAAGCAGCAAATTTTTTGTTTGTTTGTTTGTTTTGTTTTTAAATCTGGAAATGCCCTAATTTCTCTTTCATTTTTGAAGAATAGTTTTCCTAAATGTAGAATTCTTGGTTTACAGTATTTTTTCTTTCAGCACTTTAAATATGTCATCCTACACTCTTCTGGCCTCCTTGGTTTCTGATAAGTAATCAACTGTTAATCTTATTGAGGACCACTTATATATGATTAGTTGTTTCTCTCTTGCTGCTTTCAAAATTCTCAGTTTCTGCCTATTGAGAGTTTTATTATGTGGTATCTAGCTCTGATTCACTAAGTTTATCTACTTGGATTTAGTTAACTTTCTTGGGTGTTTAGATGAATATTTTTCATCAAATTTTGGAAGTTTTCAGCCATATTTCTTCAAATACTTTTGACCCTTCCTCTATCTCCTCTCCCCTCTGGAACTTCCATGTGCATATGTTGCTACACTGATGGTGTCTCTCAGGTCTCTAGGGCTCTATTCGTTTTTCTTTATTCTTTTTTTCTTTTTATTCCTCAATTTGAATAATCTCAATTGACTTATCTTCAAGTTGGCTTATTTTTATTCTTCCAGCTCAAGCATAATGTTGACTTCTCATGAATTTTTCATTTCACTTTATTTTTTATTTTATTTTTTACATATAGATTCTGTCTTTGTCAATATAACCTATTTGGTATGACATTGTTTTCATATTTTCTTTAGTTCTTGTATGTGGTTTCCTTTAGTGTTTTGGACATATGTAAGATAGTAGGCATAAAATCTATGTCTAGAAAGTTCTACATCTGGGCTTCCTCACAGACAATTTTTTTTGACAATTTTCTGTTGACTGTTTTTTTGGTTTGTTTATTTTCTTTTTCTTGGGTATAGGTAATACATTTTGTTCTTTGCATAGCTCATTGTTTTTGAAACTGGACATTTTAAATAAAATGTGTCAACTTCAGAAATTAGATCCCCCAGGGTTCGTTGTTTATGTAATTTTTAAATGAATTTTCTGAATTAACACTGTAAGGTCTGTATTCCTTTTCATGTGTGCCCACTTAAGTCTGTGTTCAGTTAGTTTAATGGTCAGCTAATTATTGGACAGGAATTGTCTTAAATTCCTGGGACCAATAAGTCTTTCAGTCATTGATAAAGGTCTCTGTGTGCATGACAGGGCATAACTTTAATGCTCAGGCAGCTAGTTTATAACTCATCTTTGTCTTCACATCTTACTTAGGGTCTTAAAATCATCAAAAGGTGAGAGCTTAGGGCTCTCTCGGGTCTTTATTGGGTATGCACTTATCTCTGGGCATGTGCCCAGCCCTAGACAAGATATGCACTTGGTTTTCTAGGTTCCCAGGAATATGTAGGAAAATCCCTGTAGCACAGATTTTCCTTTTAAGTTTTTTGCTTAACTTCTTATTTTCCCCAACTCATATTGCTAGCTCAGGCACCTGCAGTGTTTAACAATTGCCACTGCTTGTTTTCAACAAACTTCTCTGAGGGAAAAGTCTGCCCTCTTTGGGAAAGTTCTGAGTCAGGTCAAATATAGACAAGTCCTGCAAGTGAAATTTTTTCAGGGAATCACCAGACAGACCAACTGATGACAGCTACCTGGGAAGTGGGCTTTGGAGGAGCTCCATTCTGTCTCCTCCAAAGACTTATAGGCTGCTTATTTTCACTGTGATTTTTGGAGCCATTGGTTTTTAAGGCTATCATGAGGTGGGGGGGAGGGGGCATTGGAGGAATAGGATTAAGCAAATTAAAATGCAACAAAGCTCATTGTTCTTACCAATTCAGCCAATTTAAAAAGAAAAAAAAACAGTCAGCTTGTTCCAAATTGTGGTTAACTTTTAGAGATCTGAAAAAGTTTATTATGCTTTCTGTTGCTATTATGGAAGAGAGGACTTTAGGAGGTCCTTACTTCACCATTGCTGAACCAGTCTTTTTTATTAATTATTATTATTTTGAGACAGTCTCATTGTCACCCAGGCTGGAGTGCAATGGTGCAATCTCTGCCCATTGCAACCTCTGTCTCCCCAGTTCAAGTGATTCTCCTGCCTCAGCCTCCTGAATAGCTGAGACTGAATGCACATGCCACCACGCCCAGCTAATTTTTGTATTTTTAGTAGAGATGGGGTTTCACTATGTTGGCCAGGCTGGTCTCAAACTCCTGACCTCAAGTGATCCTGCCTTGGCCTCTCAACGTACCGAGATTACAGGCATGAGCCACCATACATGGCCTCATTCATTATTAAAACATTTATTATCAGCCTTTAGGAATGCAAAGAGAAATAATATAGTCTTTTACCTCAAGGAGATCCACAATCTTGAAGAGACAAACACATATAAACAAAATATCATATGACAAACACATTAATATATCCAACAGTTTCATGATCATGTTAGTAGCATCCTCAGGGTGCAGGTTGATATACTTCAGTTTATGCCTTGCCTGTGTTTTTAATTTGTCTATGCAAGCAGTATTTTTAAATTGTTAATGTTTCTTAAAGTCCCCTGTAATTTCTGTACTGTTTACTCACCAATCACTCATTTGTGTAAAGTCGAGCACATCTATCTCTATCACCAGTTTATAGGGAGAACATGCACTTTCCTGCTCGTTTCACACATCCTCCTACCTCTTCCTAAAGCAACAGTGCTCACACTTCCATGGGCACATGAGTCAGTTTTAAATGCAGATTCGAAATCAGTCGGTCTAGGGTAAGTCCTGAGAGTCTGAATTTTTAACAAGTTCCAAGGTGATGTTGATCACTGAGTCACACTTAGTAGCAGAGTCCTAAAGATTCAGGTGCTTTGGCCTTCCAAAGCCCACCTCCTACATCTTCTTAATAGATAATAGCTCCCATCTGCTTTCTCCACCTGGGCTGTTTATGCACTTGAACTTTAGAATGTGGGTAACAGATGAAGCCTATGGGATTTTCCAGGGGCTTTCAGAGTAGAGGAGAAGCTTTTCTTCTACAGTAAATTTTTGTGAGGTTCTGCCCCAGGGCCAGGAATAGATGGAGGAAATTTCCAGGTCACTGTAAAATCGATCATGGTTGGGTTCTCTGAGTGCTGTGTGCTATTAGTACCGGTGAAGACGAATCCAAGAGAAAACTGAATGGTTAGAAACATGCAATGTGTCTTTCATAGACCTTTTCTCTAAGCACACTGAGGAGAGGAGAGGGGAAGAGAATAAATGTATAAAGCAGAGGAAAACGAAGCAGAGGGAAAATGCAAACACATGTGCTTGAGGGCCACTGTGTTCCAGGAGCTTCAGGAGAGTAGATTATTTCTGGAGTCACATAGCCTTAAGTGCAAATCCTCGAGCTCACATTTATTGGTGTCATGACTTTGGGCCTGTCTCCTCTGCGCCTTGGTTTCTTCTTTTGTAATATGGGGAAAACATCAGTACCTACATACCAGTACTTGGCACATAGTAAGTGATTAGTAATGTTAGTTTATCTTAACTCAGTGAAGGAATCATTATTACCCTCATTTTATAGACTCAGTCACTGAAGCCAAGAAAGTGTGACCTGTCTACAGTTGATAGCTAGATGTAGAGCCAGGAGTAGTGCCCACATCTAATCTCCAAGTCTTTCTGTCCTTGCCTTTTGGAAACGAACCTCATTTTCTGCTGTAAGTCAAACTCCTGGGGAGTAAGTGGGGTTTTAAATCTCCCTTGCACAGTTCCTGACACACAGAAACCTTCCATAAATATATGCCCAAGTTTGAATGGATAGGTAGGTAGATTTTGAAAAGGGATGCAGAAGTGCCGTTGTAAAATCCTCTCTGAAGAAGTGGAAAGGTGCTTTTCCAGAAATGGTGGAAATGTTCTACTGATGAGTGTGGTGAAATGGATTGGCTGACCTCTTAACAGCTAGGAATGAAGGCAAAAGTGAGAAGGAGGGCAGTGTTTTACCCAGAGTAGTGTCACTCTCTGAATGTCTATATGCTGTGATGGATAGAAGAACACTAGGCCTGAGAGGTGAAGCCAGCTGGTCTTCCTGGGTCGAGTGGGGACCTGGAGAATTTTTCTGTCTAGCTAAAGGATTGTAAACGCACCAATCAGCGCTCTGTGTCTAGTTAAAGGATTGTAAATGCACAAGTCAGCACTCCGTAAAAATGCACCAATCAGCACTCTGTGTGTAGCTAAAGGATTGTAAATGGGCCAATCAGCACTCTGTAAAATGGACCAATCAGCAGGATGTAGGTGGGGCCAAATAAGGGAATAAAAGCTGGCCACCCAATCCAGCAGCAGCAACTGGCTTGGGTCCCCTTCCGTGCTGTGGAAGCTTTGTTCTTTTGCTCTTCACAGTATATCTTGCTGCTGCTCACTCTTTGGGTCCTCACTACCTTTATGAGCTGTAACACTCACTGCGAGGGTCTGCAGCTTCTGTCCTGAAGTTAGCGAGACTATGAACCCACCGGGAGGAACAAACAACTCCGGATGCACCACCTTTAAGAGCTGTAACACTCACTGCAAAGGTCTGCGGCTTCACTCCTGAAGTCAGTGAGACCATGACCCACTGGAAGGAAGAAACTCCGGACACATCTGAACATCTGAAGGAACAAACTCTGGACACACCATCTTTAAGAACTGTAGCACTCACCATGAGGGTCCACAGCTTCATTCTTGAAGTCAGTGAGACCAAGAACCGACCAGAAGGAACCAATTCCGGACACAGGCCTGTCCAATAAGAGTGTGCTGAAGGGCATCCCCAGAGGCTTCATGATGGAAACAGCAGATGATGCCAACTGAGATCATACATAGTGGCCATGATCCTCCCCATCAGGAGAAAAACAAAGGGCAAGCTAACTCTGAGATCCACACCAACACAAAGATTCTACAGAATTGTCTAAGAAGGATCCAGAAGATGAGAAAGGACTAATGGACTTAAGAGAAGAATACTTTCATCTGTCCTTCCCACTTGTATTAGATATAGTGATGATAACCCTTCAGATCATAGTGGGGCATATAAAGGTCCAGATAGAAATAAAATTCTCCGAGAGGGATGTTTGCTTGTCACTAGCCCACAGGGCCCAGCTGTCTCTCTATAACTATGTTTTTAAGCATTCTCTGACTGAGCTGTTTTATAGGAGGCCTTCTTCCAGAAAGAACTTGAGTAGCCTATAGTGATACATAACATTAATGGTGGGAGCCAAGCCTGAAAGGAAAACTAAAATGGAAACCTAAATGGAGCAGGAGTGAGCCTCCCATGACCAACACACTTTCTCTGCAGGTGGCTCAGCCAAGCTCTCTGCCTAAGCTGGCAACACAACAACAGGAACACATCAGAAACACAAAGTATCATGTTTGGAAGAGACCACAAAAACAAAGCATCCCATTGCTCAGTAAAACCGTAACCATTCAGAAGTTTTCCCAGGAGTTCTCTTTTAAAATGATATCAGGAGGAGTAGTATCTTCCACAGCATCTTCAACGGGGTCATCCTCACAGTGAATGGATCTTTTTACAGCTTTTCCTGATCCAGACCTTCATTGTATGCTGCTCCCCTTCTTGCAGTTCAATGAAGGCAGCTTTTTTGGAGGGCAATACAAAAGCATGCCTTTTTTTTTCTTCAGAGTCTCACTCTGTCATCCAGATTGGAGTGCAGTGGTGCACTCATGGCTCACTGCCTCCTCCACCTCCCAGGCTCAAGTAATCCTCCCATCTCAACCTACTGAGTAGCTGGGACCACATATGCATACCACCACACCAGCTAATTTTTTGTATTTTTGGTAGAGACAGGGTTTCACCATGTTGCCCAGGCTGGTATCAAACACTTGAGCTCAAATGATCCATCTGCCTGCCCACCTCGACCTCCCAAAGTACTGGTATTACAGGCATAAGCCATGGTGCCCAGCCACAAATGCATGTCTTTCTAATGATCTTATCTGGTCTAAGAGGTCGATCTTTGACTACTGGGGAGAGTTGATGAACTGCACTTCACAAAATCCTTCCTCAATACAGTTTCCTTCTTTCAAAATTTTGGGAGATAGTGGGTAGGGGAGAGCTTGAGATCACCCTCTTTGAGTACCTTAAGGGCAGCCATTACGTTTTGCCAGGTTGAAGCCAGCCCATGACAGAGTGCCCAGTGAGCTGGGGGAGGAGCCCATGCATCCTGTGAGACACCAGTGTCTCAACCCGAGGTCCACCCAATCCACTTGGAAATAGAGAAATGGTCCACAGATGAGCCAAAAGTCTCCTGAGAGATTGTTTTTATAATCGGTTCATGTGCTGTACAACTAGGCCACTGAGACCCACAAAATTCGACTCTGTATTTTAAGGTAGCTTTAGCCTTGTTTTAGCCTGACCCAGAAAATTAAGACTATGAAATATTTAAAATACATTATGACCCCACAGTATAAAATAATAACGACACACTATTTCCTAGTTCATTAACTTAGGGCTAAATACATGTCCCATTTATAGAAGATATTCCATGGGGTTGGCCTTTCCGTTTTTCTTCATTAAAGAATTGCTGAAGACCCTTCCAGCCAGGTTGAGTCCAGAGGCTCAAGTGATGTTGTCAGGAATCTGTTTGTCTCCTTGTCCCTTGGCTCTGCTTTTCTCCATGTAGTCTCCATTCTCTGTCAGACTCTCTTCCCCTGGAGGCAAGACTGCTACCAGTGAGAGGTGACAACGTGCTGGTGACCCTCGCTCGCGCTCAGTGCCTCCTCGGCCTCGGCGTCCGCTCTGACCATGCTTGAGGAGACCTTCAGCCTGCCACTGCACTGTGGGAGCCCTTCTCTGGGCTGTCTGAGGCTGGAGCCGGCTCCCTCTGCTTGCGGGGAGGTGTGGAGGGAGAGGCACGGGTGGGAACTGGGGCTGTGCAGTGCACTCGTGGGCCAGCGCAAGTTCCGGGTGGGCATGGGCTCGGCAGGTCCTTCACTTGGAGCGGCCGGCCGGTGCCGCTGGCCCCAGGCAGTGAGGGGCTTAGTACCTGGGCCAGGAGCTGCGGAGGGTGCACTGGGTCCCCCAGCAGTGCTAGCTCACCAACGTTGTGCTTGAATTCTTGCCAGGACTCAGCTGCCTCTTTGCGGGGCAGGGCTCAGGACCTGCAGCCCGTCATGCCCGAGCCTCCCCCTAGCCGTGGGCTCCTGCACAGCCCAAGCCTCCCCAACGAGCACCGCCCCCTGCTCTGCGGTGCCCAGTCCCGTCGACTGCCCAACAGCTGAGGTGTGCAGGCGCACGGCGTGGGACTGGCGGGCAGCTCAGCCTGTGGCCCCGGTGCAGGATCCACTAGGTGAAGCCAGCTGGGCTCCTGAGTCTAGTGGGGATTTGGAGAACCTTTATGTCTAGCTAAGGGATTGTAAATACACCAGTCAGCACTCTGTGTCTAGCTCAAGGTTTGTAAACACACCAATCAGCACCCTGTGTCTAGCTCAAGGTTTGTAAATGCACTTATCAGTGCTCTGTGTCTAGCTAATCTAGTGGGGACTTAGAGAACTTTTGTGTCCAGCTCAGGGATTGTAAACGCACCAATCAGCACCCTGTCAAAACGAACCAATCAGCTCTCTGTAAAACAGACCAATCAGCTCTCTGTAAAATGGACCAATCGGCAGGATGTGGGTGGGGCCAGATAAGGGAATAAAAGCAGGCTGCCCCAGCTGGCAGTGGCAACCTGCTTGGGTCCCCTTCTGCACTGTGGAAGCTTTGTTCTTTCACTCTTTGCAATAAATCTTGTTGCTGCTCACTCTTTGGGTCCACACTGCCTTTATGAGCTGTAACTGTAACACTCACCGCAAAGGTCTGCAGCTTCACTCCTGAGGCCAGCGAGACCACAAACCCACCAGAAGGAAGAAACTCCGAACACATCCAAACATCAGAAGGAACAAACTCCGGACACACCATCTTTCAGAACTGTAACGCTCACCGCGAGGGTCTGCGGCTTCATTCTTGAAGTCAGTGAGATCAAGAACCCACCAATTCCGGACACACCAGCACACCCGGGATTATGGCCTAGCCATAAGCCATTCCACTGAAGACAAATACCTCTTTCCCAACAGTCCCAGCAAACATCTGTCTCTTTATTGCCTCTAAACAAAGTAATTCAGCTGGATCTTGTTCTTCAGCCAATCACCGTGGCAGGGAGTAGAAGTAATCTGCTGATTGGCTGGGGCAGGAGCCTGTGCCCAGTTCTGGTGGGACTGGAAGAGGTGCAGCCCCAGGTGAACCACAGGGACTGCGCATATGGGAGTGGAAAGACAAGTAAAGGATATTGGAGTGCTGCTATTAAATGAAATAGCTTAACAAATCTGGTTAGAATTTGAGCTCTCACTTGGTTTTGCTCATTGTGTTAAATTGGGAAATTCAGAGTGGGCCAGAGAGGGTCTTGAGCTTTCCCTAGAAGCTAATACAAAGGAAGCAGAGCTCTAGTCACTTTTCATTTTCAACTGGAGATGTGGTGGTGGTGAACTAACTTTAATAGGATATTTATGTGCTTATTCCTATACTTACTTGGAAAGAGAATACTATCTCATCATATATATATATATATATATATACTTATAGACTAAAAAAGGTCCATGGATCAGCTTTTGGAAGCCACTAATGTGGATTCTGGATTCTTTTCTGATGAAAAGAAGAAAAGTATCTAATGACTAAAATTTCATCAGTACCCTTTCCCAGAATAGTAGCTGTAATTCTCAGAAACCCAAGAGAGAGCTAGGAAGTGTTTCTCTTACATGCAGATATATATTTTTGATATGTACATTTCATGGAGTTGTAATGTTAATGGCAGTTAATAGAACAGGCTGTGGATCCAGACACCTGGGTTTGAATCCTAGCTCTGCCACTTCCTGGCAGCGTAAACTTTGGTAAAGTGTTTAGTGTCTCTGTTTCCACCTCTATACTATAGGGATAATAATAGTGCTCACTCCTGGGGCTTTGATTAGGATTAAGTGAGCTAACATTCGTCAAGTGCTTAAAACAGTGCTTGGCACCTGGTAAGTGATACGTAAGTGTTTGTTACTGCTAACTTCATTTCTCCCTTTTTGTTCCGATCAGGCTGAATGAAATATTCTGTCTTTTTTTTTTTTTTAAGAGGGAGTTTTGTTCTTGTTGCCCAGGCTGGAGTGCAGTGGCGCAATCTTGGCTCACTGCATCCTCCGCCTCCTGGGTTCAAGCGATTCTCCTGCCTCAGCCTCCCGAGTAGCTGGGATTACAGGCTCCCACCGCCACGCCCGGCTAATTTTTTTTATATTTTTAGTAGAGATGGGGTTTCACCATCTTGGCCAGCTGGCCAGGCTGGTCTCAAACTCCTGACCTCAGGTGATCCGCCCACCTCGACCTCTGAAAGTGCTGAGATTACAGGCGTGAGCCACTGCACCCGGCCATATTCTCAGTTTTTAATAGGGTTTTCTCTTGCCCTTTTAGCAAACAAGGAGTTAAGATGGCCAGTGTGTTAAGGGATAATAACAAGGTTATTTTGTGGTGTAGAGAGATTCAATCAGGACTTGGACTTCATCAAACCTGGGGGACCCTAATGAGTCACTCTGCCTCTTTGAACTTCATTTTCTCTTGCATCTAAAGAAAGTTAAAAAGTTACCCAGCTTAATCTCTAGCTTCATTGTGCAGATAAAATAAAATAGAGAAGAGAAAATGCATAGACATTACTAAAGGTCAGAATTTTGTTGGAGTTCATGGAGAAAGTAGGCTCTCTGGAAGAGCACAGCTAGGGGGAAATGCAGGTATATAGATGACAACAAGGCAATATAATAAAAGTCACAATGAGGCAGTCACAGGATGCTGTGGGTATAGAGACAAGAGACCTCAGCTTGTCTTTGATAGAGAGACTATCAGGTGTTGAAAAGTATAATAACAATTATTATTACTGTGACTGTAATTTCTTGGGCAGTGGCTATTGGCAAGTACTTTATAAACGTCTGATCTTTACATGAACTTTATGATGGGGCTGCCAGTATTCTCCCTATTTTATGAATTCCAAAAGTGAGACTCAGAGTCTTGTGTAGCTGACAGTCTCACACATGCAGTGCATGGTGCTGATAGTCCATACAATATACTTCTCCATGGTGCTGAGGACTTTCTGGAGGACGTAATGCTGGGATGAGAGCTGAGAAATCAGTAGAGCTGGTTAGGAAAGACGGAGTTGAAGAGCGAGCACAAATAAAGGCAGGAAGTGCTGTCTCAACCCTGAAGTGGAATCCTCCATTAAATAATCTGATATAACGGTGTGCCATGGTAAATGCACAGACTGTAACAATCTATCAAATATTTCCAGCTTCTTGGAGAGAGAGAACAAATGAACAAGGGACATTATCATGGCAGCAATCAGGCTTGTCTAAGCAAATAAATTGCTCCTCTCTTGCTAAATAATGATTTAAAGTGTTGTTTATGTTTCCAACTTCATGACTGCCTCATAAAAGAAACGAAAACTCCAGCAATACCCTGAAGATGGGATGCTAAAGCAGCATATTTCTCTGCAAACCTCCTATTTCTGTTAACTTTGTAGCTTCTTCATAAATTTGCTGCTTTGGGCATTGTTCCCCCTCATGTTCCTTCTCTCATGTAGGGAAATGGTTTATTGGAAATATCCCATTTGGCTATTTCGAAGCAATTATTTATTTATTTCCTAGGTTTATTTAAATCCCCTTTGCCTGTGCCTAAGGGCTCTGGGCACTTGCACAAGAATAGGTAAATGGGACAGGCAGTCTGTTTTCTGTAAGCAGCTGTACTCTTCTGAAATAACTGAGGGCCCCTGGCCATGCCCCGTGTGGAAAACGAACCATGCTCCGAATCTTCAAGGTTAATGTTTTGGGAAGAAAGATCAGGAAAGCCTTCTCGTTTCTGTGTCTAGATTCTGGAAGGGTCCCTTGATTTTCTCCTTATTCATTTAATAAGTTGGTGAATATTTATTCACCAACTACTTATTAGGCATTTTGTTGTAACAGGCACTCTGCTAAATTAAAGGACTGCTGAGATAAATAAGATGTAGATCCTATCCCCGAAGGACTCACGGTCTAACTAGTGGATAAGCAAACAAATGAAAATTGCCTAGGAAGGCATGTACAAGGATGTAGCAGCATATATGTTGAGAAGTAGCTAAATAAATTGTGACAAGCAGTAGATAGAATTAGATAATCTAAATGTTCTAATATGCTTAGGTTTCTGAGACATACACGGAATGGGAAAATGATACGTTGAGTGTGACACAGTTGTGTGAGAGACATTATAAATCTGTGTCAACTTGGTGGTTAACCTGGAAGTTGAGTAGTGGAAACAACTAAGATATTTTCTTGGTGGGCATGGAGAAGGGTGGTTAAAACTTTCAGAAGTTTTAACTTCATCTGTAATTTTTTGACCAATGAATGTATTTGTATCACACTTGCATATTTAGAGTCCATATGCTAAACACATTAGATGCATGGATAGGCTTCAGGCATAATATAGGAGAGCATTTCAGGAAGAAGGGAAGGTTTCCTGTAAGAGAGCACATCTGAATAGGGCTTTGACAAATAGATAGGAGTTTTGCAGAATGATGACACTGAACAACAGGCCTACAAATAGGAAGAAACTGCAGGGGATGATGTGCAAAAGGTAGGTACAAGTCAGATCCTTCCAAGTATTTCACATATACTCTCTCTCTGAGAACCCTTACAACTGCCTGGGGTGCAAGTATGATAGTATTTCTCACGTTTTGCAAATGAAAGAACTGAGGGACAGACAGGAAAGTAATCACAGAGGAAACTCAGTTCTTTCCCAAGGCTTTTGCTATGAACAGGCACAAATTATATCAGGAGATTGGACAAGACCATTCAAGATGCTAAAAAAAGGTATGTATATTGTGGTTGCACTTATGTAAATAAATGCGTAAAAGAAATGCTGACTGAAAATATACCAATGAGCCAGAGCAGTGGAATCGTGGGTAGCTTTTTCATCTTTTTTTTTTTTTTTTTTTTGGTCAAGTGAGGTGCTGTGGTTATGTTACCTTTATAATAAAAACTGTGCTTCTATAAATAATGAAAAGACTTTTACCTCAAGGCTCCAGAGCTGCCAGTAAATAATTATGGGATGACACAGGCAGAAATAAGAGAAGTATCCCTTAGGCTTCTGTGCTTACTTGGAAAGGGAGCAGAGAGGACATCAGCTCATTTCTGTGCAGCTGGACTTGAATTGGAGATCCTCAAACCTGACCTCAGTCTCCCATGTGCAAAATGTGTGTCTGGGTCTGCATTTTCCCAAACATAGATTTTGTTCATGAGATGTTTTTAGAAAGTAAATGGAGAAACAGGACACTGTATAACACTGAATCACACAGGATGAAGGTTTTTGCCTTTTCATTCTTTTGATCTTTCTGGGTAAAAACAGAAAATCTTATTTTAGGGACAGAATATTTTTTAACACCTCTCTATCATCTACTAGTTGCCTTTACTACCTCCTCCTTTCCATTTTCCTTCCTTCCTTCTTTTCTCTTTCCTTCTCTCCCTCACTTCCTTTCTCTCTCTGTCTCTCTTTTTCTTTCTTAAAAAAAGAGCAAGACCTAGGCTCTTTTTATTCTCTTTTTTCATTTTACTAATTTTTATAATTTCCTTCTATTTATAGCAAGTGATATAAAGTTTTCTTTTAAAAATAAATACAAAAATATTTTATGTCAAACTATAATTCAAGTTCATGAAAGATAGTCATTGTTGGCTCAGGTGGTGAATAAATATGGAGGATAAATCATCATAAAGTTTCAGAACTCTGAACTATCTGGTCTCTGACCCTGACCAGTTCTGAGATTCCAGGGGGTGTAGGAGGACCAGGGGCCTCAGTCCTTCATCAGTGGTTGAATCTGCACAATGACATCTAGGACACCCACCTTCTCTGCTAAGCACTAGCTTTCCTGAGCACCTGGCATCTGAAGGCTCAGTGAATGCTCGTTGCCATTGATCTTCCTCCTTTTTTTGGTAAAGGATGGGCACACATGCACAATCCAAGAATGATAATATCTAGAGCATGAAGTCAATATATTATTCTAAAAGCTTAGAATCTGTATGCAAGGGTAATTGCTAGGCATTTCTACCCTCATGTCCATCAGTGAAAGGAAGGGATAAAGGGAAATGAACAATTGTTGAGTACTTACTGTGTACATCAAACCATTAGATACTTTACCTTGCTACAAAATTGAGGTTGGGGAGATTAAGTCATTTATCCAAAGACACACAGCTGTTAAGTTGGGAATCAGGATCTGAGGACAAGTCTCTGACACCAAAGCCATTGCTGTTTCCATGAGGCACTCTTGTCTTACATGGTGAGGATTCCAATATAATCTTCATACAGGGATAAGAAAAGGATTAACTTTTAATTTTCTATTTTTTACTCTGCTCCCATCAGACTGAAGCCCCTCTGGGCCCTACATATGCTTCCTTTTTTGACCACAAACCTTGGCAGTTTCTCTGTCTAGAATTCCCTCCTTGTCACCTTCTCTGCTTTCCAAACGAGAGTCACCTGTCACCTCCTCCAGGAAGCATTGGGCATAATTCCACCTCACATTTTCTTTCCCTTTTTGATAGTGTCAGTAGTGAGACTAGAGACTCATCAGATCTCACATGTGGGAATCCAAATCCTGACTCTGCCACTTCCTAGTTTTGTAAGTTTGGGCAAATTATTGAACCTTTGTAAGCCTCCAGTTGCTCATCTGTAGAATGGGCTCAACATTATTAGAGCTAAATCTCATAGTCAGTTTCCAGAATTGAGCTGGGATATTAATCAGATAGTTCTCTTTCTCCTTTCTACTGTCTTCCCATCCTGAAGGCTTTTGCCCACTGCTGCTAGGGTTCCTTCTGCAATGGGGATTTTATTGTCTTATTCCTCCTCAAAAATATTTGAAGATTGCCACTGTTTCTTTGGGTAAAATATCATGGTAGAACGGAAGTGAACAGAGGTAGCCTCTCTGTCTAAAATTCATTAAACCCAGAGCTACCTCCTTATTCTCTCAGAGATTTATGTGCTTATCTATAAAACTAGGAAAATGAAGTCTACTCCACAGGATTTAGGCAAAGTGCCTATAAATGAACATAAACATTGCTCTGTTTCACAGAAATGTAATGTCAGGTATCATGATAAGCCCTGGGGATTCAGATTAAAAAATAATTCAATTATTCATTCATTCATTCGATAAATATTCATTTGGTACCTACTATGTGCCTGGCATTGTCCTAGGTACTGGAGATACAGCAGTGAATGAAATAGTAATGGAATTTATATTTTTAGTGTATCTATGAATTTAGGTTCCTATCACTTACATAGTCCAGAAAGAGGATATAGATTATTGTAAAACTAAATGATAGAAGTGGTGTAGTACAGATGTTGAACTTAAGCTCTGGAATCAGAGAGCTCTAGGTTCAAATTGCAACTCTGCTGCTTACCAGTTGTGTGACCCTGGGCAGGTGCATTGACACCTCTAAGCATAAATATTGTCAATCTTTTGAAGCCGTTTTAATGATCAGATAAGGCAAGGTATGAAGGTTGCCAGCACATCACAAGTGGTCCCTGGATGAGCATCCCTCCAATTCCTACACAGGGTTGCCTTCTACCCACCCCACCTCCATAATTCCCTGCACAGTGTCCTATGGACAGTAGGTGTTCAATATGTGTCTGTTGATTGAATAGTAAAAAGCTATTAGATACCAGCAAGCAGATGCATTAACCACCTCACAGGTCAGCAACTCTCACTTACCCACATATGAGGTACTTGCCATTCGACATGACTCAAATAGATATTACTTTCCCACTAATGCAACCCAAAAGAATGAGCTAAATTTACTTCCTGCCTGAGAAGAAATTTCGTTGCTGTTAAGTGGTTGTGCAGAGGAATAAGTTCCTAAGCAAATTAAAATATCCTTGATCTACCTAGATGCCCTTGACGGTATAATGCTTGATACAGTTTTCAGTAAGTTAGTCCAATTCCACTTGCAGTTTCATTTCTGCAAAAAATAAGAATAATCCATTACCCTTCTACCACTCAGTGTTTTTTTGTTTTGTTTTGTTTTGTTCTTTAATTTAGACGGAGTCTCGCTCTTGTCGCCCAGGCTGGAGTGCAGTGGCACCATCTCAGCTCACTGCAACCTCTGCCTCCCCAGTTCAAGTGATTTTCCTGCCTCAGCCTCCTGAGTAGCTAGGATTACAAGTGCCCGCCAGCACACCTGGCTAATTTTTGTGTGTTTAGTGGAGACGGGGTTTCACCATGTTAACTAGGCTGGTGTTGAACTCCTGACCTCAGATGATCTGCCCGCCTCGGCCTCCCAAAGTTCTGGGATAACAGGTGTGAGCTACTGTGCCCAGCCCAATGAGTGTTTTTCTAAGGACGAAAGTAGGCAATAGATAATAATAACTGTAGGAGAACCTGGGAGACAGAGGTTGCAGTGAGCCGATACCGCACCATTGCACTCCAGCCTGGGCAACAAGAGCGAAATTCCGTCTCAAAGTAAATAAAAATAATAATAACTATAGCAAAATTATTTCAAATAATTCCATTGCATAACACCTTTATAAGGTATCAGGAATTTTACATTGTACTCAAAAACATGAAAACAATGGAAGGAGCTCTGACAATTTTCCAGCTATGTGACCTTGGGCAACTTATTTAACATTTCTAAGGCTATTTTCTCATCTGTAAAATGGTTATAAGAATTGTAGCTAGCTAGCTAGGCTGGGCACGGTGGCTCACACCTGTAATCTCAGCACTTTGGAAGGCTGAGGCAGGCAGATCACCTGGGGTCAGGAGTTTGAGACCAGCCTGGTCAACATGGTGAAACCCCATCTCTACTAAAAATACAAAAATTAGCCAGGCATGGTGGCGTGTGCCTGTAATCCCAGCTACCCAGGAGGCTGAGGCAGGAGAATCACTGGAACCCGGGAGGCAGAGGCTGCAGTGAGCCAAGTTCGAGCCACTGCACTCCAGCCTGGGTGAGAGAACAAGACTCTGTCTCAAAAAGAAAAAAAAAAATTGTAGCTAGCTCATTGGGTTGTTTTGAGAATTAAAGGAGTTAACATACATAAAATCCCTAATACAATGCCAGGTGCATAATAGACTCTCATTGACTAGTTCACTTATTCTTTCATTTGTTCAATAAATATTTACTGAGAGCCAACTAGGTGCCAGGCACAAAGTTAGGTGCTTGGGATACAACAGTGAACAAAAGTGACAAATATCTCTGCCCTCATGGGGAGGTGGTGCGAGGCTCACTCTGACTTATCAAAGCCCCGTTGGCTTCTTGTGATGTCTCTGGCATCCAGATAGGTGTTGGTTGCCTTCCAGGAGTAAATTCTGCTTTATTTTCTAGGATAACTACACAGGGGAGGTGAGCATGGCAGAGGATAGAGGTAGCTGGAATTAAGAATCATGGCATGGGCCGGGCATGGTGGCTCATGCCTGTAATCCGAGCACTTTGGGATACTGAGGCAGGTGGATCACCTGAGGTCAGGAGTTCCAGACCACCCTGACCAACATGGAGAAATCCAGTCTCTACTAAAAATACAAAGTTAGCTGGGCATGGTGGCGCATGCCTGTAATCCCAGCTACTCGGGAGGCTGAGGCAGGAGATGCACTTGAACCCTGGAGGCAGAGGTTGCAGTGAGCTGAGATCGTGCCATTGCACTCCAACCTGGGCAACAAGAGCAAAACTCCGTCTCAAAAAAAAAAAAAAAAAAAAAGAATCATGGCACAGGCCTATGGATATGCCATCCTCCCAAGCTGTGTGTCAAAATTTAGTGGCATGAGGAGTTGGTAGTGAAGATAGCGTTCCTGCAGTGTTTCCCAACCCATCTGGAAATGATGCATTAGACGCAAGCTGCAAAGTTTCCTTTAGACCTAGAGCATTTCCAGGGTAATAAAATAGGTAGCAGAATCAATATTTAAATACTGTCTGAGTGCCTCAAAGGCCGTGATTGAAAGTGAAATGGAAGATAGCAAAGCTGACATACATTTGATTATCTACTTTGTGTCAAAGGTTGTCATCGGACCTTTAAATATTCACAACTACTTGGGAATTTTTCTCCGAACATAGAAACTGGGTCTCAGAGAGCTGAAATGACTTGTGCACGATCACTCAACTATCGTGGGATACAGCTAAGAATCAAATCCAGGAATTGCTCTGCTATCTTTAACTGAGCATTTTCTACAATCTATCTAAAATTGGTCATATATGGGGTCTGGTTCCATCATGCAAGTGTGTCTTAAATGTCACATTTCACTGGAAATCATTGCAAGGGTTACACATAGCATTGGCAAATTGCAGCATGGGCGTGATCTTCCAGGTTTTGCAGTCTGTTGGTTTCAACGTTAACATACAAGGCTTCCTGGAGTACTAACAATCTTCTTCTGGTCTCCTCCCTTCTCAAATTACTTTGAGTTTCATTTTGTCTTCTTCTACATCACCACCTTCCTAAATCAGTGGCTGTCATGAAATGCACTTTAATTCTCCAAGCAGTAACCTTAGTGGTACTTACAGAGGTGTTAAATTTCCTCAATCTCTCACTCAGCTTTTATTTATTCATGTGTGAGAATGTGGTTGATTACATCTTCTTGGATTTAGCAATTTGCCAAAGAGGAGCAGGATGTATTTGCAGGAGCTATCAGCCCATCGAATCAAATTAAACAGGAGGGAGGGCTGGAGTAGGGCATGTGTTGGAATTTGCAGCTTTGGTTCCTCCAGCATTTCCAAAGCCTAGCTTCATTTCAGAGTTGGGCTTAATTACAGAAGAGTGTCTGATCCTACAAATTGTATGAATTAAGGGGCCCAGGAATTTCTTGGTAATACGTCAATGTCCAAATAAGATTCTGCCAAGACTTTGGGTCCATCAATTAATGAGTTATTAAGTAAGCCAGCCCATAAAGTATTTCATGACTTTGCCTCTGTCTTTACCTCCAGAGCCTTCTCTTGCTCCATGTCACGGTTGTTTACACTTACAGGGTAGCCTTCTCATTATCCTTCTATTAACTTTTTTCTTCTCTCCCTCATTCATATGGTTGCAGTCTGAGTGTCTAGGTTAGGACCATATGACTTCATGTACACAGCATTGGGCTGGGGATGGACCCCTAACCCAAGCTGGGAAAACAGACTCTTTCACTGAGAATTTGCTCGTGAGCCTCAGAGACCCCATCATTCATCATGCTTAGAGTATGACATATTTGGGAAGTTATTGGCAATAATGTTACCCAAAGAAGCCAGGCGACAAGAAGGAGAGAAGTAGGATAGGGAGAGAGAAAAATAGAAATGAGAGAAGAATGAGAATGTTGCACAGGAAGGACCAAAAAGGAGAGAGATAGTGTTTGCATAAGAGTTGAAGAAGGAAGAAAGAAACACAAAAAGCGGATCTACAGTCAAAGACAGGTTTATTTTAAAGAATAAACCTGAGAGAGGCTTCTGGGCAGTTAGGTCAGGAGCCTGCTCTCTTACAGACTAAGGGTACTTCAGGGTTCAGGGGCTCATGAGGAGAGGATGCCTTACCCTTCTAGGGCCCAATGGTTCAGTTAGGACCAGGTGTGCTATCTGTATAGAGCAGAGTTTTTATCAGCTCTCACCCCATTTCAAGACCACATAGGCCAACTTTTAGTCTTTGTCTCTTTGTCTTGCTTATCTAGGAGGGAGAGTTTTTGTGTCTGTTCCCATACATCTTCCTGCAGCTGCAAGCATACCCCCTCCGCCGAGTCTGTTCTTAGCTTCCCTAATTTAGTGCACCGAAAGGGAAAGGAATGTGCTTATTGGGACCCCCTGTTTTACTGGGGCCCATTGTACAAGTGTGAAGTTTGGTGGTTACCCAAGAGACTTCTCCCCTCTTTCTGTGCCAGAGCTGTCTTATCTGTGCTTTACTGTGTTCTCTTTCTGGCTGCTTGTTGTTAGAAGAGAAGTGATTTCCTTGAAATGCATGAGGTTAGAAAGGGAGCTGGATCTTAAAGTGGTAGTATTTGTCCGAGATGATGGTGCTCCTGCTCTTTACATTTAAACCTGGTTCTATTAATACCTTAGACTCAACTCACTAATACCATGGGATGCTCTAGTTTTGTTTTGTTCTTGTTTTTATCTTAATGACAAATTTCTTTTATATTTTAGGTGATTTTACTTTGAGTTTCTGTAATTTGCAATCAAGAAATACTATTAAAGCGCAAATTCCAACAAACCACCCAGCTTTCAATTTCCCACACCTTTCATCCAGCCTTAAGCTTCCTGGCCTCTGTTTACACTGCTGCAATATCCTGGACTGCCCTCGTGGGTGCTGCCAGCCTGAGTTTCTTCCTTTTCTGTGAAGCCCTTGCCTGTTGCCAAGCCTGGGCCAGCACCAAGTGGGTTGCTGTGCACTGGCTAAGTGCAAAAAACTAGGGCCAGATGGATTCTGAGTTAGAATCTTGGCTATGCTGTAACCTTGGGCCAATGACATAATTAAGGTGTCTGTTCCTAAATATCTTCAGCTGCAAATAAAGATGAAAATACTAGTTCCTGTCTTGTAAATGTTGGTATGAGAATCAACTGACATATTATATGCACAGCACTGAAAACAATGCCTGGAACACAGAGTAGATGTCAATTGTACCATCATCATCATCATCATGATTATCATCATCATCATAGCTACCATCATCATCATCATTACTCTTATCCAGTCTCCATGTGTCATCAGACTGAATTTACTTTGTAAGGTTATTGTGGTTGAATTAGTTTTCCATTGCAATAACTAATTACCATAAACTTAGTGGCTTAAAAAAGACCCTTTTGTTAGCTCATGCTCTATAGGTCAAAAATCTGGGGATAACATTGCTAGATTCTCTGTGCAGGGTCCTACAAGTCTGCAATCAAGGTGTTAGCTAGGCTGCATTCTCACCTCAATCTCGGCATCCTCTTCCGAGTTCATTCAGGTTGTTGGCAGAATTCAGTTCTTTGTGGTTGTAGGACTGAGGTCTCTGTTTCCTTGCTGGCTGTCAGCTAGGGGCCATTCTCAGCTGTTAGAGGCCACCCATGTGCCCTGACCCATGGTCCCCTTCATCTTCAGAGCTAGCAATGGACAGCTTCACTTGTGTCAAATCTTTTATTTTAAATTTCTTACTCCTCTGTCTCTGACCACTACACTCAGATTTAAAGGGCTCTTGTGATAAAGTCAGACCCACCCAGTTAATCTTCTTACTCAAAGTCAACTGTGCCATCTAAGGAAACACAGTCACTGGAGTGAAATCCATCATAACCACACTGCTTGGAATTATGCAGGGACAGAGAATCTTGGGGTCCACCTTAGAATTCTGCCTGCCACCATGGGTTTATAAAGAGATAACTTAGGTGAACTTCCGAGCATGAGACTTGGCACATGGCAGACATTCATTGACAGTGTCCATATATATTTTATTGTTTTAATTATTAGCATTAATCTCAGTCATTCTCAATTAGGCCTCTGTCTTTTCATTGTCAACACTACCTCCTTTGCCTTTTGTTTTAACTTACAAAAGAAGGCATTTGAATCCCTGCGAGCTTCAAAGATTTGTTGTTTGCTTCGTGTGTTTGGATAGAATAACCTGATGGAGGTCATGTTTGCTGCAATTGTTGGAAAACAATTGTTCCTAGGAAAGCGTTTTTAAAATGTTCACTCCCTGGAAGATTTAAATATTTTCCAAATGAAAAAGGTTTGCCCTTTGCAATTTGGATCCCATAACTGGGCTCAGAAAACTCTTTCCAGTAGTGGTGGAGTTAACAAGAGTAGAATAGATAGCTCTCCACTCTTTCTAGTTTTACCCAGTCCCACTGCCATGCTGGTATAGGTGACTGTGTGGAGGAGAAGCAAGTTTTTATGATGGATTTATCCAGAAAAGAAGCCCATTTATCAACTGTTTCTTGCCAGGGCATGTGCTGGGTCTTAGAGACTGAGCTGTGAAGAAGCCCAGCATGGAGCCCACTCCCGCCAAGAGCACATGCCAAGTCATGTGTCAGATGATTTCAGACAGGGTTAAGTGCTAGCAAGAAATGGACTTGGTGATGTTACTGAAAGCCGCTTAGAAAGGTGCTAACTTATTCTAATTGGTCAGGGAAGGCCTTTCTAAGAAAATGATATTTTGGCTGAGATCTAAATGATGCAAAGGAGCCAGCCCTCCAGAAGTGAGCAGAGTATTTGAGACACAAAGTGGAGTAAAGGCAGACGTTCCGACCTGGGAGGTTATATGGTGTGTTCAGGGAATGACTGGCACCGACTGAGTGAAGGAGAGAAGGCTAGTCAAGGAGGCAGGTAACTGGCTTTAGTGAATTTCCTGGATTAATTCTGTAATGTCTGTATTGTTTTTCATGTGTGGTCACGTAAGTCTCTCTCCAGTTAGCTTGGTGGTCAGCTAGTGGCTGGACAGGAAGTTTCTTTTTTTTGAGATGGCGTCTCACTCTGTCGCCCAGGCTAGAGTGCAGTGGTGTGATCTCAGCTCACTGCAACCTCCCTCCCAGGTTCAAGCAATTCTCTTGCCTCAACCTCCTAAGTAGTTGGGGTTACAGGCACCTGCCACCACGCCCAGCTAATTTTCGTATTTTTAGTAGAGACGGGGTTTCACCATGTTGGTCAGGCTGGTCTCGAACTCCTGACCTCAGGTGATTCCCCCCCCACCCTTGGCCTCCCAAAGTCCTGGGATTACAAGCGTGAGCCACTGCGCCCGGCCAGGAAGTTTCTTAAATCACTTAGGGCTTCCTAGGACACCCAGAAGGCTATGTGTTTTTCCAGATGCACTGTGATGTGAAGACACCAGAGAGGGTTAAGGAGAATGGTGGGATCTGACTCACATTTTAAAAACTTTTATGATTTGTTATTGTGTTGGCTGCCAAGCATCTTTTTATTTTTTACATATAATTCACATACCACAAAATTCACCATTTTAATGTATATAAATCAATGATTTTGAATATATTCATAAGGTTGGGCAACCATCACCACGGAATGTGATTTACATTCTGGACTGTATGAGGCAAGGCAATGAAGACCCTGCAGCAGCCCAGGGAATATTGGATGGGGGCTGGGCCAGGGCAGCCGTGGTGATGGAGAGGAGTGCATAGTCCAGAAACTCCCAGTTATCCAAGTCAGGCAACCTGATGTGGTGACAAGAGCACAAGCTATGGGGCTGGACAACTTCCCTTTCTGTCTACCACTTACTAGCTGCCTAACCAGAGTCAAATCACTTAATTGGTCTGAGCCTTAGTTTCTCAATCTGAAAAATGGGACTGCGAATACTTACCTCGTGTGTTTGTTGTGAAAATCAAGTAAGATAGAATGCATAGGTGTCTACCACAGTGTCCAGTATATAGTGTGTGTTTCATAAACTTTGTTTTTCTTCTGTTTTGAGATTTTTCAGGTTGAATCTTCTTTCCTCTCTGCCCCCTGCCTCCACCCACCCGCAGAAGGTAGCCCCATCATAGGACTGGCTTTCCAGAACTCTGTGCAGGCAGGCTTTCCCTGAGCCAATTTCCCAAATTTGGAAAGAATCCTTTGGAAGAACTGCTTGGCCTTTCACCTGCCAAAAAAAAAAAAAAAAAAAAAAAAAAACTTTTCATGGACAGAATTATGCACAGTTTTTGCTCTTTCTTACCAAAAGAGGATCTGAACACCCACTTTACAGAGCAAAGACTAAGTGAGACCTGATATGAGGCTCCATAAAAAACACAAGGGGCTGTGCAAAGGCAGAGGGGCGTTTGTGTGATTTCCTATCTGTAAATACAGAGCAGAGTCATTTCTTCTGTGCACTGTTGAGCTATGTAGGCTCGATTGCAAAAAAACTACAGACATAACCCTTTATTTACAGGATGGCCACATGTCCCGGTTTGTCCTGGTATGTTCTAGTTTACGCCTACTGCCCCAGCATAATTATTAATAGCTTCTCCTTTCACTGTTCAAAGTGGTCTGGTTTGGACAATAAATTATGTGTTCACTTGATTTATTTACTTTGTCATTTTCCCCACAGGTCAAATTAGACCTTTTCCTTTATTGCTTCAGCTGAAATATCCAAAGAGCTTTGAATATTTTTTTTTGCCCGCTTCTCCACCTTCAGAATTTAAAGTTAACATTAAGATGTGATTAATTCCATTATATAAGGTTTCTGTAAAATATTAATGAAAACAAACTTTTTTCTATGTCCTCTAACTGAAACAAAGTGAAATGAGGGACCCGTTTAGGCTGATGTCTGTCTTAAGCAGTGAAGAAAATTGATGTATTTGTGTGTGAGATGAATGGAAGAAAGCAGGATGTAGGTCTCTGCTTTTTCTTCTTACTGGCATTGAAAGTCTAAGGAGGAAACCAAACTTCCATTGATGCTTTTAGAGTAGGCTGTCCTGGTGATATATTAGCCATGAGTCAATGCTAATGTTAAGGCTGCAGCTCAAAGATAACCCAAAATGCATCCTAAAAGCACTAGGCTTCCCACACACCCTGGTGGAATATCAAGGTTAAGGTGGCAACTATTAGGTCAACTTGGGATTTAGCATTTTTCATACCAGCACTTGAGTTGAAATAATTTTATGGAATGGACCTATAGAATTTGGATTAGATAGCAAGGGAAAATAAAAACAGAAAAGAAGATTTGCATCTAACAGAATCTGGATCAAGTCATGGAATATGCTTCTGGTTGGTGTTTGGCTGGAATTAATTTTGAAAACATGTTTTTCATGCCTAACAGTTTTGCTTCCAACTTTTGACTAGACTACTCTTACCTCAGCTGGTGTCATGACGGAAATGTCCTAATTAGGAAGGGTTACTATTGGTTAAAATCACTTTGAGCTGCATGTATAGGTCACCAATAAGATTGGCTAAAGGAAAGAATTTTATTTTTCTCACGTGGCAAGATATTTGAAGCAGGCAGCTGCTGATATTTGTTCAGCAGCTTAGCAATGCCAGAGACAATATCTAAATGATTATCTTAGCTTTCCTCTCACCTTAGTTGCCTCATCATCATAAAAACACGGCATCTGTGTGCATTAATCCATCTGTATACGAGAAAGAAGAAGAAAGATATGGAGACCTTTTTATGAGGAAAAACCAAAAGACTTCCTAGCACATTTCATTGGCCAAAACAAAGTCACACGAACACCCCAATCCACAAGGGAAGCTGGGGCGTGAGTATTTGGGGCTGTTTTTTAATGAAACCGGTCTTCATTAGTAAAGGAGAAAAGGGTGAATGAGTCATAGTGGTTGACTAAGAATATCTGTCACAGGACACATCTCAATCTGATTTTGTTATTTGAATGCTCTGTTCTAGATGTTAAGGATGTACAGCCATGTTGACCAAGTGCTTACTATGTGCCCACTGTGTTAGTTGTTCAAATAAAAAATAGTCAAAATAACAGCCAATGCTTTTAAGGAATTTAAAATTAAGTTCTTAATTATTCTTTGGGTCCACATTACTTAGCACAGAGCTAGGAGCATAGTAGATTCTGAATGTGTGTGATAAAGAATTCATCCACATGACAATTAGAAAAGAAAGCATAAAATTATCAACGATTGAGTCCTGTGTGTAAATCCTCACCACTCAAGGAATGGTCCAACAACCTACAGCATCAGCACCATTGGGAGCTTATCAGGCACCTCCCTCTAGACCTACTTAATTGGAGTCTGCCATTTAACAAGACCCCTTGGTGATCTATGTGCCCATTAAAGATTAAGAAGCTCTGGTGCTACAGTAATGCTTGAAGTGCCTTGATCATATTTGCAGAACCAAGACTATAAACTTGGACAAGAGCAAGAGTAGATGCTCCTCTGATATAGGGGAATGAGCATATTCAGAGGAGTCATTTGTCTAGGACTTAAATCCAGGTGTCTCCATTTCCTTGGTGGGTGACCAATTACTTAGTTTCTGATGCTCCGTTAACTCTCCTGGAAATTACTGGGATGGTAGTCACTATTCCAGTAGGGAGGTATAAGGAACAGAATATCTGAAGTGTTAAGCACAGTGCCTGGAATGTTGTGGGGGCTCAATCAATGCACATTTCTAAGAATACTCAAAATTAGAACTGTCGTACAACTATTAGGGTCTGAAGTCACTCTTGCCAAGGATTCGAGGAAAGACCTAATGATCATTGTGACTTAGAGCCATCATGCAAAGCATGAATGTGGCTTAGAACATGGCAGAGGATTGGCATGTGTATCAGTTAGTTTTGGCTACCATAACAAAATATCATAGGCTGGGTGGCTTAAACAACAGAAATTTATTTTCTCATAGTCTGGAAATCAAAATACACATTTGATTTCTGATGGACTCTCTTCCTGGTTTGTAAATGGCCACCTTCTTGCTATGTTCTCATATACCCTTTCTTCTGTGTGTAGAGAAAAAGCAATCTCTGGTGTTTCTTTGTCTTTTTATAAGAATACTAATCTTATCAGATTAGAGGATCACCTTTGTGTCTTTATTTAACCCTAATAACTGCCCCCCAAATCCCTATATTTAAATCCAGTCACATTGAGGATTCAGGCTTCAATATATAAATTTTGGGGCAAATACAATTCAGTCCTTAACAGAGAAAACATCACAAATCAAAGGAAAAGCTAGAAAGGCATCTGTGAAGAAACCCACCTATATGAGTGTATTCTTTTCTCAGGGCTGCTATAACAACTTACCACAAACTGAGTGGCTTAAAACAGCAGACAGTTATTATATCACAGCCCTGGAAGCCAGAAGTCTGAAATCAAGGTATTGACAGGGTCATGCTTTCTCTGACTGTGCTAGGAGAGAATCCTTCCTTGGCCCTTCCCAGCTTCTGCTGTTTTCTGGCAATCCTCGGCATTGCTTGGCTTGTGAATGCATCATTCTGGTCGCATGGCCATCTTCTCTGAGTGTCTTCATATAATCTTCCCTCTGTGCATGTCTGTCTCTGTGTCCAAATGTTCCCTTTTTATAAGGACACCAGTCATATCAGATTTGGGCCCATCATAACCTCATTTTAACTCAATTACTTCTGGTAAGACCCTGTTTCCAAACAACCTCACATTCTGAGGTACTGTGGATTAGGACTTCAACATAAATTTTTTTGAGGAGGACACAGTTGAGCTTATTACACTAAGTAAGGGGGTAAGAAGTGGATGTAATTCTTTGGACAGAAGGGATTGACACTATGGGAGACAACCTAATGTTCTGGAGATGGCCACAGCAAAGTGTTATACACACACACAAAATCAGTTTGGAAACAACCAGTGAAATGTAGTGCTTTCTTTCCAAAAACTATTGTGGGCAAGAATTTCAGGAATTATGTCTTTACATTGCTTAGTTGATTGAGGTTTGGGATAACACTCTTGTTTTTCTGCTGTCTGTAAAATCTTTCAAAACTATGTCATAGGGACCTTCCTGAGTAAATGACAGGAAGACACATTGCAAGAAAATTTCTGTGACTTAATATGGTAAGAGGTTAAAGGATTTTCTCTCTCTCTCTCTCTCTCTCTCTCTCTCTCTGTCTCTCTCTCTCTCTGCCTGTGGTGGCAGCAGCAGCTGTCTCTTTCTCAGCAGTGACAGGCTGGGAAAATGGAAAATGAATGTCAGCTGGGTGTGGGTGTGATTTCTCTTTGCTCTAGTGGGCGGGGGGGCTTTATCTTGGAAGGTAAGGAGCCTTTTTCATCTTGGCCTAGGAAACTGAAAAAGTGACTGTCAGTTTGCAAATGAGGACTTTGCAGCTTCCAGGGTCACTTCCTACTAGGAGACATGGAAAGGAGCCAGTTTGGATTCTGATTACATCCAAATTGGAGGCAGCCTTTGGGAGAAGCTGGGAGGGTTGTTTGGTGCTGTCATCTGAAAACTGTTGAGGTAGATCCAACATGGCCCTGAGGCAGAGAAAAACAGTTATTGACAAAGCTGGCTTCCCAGACAGAAGATCCTAAGAGTAGACTTGAAAAAGTGAGTGATCAGACCCCATCCTGCCCTTCCTTCTGAAAGCCAGCAGCTCTTCTGCACCAGAAGTGTGCTGCAAAAATGCCAATTATGTGAGTTGATATATTTGCCAGCTCCCTTCCACCACGTCTCCTGATAGGAGTTTGTGGCATGTCATTAGAATCCTAATGCATTCAGCCTAGGGCTTCTCTCCACCTGTTATGTTTCACCCTTGGTGGGGATGCTGTAGTTGCTCCCTTGCTTAGTGTATTTATTGACAAGAACATGCCTCTTGGAAGGCCCTGGGGTGTCCCACTCACCGCCCTCTGCTTGTCTCTGGTCCCCTGCTTGGCTCCTGTGGTTTAATTGCCCAGCTTTTGGCTTATGACTCCAAATTTCTAGCCCCAGGTAATAGTCTTTTAGGAGTTCCAACCTGTGTTTGTTGATTAGACATCACCACCTAGAAGCCTCCCCACAGACACCTTGAACACACCTTCAAAATGAATTTCATCAACTTTCTTCCGAACCTGCTCATGTACCAAAACTCAGACAAGGGCACCAGCTAGCCATGCCATCCTCCGACTCTTCCTTCTCCTTACTGGAGTTGTGAAGTCAAGTTGACTTGAAGTCCTCAGTATATTTTGAGTTGCCCACAGCCTCTTGCTGTCCATTGCCACTGGCTTGGTTGAGTCATCAACATTCTCCTGGGAAAAACTGCACTGGTACCACCTTTCATGGCTTTCTTTACCTCATATCCAGAATTTTTTTTTTTTTTTTTGAGACGGAGTCTCACTCTGTCACCAGGCTGGAGTGCAGTGGCATGATCTCACCATCTCAGCTCACTGCAACCTCTTCCTCCCGGGTTCAAGTGATTCTCCTGCCTCAGCCTCCCAAGTAGCTGGGACTACAAGCATGTGCCACCACGCCCAGCTAATTTCTGTATTTTTAGTAGAGACGGGGTTTCACCATGTTGGCCAGGATGGTATCAATCTCTTGACCTCGTGATCCATCTGCCTTGGCCTCCCAAAGTGCTGGGATTACAGGTGTGAGCCACCATGCCCAGCCTCCAGAAAGATTTTTATGATACACAAATGTGATCCTGATTGTTCCCTCTCTCCCTGTGTCAAACCTTTCAATGGTTCCCTCTTATCTGCAAGATAAATGCTCAACTCACTAACACAATGCATGAAGCTCTTTAAGCTCTGGCCTTCATCTTCCTGGCTCTATCTCATAGAACTCCTTTCTCCTTTTCTTCGCTTGCCTCTTTTTTTTTTTTTTTCAAGAGTCAGCTGAGGGGCTACTTCTGGAGGAAGAGTTTCAGGCACCCCCAGACTGAGATAGAACTTCTTCCCAGCACCCTCCCCCAAAAACATACTGAACCTTTACTACGGGGGACTGAAAACATGTTTTGTTGTCTGATTATATATCAGATAGCAATAAAAATTAAAACTGTATTTTTTGAGTGTTCACTATGTTCTGGGCATTTTTCTAAGTATTTCCGTGTAGTAATTAATCTAAAACTCTCAAGAATTCTCTGAAGTAGGTACCAAATTTTGAGCTCCTTGGAAGCAGGGACTGTGGATTGTTTCTTTCGCAATTAGGTATTGCCAGTGCCTAATTCTAAACCAGACACATAGAAGGGACACACTCTCTCTCTCTCTCTCTCTCAATAACTCAGTGAATGGATAGATGGATGGATGAATCAGTGAGTTATTCAATGTAATACAGTGCCTTTCTGTCCATACTGCTTAATACAATTATTCATTTGTCACTTTGATGCCTGAATATTTTGGATTCTTGAAAAAAAGGGCCCACTATTTGAGAAATCATATGGACTTATTTCTGTAAATCAAGAAAGTTTACCCAGAGGCAAAACTGTTTGGGTCTTACATCTATGACAAATTAATATGAGCACCATCTGACTAATTGCAGCGGCTTTGGTTTTATTAACATCATTTTGCATGAGCAAAGGACTTTTCATCAAAAGCAAGTTATTTACTGTTGAGGGAACTAAACACAATCATGTTGGATTTATTGGGTTTTTTTTTTTAACTTCTGTTTGAACTTGAGTGTGTTTCTTCACTTCTTTGAGCCTGAGCATTATCTGAAAAAATTGGTATAACAGCACCAACTTCACAGAACTCAGGTTCTGTGAAGACATTCTAGCACACAATAGATTCTCTGTGTGAAAGACTACCTCTTCCCATTGATCGTGGTTCTAATTGCCATTTGGTTCCTTCTCTGCATTCATATTGAACTCGTATAACTGGTGTGACCACTGGAAGTGCAAGAACAGAACAAATGAGGAACTGAGATGGACTATGGATTTTTCCTTGGAGCCCCGGGAGAGTGTCATTTGCCCCCGGCACCGCCAGTGTAGTCACCTTCAATCAGGTTTCCACAAAGGGCCAAAGAGGCCCTCTGTATTAGTTTGCTAGGGCTGTCATAACAAAATAACACAAACTGAGTGGCTTAAACTGCAGAAACTTATTTTTCCACAATTCTGGGGGCTGGAAGTCCACGATCAGTGTGTCAGCAAGGTGTTGGGTTCCCAGAGGCCTTCCTTTTAGACTTGCAGACATCCGGCTTCTCACTGTGTCTTCATGCCCTTTCCTCTCTGCACACACACCCCAGTGCCTCTTTGTGTCTCCAGATTTCCTCTTATAAAGACACCAGTGGGGCCGGGTGTGGTGGCTCACGCCTGTAATCTCAACACTTTGGGAGGCCGAGGCGGGAAGATCATGAGATCAGGAGATCGAGACCATCCTGGCCAACATGGTGAAACCCCGTCTCTACTAAAAGTACAAAAATTAGCTGGGTGTTGGGGCACGTGCCTGTAGTCCCAGCTACTGGGAGGCTGAGCCAGGAGAATCAGTTGAACCAGGGAGTCAGAGGTTGCAGTGAGCCCCGAGATCGCGCCACAGCACTCCAGCCTGGCAACACAGCGAGACTCCATCTAAAAAAAAAAAAAAAAAAAAGAGTGAGATATGTTTTAAGTACTTAATTATATATTGTCTTGTGTGTGCCACTTCCTTCCCTGTAACTATGACAAGTGACTTAAGCTCTCTGAGATCCAGTTTTGCCTTCTGAAAAATGAAGTCAATGATATTTTTCTCCAAAAATGCTGGGATGATTCAACAGGATAATGGATGTGATATTTCTAAACCTTTATATGAGTGTCATTTCTTGTTTTTATCCCTCAGAGAGTATTGCCAAAATGTGGACACAGTGATATCCTCCCCAGCCAGGCCATGTTCATTGATTTCGTTTTGGCAGGATCCACAAGAAGACCCATTTTCTTCTGCTCAGTCAGACTTCAGCTCCAGGAGCTCACTGACACTTGATACCCTGCTGTCTTCCCGGGGTGACCACATGCTAGCCTCAACCTGCCTTTCTTCATACTTCTGCAAAATAGCATGGTCCTTAATAGCTACAACTCAGGTTTATTTTTAAGAACACCATTCCTGGTGTGTAATATTATGTCATTCTGGCTCTGTATTTCTTGGAAATTATTATAATTTGGACCTTGGCTACTTGTCAATTTCTTAGTTTATTTTAGATATACCACAAAACCTTGAATCCCTTTACCTGCCTCCACTCCCCTACACACGCATGCGCGCCCACACTTACACACACCCATGCACACACATATACACCTTTTTCCATCAGCAGGGGATAGAAACATTATACAGTGTGGTATTTAATTCTCATGTGTATGTTATCACCATGAGATGATCTTAAAATCCTCCATGATTTTTTTTTTTTTTTGAGACAGAATCATGCTCTCTCACCCAGGCTGGAGTGCACTGGTGCAATCTCAGCTCACTGCAAGCTCTGCCTCCCAGGTTCACGCCATTCTGCTGCCTCAGCCTCTCAAGTAGCTGAGACTACAGGTGCCTGCCACCATGTCCGGCTAATTTTTTGTATTTTTAGTAGAGACGGGGTTTCGCCACGTTAGCCAGGATGGTCTCTATCTCCTGACCTTGTGATCCACCCGCCTTGGCCTCCCAAAGTGCTGGGATTACAGGCTTGAGCCACCATGCCTGGCCAAAATCCTCCATAAATATTTTTAGAATAAGAATGCAGAATCTCAAAGTAGGGAGTAGGCTTCAAGCTCATTTGTTCTATGCACCTCTCTGACACTTGAATCTCCTTGTTCATATCAGTTGAGGAGAAATGCATTATTTCCAAGGCAACCAATGCTAACTGGGTACAGATCCAGTTCTAAATTTCTGGTTGCATGCAGGTCCTGGAGGCTGTTAGCCTGGACTCTGTAAGTAGTGACCTGCTGGTAAATATTGTATAACTTCTCTTAAAGCGAAGTCCTGATTCATAGCATTTGCCACTTTCTGTGGTGTAAATACTCCCATGATAACCCATTTCAAGCTGCCCATGTGAAGTGACTGAAATTGGATTTGGAAGAGGTGTCCATAATTGGCTTTTGCAAGATGGTATTAGCAGGCTGCAGCACATCACTGTCACCCTCTTGGTAGCATATATAAGTAGGATAAAAATCTTTCATATTGTCCCAGTTCTTGGTTCCAAATCCCATGTACTCACCCATCCTGTCTTCTGATGTATCTGAATTCACATTTGATCCCAGTTGCTTTCTATGACTTTTTAGAAGAACTTCAAGCTCTATACTGCCTCCCAGCCACAATCTCCTTCTCACTCCCTAAAAATGATTCCAGTGATCTTTCCAGGTGGACTACCTGATTTTCCCTTGAATACTTTCAACTCTGGCTAAGAACTCAGTGCCCTCTACCTTTGAGCAGGAACTCAACTCAAGCTACTTTTGTATTGGTCTTATCACATCCCTATTAGAATTATGAAGCTAATTTTTAAAAGCCGTTTTCATTTGGGCACAATATTCTTTACTGTTATTCTGCCAACAGAGTGCAGTTTTTCCTACTGGGGCAAGTCCTGCTGGAAATCACTTCCAGATTTTTTCCTGATTTGCAAACAGGGGACAAACTGGTGGGTCTATTCTGTCTCATTCTTTACTATAAATGATTGATTAATGTAGCATCATTCTGTCAATTGTAAGCACAGGGAAGGAAGGGGCTATGTCTGCTCTGTTAATCATTCTACTGGTGCCTAGTATAATGCTTGGAACACAGTATACACTCAGTAACAAGACCCGACCCTTTCCCTGCCCCCTCTCCCATTTTCCCTTCTTCTTCCAATTAGTTGAATAACCATTATGTAGCTGATGCTAGTACAACAGATTCCAATGAGCAGAATGGAAAGTTAGGACAGAGCATTGCTGAGAACTCAAAAAAAAGTATCAAAATCAAGGTATTTGAGTTGAATATGGACTAGAAAATTTGGCTTATTTTTCAGCTGCTTAGAAAGAGAATTGTCCTGTTCCCTTTAACTTAATGAGCCATAATAAATCTAATTTTAACGCTTTTCAGGAATAGAGAGTACTGCAAAATGTGAAAGCATGCCTTGGGTTTGGTTCTTGAGAGTACATTATGTTCCTGCTGATGGAGAAGTTTGTGAGTCAGATCTCACCAGTGGAGACCAATCAGTAGGGTGACCAGTGAGAATTAGGGAGTAACAAGGAAGAATGTTCTTAAGGACAGTTCCTTACTTTCAAGTACATATAGACACTCAGTGCTTCCACCACCAGGAGGCACCCATCAGAATGAGCCTGAGTTAATCAATTAATAAAATTAAATTTTAAAAAGCAATTAATCCTGTTTAGATTTTTAATTACAGGCTAACTCCATCACTTTCTGGAAGGATGCAAGTATAAATTTTAAATCAATAAATTAAATTTATTTGAAAACAAAATATTGACCAGGTGCAGAGGCTCACATCTAGAATTTCCAACATTTTGGGAGGCTGAGGTGGGAGAATCACTTGAGGCCAGGAGTTCAAGAGCAGCCCTGACAACATAGCAACACCCTGTCTCTCCAAAAGCAAAAAAAAAAAAAAAAAAAAAAAAAAAATAGCCTGGCATGATGGTGTGTGTCTGTAGTCTCAGCTACTTGAGAGGCTGAGGCAGGAAGATTGCTTGAGGCCATGAGTTTGAGGTTGCAGTGAGCTATGATCACACCACTGCACTATAGCCTGGGCAGAAGAGTGAAATTCTGTCTCAAAAATATGATCCTGGTGGTTAGATTTGTTATTGGATTTTTAATAATTTATTTGTTCATGTTTACCAAACATTTATTTCAATACTTCCCATATGCCAGGTATTGTGCCCCCTACTAAGGAATCCAAAGTCAATAAGATCCATGACCTCTCTAATTTAGTCTCTCTATGAGTACCTGTCTACAGCATCAGAACCTCCCAGAGTTTATAAAAATTTAAGATTAATCCAACCATACTCCACGCATACTATATGGCCCCGTAAGGGAGTGTCTCAAAATGCATGTTTTTAAATAAGTTTTACTGATCATCTCATGCAGTTTAATGCCATTCATTGCACTAAATAATAGTAATAGCTTGCACTCATGCTTTCCCAATAGTGCCATATTTTAGGATCCATGAACTGTAACTCCTTACAAATCTTAATTATAACTAATACAAATTGATAGCCCCACCTGGCAAAATGTGCTAAACTCAAATACCAGCACCTCTCCCAAGCTACCCCTGCTCTGACAGGCTCCCACAAGTTTTTGTACTTTGTGCACATTTTTATACCTGTGCCTCCTCTCACGTGGGATTACAGTGATTTGCTCAGCTGTCTGCTTCCCTGCTGGACAGCAAGCCCCTTGAGGAGGAGGACTGTGCTTCATTCCTGTCTGAGTCCCCAGACCTAGCACATTATTAGATTCTTATTAGGTCCTTAAAAATCCTCCCTCTCACCCTCCCTTATCTTTTCCATCCTTCCTTTCTTCCTTTCTTCCATCCTTTCTTCCCTCCTTCCTTCCTTTCATGAGGAGAAATTAGTCATTATTCTCTGTATTATCTCACTTCATTAGTTTTGTTGAATGTATGAATTTACACATTTGAAAATGAAAGAATGAATAAAAAAGCACTTCCACCCACACTGTAGCCTTTGCTGGGACAACCAGTAATGATTATGGATACATTATAGCTTTAGCCAAATTGTTTGTTAATTTCCAATCATTCTTGCTCCCCTGGATTTTGTCACATCCAAGCTGGCATTGATTTAATATTTTTCTCGTTAAGTAAGCAATACTATCTGTGAAGTCATGTATCTGATGTGTGAAGTTATGCTTTCTTCAAATCCACATTAAGCACATAACTATGTAAGCACTACTAAATGTGCCCTTGCATCCCACCCACGTGTGTGTCCCACGCTATGAAACTGACTGTCCTTCATCTTCCTGTGACTGACTGCACTAGATACTGGAATGTTCAGTTCTGATTTTAAGCTCCTCTACATCTGGTTCTTGGCTTTCTCTTCCAGCCTGATGTCCTCTTTAGTGTACCCAGAACAAATAGACACATCTCCCTGCCTCTGAATTGGCTCCTCTTAGAATCTCCATGGAATGTTATCTTTTCCACCAACCCAAAGTCCCCTTAGAATACCTTCCCTTGCCTTAAGCCTACCCTAAACTCACTCTTCTCAGAATCTAACTAAACCATTCAACTTAGCAAGGAATTATATGCCAAGTATCCATTATTTTCTCTGAGAACAGTAAGCTTCTTACTATATACGCACTCACTCAAGGAATATTTATTAACCTGCTGTGAATATGTTTTCTAACCACTGTCTTGAATGGTTTTCAGATCAATGGGTGGATGTGAGATACCAAGTATCATTGTTTGCTCACATGAACTTGATAAAGATAAGCTTTTTCTTCAGTTGATTTTCTGATTTAGAGACGGATTTACCTCATCATAAAATGAAGATGAGTTCTTTGTAGATTTTGGATATTAGCCCTTTGTCAGATGGATAGATTGCAAAATTTTCTCCCATTCTGTAGGTTGCCTGTTCACTGTGATGGTAGTTTCTTTTGCTGTGCAGAAGCTCTTTAGTTTAATTAGATCCCATTTGTCAATTTTGGCTTTTGTTGCCATTGCTTTTGTTATTTTAGTCATGAAGTCCTTGCCCATGCCTATGTCCTAAATGGTATTGCCTAGGTTTTCTTCTAGGGTTTTTATGGTTTCAGGTCTAACATTTAAGTCTTTAATCCATCTTGAATTAATTTTTGTATACGGTGTAAGGAAGGGATCCAGTTTCAGTTTTCTACGTATGGCTAGCCAGTTTTCCCAGCACTGTTTATTAAATAGGGGATCCTTTCCCCATTTCTTGTTTTTGTCAGGTTTGTCAAAGATCGGATGGTTGTAGATGTGTGGTGTTATTTCTGAGGCCTCTGTTCTGTTCCATTGGTCTATATATCTGTTTTGGTACCAGTACAAGAACTTAAACAATTTTACAAGAAAAAAACAAACAACCCCACCAAAAAGTGGGCAAAGGATATGAACAGACACTTCTCAAAAGAAGACATTTATGCAGGCAACAGACACATGAAAAAATGCTCACCATCACTGGCCATCAGAGAAATGCAAATCAAAACCACAATGAGATACCATCTCACACCAGTTAGAATGGTGATCATTAAAAAGTCAGGAAACAACAGATGCTGGAGAGGATGTGAAGAAATAGGAACACTTTTACACTGTTGGTGGGACTGTAAACTAGTTCAACCATTGTGGAAGACAGTGTGGCAGTTCCTCAAGGATCTAGGGCTAGAAATACCATTTGACCCAGTGCTCCCATTACTGGGTATATACCCAAAGGATTATAAATCATGCTACTATAAAGACACATGCACATGTATGTTTATTGCGGCACTATTCACAATAGAAAGACTTGGAACCAACCTATATGTCCATCAATGGTAGACTGGATTAAGAAAATGTGGCACATATACACGATGGAATACTATGCAGCCATAAAAAAGGATGAGTTCATGTCCTTTGCAGGGACATGGATGCAGCTGTATACCATCATTCTGAGCAAACTATCACAAGGACAGAAAACCAAACACTGCATGTTCTCACTCATAGGTGGGAATTGAACAATGAGAACACTTGGACACAGGGTGGGGAGCATCACACCCCGGGGCCTGTCATGGGGTGGAGAGCAGGGGGAGGGATCACATTAGAAGAAATACCTAATGTAAATGATGAGTTAATGGGTGCAGCAAACACAACATGGCACATGTATACCTATATAACAAACCTGCACATTGTGCACATGTACCCTAGAACTTAAAGTATAATAAAAAAAATAAAAAAAAGTTTCATGCCATTGATATTTTTATTTTTATTTTTTAATTTTTTATTTATGTATTTATGTATATATTTATTTATCTTACGCTGTCACTCAGGCTGGAAAGCAGTCATGCCATCTTGACTCACTGCAACCTCTGCCTCCCAAACTCAAACAATTCTCCTGCCTCAGCCTCCTGAGTAGCTGGAATTACAGGCATCCATCACCATGCCCAGCTAATTTTTGTATTTTTAGTAGAGACAGGATTTCACCATGTTGGCCAGGCTGGCCTCGAACTCCTGATCTCAGGCAATCCACCTGCCTCGGCCTCCCAAAGTGCTGGGATTACAGACATGAGCTACCACACCTGGCCATATTTTAAAAAAGAATAATTATTTGGGAAAAAGTCCATCAGCTCGAGGCTCAATATACTAATTTTGATCAGCTTCTGCATTCATTTTATCATGTCTGGAGAACCAGCTTAAGTTGGCCATGATGCCTTAAAGAGTATTCCTTCAGTTTTGAGGGGCAGAGGTGGCTGTGGTCAGTTTTTCTTATTTATCTGTAACTGCCCCCACACTTAGGATCTCATGGCCAAGTAGTCAGTCTAGTCTGCTGCAGACTGCTTGTAAGAACTCACCCAGTCTGCATGCCTTTCTTTATTCTTGGAATTGCAGGGGGTAGGTTTGGAGGGGGCATGCAGACATGAGTACTTTGCTCTCTGCCAATAAATAAACCCACCTAATGGAACTTAGGGAAGACGTAGATGAAAAAATAGAAAGAATGTTGTTTATGAGAAGCATGGTGCGATGGAAAGAGAATCAGAATTAAAAAAATATATCATCAAGGTTTTTGGGATTCATGCTCACGCCACAGTTATCTTTCTGGGGGACCTCAGGAATGAGGTATGACCTCTCTGGGACTCATTTTTCTCATCTGTAAAATGGAAGACATGGAGTATATTGATCAGATGGATTCTTACTTCTCTTTAGTAGCAAAATCTTGTATTTTCTTTTAAAGCTTGTGTTGCACCACAATATCCACAGCAGATAAAAACAAACAAACAAAATAAGCTCTGCTTAAAGAGGATTTGAGGCAGGACAAGAGGATTAGTGGCTTGTCCTTTCTTGAAGGAGTGTAAGAACTAGAGTGACATCATTACATTTATATTTAAATAGTTCAAAGTGATTGTTTTGTGAAAAAAAAAAAGATTCAAGGAGGCAGAATTGCAGGTGCAAAGACCATTTTTAGGTATTATTGTTTAAGCCAGACTGAGAGAGAACAGCAGGGAAGTTTGGGGGCTCCAGGGTAAGCAGTATGATGTCCCAGGGACAGAGAGCGGGTAGAGAAGAAGGTAGCTAGCCAGGGTCCAGTGGGGATAGTGAGGGTCTACCTGGGTTTACCAAGTCACCAGTGTAGTTGGTTAGCTGGACCTTCATCAAAGCGGGAAGAACTGAGAACTGACTCTACACAAGGAGAAGAGTTAAGAGTTGCTTATAGCTCACTGGGCATGAATAAGGCAGCGTGTGCAGGGACTTGCTCATCAAGGGTGGTCTGAGACTTACAGCCTTGGCATCACCCAGGAGCTTGCCAGGCCCCACCTGAGACCTGCTGAATCAAAATCTGCACTCATCAAGGTCCCCAAGGATTCCAGTGCACACTGGAGTTCCAGAAAACTGTCAGTGGAAAAACACTTTAGAAACAGATAAACCAGATTCTGAGATGCTCCATTTGCCGGTATTGACCTTAGCCAAATCACTTTCCTTTTCTGAATTTTCTCTTCCACACCACAGAGGTCATAGTGTTCACCTTACAGAGAGTTTTGTGGGACAGAGATGCTATGAGTAGAGTTTAGCCCTGAGCCTAGCCAAAGGTCAATGTTGTAGAAAATAGTGAAAAACAGTAACAAAGCATGCACAGTCATCCCTCCATTCCTCTGTGGCCAAGGAGAGAAGGGAAGTGAGGAAGGGAGACTGGGCCTCCATGTGTTTCTGCTATGAATTTTTTGTTTTCAATTTTCTATCTTCCACAGTAAGGGAAATTTATCATAGCTTTTTTGGAAGCAGAGAAAAGATTTCTCCTTTTAAATTGACTATTTCCAGGAATATTTGCTACCATTACATAGTACAAGGTATGAGCCTGGATTTTGAATCCAAACATACCAGATTTTGACCTCCCTCTGCACTTCCTATCTGTGCAAATGCTGAGTGGACTGCCTACTTCTAGTTTTTCTCACCTGTAAAATGGGGATAATAAAACTTTCCAGGTATTTGTGAGGGTTAAATGAGATGTGATATAAAAAAAGCCTTATTCTCTTTATAAATCTCCATCTCTCCCTTCTTTTATTCTATGATTGTTTCTGTCTATTGTTATTAGAAGATCCTTTTTGGTCAAAACTGTGGTTAGAATTATAGCATAGGAGCATTCACTCATTCATTTATTCATTCAACCAAAATGTACTGTGTGCCCACATGTGCCAGATGCCATTCTGGGTGCTTGGGATGTAGCATGACTCTGTCCATTTACGTTTCTGTTTTATGCGCCATCCATCCTGTGGGCTACACCTGTGCTAGGTAGTGTCCCAGGTGCTAGGGGTGCAGCACATGTGGGATGTATTATTTTTCTACTTTATGTCCTCCCCTGTGGGTTGCACCTATGCCAGGGCTACCTGACATGAATGGAGCAGAGCTTTTTTTTCTCCGTGGGGTACAGGCAAGGACCATGGTCATTTGTATAGAATTCACAAAGCCTCCTTCATTTATGTTTCAGGGATAAAGCTCATTTTGCAAGGTTTTTCCATCCTCTATTAAAAATACACCCACAACCGCACACTTGGCTAAGCAAATTAATAACATAAACAAGACTGAAAATATTTAACCTCCTTAGGAGAACAAACTGTTTTTCGAGGAGCCTGGCAGGGCCATTTGCATGCAAACACTTAATGGGCTGCTTTTAAATGATCCTTATCTATTTATTGAAGTAGGCCTGGCCAGACCTCTCCTTGGCAGCTCTTTGTTAGCTATTAGTTGGAGCTGCTGCACATGAGCTGGAAAGTCATCAAAATGCACTTATTGAAAGATACTCAATAGTTCAGACTCCCAGTGTTTTGTTTTTTTTTTTTTTTTTTTTGAGACAGAGCCTCACTCTGTCGCCCAGGCTGGAGTGCAGTGGCACAATCTTGGCTCACTGCAAGCTCCACCTCCCAGGTTCACACCATTCTCCTGCCTCAGCCTCCCAAGTAGGTGGGACTCCAGGCACCCGCCACCACGCCTGGCTAATTTTTTTATATTTTTAGTAGAGACGGGGTTTCATCATGTTAGCCAGGATGGTCTCCATCTCCTGACCTCATGATCCGCCCACCTCGGCCTCCCAAAGTGCTGGGATTACAGGCGTGAGCCACCGTGTCCGGCCGACTCTCAGTGTTTTATATGGGCCTTTACCTCAATGAGGTAGAGATTCCATGAATCAGCTTTGAAGGCTAGCCATGAAGAAATGGTGACTAAATGTAAATTGCACATAGTAAGTAATCAATAAAATGTTGAATGAATGAATGAAGTAGTTTGATTTTCTTCCTTTGCCATCTGTCTGGACTCTTCTCCCGTGGTGTGCTGAGGAATGTTTAACAATCACCTGTCATGTTTGCCGGTTTCTCTGGTATAAATACTCCCACCGTGGTAAATTTCAACCTGCCAATCTGACCTCACTTAACATAGAGTTGGGCAGAGAGGTGCGCCATTGTATAGTAATTCCAAGATACAGATGCAAAAGATATAATTTTAAGGTCATAGATAATAATGAAATGAAAAATCATTAGGTGCTGATGAGTTTTGAGCATTTATTGCCTTTGTTTTTAACATAATTTATTTTATTGTAAATATATATAATTTGTTCTTTAATAAGTTTACCAGCCTTGCAAAATTCCAGAGACTCTTAAGAGTGGCCTCACAGGACTCCTTAGGAATTGGCACCAGCACACTTCTTCTTGCCCATTGAACATATGCAAGCTCTGAGTAACATGACTCTAACAGGTGCCCACTCTGCCCTCTCTGTGTTGTCAGAGAGGACTATGAGCTAATAAGTGCTTCCTAACATGCAAATAACCAAATGATAGTGTGTGTACCATCCCTCTGTGCAGCCCCTCCAACTCTCTGCACCCCTTTTTTTGTGGCATTTTTCACTTTTCCTATGTGTGTTAAGAATGATTTGTGTACTTGTCTCCTAGGCTGGGGTCTATGCAATCAAAATTTCGAAACCCAGATGTCAATTGAAGTTCTCTGTCTTTGGGATCCAAGTGGAATTGGTTCCAACGCATTGTGCCACTGGTGGGAGGCTGCGTCCCTCCCTCCCATCCATTCTGCCCAAAGACAGGGCTGGGGAGGGATCAGGTTTGCCTGCTGTCCCCTGACTGTGAAACCCTGCAGGTGACTCCTTCCTATCCCAGAAAGGAATCATCATTATGTCCTTGTTAGTGCCTGTGGCATCCAGCCCTGGTGCACAGCACTTTCTCTCTGATGTCCCTCAGAATATCACGCGCTCAAAACACTTGCGCATGTAGCACATTTCGCTGAGGTTTGGGCTACTTCAGAGTTGTGTTTTGTTGCTGTTGTTGTGGTCATAGTTGCTGTTGCTGTTGTCATCATTGTTGTTTTACATTCCCATGTGGTTTGGCCCTTTATTCTCTGTAAAGCCTTCCATTTTTTCTTTCTCTAGGCCCCTATTCTGTGGCTCTTCCAAGTACTGCATAATACAGCTCCTGATATATTATGAGAGGAGATTATTATGCAGAGAAATGTGGCTCTTTTTACTTTTCTGCATATTCTCAGACTCATTTATATTTACTGATAATCATAGACTCTCAGGTCCAAGTCTCCCCTTTATCTTACGTTGAGTTCCCAAAAACTGGACTATAAGATGAGGCGTCCTGAGCAAGAGGGAGCAGAGAAGAGAAGGAGAGAGGCACAGTCTAAGGGACAACTTTAGCAAAGTCCCACCCCATGGAAGGGAACTTGAGCCTCTGCCCACAGGGGAACTCTGGAACATGAATTACCCACCCAGGGCAGGGAAGCCGTGCCTTCACCAGCACCCTCACCTATCAGTCATGGGCTAAGCCCAACCCTCACCTGGCAGGCACATCTGCCCTCTGCTGGTGACCACAGAGAAAGCAATTCCAGTAACTCATGGTCTACTTCCTTCAACAAACAGCAGTGGGTGCAGGCTCCTCAGAGGCAGAAGCGTGGGAAACAGTAAAAGATCCTTGAGGAGAGAAATGGGGCAGAGCATGGACAGCATCTGCTACAGTCTTTCAGGGCAAAACAGAACTGCCCAAGGTTTTAGAACACATTTCTTTCTCTTTTCCTCCTTAATCGTCTTTATGGAGAGAAGAAAACAGAATAGAGATGCATCTTCTACTGTGAATTATGGCACTGCCCTTACATATTATGTTGCTGTTGTCCCTGTGGTTAACTGCAGCATAAATAGCTATAGTTAATTTTGACTTTAAATATTTTTCTCTCTTCCATACACTTAGAATTAACTCCATATTTCTTTCCCATACATAATCTCAGGGCACCCATGTAAACATTGTATGAGATAAATATTGTTATTAATCCCATTTTTCAGGTGATGGAATTAAGTTTCAGAAAGATTAAGTGACTGGCCTAAGGTCCCACAGCTATGGATTGGCTGAATTGAGACTCAGGTGTGGGTGATGGTGCTGCAGCTACAAGCTGCCCGAGTGCATGGCTCCATCTGCCTTCTCCAGCCAGGGGGAACGACAGGTGCACTCCACTTCATGGAAGCCTGACTGACAATCCACATTTACAAGGTGACATTTGGAAGTGATCACATGTCCCAGAAAGGAGTCCGGCATCTGTGGATGGGCAGAAGTCAGAGGGTTTGGAGCCCCAGCCCTGGCAGGAGTTGATTGAGGAAGGTCTAAAACTCCTACCATTCATTCAAAAAGTATTCCTGGAGCACCTACTGAATCCCAGGCAATGCCCCAGGTGCCAAACACAGCAGTGATCAAAATGGATACATTCCACCTCTAATCTGTCTAAGTCTCCTCACCTGTGGCATGCGGTTGATTACCCAGCCTGGCAGATTTGTAGGGGAGAGTTAATGAAGGAATGACATAAACATGTTTTGCCATGTGGCAATGTCATTTTTGCTTTCTCAGGTAGTGTATTCATCAAGATGAAGACGCTTTGAAAAAGGAATTCTCCTAAATCTGTGCTTTGCAAGTGCTACCAATTGTATTTGTGCATATGGAGAAGGGAGGGGAGAGGGGAGGGGAGGGAGGAGAGGATGTCAAGGGTGAACAAACAGGCAGGGTTGCCCCTCACCACCCCACCCCATAACGCCACCAACCTTTTTTCTATTATACGACAGTTATTGGACTTGTACCTAAGATTTATTTTGAATAAAGAATTCTGCTCCTAACGGAAGGAAAGAAGGGAAGGAAGTTGAGAAGAAGGAAAGAAGGAAAGAAAGGAGAGAGAGAGAAATATTGGCTTGGTTCATTTAAAATCATCTTCAGTTGCAGGAGGAAACATTTACCTGCTTGTTTTCAGGAGTACATCTATTGCATAAATTGCGGTCTGTATCTCAGAATCAGAACTAGAAAAGACCTATGGAAATTATTCAGTTACCAGGAGGGAACTGTAGCTCAGAGAGGTAAAGTTTCTTGTCCTACAGCACCGAGGTGATTTGGGGGCACAGCCAGGACTAGAACCCAGGTCTCCTAACCCAAGTCTTAGGTCTTTTTACTGCCTCCTTGCTCTAGAACTTTATTTATCTTTATAGTGAAGATGAACATAGGTACCTACAATGCCTTAGCTAGGTATGTTCTGAGTCATTCTGTGTATTTTCCGTGGTTTTTTCTTGTCCTCATTTCAAGGAGAAAACTTAGTGTCCTCACCTCTACAGAGAGAGAGAAAAAAACATCCCATTTGAAATGCTGCACTCATGACAAATTTCTCATGCAGTTTCATAACTTAGCCTTGAGAAGCATTGATTTGCTCAGTTCCCATTAGAGCCCCGTGAGGTCAAGGGGACCTTGATAAGTGGACTTGGGGTCTTTGTTACTGTGACTGCGATGGTTTTCAAACCAGAGCTTGCAATACCTTACTAAAGTGATGGCTGGCCTTTAGATGGGCCCACTCAGAAAGCTGTCTCTCTCCTCATCCTCTAAGCCTGTGGCCTTTGAGCCAGGGAGGAACAGAACAAGGGTGAGCTCTGCCATCAGCTCAGCATGAGAGGGGTGACATGCACTCTGCAGTAGCTGAGGGTAACTGGGATTGGATTGGGTCTTGGGTCCTGACCCTGGGAAGTTGTCAGCAGCCATTCTTGGACACAGAAAAATGAAATAGCCTGTCCTGCCAAACTGGGAAAACTCCTTCAAGGAGACCAACTCTGGGGCAGAGGGAGTAGGAAGTCTAAGCCAGAATCCTTTTTCCCCCCAGGCAGTTTGGGAAGTAAAGAAAGGGGAAGCAATTAGAAATTGCAGAAGGAGAGCGGCACCTTGGTCAGTGAAATGGAGCCCCTGGTGCCACTGGTGGGACTATCAAACTGTCAGATGACAAAGCTGGAAGGGACAGTTAAGCTCTGGTGGCAGAACTGAGTTTCCAAAATAATTGCAGTGGCTGGCGTTATGGGCTGGGTCTAAGAAGAAGAAATTGAATGAAGATCAATGTGAAGGCCTGTGCTTAGGTCCAGGAAGAAGTCCATTAGACACCATTGATAAATGATCCATGGTTTCAAAATAATATTTAAAAAAAAAAGTCTTGGTTTTAGTTTTCCATAAGTTCACTTTGAAAAGTCAACAGTGTCATGCAGGTGTCCTGAACTCTAGTGAATACAGAGGCTGCACACGTAGGCTCCTGGTGTGACTGGAAGAAGTGCACCTGCTCCGTGGGTAGTGTCAGGAAGTGCAGCGGCACCTGCCTACAGGTCTGTGTTTGCAGAAGGGCATCCCAGGGATGGCTCAGGCCTGGAGGGAGTCATATCAAGTAATTAATACCTATATGGGAAAAAGCCAAAGTCACAGGCTAGGGGGATAGTGACAGCAGTGGAGGTGAAGCAGAGTGAGGCGGGGAAGATGTAATCTGTGGGAGGAAGCACATAGTCGGCAGCTGAATGACTGAAGCATGGCGGGGTGCCTGAGTCTTCAGCCAGGATTCCCCTTCTTAAATGAACCTGGCTGAACACACAGATGGGGAAGGCCTTCTGCTTGACATGGACCTGATGAGCCTTTGAGTAGATTTAAAGATCACTTATTCAATAAACAGGGAGAGTGGGACATGTCCCGAAGAGAATGATCGGGATGGTAAAGATGCTTGAAAGTCAGTCCTAGAAGACCAGGTTTAAGGAACATGATTCTGAAAAAGAATAGAGAAAAATTAAAGAACTGCCTCCCAATGCTTGAAGAGCTTTTCATGGAAGAAAGGTGGTATTCCATATGTTTCCAGAGGAGAGAAAAGGACAGTTGAGGGGAATTTATGGAAAGACAGGTGCCCGCTCCTTTAAGGGAAGGATTTGTAGAGGTTTTTGGTGCTGAAGCCAGTGGTGAAGGCCTTTTGTCTGAAGCCATAGGAATTGCAGGAATTAGCTAAATTCTTGAGTTGGAAAAGTGAGTGTGTGAGCCTATGTTCTGTGTGTGATGAGTCAAATATAATCAGGGTCAGCTGAGCAAAGATGCAAATAATGCATCAGTGGGCACCTGCTCTGTGTTTAGCACTACAGCAAGTAGCAAAAAATGTGAATCCTGATGTAGCTAAGCCCAGGGGGTCAGGGTTGAGAAGTGAGAGGTGAAGGCCAGCTCTACCAATTATTAGCCGTGGCTTGGGAAATATACATAACCTTGTTAAAAGTTTTTTTTTTTTTTTTTTTTGAGATGGAGTCTAGCACTGTCACTCAGGCTGGAGTGCAGTGGCATGATCTCAGCTCATTGCAACCCCTGCCTCTCAGGTTCAAGCAGTTCTCCTGCCTCAGCCTCCCAAGTTGCTGGGATTACAGGTGTCCGCCACCATGCCTGGCTAATTTTTTTGTATTTTTAGTGGAGATGGGGTGTCACTATGTTGGTCAGGCTGGTCTCAAATGCCTGACCTCGTGATCCACCCGCCTTGGCCTCCCAAAGTGCTGGGATTACAGGCATGAGCCACCATGCCCGTCCAAAAGATATTTTTTAAATAAAAAAAATAGACTTATGACTCTCATATGTATATACAATGAATGCATATTAAAGATTTTCTTTAACTCATCAGTCAGTGAGGGAACCAGGCAGATCTTATAAAGGACTCAAAAGGTTATCTGAAAAAGTGACACATTTATAGATCAGAGTATTGAACTAAACAGGCAAATGGAGCCAATTCTGATTCTACACAGGAGGAGGGGGAAAGGTCAATTGAAACTTTACTAGACAGGAGAGAATTCACATGTCTAAAGGCAAGAATTATTTTTGCATTGCTATCAGTTGTTTATAATTTACAGAGTTGTAAAATAGCTCAAAGACAATACAAAACTTGAGTCAGTTCACCTGGAAGGGTGTAATCTAACCAATGTCCAGTTTTCTACTGAAGCACAATTTTTTCTCACATGTATTGGAGTCTATTTTTGTCCATCTTGGAAATGGCAATACTTGTATATCAATAGTTTGCTGTGAGGATTACAAAAAATGATGCATGACTTGCATTTTGATCAAATCTTTGATCAAAGCTGGCCACATGGCAAGATTTCAGTGAGGGCCCAGTAGGCTCAAGGAGTACATGGAAGACACACTGTGATAGAAGACAAGGCAGGCCTGTGCAGAGTGCTGTGGGGGCCCAGAGGGAGACCCAATGCTCTTTGCTATGGGAAGGTATGCAAAAGTGACTTCTGTGCAGGACTTTACTAATAACATCCATTGAGTGATTATGTGCCAACCCATTTTAATAAACTGTCTTGTTGAATTTTTACAACCACCCCATGATGTAGATACTAACTTTCCAGATGAGAATACTGTGGTGGACAGACTTTAAGGTGGCCTCCATGATCTTCTCTCTTGATATAACATCAAAGTACAGCACCATCTTGCTAGAGTTTTTCTCTCTGCTTTTCTGGCTTTGAAGAAGCAAGCTGCCATACATCTCTACAGTCACAGGAAATAAAATGAAATCTGCCAACAACCTGAGTGAACTTCGAAGTAGGTTCTTCCCCAGTCGAACCTCTGATGAGAACCCAGTCCTGGCCAACACTTTGTGGCCTTAAATAGGAGACCTAGATAAGCTGTGGCAGTCAGTTGACCCATAGATACTGTGAGATGATAACTGTGTGTTGTTTTAACTGCCATGTTCGGGGTAATTTGTTACACAGTGTAAAAATGTCAAGAAAATAGCAAGTATATAGCTATCAAGTGACTTGCCTACTGCTCCTTACTCAAAGTATCAGAACCATGATTCAAACCCCATTCTTTCTGACTGCAGGGACACAGCCTTGCCCATGGCAGGCACTCACTGCAGGCTCATGTGTTTCTTTGACAGGTGACCAGCAAGAGACATGGCTCACATCCACACAGTCAGACTCCAGAGCCCACGATGTGAGCTGGTGATTTCTTCCTTCTGGAGAGTGACTTTTAACCCTGACTGCACATGACTATCACATGAGGAAGTTTAAAAACCAGACCAGCATGGGCCCCACCCAGAGCTAGTACATTAGAAGATGTGTGGATTAAAGATAGACATTGGTGTTTGGTTTCTTAAGGTGCACAGGTGATTTTAATTCACAGCTAGCTTTGCAGACTGGGGTTCCAGGACATTGTGATGCCCAGGAAGTCTAAGTCATCATTACATCCTGGAAGAATATCCTTGTTAAAATAAAATTTTCTAGAAAAGATGCAGTCATGACTCTTATACAGATAGAAGACAATTTACACACACACATGTATATACACACATGCACAAACATACACAGAGGCCCACTGAATTATGACAGGGTGATGTCCCAGTAAAACCATCATAAATTTAAAATATTGTAAGTTGAGGATGCATTTAATACACCTGAACTACTGAACATCATAGCTTGGCCTAGCCTACCTTAAACATGCTCAGAACACTTCCATCAGCCTACAGATGGGCAAAATCATCTAACACACAGCCTACTTTGTAATAAAATGGTGAATATTTTATGCAAGTTATTGAATACTGTACTGAATGGCTTCTACTGAATGCATATCACTTTCACATAATTATAAAGTAAAAAAATTCAAAGTCAAACTATTGTAAGTAGGGGACCATCAATACGTGTGTGTGTGTGTGTGTGTGTTTGTGTGTGTGTGTGGTGTGAATTACGTACATTATACAAAAAAATGGCTTAATGACAATGAACAGGCCTAGAACCTGATAACCCAGAGCAGGCACAATTTTCCATTGAAACACAAACATTTTTTTCCACATCCAGCTCTTTTTGCCTAAGGAGGGCAAGACACCATTCAGTCTGTGTTAGGCTGGCACCAACCATCTTCTCCAAGTACTCTGACAAGTCTGCTAGAGAGAAATAAAGGAAAGGCACAGAGGAGGAGCACAGGTTTAGAGAATGAGGAGGGCTCCTTTCAGGGAGGGTGGAGACTTACTGATGGAGGAGACAGGCAGAGGCTAGTGAATGGGAAGTCTGACCACCCATTATCCTCAGAGAAGATGGACCCTGTTAGAATTGCTCCCAGTGTGTCTAGAAGCCCAAATACCCACAAGTGACCTGTCTCTCTTCCCATGCAAATAAACAGTCTGTGAGAAGGGGCCTGTCTGCTTCCTGTTCATCACTATTCCCAGATAATTGAACCCCTGGGGCCTGTGCTGAGCCATACTAGCTTGTCTGCCTCCTTTGCAATAGCCCAGAGGCCAAAATGCTCCCTGCTTCCCCCTCCCAGACCCTGATACAAATACAAGTTACAAACCTGCTCTAGATCCAGGAGGTGTTTTAGGAGGGAGACGTATGGAATGAGCCTGAGCTGAAAGCCTCCTATGTGCCAGGTATGGTACTAGAATTTTCTGTGTATGAGCTCACTTGTTTCTCCCACCCAACATCTTACAATTGCTCTAAGAAGTCTTTTGATTAGACCCATTAGAAGTCTATTGATTAGACCCGTTTTGCAGGGGAGGAAATTGAGGCTCAGAGTCAACCTAGTCCAGTATCGCCCAGGAAGTTGGTGGCAAAAACTTAAAATCATATTTTCTGACCCTGATATTCCTTTCCCTTACTACCCCTCTTTTTCTACATATCAAAACATATGCAGCCTGTTCTTACTTTCTCAAGGCTCTCCTAGATTAATATTGTGCCTCATTTCACAAAGTTTGATGCTGGTCCTAGGAGTTGGGAATAGTAGGGCCAACAAAACTGAAGCGGATGTGGCTCACAACACCAGCAGCTAGTGAATAACCTTTTTGCATTTCTTTCCCCTAAGTTAAGTGACTAGCCTTAACTTAGGGGTCTCAAAGCCACAAAATGCTGTGCGGTTTTTTTTAATTGCAGCCAATAGCTGGTCACCACCAAGAGCTTAGTAGGATACTGTTGACCGCCCTTTCTCCCAGCAGAGTAGCATGTGCCATGCCTACCTTAAGGCTGATTAAAGTAATTGGTGTAATTGATTTCCTTATAAGGCCATGCATATCTTAAGGGCAGAACTGATTCTTGGGTCACCTCTGTACCTTGACACAGGGTTTGGTACAGAGTAATTGCTCAGTAAACATGTGTTGAACAAAGGACTGTGAAAGTAAATATAAAATCCAGGAGCATTTAGAGATGAACATGGAGCCCAGGGAGGGAAGGAAATGTCTACAACAATCAGCCATCATGGCTATTGTCTCTAGAAACACAGCTGAGCAAGCAGAAGCTGTCTCTGCCATGCTAATGCTGGTGTGATGCACGTTCTTTTTTTTTTTTTTTTTTTTTAATCTCTCTCATTTTGGAAACTTGAAGCCACTAAATGTTTCCATTCTAATGAGATTTCCAAAAGGAAAAGAAAAAAGTCTAGAATAATCCATGTTTGTGTCATGCTGGTGGGAAACATCACAGGACTCAGATCTGACTTTGTGTCTATGTGTTTGGCTCTCAAAAGAAACAGTGGGGCCATTTGTAGAAAGGTGCTAATGGGATAAAAAAAAAAAAGTCTGAGATGTTTACACCTTTCAGTTTGAGTCTGAGAGGACCAATTTTTATATCTGAGTGAAAAAAGTCTCCAGGGCATGGTAAGAAATGTAAGTAATATGCCAATTACTCATTGGTAATTTCCCCACTGCCTTCAGCCTGGAAGTGGTTGAAAAGGCTGGAGTCTGATTTGGCTGCTGTGGAGGTGGAGAAGGTAAATGCCTACTTGAGGTAATTTTGGAGCTGCTGAGAATTCTAGTTTCCGTTTTTCCTAGAACCTCTCTTCCTCAGCTGGCAATCTTATAAGAAGTGGCTTAGTCCTTTGGCACAATGCTTTATTCGCTATTAAAATGCAAATTCCAGGTGCCATTTTATACCTGTTAAAGCAGCAATACAGCTAGCAAATAGTAATCACCAATGCTGGTGAAATTGGGATGAAAATAGGTCCTCATACCTTACCCTAGAGATCGTGTAAAATCATGTCACTCTTTAGTCAAGCCATCTGGCAGAATGGAGCAAAAATCCATACAGATGTTCAAAGCCCAGAAATTCCAAAGACTTATTATAAAGAGTTGGTCTTAAAGAAAATCTGTATGCACAATGGTATTTCTCATAGTATTATTTATAATAACATGCAATTGGAAGAATCTAAACCCAAATATCTAGCAGTAAGACAATGGCTATACATATTTTAGAGCACTGATGTCATAGAATGTTGCTTTTTCATTAAACATGATTGTTTTGAATATTTTATAACTAAGTGGAAGACTGTTTATGCTTTAATAATAAACAATCTAAGAATGCATCTTAAAGAACTAGAAAAGCAAGAGCAAACCAAGCCCAAAATTAGTAGAAGGAAAGAAATAATAAGAATCAGAGCAGAAATAAATGAAACTGAAATGAAAAAATAACACAAAAGATCGATGAAAGAAAAAGTTGGTTTTTTGAAAAGTTAAACAAAATGAAAAACCGTAACCAGACTAGGAAAAAGAGAGAGAAGATGCAGATAAATAAAATCAGAAATGAAAAAGAGACATAACAACTGATACTGCAGAAATTCAAAGGATCATTAGTGGTTACTATGAGCAACTATATGCCAATAAATTTAAAATCTAGAAGAAATGGACAAACTTCTAGATATGCTTTAATAATATAAAATGTGGACTATCACATTGTAACAGTGCAATTTTGTAAACCTCGTATATGACTGTGTCCTTGGTCTGGAAAGGGGACAGATGAAAATAGTTGATTTATTAGGTTCTGAGTTCAATATAAAGATTCTTTTATTTTGATTTCCATTGTTTGCTTTAAATTGTCTTTTGTGAATTGATTCTTTTAAACCCAGAGGACTAGAAATGCATAGGACCAAGGTGTCTGTCAGTGGACATGCAAAGTGACCAGGAACCAATCAGAAATTGGAACAGTTTGGACTTGCAGTGGGAAATGCTGAAGAAAAGCCTGGCAGGGCAGAATTAGAGGGCTGGGAGGCTGTGGAAACCCAGGTGATATAGGGTGGAAGGACAGGGATGACCCAGAGCAGGTGCTCTAGATCGTAGGCTCTGGACTAGAAGCCCCAAGCCATTCTGAGACATCCTTATGGCTGGAAAGACATGGGGCAGGACTGACGAGAAAATGCCTGTATCTACTGTGAGCCTGTTATAGATATGTCCTCTTCTTCTGGAAAGTGTGAGAGGTCGAGGGGAGCCATGCAACCTGTTCTCCATTCCTCATACCACCTTCTCACCTTCCACCTTCACATACCAAAGTCTTCTCTCCCTGGGTCCAGGGAAGAGCAGCTGAGGGACTTCTGCTAGAGAGAGAGGTGATGCTCTGCCTTGCACATCTATTAATACAGCTGTTCTAGATATTTCCTGCCCTGGTCTTCCTAGAAGCAGGGTGCTGTCCCCAATACCTGCAGTCACAGCAAGACTGTCATTGAACCAATCTATTGAATATCTCCACCTACAAGAGGGTCTTCCAGGGACTTTGCATCCTTTCTCACCAGTTTCTACTATAGTCTCACATAGTGGACACTGCTGTCACCAACTTACAAATAAGGAGGCTAGGGCTAAGATCATTTACCTTATTAAATTAAATACCTTAGCCTGAGTCACAAAAACTTGAGGATAAGAGGCTGGGATCAAAGATAGCATCTGGTTCTGAAGCTCACGCTCTTTCCCCAAGTCTGCACTGCTTTTAGTTTAGTGCCTTGTACACAGACAGTGCTGTATAAATGCCTATAGTAGGTGCTCTGTAAGTGTTTGTTAAATTAAACATCCTCCTGACATTTGGCATCATTTTCATGGCAAAGTGGGTGTCCATGGAAGGATGAATTCAGACCTCAACAAATACCATCCATAGCGCAAGCAAATAGTGTTTTGTTTACAAAGCTGAATGGACTTTGGTTTGAGGTTTATGGATTTTTAGTAACACTTTTGTTTCTCCCACCTTAGAAGATCATGCAGATTCCTACAATGAAGAGAAGTAAGCTTCTCTCTTGGTGCTTCTCTCTTCTGATTGTTCAAGGTTTACCTTCTTATCTTTTTGGAGGGTGAGTACCACACAACCCCATCCAGCTCTCAGATACAATGTGTCCTATGACAAGCTCTTGAAGAAATTAGGAAGACATCAATAAAAATGATCCTGATGAGAGTGAGCCAACTGGAAATGAAGCTCAGGCATTTTTGTATATTGTCCAAGCTTCCAGGATCAGCTTTCCTGGATGGACATTAGAGAAGGGCTGTGCTGTGCATGTAAGATGCTCTGTAGGAGGACATAATCTTATCACCATGGTGAAAATTAAGGAAGAAAACAGAGAGGGGGTGATCTGCATTTCAAGCATGGAGGATGATGAGAAAGGGTCTGAATTTACCAACTTTTACTGATGCTGGCTTTTCATTTGCACTTGAATAGCAGCGCTCTGGTATGTAAATATCTACAATGTCATTTTATTAGCCTCATTTCATAAATAAAGTCTGAAGTTTCCAGAGATGAGGCAACGTGACCAAGTGCACATGGTTAGAAATGTGATTCAGAAGTTAAACCTAGATCTACCTGACTCCTGAGAAGATCCTTCACTTTCTAATAAATCAAGTTGCCCAAATGCCAAGTGGCTCTGTGTGTATGAAGGGTGGAGGATGAAGAGATGGTGGGTTAGGAGGAGAGAGAGGAGACAGGGAGCAGAACAATTGCCCTGATGCCCAGCCAAGGCCAGGAGTTAGGCAGAGAATGGGGGACCAGAATGAGGCTGGAGAAAGATGAGCCTTTTCCATCCTTAGTCATAGAGGTAGACCAGATGTGAGATGTTATTTCAAAGGAAAAATGGACACCATTTGCTAGTGGATCAGGTGTGCCAGAGGCTAGGCAGGGATAGTGCACAGCTGTGGTGTGGGAAGGGGAAGAATATGAAAACATAGAATAAGGCTTAGGCCAAATAAACCCTGCCTTCATGCACCTGCCATTGCTGGTGTTGGAGATGCAGGATCTGCCTCCGGCGCAGCTCAGACATGCCCAGAGTCACCTCCTGTTTAAAAGGGTTTGTCCTCAAGGACTTGATTATAAAGAACTTTTACCTACTTCCGTTTCATCAGTTCTAAGATGCACATTTTTCCCACTTTGACGTCTCTAAAATGAGGATGTGAGACACAATCAATGGCTGTCATAAGGTAATTGTCAGTTTTCCTTTCTTAGTAGTTTGTACAATTATTGTGTGTGTTACAAGTGATGGTATCTGAAAGACAATGAAATATAGTGTCTCTTGGTAGAGGTCCCCAAAGATATATGTTTGACGAAATCCAAATGTATTGTAATAGTGACAGTTGCTTTCAGTTATTAAGAATTTACAAATTCCCCAGGCACCATGTTATGTGATAATAAAAATAACAATCATTAATAATAATCCCTGAAATCTATCAAGCACTAGACTAAACATTTTATTATCCCTATTTTACAGATGGAGAAATGGAGGCATATTTAGTTCTCACAGCAACCCTTTGAGTTTAAATGATTATCCCCATAATAAACACAAGGGATTGGAGAACCAGAGAGGTTAAGTTACTTACTCAGAGTCACACAGCAATAAATAATGCAGTCAAAATTTAAACTCATTCCCTGTCTGACTCCTGAATTTATGTTTCAAATGATAAATAATTTGCAAGGGAGCATGCCTTTGTCAGCAAAACAGAGAGAAAGTACTATTTACTGAGTCACGACTGCCTGCCAGTAAAGATTTTATATCCATTATTTTATTGAATCCTCTTATGAGGTAGACACTTTATTCTCACTTTAGAGATGAGGAACCAGAAGTCGTTTGCTGAGACTGGTTTGAGACCCTGATGTGTCCAGTTCAGGGACCCAGGGTCTTCCTTGACAGGAGCTCCTCATGATGCTTGGTCAGGTCATAGGGAAGTTTGCCTCAAAGCCTAAAGTAACACACAGTTCGTATCATGCTATGGTTTAAATGTGTCTCCTAAAGTGCATGTGATGGAAACTTACTCCCCGATGCAACAGTGTTGAGAAGTGGAAACTTCAAGAGGCAGAGCCCTCAGGAATGGATTAATGCTCTTATCTCAGGAGGGGTTTGTTCTCCTGAGAGCGGGTTTGTTATAAAAGTGAGTTTGGCCCTCTCTTGCTCTCTTTCTCTCCCTCTCACCTTGGGATGGGATGATCCAGCAAAAAGACCCTCACAGGAGGCCAGCACCTTGGTATTGGACTTCCCAGCCTCCAGAACTCTGAGAAACAATTTTTTTTAAAATAAATTGCCCAGTCCGTGGTATTCTATTATGACAAAACAAAACAAAGACAGAAAATTAGAACTGAGAGGTGGGGCTGTTGCTATAGCAAATACCTGAAAATGTGGAAGCAGCTTTGCAACTAGGTAATGGGCAGAGGCTGCAAGAATTTGGAAGAGCAGGCTAGAAAAAGCCTGTATCCAGAGAATTGCTTGAACCCGGGAGGCAGAGGTTGCAGTGAGCCGAGATTGTAATACAAGTGGTAAAAGCCATTTGGATGAGGTCTTATGTGAAAATGAGGAACAAGGTATTGGCAACTAGAGTAAAGGCAGTCCTTGTTATAAAGTGACAAAGAACTTGGCTAAACTGTGTCCATGCCCTAGGACTTTAGGGAAGGCAGAACCTAAGAGCCATGAACTAGGATATCTGGCAGAAGAAATAGCTAAGCAGCAAAGCACTCAAGGTGCTGCGTGGCTTCTTTTGGCCTTCTTGCAATAAAATGAGAGAAAAAAGAAATGAGTCAAATTATAAAGGAATTTATAATTAAAAGAGAAGTAGAATTGAAAGATGTAGGAAGCTCCCAGTCCGGCCATGTAAAGAACAAAAAAGCATGTTCAAGAGAGAATACCAAAGGTGTGATCAAGCCACAGTTTGATAAAGATATTAATATAGATAGAAGGAAGCCTAGTTCTATTCATCAAAACCATGGGAAAATGAACTGAAAGGCATTTCAGATCTTCAAAATCTAGGACTTTGAGAGCAAGATTTCCAGAGAGGTGCCTGGGTGCCTCTCTTTTCCAGAGAGGCTTCCAGAGAGGTGCCTCAGCATTTGCTATTCCCTGCCTTAGGTCTCTGCTCCCCAAAGTCCAGCACAGCACCCCTCAGCCACCCCAGCCATGACCCAATTGGGTCAACAAGTTGTGGCTCAACCCACTGCTCCAGAATGTGCAAGCCCTGGACCTTGGCAGTATTAATGAAGAAATACATGATAACGTACCATGAAACTTAAACGTGGAGCTAATTCTGCAGACATAAAGAATGCAAGAGCTGTGGGGGCATGGGGACCTCCACCTAGATTTCAAAGGATATTGCATATAGCCTGGGGGCCCGGGCAGAGACTTGTCACAGGTGCAGAGTTACAGAGAGACCTCGCTAGGGCAGTGCCCAGTGAAGTCATGAGAGTAGGCAGCCCCTGAGACCCCAGAACTATAGGACCACCCACATGCAACTCTAGCAGGCATGAGGCTCTAACCTGGGAGAGCTGCTGGATGGATTGAGTGCAGCAAAGACATAGGGGCCACGGCCTGGAGGGTCTGTCCTCTACTCCAGTGTGTCCAGGAGGCGGCATATGGAGGGAAAGATTATTCCGGAGTCTTATCTTAATGTTTAATATCTGTGCTGTTGAGTTTTGGACTTCTTTGAGGCCTTTATTTTTTTTTCTTCTTGCCTATTTTTTCTTTTCGGAATGGGAGTACGTATCTTGTGCCTGTCCCACCATTGCATTTTGGAAACAGATAACTAGTTTGATTCCACAGACTCACAGCTGGAGAGGTATTTGCCTCAGGATGAATTGTGCTGTGAGTCTCACTCACCCATGTCTGATTTAAATGAGACTCCAGACTTTGGATTTTTGAGTTGATAGTGGAAAGAGTTAAAGACTTTGAGGGCTATTGGGATAGAATGAATGTAATTTGCATGTGAAAAGGACATGAATTTGGCAAGTAAAGGGTGGCACAATATGAAGTGAATGTGTCCCCAGAAGTTCTTGTTTGGGAAATGTAATCCCCAATGCAACAGTGTTGAGAAATGTGGGACCTTTACGAGGTGATGAGGTCAGGGCGGCTCTGCCTTCATAAATATGTTAATGCCATTATCTTAGGGGTGTCTGTTTGTTATTGCAAGAGTGGATTTCTTATAAATGTGAGTTTGGCCCCCTCTTACTCTCTTGCTCACCTGCTCTCTAGCTATGTGGTACCTTCTGCCATGTTATGACATGACAAGAAGGCTCTCACCAAATGCTCACACCACACTCATGGGCTTCTTAGATAAAATTCTGTTGTTTATAAAATAATCTCAGTCTGTGATATTCTGTTATAGCAACCGAAAAAGGATTAAGACACACTATCTGTAAACATGCACCTGGGGCAGCAACAGTGAATTCAAACAAGCCGTTGACTTAGTTAAAAACCACTAAGGAGAAGATAAGGCAGTCAGGAAGAAACGCATGATAACATATCATGAAACTTAAATAGATGTTTCCAGAGGCAGATTTATCACAGTACTAAAGAAGCTTAAACTGCAGGCCCTAAGCTAATTTTATTCGTAATTTATATTAATTTCTTTAAAGAGACCTCCATAAAACGTGTATATTCCCCTATTTTATTCCTCTAATCATTTTAAATGCTCCATTATCTAACACGACAGGGGTGTTTTTAAGATTAGGTCCCATATATTTAAGTTTTAAATATTTTTTTTCTGTACAATATTAGACACGTAACATGTCCTCAGGTGGTGCTGAGTGAATTAAATTGCCTTTGGCTCATAGTTTACATCAGAAGTTGGCAAACTTGTTCTTAATGCTCAAGGTAGTAAATATTATAAGCTTTATAGGCCAGACCATCTCTATTGCAACTACTCAGGTCTTCTGCTCCATCACAAAAGCAACCATAGACAATAATTAAACAAATACAGTGGCATAATAAAAAATTATTTACAAAAATGAGCAGAATGCCATAGTTTGCTAACACCTGGGTTAGGTGGTCAAAACCTACCTCTATTTTATACCTTTGTGGATTTATAGATGGATAGGGATATGATATAGATATAAACATATATATGGATCTAGAAATAGATATAGATTTGTCTGTGTTATTTATAGGTATGATTTTCTTTCCCCATTTCCAGAATATGGAAGTTTTTAAAGACAGTTTATTTTTGTTCCTACAAGTATTAAGTCAATTTTGGGGTATTTTCTATGATTATACAATAAGAAGGAACAAGGTAAAAAACTAGCATTTGATAAGTGCCCACTATGTACTAGAATTTTTAGGCACTTTTACATATTTACACTTTTTTTTTTTTTTTTTGGAGACTGAGTCTTGCTCTGTCACCCAGGCTGGAGTGCAGTGGCACGATCTCGGCTCACTCCAACCTCAGCTTCCCAGGTTCAAGTGATTCTCCTACCTCAGCCTCCCGAATAGCTGAGATTACAGATGCCTGCCACCACACCTGGCTAATTTTTGTATTTTTAGTAGAGACAGTGTTTCAACATGTTGGCCAGGCTGGTGTCGAACTCCTGACCTCAGGTCATCCACTCACACAGGCTTCCCAAAGTGCTGGGATTACAGGCGTGAGCCACCGCACCTCACCCACATTTACACTTTAAATGATACTCTTTAAGTCCATTTGATTATCCCACGAGGTAGATTTAGAAGAAACCTTTTATTCCACAGTTAATAGGAATCAATAAAAACCTACTTAAGGGGAGCCTATTGAAAACAAGAACCAATACTTCATACCAAAGAGGGAAGACAAAAATATCATATTAGTACTTTGTCTTTAAAAAACTATTAAAACACAAAAATGTGTTTATAGTATCTCACACTTAACAAAAAGTTAGGTTATAATTGCAACTGTGCTCTAATTTTTAGAATGAACAAGACTTACTCAGGTATTAATTGGGGGATATGCTCTTAATGCCAAATTATATAATACAATATGACTTTACATTTTATTTTCCCAACATTTAGGGGTAGGATTGGTTGAAGTTTTTAATCCTTTAAAGTATCAGTTGGTTTTTTTTTATTATTTTTCTTGCAAGATCGTCACCTGTCAATGACCCTGCTGTATTTAAAACAGCTTTCCATCATCATTTCTATCAACTTTGTGAAATCCTGCATCTTTTGTAAACTTTGCCTTTTTGCTTTGCAAGTGGTTCATGTTGTACTACTGAATGGTGTATCTGATGGTGAGGCAGAGACTGACTTGCAAAGCCATGACATGCCCAGGGTATAGGTTGCTGTGATATTGTCAAGGATGTTTGCATGGAGACTTCATTAGGGTAGTGCCTTTGGTTATAAAGGTTTTTGCTGTCCTGTGCAATCTCTTAACTAAGAAGACTGAAATAAGGAATATTAAGATAACAGAGATACCTTAATTCGTTACTCCTGTTTTTTTGGTTTTTGTTTTTTGAGATGAAGTCCAGTTTTATTGCTCAGGCTGGAGTGCAGTGGCATGATCTCGGCTCACTGCAACCTCTACCTCCCGGGTTCAAGCTATTCTCCTGCCTCAGCCTCCCAAGTAGCTGGGATTGCAGGCACCCGCCACCATGCCCAGCTAATTTTTGTATGTTTAGTAGAGATGAGGTTTCATTGTGTTGGCCAGGGTCTTCTGGAACTCCTGACCTCGTGATCCACCCGCCTCAGCTCCCAAAGTGTTGGGATTACAGGCATGAGCCACTGTGCTCAGCCGTTACTCCTGTTTTATAGATAGGAAATTGAACTTTGGAAAAATAAACCTGCCAAATATCATCACGTTGCTAAGCGGTGAGCTAAGATTCAGATCCTGGAAAACTAGTATTAGTTATCTATTCCTGCATAACAAACTGCCACAAAACTTAGCTAAACACAACACACATTTATTATCTCCCACTTTCTGTGGATCAGGAGTCCAATCATAGCTTACCTAGGTCTTCTGTTCAGGGTCCCTCACAAACGCTACAGTTAGTGTTGGCCAGTGCTGGGGGCTCATCCAAAGGCTCAACTGAGGAAGGATTCTCTTCCAAGCTTTCTTTTGTGGTTGTTGGCCAGAGGCCACATTTGGTTCTATACTACACGGGCTTCTCTAGCACAGCAACTTCAAAGCCAGCAAGAGAGACAGTCTACTTGTAAGACAGAAGTTGAAATTTTTTGTAACCTAATCACAGAATTGACACCCTTTACTGTAGTCTATTGACTGGAAACAAAGCACAGGTCCCAGCCAACTTTAAGCAGAGGGAATTACCTAAGAATGTGATGAGCAGAAGGCAAAGATCACTGAGAGCCATTTTAGAGTGTACTTGCCACAGCTGGACTCTGAAATATTTAATCTTTTCCTTTTTGGTACCCGTTTATGAGGGAAACATGGCAGGTACTTGCAACATGAAGATACTTAAAGTGAAACCTCACATCACTTTGTAGTACCTATTACCCTGGCATGAAACTTTTGGATGTTTAATAAAATGCTTTGTTAGTGATGAGACCTCAGTCCACAAGAGAAGGCAAATACTTCAGTCCGTAGCATGCCTGATACATAGAATACACGCCACAAATGAAAAATTAAATGTCACCAGATTGACCTTAGCATCCAGGATATATCAGAGACATGGTTTGTCCTGGAGAAGAAAGAGAAAACATCTGGAGATGGACTGTTTCTCTCTTCTTGCTTGACTCAGATTCCCACTGTGCCTGCCCACTTAGTGTGGCCAGAGGATCATGTGGACCTGGAAGTTCCTAGCTAATGGCTTGTCTCTAGCCTGCAGGGAGAAAGGAATGTGACTTGCCAGAGCTTCACTAGCATTGCTTTTATATGCAAGTGTCAAACGAGAACAGGGATAGAGCGAAGGTGTTGGAGGCAGTGTTAATGGGGCTGTTGTATATTTTAGCTGATGACAGTGTTAGTGTGGAGGAGGACATAGGCATGGAACAGAGCTGCTTGGCCTGGTGAAGGCTGAGAACTCTATCCTAGGCAGAAGCCTCCACCACAACCATCACCCACCCAAATATGGCATGCGTAGAGCAGGTTGGATGAATCTGGGAATACTGACAAAAAGGAGGTCTTCAGAAACAGACAGATGGTTACTCAGACTGGAATCAATGGGGCAAGGGACAGTGTGTGAGGGAACTGAGATATCATCTTGCTAGGGGTTCTACAAATTTTTAGTTGATTTGCTCATTCTAAATAAAGGAATCCCAGGTCTCATAAAATGGCAAAAAAAAAAAAAAAATCCATGAGACATGGTGGAACACAGTCATTGGCCTCACCCATCTAAGCTAAAATTCACTCTTGCAATAGTTAAGACATATCAGTACTGTGTAGTCTGTGAGCATTTATTTTCACAACATCCCTGAATTAGGAGCTATTTTCATCCCTATTTACAGATGAGGAAACAATCCCTTAGGTGCTAAGTGGCAAAGCTGAGGTCTGAAATCAAGTCTATTTATCTTTGAAAGCCTTTCCAGACCCTCCCACCAGGGTTATTGGCTGAAAGTCTGAACCCATGATAATAGCCCTGACAGGCCTTGGGGACCATCTGCTTTAATTCCTTCATTTCACAGATGTAGGCACTGAAATCTGAGGAGAGGAAAGAACTTCTCCAAGCTCCTACAGTGAGTAAATGGCAGAACTGGAAATAGATCTGAGATGTGTAGTTTCTTCAGCCAATCCTTTGGGTTGGTCACTGTGATCCCAAGAGGAAAATTGTAGCATCTCTGCTTCTCCAGATTGGCTTACAAGAGAACACAGTGGCACGGGGTGCAAGCACAAAGTGATGTGCTCTGTTCATCATTGAATGCCCAGGGTATAGAATGGTAAGTGCATGTCAAGGAATGGGTGGATTCTATGAGGAGATAAGAAGAAATCCTATGGGAATGCACAAAAGGATTTTTCTAATGTTGACTGGTGAACAAGAGAGGATGAACAATTAGCTCCTAGGGGACAATGGAATGTCTGTTCCTAACTCTTGGCATATAATGAATGATAAGTAAATATTTTATTGAATAAATGAATTAATAGAGGAGGTGACATTTGAGCTGAGCCTTAAAGAGTAGAAAGGAGGAGTCATTTGGATGAGGGAGAGAAAGCATATGATGGAGAAGAACGGAATTTTGAAAGGCCTGCCACATTTTGATGAAATTGTAAGTTTGATGTGACTGGAGGGAGAAAGAATGAAGAAGTAAGCCTAGGAAAGAAAACTAATATATTTTGGAGATCTATTAGGTATCTGGAGATCTATTAGGTGCATATTAGGTATGCACATGTTTATAATTATAATGTCTTCTTAATGGATTGACCCTTTCATCAATAGATAATGTACTCTTTTGGGTCTTGTAACAATTTTTGTCTTGAAGTCCATTTTAAAGTCTAATATTACTATAGCCACCCTAGCTCTAGTTTGGCTCCTGTTTGCGAGGAATAGCATTTTCTATCTTTTCACTGTCAACCTATTTGTATCTTTGGATCTACAGTAAGTCTCTCGTAGACAGCATATAGTTGAATCATGTTATTTATCCTTTCTTTCATGACATGATCTGATTTGGGGGGAACCTGGTTTACCTTTCTAAAGAGTTGGAACTTTACCCTGTAATGGATATGAGGAGCCCATAGCTGTATTTAGACAGGGGTTTGGCATAATCAGTATCCTTGCTTAGAAAAATGGTACTGGAAGGCATGTACCGATGACTACATGGTGAAGGGCACACTCTTCCAGTACCCTCTCCTGTGCTTTCTTCTCCTCACTGACAGCTCTTGCTGCCTCTTTCCAGCTCAGAGGGCTGAGTAGCACTGAAGGCCCCCTAAGGGGACATGAGGATATCTGCCATTGCCTGGCTCAGCTGCGTCAAGTTGCTGACCCTGAAACGCAGCCTCACAACACAGGGTGTTTATTTGCCTCCCGTGCTCTTCTATTAAATAGTTGTGAGTTTTGTATTAAGATAGTATTAAGAGATGGAATCATTTTGAATGACTTCGAAATTATTCCTTGTACTTTTTTATGTGTTTTATAAAAGTCTGACATTTGCCAACATGGTTTATAGTGCCTAACACCTCATAGGTAAATAAGCACACGGCATATTTGGAGAGAGAAAAAGTATAAATGTTAAATGAAGAAAAACAGTGGTCAACTCTCAAAAGAGAAGATGAACACATCAGTTTTGTTTTAATTCCCTGAATGACCCTGGTGTATGGTATTTAGCCTTTTGCCCTGATGTTGGTGGGGTTTGGCAGAAGTGGACGGGTTGTAATCAGGTAAAAGAATAGCACAAATGTCCATAAAGATTCACTCTTTGATTTACCAGAGATAAAGTAGAAAGTGGCACAGTGGAGGATGTAGCAGGCTGGGAGTTGAGAGACCAAAATCCTCTTTCTAGCTCTGCAGGGAGTTATTTTGTAGCCATAAGCAAATCACTCCGAACTCTGATGTACAAATTTCCTTTCTGTTAGATGAAAGAATAATAGGTCCTTCTTAAGGTTTCCTGAAATTTCCAGCTAATCAAATTTTTGAAAGAGCTTGGCATGAGTCAAATCAGGAAGAGGAAGATTTAGAAAAACGATTTTAGCTCTGACTTATGTTCTCATGTCTGGGTTCCAAGGGAATGGCAAATGGTTGGTCTTTTCCTGCACCTGTGACAGACATCACGAATCAATAATGGCATTTCCCCCCAGTTAACTTGGCTGCAATCTGGATTCTTTTCAATAACGCATTCCTGGCAGCCTTAACCAATCCATCCTAGTGGGTTTTCAAGATAAAAAATGATTTGTCAACCCTGTTCTTAGTGGATGGAACAGTTCTCATTAGGAGATGACTCAAACATCCTTTTTGGGGCTGACTCATAGAAAATAAAGAAACCCCTGGCACACAGTGGGTGCTTTAACATCTGAGGCTTTTCAATTGAGGGTCAGTAGGATCCTCACGCAGTTTGAGGTCTGTCACTGCCTTTTAAGGTTATGTCTCCTTCTTAAGATCGAAGATCAGTAATGGTGGCCAAGGGTTAGGACAAGTGCAGCTAACTATGACGTAACAATGCCTGTCTTTTAGACAATTCAATTCTGCCTTCACCTAGCTAGGAAAAATGTTTCTATGCATCGCTATTCAATGGCAGACAGACAAGGATTCTAAGAAAGAGAGTCTAGTGCTACCTTCTAGGACATTTTGAGGGCTACAGATGCTCTGAAAGCTGTCCATTGACAGCTGTAATTAGAGCAGGAGCCAGCAGGGGTATCTGGGAGCTATCTGGAATGTTACTGAGATTTTCTCTGCCAAATGTCAGACTCCAGAGGAAGAGAAGGGAAGACATTTACTTCTCCCAGCTGAACTGAGAGCAGCAGGCCAGGCTGCCTTCCCTGCTCTCCCTCTGGCTCTGACCACACCTCATTCTCTGCAGATTCTCTTCCAAGGCTCCAGTGCTCTCAGCACAGTGTCTGACTTCTCACTCCCTTTGTGTCCCTCCTGCCTGAGCTTGGAGGCTGAGTTCCCCATCTGTAAAATGGGGATACAAATAAAATGATAGTCCCCTTCCTCGCAGTGTTGCTCTCAGGAGTAAAAGAGAAAATGATGTACGAAAAAATTCCTGCATCAATGTTTTCACCGTGTTTGTCTCACTGTGAATGAAGCCTGTGAGGGGATGTTTGGCTGGCAACCTTAACTCTTACTTCCAGCAGGCTCAGCTTTGGAGTCTATAAATGGATGCCAGACATGGGTGAGAAGAGGCGGCAGGGTTTTCCTGGTACCACTGTGGTCATCCCTCACATCTGCATCTGCAAAAGCCTTCCTTGCCTGCTGCCTGACAGAGGTTAGGTATCCAGTGGGCCTGGACAGCTCGCACTGGTTCCTGTCCTGAGGCCCCTGCATCTGCCGCTTTAGAGCCACGTGCAGCTACAAAGCAGGCTTCCTTGTGTCAGTTCCCTTTTGTCCTCCCCAACCTGGGCTTGGATGGAAGATGGCCGAAGGTGAGGAAAGAATACTGAAGGTGGAAGCATGGAGGTGATGGAGACTGATTTAAGGGCATATTCGTGACTGTTGACCTTGACTGGAATTGTTTGCAAAGACAGCCTGGATGCTGCAGACAGAAGGCTGCTATTGGCTCTCCCCAAGACTCCTGGCCGCAAACCCTTGCTTACTCCTGCAGGGTGTAGAAGGGAGGGAGAAGTGGTGGGCAAGGCGCAGAGGAAGGAGGAACAAGAGAGGAGAGGAGCAGTGGAGGAAAGGATGCAGGAGAAGGAGAGGAAAAGAACTCAGGAACGCCAGGGCAGTAAGAGAAGAGCAGAGGAAAGGAAACAGTCAAGACTATAGAGAAAGACCGGGCACTGTGGCTCACACCTGTAATCCCAGCACTTTCCAAGGCCGAGTCAGGTGGATCACCTGTGGTCAGGAGTTCGAGACCAGCCTGACCAAAATGGTGAAATCTCGTTTTAAAAATCCCAAAAATTAACCAGGCATAGTGCTGCATGCCTGTAATCCCAGCTCTTTGGGAGACTGAGGCAGAAGAATCGCTTGAACCCGGAAGGCAGAGGTTGCAGTGAGCGGAGATTGCGTCACTGCACTCCAGCCTGGGTGACAGAGCGAGATTCCGTCTTGAAAATAAAAAAACAACAAACAAACAAACACAAGAAACACCAGACTATAGGGAAGGAAACTGAAGTGACAAAGGACAGACGAAAAGGAAGAACAGGAATAATTGGTGAGAATGTAGAGAGAGGAAACCAAAGCAGGAAGAGAAGCAGAAAACCAGGAAGAAAGCAGCTGGGGGCGGCTCTCACGTCAAGACCCCCAGGAGAATCTCTAGCCCCACGTTCAGCGCCACATCCTTGTCCATCAGTGGGACTGATAACGTGGTCTCCGTCTGAAATTAAGTTCATATGTTAAGGGTAAATTGAAATATGCAAGAAACTAAGGGGCGTTTCCTCTTCTCAGGTTAAGGAGGGTTTCCGTATTTATTTTAGCTGTATAAATTAATGATTGTTCTCCTGTCTTAGAAAGTGGGTTCCTGCGGTTGCTGGTGAGGCGTGAGAAGCGCGGGGCTACGCCGGGCCTCTGCTGCCCCCTCCTGGCCAAAGATGGGCTCCGCAGGCTCCCTGCGGATGGGAATCGGCTGAAACTGCATTTTGGTGGTTGGCGAAGGCGAAATTATCCCTTCTCCTGGCTCTAAAAGCAGACAACGAGAGCTGAAAGAGAGTTAGATATTCAGCCCTGACCTTTCCCCTAAGCCTTAAATTTAGATTTCAATCAGCCGGATGGAGATTTCCACTTGGACCTCAAGTGCAGCAGGTCCGCAAGTAGCTTCTTATCTTCGCGGTCCTGCTGGCCGCACTGCACAGCTTCTTGATGTCTGCGAACAGCACATTATCCACTTTCTTCCCACCCCAAGACCCCTCCCAGTGCTCCTCTTGCTCGATCTTTATATCCCATTAGTCACAACTCCTGCCAGGACTACACAGGAGGATGCTCTCTCATGGGACCCTTGTCATCTCTCCAGCGCACCCTCCTCCTCTCTGGTCAGCTCATGATAACGTCGTCTTGACTGCTGTCCTGGCAGAGACCTGTCTTTGGATAGAGATTACAGATAGAGATAGAGACAGAGATATGGAGATTTATATATATTATATATATTAATTATATATATTATATATACATACACACACATACACACACATATCCATCTTTCTAGATATATATCCATCTATCTATATATATATCCATCCATATATTATATATATATATAGAGAGAGAGATACATATATATGTATGTGTGTGGATAGATAGGTAGATAGGCAGATAGATCTTCTAGGCTGGGCACAGAAGCTCATGTCTCTGATCTCCATACTTTGAGAGGTTAAAGAAGGAGGATCTTTTGAGTCTAGGCGTTCAAGACCAGCCTGGGCAACATAACGAGACCCCATCTCTATAAAAACAAAATTAACCATGAGTGGTGGTGCACACCTGTAGTTCCAGCTACTTGGGACCTGTAGTCCCAGCTACTACAGATGGGAGGATCACTTGAGCCCAGGAGTTGGAGGTTACAATGAGCTATGATCACGCCACTGCCTTCCCACCTGGGTGACAGAATGAGACCATGTATCTTTAAAAAAAATCTTCTGCAGAATAAAGCTCAAAGTCTTCATTTGATCTACAATATCTTTCATGTCGTGCTCCCAGCCTGTCTCTCCAAGTTCACCTTATATCCCTTGCCTTTAATTTCAACAAGGCCATTGCTAATCGCTGAAATTGTTTGTATTCATTCTCTAAACATACATTGGTTCTTATTAAGTGCCAGGTTTGAGCTATTCACTGAGATACAGAGAGGAACAAGACATAGTCTCTGCCCTCCATGAGCAGAGTCTAATAGAGCAAATGCACACATGCAGCCCAGACCTCCCTTGGATTATCCTGCTGTATAAAAGTGAGATGCATTTGGTGCAGATTCCCATTCCACATGGTATTAGTTTTCTATTGCTGCATAACAAATTGCCTCTAACTTAGTGGCTTACAACATACAATTTTTTAATCTCAGTTTTCATGAAGAGTATGAACATGGCTTAACTGGGTCCTCTGCTGAGCATCTCACGAAGCAGCAGTCATGGAGTTGGCTGGGACTTGTTCTTCTCTGGATCTTGTGGGAGGACTCCCCAATATCCCATGATTGTTGACCCTTGCAGTTCCAGAACAGGTCCCACTCTCATGCTGGTAATCAGCCAGTGGCTGCAGTCAAGTCCAAGAATCCCACAGTTCCTTGCCACATAGCTCTCACAGGCCTTTCAAAACAGCAGCTCACATCAAGACCAGCAGGAGAATCTCTAGCTCCAGAATGCAATGGCAGAGTCTTATATAATGTAACAATCACAGGCATGACTATCCAGTTGCCTTTGCCATATTAAAAAAAAAAATACACAGAGTAGTGACATCTTATCTCTTTGGGCATATTCTATTGTTAGAAGCAAGTCACAGGTTCTGCTTGCACTCAGAAAAGACAATTATGCAACTGCCTGACTCATTGGAGATTACCTTAGGGCATGCCCACCATACACACAACTTGAATCTTTCATATATACATATCCGAGGTACAGGGAGCTGTGTAAAGTCTCAGAGTCCAGCTAAGGACTCCTTTTCCTGCCAAATTAGTTCAGCTGTGGGACACCAACCTGTCTCCTTTTCCCATGCACTGATCCAGCCATGGGTTCCAGCGCCAGGATCGATGCCAACTAAAAACAAAGTCACTTATGAGGCTGTGGTTGATGGCTTGCATTGTTGGACCAAGAACTTAAGATTTTAAACAATCTTGTTCTTAAAAATCCTTCAGCATATGGCTAGACCATATCCTCTTCTCTCTCTCTCTCTCTTTTTTTTTTTTTTTTTTTTGGTCATTTTTAGCCCTCAACACCAATCCCCATCTCTAATTTTTGGATAACTTTTTTTTTTTGAGATGGAGTTTTTGCTCTTGTTGCCCAGGTTGGAGTGCAGTGGCATGATCTCGGCTCACCGCAACCTCCGCCTCCCGGGTTCAAGTGATTCTCCTGCCTCAGCCTCTCGAGTAGCTGGGATTACAGGCATGCACCACCATGCCTGGCTAATTTTGTATTTTTAGTAGAGATGGAGTTTCTCCACGTTGGTCAGGCTGGACTCGAACTCCCGACCTCAGGCGATCCACCTGCTTCAGCCTCCCAAAGTGCTGGGATTACAGGCATGAGCCACTGTGCCCAGCCATTTTTGGTTAATTTTTATTGCTAAGTAGTTTAGCAGTCTCATGTTTTAAGGGTTGCAACTTCTACCTCAATCGGATCAATAAAGTATTCTCCAGGCAAAGGCAGTTCCTTCCCTTAAGGGAGTCCTATTGTCAGGTGTTGGGACAGTATGTTTTATTTAGCACATGATGTGCGCAAACAATTACAAGATGATAACGGGTTGTTGTCCATGCTGGAGTAGAAGTGAATCAGGGTGCTCTGGGATCCCAGGGATGAGATCACACAAGGGAGCCTGCAGAGAGCAGCTGGGGTCAGGGAAGGCTCTGGAGGCAAGGCATGACTGGCACTGCCAAGACATTAGCAGGTTAATGATGGGGACATGGCAAAAGTGGACAGGGAAGAGGACCATCAAGACAGAAGGCACATGGGCTCAGAGAATTTGAGGAAGTTCTGTCATTCCTACGACCAGCCTGGATGTGGGGAAGCAGCGGGAGATGACAAGGCTGTGAGGAGGGCAAGGCTAGATCATAAAAGGCCCACATCCCTTGTTAAGAAAAATCAAACCTGGTTCTTTGTCCATGAACTTTTGCACCTCCTGCACGTGTACATGTTGTTCATGAGGCCTAGGGGTCCAGACTCCAGGTCAACATGTAAAATGGGGAATGTCCTGGATAAACTTGGACATATGGTCAACTGTAGCATAGCTTTGAATTTCCTTCCAACCTCTTGGCTGCAGCCCCTCCTGGATGCTCCCAAAGCATGTGAACACGTGGGTCATAACCTCAACCACACTCTCCAGTAATTATTTGTCCTGTTTTCCACATTGAACTAAGGAGTCCTTGCATAATGAGGAATAGGTTTTATTCATGTTTGTATCCTTAAAACCAGTACTATGTCTGGGACAAAAGAGGCACCAAATAAATTGATATTAAATTGCAATAAAATGATAGTTAACTCTTACTGAAGGCTGGCTTTTCCACGCACCTGACATGGATTACATCACTGAATAATGGAGGATATGGACATTTAATTGGATTCATTTTACACAGAAGGAAACCATGATGCAGAAATGTTTTGTATTTTGTCTAAGAACACGCAGGTCATAAGAGAAAGAAAATGATTCTAAGCAAGGTCTTCTCTACAGAGCCTATGAATGAATAAAATAAAGTCTTGAGAGAATCATAATGTGGACTTGCAGAATCTTCTGAGAGTGATTAAGTTCCCTGCATGTTGCCAAGGGCTTGACTGGCCAATGATGAGCATGTTTGTATGAGAGCACCATGATCCTCAACAATTGACTCAACAATATCCTTTATCAATTATTTCCTGAAGTCTTCAGAATCATGGTGAGCTCTAGGCAGATTCATTATCCTCATTCCCCAGATGAGATGACCGGGATCTGCCAAGTCAATGAGCTGCTCAAAATCACATAAAAAGCACCAGAGCTTCCTTTTAAGCTTAGACTCCAAGCTTTCTGGTCATTTTACTGACAACATAGTTATCCTGATGGTAGTGATTCTTTTTGATGAATGTCTTCATCTCTAAAATGGGAATGGTCATATCTAACTTTGGAGGTTGTAGTAACAGTTACTGATGTTGTTACCATCATCACAACCACCACCACCACCACCATCACTATCACCACCAACACCACCACCACCATCACCACCACCACCACCGCCACCATCACTATCACCACCACCACCACCATCACTACCACCACCACCACCACAATCACCACCACCACCACCACCACCATCACTATCACCACCACCGCCACCACCATCACTATCACTACCACCATCATCACTACCACCACCACCACCATCATCACTATCACCACCATCACCACCACCACCACCACTATCATCACAACCATCATAATCACCACCACCACCACCACTATCATCACAACCATCATCATCACCACCACCACCACCATCATCATCGTCAACTGAGAAGATATGGGGCTTAGGGGAGGCAGATATCAAACATGGGTTAAAGTCGAATTTCACATAAAATGTCCAAACACAGGAAGGAGTTGGGGATCTTGTTTAGGTTCCTGGGCATGATTGGAGACACAAAGATTCAGGTCTGAAGATCAGCAGGTTTATAGATCAGAAAATATGATCAGGATCACTAAGGGTCAGAGGCAGTACTTGGTCCCAGCCAAGGTCAGAAGGAGACATTTCCATCCGCCTTACATCATGGTCCTTATGGTCACACCATGAGACAACTTTCTGTTTATCTGGACTGTGAGCTCGTGAGGACAGATCCAGCCTATTCATCATTGAATTCCAGCTCTGTATGCGCAACGTCTGCCATTTAAATATTGAATGAATGAATGAACAAAAGCCAAAAAAGCATGGGTAGAACCTAAGTAGAGTAGAAAACCAGAGTACCTGGAGTAGGAGAGCTTAGAGTATGTACTACCAAGCTTCACCCATAAACCCTAGCTTATAAATTCCCTTTTGGACACCCAGGGAACCTGGTACTGACAACTAAGCCAAAGACTCTCCACCAAGAGGGAGAACCATTTTCCTTGGTAAAACAATGAAACAGGGACTGTCTCTCACTCTCTCTCTCTCTCTCTCTCTCTCTCTCTCTCTGTCTCTCTCTCTCTCTCTCTCTCACACACACACACACACACACACACACGCACCTCACAGTTTATAAAGATAACAATCTTAAAAAATTGTTTGTAGTTCACTCCTGCCTGAGCCTGGTCATGAACCAGGTGACCTCTCTGTGAATTTTAAAGGACCAGCATTCTGCATGCTTCAGTGTGGTAGTTCCTCTTCTTTCTAGCATTTCAAAAACAATTCCAAAGATCCCCAATTGAAAGAGGTTCCATTGACTGTAAAAATGAACAATATTCATACTTGGTGACAATATTCATACTTGGTCACAGAAGCCTTTGCTGAATTTTTCAATCTTTGGAATAAATTTGTGTTTTCTTCATTCTAAGAAAACATTTTCATATATTTTTAAATCAGTCCTATGTGTGTAGAACACATTATTAATTAATTCATATACTTAATGACTTGTGAAAAGTTGTCTTGACTTTTGGACTTTCAGCAATGTCCTCGAGGTTGGAACCAGATGATCTAGTTTAAATTCTAACTAGCTGATTCTACTAATTAGCTGGTTAAGTAAAAGTATGCACATTGGTCAACTTCTCTCACATTGTTTTATTTAACTGGGATGATTGTTTCCGCCTGCCTTGCAGGTTTGTCGTGAAGATTGAATGGGATAGCATATAAAGCACATGTCAATGTCCAGCAGAAGTTGCAGCTTCATCCTGGAAGACACCTTTCCCCATCTTAGCCTCAAAGCAAGCCATGACTCAAAGGTTCCTTAGTCCATTTCTTTCTTCCCCTCTAGGTTCCTGATTGTCCTGGGGTGCTTGATTCTGGCTGTCCTGACCACATTCAAGGAGTATGAGACTGTCTCGGGAGACTGGCTTCTGTTACTGGTAAGATTGCATTCTGGGGTAAATGCTTCTGGTTGGGCTTCCAGAGTGATGAAAAGGAGGTTGCCCTTGGGTGCACTCCTCCCTGACTGGTTGCAGCTTCTTGTAGTCTCCAGTCAAGTCCAGGCCCAAGGAAAAGCAAAGCCTCCATTACTTGGTATGGCCCGCCATGGGCACATGTGGGGTGAAGAATGGCATTCCTGGTAAAGCTTTGCTATTCCACATTAGAGAGAAGGGGAAATAAAGTCAAAGCAAAAACCAATGCATGTTATTAAATTATAAAATACAGCTTCCCAATCCTCTGAAAGGTAACACAAAGGCATGTTTCATTCTAAAACCTGTCTCTGCTTTTTCTTCCTGGTATCCTACAATCTAAACTCCAAGGATCTCTCATTCTCTCCAAGGCCAGGTACAGAATTCCATTTATACACGAAACCTCTAAATCTCCCCTCCTGGGGCCTGCATTTGTTTTCACTCTCTGTCCTCCATCAGGTGGTGTGATGGAAACAGAGCAGGATTAGAATTCTTGGGCAAGTCAGCTAAGGTACCCCTGACTCTGTTTGCTCAAGTCCTTGCCTAAAAAATGTAAGGTCAGATGAGCAGCAAATGCAGACATGGGCTGGGCCCAGTCTCAGTGCCTGGTTGAGAGGAGGCTCTAACAAGGGCTTGCTCCTTCTGTAGCCACAGGACAGCACTGGTCAACTGGCCCCTTGAATGACCACACCCTTGCCGTGATTAGGAGTCAGTCCTGCCTCTTCAGGGCAATGCCGACTGCATGGGGTGAGGCCCCATCCTGCACACAGGGCAGTGGTGTGGCCCCCTAGTTAGGGCTTTTAAAATAGTGGAGCCTTCTTCTCACACTGGGCAAGCCATCGAGGCACCAGAGTCAGCTCTTCCTTCTGAGAGCAGGGGTTTGCAACAGCACGTCCCAGAGCTCAGACCTCAGTGTGGAACTCCCTGGAAACCATCCAACTCCAGGAACTAGGCTCCAGGGATTGTCGTGGAGCAGCAATGCCTCAGGGCACCCAGGGAGGTCACAAAAGAGAGAGAGGCAGAGGTGTTGGTGTCTGATCATCAAGGGAGTTGCAGGAGGAAAGGGGGACCCTGTGTCCTGGAGAGTGCTTAAGCTCCTGGGCTCTGCAGCCTAGTTACTTGAGCCTGAGATCCCTTCTTCTCCACTTCATTGCCTTGAAAAACTTGTTTAACTACTCTGTGCCTTGGTTTCTCAAAATGTAAGATGAGAATAATATTATCAAACACTTTCAGGGCTGCCTGGCCCAGGAGCCAGGCTTAATAACCATTAGCCACAATTAGCAATGCCAGGGTACAGGCACTGGGTGGAATTAACAGATTGTGTTTCACTCATATCTCTCTTTTCAACCCAACTGCACTTCTTGGGGGCTTTTCATTCATTAAAGGGACTTTTAAAGCTGACCTATTGGAACAAAAACATAGAAAAAAGAACGAGTAATCACTGTGCCAGGTTTAACAGCATTAAGGACAATTAGCACATCAGAATGAAGATGGGAGGCCTCCAAACTGAATGGCGGTGATGGACCTGTTCTCCCGGTTCCCCTTCCCCACCCCCATCCCCAGCCATCCCTGCCAACCAGACAACCAGCAACAGCACAAAATGGAGTTCTTCAGAACTTCCGAATAGAAATCACCAGCTCCCGACAAGTGGATCTCGGTTAATCAGTGCCTCTCCATATGCTCTTCCATGCAGGAGACATTTGCTATTTTCATCTTTGGAGCCGAGTTTGCTTTGAGGATCTGGGCTGCTGGATGTTGCTGCCGATACAAAGGCTGGCGGGGCCGACTGAAGTTTGCCAGGAAGCCCCTGTGCATGTTGGGTAAGTCCTGACCCTGAGCCTCCCAGCCTCCTCAGTTCCCTTCTTTTGGGGCATTGTTTCTCTGAGAAAAGTTTAAGCAGCTATTCTGGGAAATCACGCGGCACTGTGGAGGCCAGCTCAGCCCCTGACGCTGCCTCGATGAGAAGGGACAGTGTCAACCTTCTGGGTCCTCAAATTCCTCCTTCTGTGACTGGTCCTTATAAGGACTGCACAGGACAGGGATTCTTATTTGGCAGGGTAGGGTGTCACTCTTGGCAATTGGGTTGTGGAGCAGCAAGCAGGTTGCAGGATATTGAGCATCCCCAGTCCCTGGAGTAGTAGCACCCCCAGTCACTGTGACAATCAAAGTTACCCATACATTTCCAGACGGGTTGGGACAGAAGCTGTAGGCGTGACACCGTTGCTGGCTGAGAATCTACTTCTACAGCATCATGTTATGTCCATTGTACAGAAATAGAAACAGAGGATCACAGATCTGAGTCATTTTTCAGTCATGCAGGAAACAGTGGATTCTGTCCTAACACCCAGGTGTGGTCTTGCTTCTTAATCCAATGGTTGCCTTGAGAGGTGTCACTGGAATCCTTCCATTTGTGTGCAGGCAGTTTGATAGTAGAGGAGGTGGAAACTCTCACCAACCTATTGGTCCAGTGTGGACTAAAATCCATGGAGTTGCAGGACAAAATCTCCTTGAGTGACAGGTAGGAGTCTTGGAGCTTCAAATCCATGGGAAGGTTGGAATTACAGGATCATAGAGTGTCAGGGCTGGAAGGACCTCCAAAGGCATTTAGTCCAGCTTGCCATCGTGTCTGATGCTCCAGTCCCCAGCAGCAGCCATTAAGTGGTCACCTGGCTCTGCTTGCATGCCCCTAGTCACAAGGTGCTCACCACTCATCCAGGCATTTATCTCATTTTAACTCCTCTGACACTCTTCAAGTATTTGAGTCTAGACATGTTATTCCCCCTCTCTACTCCAGAAGAGTCTTCTTTTACCAAGAAACAACGTCATCAGTGGCTTCAACTTACCTTACATCACGCATTCTCAGCATCATACTCCCTCTCCTCTGAGCATGCTACTCATTCTTCACTTTACTTTTGAAAAGTCATTCCCAGGACTGAACACAGTCCTTCGGGGATGGACAGCCAGCTCAGAGAAGAGCTGGACCATGTCCTTTGTCCCAGGTGCCAGGCTTCTGTCTGTGCAGCCTGGAGTTGCATTGTCTTGCCCACTCCTAGCTGAAATCTCTGCCCTATTCCCACCTGATGCTAAGGTTGGACTTCTGAGGTTTGGGGTTTTTCTCAGAATTTTGAATGTACGGAAGGTATGTGAGTGTGTGTGTGTGTGTGTGTGTGTGTGTGTGCGATATTGGAGGACTTTTTTAATGATTTTTTCATATTTCTTTCTTCTCTCTTCGTTTGCCCTCTTTCAGTATCTAATCCCCGCTTTTCTTTCTTTCCTCTCTATTTTTCTTCCCTCCAAGTTTTTTGCAAGTGCAGCACAATTAAGCAGACTTATTTTTCTTCTTTGCATGACCTATCCAAGGCTGACCAGAAGTTCTGAGTGTGTGGGTGGTAGCTTTATGATGGATTGTGCCCACATTCAAAGAGACTCCTTCTCAGTTTGAGAACATCCCGACAGTGGGAGCCCAGATCCCTGCTGGACAGGTGCATCCCCCTTGGGGAAGTATCCACTATTTTAAAATCAGCTGCGGTCACAGAGCTCCAGGTCCCCCTCCACCCTCCCTGGGGAGATGAGGCTGGGCCTCAGCATCACACGGTCCTTACTTAGTGTTGCCATGTTTTCCATTGTACTCATATCCAATTCTTCCACAATGTGGCCCTATGGGAAAGAGGATGGTTATCACGCCCATGAACATGATGGCTTTCATATTCAAGGCAGCCTCGGACCCTGCCATTTTGAGTGAAGATGGGTCAGAACTGCCTCATGGAGCGTCTTAGACCATAGTGTTTACTACACATCTTGGTGTTCTTTTGTTTTCTCTGCAAGCATTACAGATAGATAGGTTTGCACAGATAATCTGAGAAGCCTGGCAAATGATGCAGATGTATCAGTATCCAGAGGTTTGACCCCCAGGTTTTTCCAAAGGCTAGGTACACCTGGAGGACACTTTAATAAGGTAGGAAAGGCATCAGCTTTTTGGTGTTTTTTTTTTGTTTTTTATGGTTTTTTTTTTTTTGAGACGGAGTCTCGCTCTTGTCGCCCAGGCTGGAGTGCAGTGGCACGATCTCGGCTCACTGCAAGCTCCACCTCCTGGGTTCACGCCATTCTCCTGCCTCAGCCTCCCAAGTAGCTGAGACCACAGGCACCCACCACCGTGCCCAGCTAATTTTTTTTTGTATTTTTAGTAGAGACATGTTATCCAGGATGGTCTCGATCTCCTGACCTCGTGATCTGCCCGCCTCGGCCTCCCAAAGTGCTGGGATTACAGGCATGAGACACTGTGCCTGGCCGGCATCAGCTTTTTTGGCAAATGTGCCTTGATATGAGTTGAGGAGGTTATTCCAAGCTGAGAGACCAGAACACACAAAGATATGGAGATGTGTGCTCAATGAGCTACACAGGCTTCTGGCAGATTCCCAGGAGCCAGAACACAGAGGGCTTTGCAGAGCTTGGACTTTTCCCAGTGGACAAATATTTCCTTAAGTGTGTTCCTTGGAACTGTTGGAGCCCTTGCAAAAAATAGTTCCGTGGTCAAAATATTTTGGGAAAGACTATACTTCACTTGTATAGTTGAGAACCACAGTGTATATCTGCAGATTAAAGACTCTGAGAAGCCCTGCAAACCCCATGAATATGTACAATTATTATGTTTCAATAAAAAAATTAGTGACACTAAAAATAAATAACACTAATAATTTTGTAAAACCCATTTAATGGAGTTTTTCCCCAAATTTACTTGGCCATATGGTCTTTTTTACTTGGTAACTCTGCAGGAAAGTGGGGTGATAATTGACATGGGAATTGACTACAAGGAAATAGAAAACAGATCAGTTCCTCCCTCTTCCATACTAGAGGATTTGATGTCAAGAGCCTGCTTAACCATCTCAGAAGTGTCTCATCCCCTTTTTCCATCTCTGAAATGTCTGTAGTGGACATTCTCATGCCATCTCCTGATACCAGCATCCCATGTCATGGGTGGGCCTTACATCTTTCCAAAATCTACCCCAAGGCCTTCTCTCAAGCTTAGGGAGATCACTAGGCCAGTGTAGCTCAGATGTGTGGGGGCGTTGACAGTGCTAGGGATGACCTTCAACCAGCAGGAGGCAAGAAACAGATGTCCCAGCTTCCCATTTTTCAGATGGATAATCTTGGGAAGTCTGTCCACAGCTCAAAGGACTCAACAGTGGCCTTGATAACACCCCCAACATTGGTTTTTTTTTTTTTTTAACATTCTCTCTCTCCTTCTGCCGTCACTTCTGCTTCCTAACATCATCTTCCAATAAATTACTTGAACCCAAGTTCCTACCTCAGGTGATGCTTTTAGGAGAAACACATATGGAAACAGTGTCTGAGTGTCAGGCTTTACCTCCATAGGCTGAGCAGCTGCAGCTGTCCTCTGGGCCCCAGAGTGAATCTCAAGGACCACACTGCGGGGGGCCTTGGTAAATTGCTGCTCTGGAGCCAGCATTAAAGTGTGGTAGGCCTATGCTACTTCTGGCCAGGTGGCCTTGGAAAGTCACTCAGGCTCAGAGCTTCAGTTTCCTCATCAGTCATGGGAGAATAATCCCACTTACCATGTGTTGTTGGTGGCAAGATTCAACAGCAGTGCTCAGATTGTCCCACTGCTTGGCACATGCTGATCTGCCAGCAAACAGCACCTATGATGACGCCATTGCTTTCGCATGACCTTCCTTTCCCTCTTCCCTCCCACTCTGTCTGTCCTCTCTCCCAGACATCTTTGTGCTGATTGCCTCTGTGCCAGTGGTTGCTGTGGGAAACCAAGGCAATGTTCTGGCCACCTCCCTGCGAAGCCTGCGCTTCCTGCAGATCCTGCGCATGCTGCGGATGGACCGGAGAGGTGGCACCTGGAAGCTTCTGGGCTCAGCCATCTGTGCCCACAGCAAAGTAAGTGTGGTGGAGAAACTGCAGGACCACATGGGCTTCCCACCCACCTATGCCCTTCCATGACATCCCTTCCTTTGCAGTGTCCCCAGAAGGCAGTCATTCTGCCACCCTTGATGATAACGACAAAGAGGAAGAGGAGGAGGAGAAACAGGAAGTGGCGGGGCTGGGGTAGGGGCAGGAGCAGGTGTGGTTCAGGGAGCAGGAACAGGTGAAACTGAGGTTAGGTATTGGCTCCACCATATGCAAATGACTTTGGCCAAGTTGCTCAGCCCTCTTTGGCCCTCAGTTTTCTCACTTTTAAAATAGGAATGATAATGCCTATTCCTTCAGATTTTTGAGAGGATGGAATGAGCTCATTCAAGGCCACATGCAGTGGGAGAAGAAGGCTTGGGGATCACACAGGTTGGTTTGAATCTGAACTCTGCCTCTGTGACGTTGGGAATTTTTTGCGTCTTGGTTTCTGCATTTATAAAATTAGAATAATAATGCATTGACTTCATAGGGTTAGATGAAGATGAAATGAATTGATATGTGAAGAGCACTTAGAAGGTACCAAGCTCATGGAGATTGTTCAGTTGCAATTATTATGTAAAGCCCAAAGCACAGTGCCTACAACTTAGTGCTTGACAAGGACTAGCTCATCCCATGAATCAGGCACTATTGCCACTCCATTACACTGACAAGAAAGAAAACACAGAAAGAGGAAGTACCCGCTCAAGGTCACGCAGTGGGATATAAACCCTGGCATTCCAGTTCTAGGGTTTGTGTCCAGTGGTTTGCTGCTGGTTTGCTGGGGTGGTGGTGCTCACCTCCCCCAGGTAGATCAGAATCCAGGAGGGATGGAACTCAGTCCATTCCTTTTCCAGAGTCCCACGTGGCTGAGCAGGTATGGAACCCAAGCAGCCAGAATCCAGTTCATTTAGATTCATGGTACTGCTTGTGTTTCCTTCCTATTCCTAACCCAGGTCTTTGGTAGCACTTTGTTTTAATCTAGCTGCTTTAGCTGGATTCTGGAGGAATGAAGGAAAACCCCTGTGTCTCAGCTCAGGCAGAAAAAAAATCCCGAGAGGAGAAATCAGGAGAAATCCCTGGGATGGATGTTCTTTGGGGGTACAAAGCCAAGCTTGCCTTGCTTCCCAAGAGAGTATCTTTTTGCACCCACCCTGGTAGGCATACTAGATGCTGTTGTTGTCCCACCTAGGTCTCTTTTAATAGGAACCCTATGACCATTTCCTCAATAATTACATGGAAATGTGTCACATACACTGAAATCCCTTTCTTGGGTTCTGTTTCTGGAGAGCTGGACCTGAGGCAGTGAGCCCTGGGCAATTTGACATTAAGGAGCTTAGAGTTTTCCTTATGCATGTTAACGTGACCATGCCACCTGTAGCTGGACAGCTCCAGAACATACCTTCACAACCCCTGGTTCTCTATCTCAAGGATGCACCTAGATACGTTGAAGGGGTAGTGGTTTCCTATGAGATTGCATCTCGGAGTAGAATATGAGCTTGAGAGTCAGACAGCAACTTGGCTCAAAATTCAGCTCTGCCACCTTCCAGCCAGAAGGCCTTAAAGATGTCATTCTATTTTAATGAGCCTCCTCAATGGTAAAAATGTGAATCCTCCTGGGTGCTCATGCGAGAAAATGTGCATTTAAGTGCCTGGTAAGTCATAGGTGCTCATTAATAGTAGTGTTTTTTATTCTGAATATGCTGTTCCTCACATACCATACACATAAGCATAGACATAAAGTGGAATGAAAGCATAAAATACCTGGGAATCTTTCAGCTTAGAATGCAATTTCTTGCCATCTGTGTTTTATTTTTTGTCTGTGCTACTTCTGGCTGCAGAATCAGTGAGGTCAGAGCATGCTTTACAGGCCCCTTTCTTTCTCCTGACCTTCTATTTTATCTTTTATCAAAGGACACGTTAATAAAACCCCTATGGGTTCAGCCATAACCTGTATCCATGGAGCTGAGTTGATTCACAGTTCTGGTCAACACTGGTGCTAAAAATTGCTGGTTTAGGCCCTTGTCCTGTGTTCCTCTAGACTATAATAGATCCCCAGTGCCTGCTGGCTTTTGCCATGTAATTACCAGAGACCATTGGAAGTTTGTGATATAATTCCTCAGTATATATGGATTTGCACAACAGCCAGACGCCAGTGAGGCAGAGACTGTTTCCCAGGGGTGGGAATGGGCTCTGGAGCAGAGCTCTCTGCACATAGACTTAGATTTACAGGCTGTTGTTAGACTCCAAAGTACATGTTGTGAGTCCTCCCGAAAGCTGTGCTACCAGAGCTGGGAGGAAGCTCTTCCCCAAGGAAATCACCAAGAGTACTGGCAAATGGACATTTATCAATTCATTTCTTCATTCATTTATTCATTGTACTCTGGGCCGGGTACTATGGCTAACTCTTCTGGGCACTCAAAGATCAAGTGTGGGAGGCTCTGTTGCACAGGGTTAAACTTTCAAAGTTAATGCTTTCACTAGTTAGGATAGGTCAGGTTCTCCTCCCAAAATAAATGAGCCCTAGAGCTCCCACCACCCAGCACAAAAACCTAGACGTCTTCTGGCTTACAGTGTATCCGATGTGTGCTGGGTGGGCCCCTTTCGTCTTGAATTATGAGGACTTGAGTCACCAAGGCAGGGGAAAGGAACCTGGAGAATCCTGCAGAATGGATTTAAGGGACAAGGAGGGATTCACTCCCATCACTTTTCCATATTGGCTGGACCCCAGTCCCTTAGCCTCAACTTGACTGCAGGGGAGCCTCAGCAGGTAGAGGAGCTACCTGTTGGGGAACAGTCACAGGTTCTGCCACAGAGCTGCTAGCAAAAATTGTATAAAGTCAGAATTATTTGGAATAACTGCAAAGTAAATGACTCCAAAGTACAGAATTAGGACCCATTTTCACTCCTTAATGGTGACTGTTATACCATCTCTTATTAATCCAGAACAGTCAGTTTTTATGTGCACACAGAAACAGACAACTGTTGATTTGGTTAAGTGCCAGATGAAACTTCTGACTTGCATTTGGGGGCCAGAGAGTATGAAAAAACATATAAGCACTAGGACCACACTCCATAGGCGAGAGGCTTATGCCCAGGCAATCACTGGGTAAGGACTAGTCCATGTACGTTTCCGTCCTCAAATTCCCTGCAGCACAGAACCTCGCTCACCAAAGAGAATGGCTGGCTGGGTCGCCTGTATTATCTAAGTGAACCCCTCTGCTATAGACCAAACTCACACCCGTACAATGTGTATGTGATGCTGTGGGCAAGGCCAGAGCATAATAGCAAATGAGCATAATAAAATGTTGGAGGCTTGGAGAAGTATGTTTAGAAAATGGGGAGGGAATAAAGGAACCACAGCTGAACTCTATCTTTCATTGGGGGAGCAAACATCTAGAAAAATTTCATAGTGGAGGTGACATGAGTCTGAAGATGACTCCATGCTCTTTGGTTGGTCCCAGTGTGGGAGGGCTATTCAGACTGCAGGACCCATGTGAGCCAAGTCCTGCAGGGAGGCAGGAAGCAACCCTGTCAGGAAGATTCTATTGGCCCAGAAGGGCCAGCTGACTGGCCGCAGATGGTCAGATACAGGAAGGATATCAATGTGAACAACTTTGTTCTCTGAGATGACTCAGCAAGAATGACAGACAGTCTTAAATCTCCAGATTGTGTTCACCAATAACCTTGCCTTTCTTCCTGCCCAACCTACTATGATAAATCTTGAAACTGGAATAGAATGAGAGAAAGAGAGAAAGTTGGAGCTGGAAGGAGCATTAGGTCTTGTCTCCATTAGGGGTTTTGAAACTTCAGTGAAGTTTCCATCCATACCATCCTGACTATTACTTAACACTTTTCATTAAATCACCTTACTCTTGTTTACTTAGTCATATGTCCTAGTCTATTATATGATAATATCCATGAAATTACAGGCTTGATACCTTCTTTTGCATAGGCTCTAAATCAATATTTAATGTAAAGCTGCATTTCACCAGTGGTACACAAAACGATTTCAGGAACTCTGTGGCTCTGTCCCTTCATTTAACAAATGAAGATACTGAGATTTGGGAGAAGAGGAGAATTTGCCCAAGGCCACACCATAAACTGGTGTCAGGGCTGGGTCTCTGGACAGAGACCCTGCTTTCCTGGTTGTACCGAGCTTTCTCCTTGCTCTACGCAGTCCTGCATAGACCCAAGTCTCCTGAGTCCTGAGCCTTGTATTAGAAGAAGGAGCCACTTCCTCCTGCCTTCTTGCCTTCCTCTGAAGCCTCTTGAGCTGTGATATTGAAGTGGCCCTAAGCTAGAAATCTTCCTCTCCTCCTGGAGCCATACACTTTTTCTGTTAATTAATGATGAAATAACTACCATGTTAATGATCCCATTTTACAGTGATGGAAGATGAAGATCAGAGAAGGTGAGTGATTTGACCACAGTCACAGAGCTGGTAAACTTGGACTCTAACTCTGGTGTGTCTGGCTCCAGCATCCACTCAACGACTCCCCAGTGACCACTTTTCATGTCCACTGTTCATTCTTTCAGGAACTCATCACGGCCTGGTACATCGGTTTCCTGACACTCATCCTTTCTTCATTTCTTGTCTACCTGGTTGAGAAAGACGTCCCAGAGGTGGATGCACAAGGAGAGGAGATGAAAGAGGAGTTTGAGACCTATGCAGATGCCCTGTGGTGGGGCCTGGTGAGTCACTACCTTGGAGGCCAATTCTGTGAGATTGACTGTCAAGAGTCAGAGAGAGGTGGAGGGCATCACATGAGCATGTTCAGCCAGGCAGCTGCATTCTGCAGTCAGAGGTAAGCTCTAGACCAATTTCAGCTCAGAACCTGCTGACAGAAGACCCTCCTTCAAGGTGGGCACTTGGAATTGACTTTTCTCTAGCGTTTATAAGAAGCCAGGGCTTGGAACAGCCTGGTTGCATGGTCGTTTATGGACTTAGCCTTATTAGTCATAGGCTATTTTCAGCCAAGCCATGCATGTGCAAACAAACCCAGTGACAGATACACATGTGTGCTCACACAGACCTGTGTGTGCACAACCCTACACCCACAAGGACACACAGTACTAAAGCTGGCATTCACTGAAGGCTTTCTTTGCTCCAGAGCATCTCTCTGGGTGCTTTACTTTCACTAACCTACTTTAAACTCAAACAACTTCTATCATTAGCTCTTTTTAAAAGTAGGGAAACTGAAGCATGAAGAAGTTAAGTAACTTCAAGGTCTTTCAGCCAGTAAGTGGCTAACCTGGGATTTGAAGTCAGATAGTTAGGCTCCGGAGGCCACACTGTCAACTGCTCTGATAATCCTGCCTTTCACATGCAGATACACATGCATAAGTACATGTATACTGATAACATAAACATGTAAACACACACAAGAATATACTAAACACACCAGAACAGATACATGCACAGACATTAGACATACACACATATATACACAATACATACAAATATACTCACAAGCACACATATATTCACAAACATGGCTATAAATAAAATCACAAATTCACAAATATACACACACATGAATGCTCGTGTACATACACATTTGCAATTGCTGAAATATTTGTTGACTGACTAAGGTAGGAAACCCTTAACTTATCAACAAGTCTCAAGGCATCCATATAAGTTAGTAGGTACTTGGTGTCTTTTCTCCTAAGGGAACCTTGTTATGAATGGGAGCATTGCCCAAGCTGATGGAGAGGCTTACAGGTAGAGCTCAGTTAACACGTTCCTGATATTCCTCTCCATGTGGTACTCCATGTCTGAACTCTTCTCTCTTCAGATCACACTGGCCACCATTGGCTATGGAGACAAGACACCCAAAACGTGGGAAGGCCGTCTGATTGCCGCCACCTTTTCCTTAATTGGCGTCTCCTTTTTTGCCCTTCCAGCGGTAAGTACCTTTGATATATGACATCCCCAATGTGACGTGCAGGACCCCTTACCGCCTGGTGCCAGCTCAACTTTCCAGTGTCATCTTCTATCCTCTTATACCCTACCAACTCCCTAGCCATTCCCTTAAGCATGATGATCCTGCCTTTTTGCCACAGGCCCTGCTGCTTTCCTTTGCCAAAGATTTCTTCACACATCAACTCCTCTTTCAATGCTGCCTTCTTTAGGCTGAGCTAGTCGCTCTGGGCATAACTCTGGGAATAATTCTGTAAAGGAGTTTCTGGCCCTATGCTAGGATTACACATTTCTAGATCTGCCTTCCCCAGAGGACTGTGAATTCCTTGGGTTCTGGGATTATATTTTTCATTCATGCATTCCCAGTGCCTTGCACGGAGCAGGTCCTTCATTTATGTGAGTTCCCTTCTCTTGTCCTGTTACTTACTGGCTTATGTAAAAAATACATGTCTCTCAAGAATAAGCCTTGACCTATGATAGAGTAACTTCCCCAACGCCCAGTGTCCAGGTACGTAATAATAATGAAAGCAGATTGCATTTGTTGAACTCACTGTGTGCCTGAATCATGCCAAATGCTTTACCCACATCATCTCATTTAATCTTCATGGCAACATTATGGGTCGGGTGCTGTTTTTATCTCAATTTTTCAAATGTGAAACCCGAGACTTAATTGGGTTAGTAAATTTTCTACAGCCACAAGGCTACTGTGTTGTAGAGCCAGGAATCCCAAGTCCACTGGTTCTAAAACCTGGCTCTTAATCATGAAGCTTGAAAAAAACTTTTAAGTAACAATCTCCCTGCCACCCACTTCCTCTTCCATTCTTTCATTGGTGATGTTCTTTCTCTATTTGCAGCCCTACCTTGTCGGTTTTTTTCCTAAGCTATTTGACCTTGAGCAAATGACCTTCTTAAATCTCAGTTTTCTCATTGATGAGTCAGGGCCATAGGAATGTTGCAAGATCTTCAAGTTCTCTTTCAGCTTGGAAAGTGTGTGTTTCTGGCCACTTAATCCACTGGCAAGTCTGACCTGAAAATCAAAACAGATCCCAATTCTGGGAAGTTCCGGCTATAGTCAAAGTATCACGTGACAGTTCAAGCAGCTAAAATATTTTTAAAACTCAGTTAACATTACTGGGCATCTATTTTGTGCAGTACCCCTTACTGGCAGTTTATAAAGGTTATCTCACTTTTTTCTAATCATGCATTAGGTATTATTATCCCACATCCCTATAGAAAAAACCAATATGCAACAGGGCTAAGGGGCTTGCCCAGGCCCTCACACCTGGAAAGTGGCAGTGTCAGAATTGGAACCCAGGTCTTCCTGACTTCAAGGCTCATTTCACTTAACCAAGCTCCCTACTCTCTTCAAGAGAAGGAAGGGCTCTTTCCCCCTTCCCTTCTTTGTACAGTGTTGTCACTGCAAGGACTTGAAGTGCAATTGAGCCCTACAGTCCCCATTACCCTGGCAATGGAGCGGGAATGCTGGGACAGTCTAGCTGGGGGCTGACTGCCTGCCTGCCTCTCCCTCCAGGGCATCCTGGGGTCCGGGCTGGCCCTCAAGGTGCAGGAGCAACACCGTCAGAAGCACTTTGAGAAAAGGAGGAAGCCAGCTGCTGAGCTCATTCAGGTCTGTCTGCCTGGGAATGAACTGGAATGGGATTAAGATCCATGCATATGTACATACGTGTGTGTGTGTGTATGTGTGCATGTGTGCACATGTGGAGGGGACATACTCATGAACTGGGACAGGACCCAGGATTCCATGTGTGTCTGTGTGTCTTGTGTGTCTGTGTGTGTGTGTGTGTGTGTGTGTGTGTGTGTGTGTGTATTAATGTGCCCAGGCAGGAGCAGGCCTGCTTGCACATGCTTACTTGTGGATGGCTATGGGGAGTTTCCATGGGTATCTATTTCACCTGTTCTTCTGTGTACTGAAGGTGACAATCCTGTCACTCTCTCATTCAGTTTCTAAGCCAAGAAAGAAATAGACACAGAACTCAAGGACCAACCTATCAGCTTTTTTTTGATACGGTGGTTTTTTGAGTTTTTTTTGAGACTCTCTTGTCCAGGCTGGAGTGTAGGGTGCGATCATAGCTCACTGCAGCCTCCATCTCCCAGGCTCAAGCAATCCTCCCACCTCAGCCTCCTGAGTAGTTGGGACCACAGGCATGCACCACCACACGTACCACCATGTACACCACTAGACCTGGTTAATTTTTTTAATTTTTTTTTTTTGTAGAGATGAGGTCTTACTATGTTGCCCAGGCTGGCCTCAAACTCCTGCACTCAAGCCATCCTCCTGCTTTGGCCTCCCAGAGTTCTGGGATTATAGGCATGAGTTGTGGCACGTGGCCTCAGCTTTTTTACTGATGGTGTGTTGGAGATGAGAATTTGGCTTGGACCTGGGGCTGCACTAGGCTTTCTTCTCCTTCTACTTCCCCTCAGATTTGGCCTAGGGACCCATAGGGAAGAGTCAGCCTAAAGTCCAGGTACTTAGCCAATCAGCTACAAGGAGAACAGTCTCTGTCACATCTGCCAAGCAGAGAGCCCATAAGCCAAGAGAGAAAGAGATGCCTTACATGTGCAAAATATTAAACACTTTTCCCATTTGTGCTGCCCAGTAGACAACCATGGACCAGAGGATGTTGGACATGCACCTGCCAGCCTTCCATCTCCATCACTAGCCTCACATGGGCTGGGGGTTGCAGGGAGCAGTGAGAGGTGATGAGAGAGGCAGAAGTGTTTCCTCTTATATTTCAGAGGGAGTTCCTGCTTTGTTTTAATGGGTTATTGGAGGATGAGGGCACAGTGAATAGGAAAGCAGAGTGTCCTGTCTACAGCTGCCTGTGTGCGAGGGCATGGCCACCCACTGGTGAGCTTTCTCCAGTTGTAGTGAGTGTCTCTGTGGGTCTGTGTGCCTGACTCTAGATGGTGCATGATGTCATCCCGCATATTGTGGTTCCTAGGCCTGTCCCAGTTTCCAAGAGCCTGACCCATTAACTCCCCACACCCCAAACCATCAGAGAATCCTAGAGATTCTAGGATATTTATGTCAAAACCTCATCTGGTAGGCTTTCTCTTGCACCCAGAAATGGTACAAAAGACTCTGTTCTCCTATATATTTGACTGAGAAGTCTCAGGGAATCTTCTGGAAAGAGTGGCACTTGTTTCTGTTTATTTTTAAATATTTTATTGTTTACTTTTTTTTGAGACAGGGTCTTTTACTCTATACCCAGGTTGGAGTGCAGTGGTGCGATCACGGCTCACTGCAGCCTCAACCTCCTGGGCTCAATTTATCCTCCCACTTCAGCCTCCCAGGTAGCCGGAACTACAGGCACGTGCCACCAAGCCCAGCTTTGTTCTTTTTTTTTTTTTTTTTGTAGAGATGAAGTTTAATTATGTTGCCCAGGCTGGTCTCCAACTCTTGGCCTCAAGTGATCCTCCCACCTTGGTCTCCCAAAGTGCTGGGATTACAGGCGTGAGCCATAGCACCGGCCTTTAGTACTTGTTCCTTTCAGGGATTTTATGCCTACTACTCTCTTCTCTCCCTCCACTCCAGTTCATCTCTCCATTCCCCCACTCACCACAACACCAATTATAGCTCCAAGATGGTCAAGGAAGTTTTTCTTCCCAAAGCAGCTTCAAAAAGCCAAGAATCTCGGTTTTTCTGAATGTTGGCTCAATGCACATTCAAATTCTTAGGAGTCCAGGGCTTAAACATTGTTTTGTTGGTGTGGGAGTCTGTGCGAAAGTTTCAGGTGGTGCCCACTCATTGTTGCCCCTCTTTTCTGCCCCTCAGGCTGCCTGGAGGTATTATGCTACCAACCCCAACAGGATTGACCTGGTGGCGACATGGAGATTTTATGAATCAGTCGTCTCTTTTCCTTTCTTCAGGCAAGTGGGGACTCACCTGAATGCTCAGGGCGTGACCAGCCATCTCTCCTGCGGTCTGTATTCGTGTCTGTGGCCTCACGGGTCCCTGGAGAACACTCTTCAGGGCAATGTTCCCCAATTTGGGCTGCACCCTAGAATTATCTGGTAGCTTAAACAGTTCTGGCTGGGCGCGGTGGCTCACACCCATAATCCCAGCACTTTGGGAGGCCGAGGCGGGTGGATCACCTGAGGTCAGGAGTTCCATACCAGCCTGGCCAACATGGTGAAATCCCGTTCCTACTAAAAATGCAAAAATTAGCCGGGCGTGGTGGTGTGTGCCTGTAATCCCAGCTACTCAGGAGGCTGAGGCAGGAGAATTGCTTGAACCCAGGAAATGGAGGTTCTGTGACCAGAGATTGTGCTACAGCACTTCAGCCTGGGCAACACAGTGAGCGTGAGACCCTTTCTCAAAAAATTAAAAATAAAAATAAAAATAAAGAAAAAAAAAATCTGATGCCTAGGCCACACCTCAAGCTAATTAAGTCAGAATCCCCAGGGCCGGGGCCGCAGCATCAGTATATTTGATGCTCCCCAGGTGATTCCTCTGTGCAGCCAGGGCTTCCCAGTTAGCCAGCACAGAGTGGCATGGAGTAGCTGATAAGGAAAGGTCCGATCAATGTGTGAGCAGGATCAGTGGGTTGAGGAAGTGGGCAGCCCACACAATGAGCCACCCTGAAATCTTGGATGTTCCTCCAACCTGGGCATGGCCTGCACCCACAGACTACTCTGGACTCCAGGAAAGGAAATGCGGAAGAGGACAGCAGGAAGAGTCCTCTAGCCACCCAGAGACGCTGTTTCGTGTTCTCAGAGGTGGGAGATTGAACTAAAGATCTCAGAGAAAAATAAGAACCTTTTTCTATGGTTATGGAAAAGGGAAGGCAAAATTAATATGCATTGGATGCCCACTATGCTCTAGGCATTCGAGTTCATTATTTCATTTATTCCCCACAGGTACCCTATAAAATAAGTCAGAAGATTTGAGGTGCATCAGACTTAATGGGGGTATTGTGCAAAGTAGATCTGGCCTCCACTTTCAGCAATTCTGATGGAAGTGTGATGGTAAATGCATCCTGAACAGGAGCCCCTGGGGTGGGGCTGAGCCAGTGGCCCAGAGTCCACACCTGGAGCCAGGCTGAATGGTTTAAACTCCCAGGCTACTTTCAGAGAAGCTAGCAGAGTCAGGCTCTGACACTTTGAACCAATGTCAGCTACATCTGGAGGCTTTCAAAGCCCATGGTCTTTTCACTACTTGAGCTTCTAGAACAGAGTGCATTTTTTTGTTTTTGATACTAGGGGCCTGAGCTCAGATTGTTAAGCGTATGGGTAGTGTGCTGGACTCCTAGAACCCTTGACTTGGAAAGAAACATAGATGGACAGTTAGCCTCATAGTTGGGGCTGGAACCTGCCTCAAAGCAAGTTTCTGTCATTGTGTCTACAGGTTCAGTGGACCCTCATATAACCCAATGCTACTAGATAGGGGGCTCTCTCTGTGCCCAGCCACAACTCCTCTGCAAACACACACACACACACACACACACACACACACACACACACACACACACACACACACACACACATATTCATTATCCTCAATTTCTCTTTCTACTCCCATCTCCAGATTATGGAAATAGAAGAGAATTGCAACTCATTTTCCGGCATAAAACCTTCCAGTCAGTGACCATGACAAAGTAAAGAAAGTCCAAAACCTGACCATGACCTCCAGGACCCTGAAAGATTGGGCCCCTGATCACCACCGCCACACACCTCCTATCTTGCTTTCACTCCTCAAAAGGTTCTGGTGGCAGGTGCCACTTTCTGTTCAGGGCACTCAGGGCACTCCGTCCACTAATATTTTTGATCCCCTTGTATGTGTTAATCACTGGGACAACCATGGAGGGTCACGGGTGACTTGCAGAGGAATCTAACTTTGATCCTGAAGGCAATGAGAAGCTAGATGAGCCAGAGAATGACATCAGTAGATCTACTTTTCAGGAAGATGATAGCAAAGAGTGTGGAGGATGGATCTATGGACTCAAGTCAAAGCAAGAAGATCAGCTAGCAAATATTGCAGGGTTCAGAGTAAGAGGAAATGAGGGCCTAGACCAAGGTAAAAGCAGTTCGAAGGGGGAGTAGAAGGAGGACCTGAAAGAGAACAGGCAAAAGGGACCCATGACTGGTGGGAGAGTTAGAGGGGTCAGAGGAAGCAAGTCTTCAATAAAAGAATGGGAAAGTTTGGGTATACTTACTTGTAACTAGACTTACTTGCTCAGAACATGACTTACATGTTTCCATTTGATTCTAAAATGCTATCCCTGTTATAATCATTGAAGATTTGGGATAGCATAAAGCAGAGTCTTCTTAGAATGGGCAGATGACTTCCCCTTAAGAGACCACAGTGACCTTGAACTCAAACAAGAACACTTTGGATGCAGAACCAAGACAATTTCCATTTGGTATGCATCCCAAGGTGTTGGCAATGGGCCCATTCTTTTGGGTTGATGTATTATAAATAAGGCATTGTCCTAGCTGTCAGAGACTTGGAGGAATACATTGTGCTGCAGACAGCTGCTGTGATATGAGAATGGTTTTTAAACTAAGAGAATATATTTCTTTCTTTCTTTTTTCAAGGACGAAAGTATAATGTCCCTAGAGAAATTCATTTAGCAACCATTCTGAAGCAAGGCAGTCCCTTGGGAAAAGAATGTCCCTGAATTCCAACCCACTCTGTATGTTAATGGCAAAGAAGTAGCTGACGACACACTGGTGTTTTCTTACCTACCTCCTAAAGGTTTTCTTGTCTTTTGTTTATGCTTGTTTTAATAACAACTTTCTTGAGATACATTTCAAAACTCACAAGAGGATTTTATATACCATAAAAGGTACCCTTTTAAAGTGAACAGTTCAGTGGTTTTGAGTATATTCACAAAGTGGGGTATCAATCACCACTATCTAATTCTAGAACAATTTTATTATCCCAGGAAGAAATTCTGTCCCAGTGAGCAGATACTCCTGGTTCCGTCTTCTCCTCAGCCCCTGCAATCACTATCTACTTTCTGTCTTTCTTTCACCTATCCTGAACGTTTCATAGTATAATGAAATCATATGATATATTGTCTTTCTTTTATGCATGGTTTCTTTCACTTTGCATAATGTTTTCAAGTTTCATTTGTGTTGTAGCGCCTATCAGAACCTTTTTCCTTTTTATAGCCAAATAATATTTGATTATATATACCACATTGTGTTTAATGATTCATCAGGTGTTGGAAATTTGGGTTGTTTCCACTTTTTGGCTTTTGTGAATAATGCTGCTATGAACATTCACATACACATTCTATGGACATATGTTTTCAACTCTCTTGGGTATATGCCTAGGAGTAGGATTGGTAAGTCTATGTTTAACTTCCTGAGGAACTGCCAGACTGTTTTCCATAGTGGCTGCACCATTTTAGATTCCTGCCAAAGGTTTGGAAGGATGAAGTTGCGTAGCCCATCTGCAACATGATGCCATATCACAATTTTCAGCTTAGTGTAGTTCTTTGTTAATTTGCAAGTATCTGTGTTTTGGGGGCTAGCAGTGATGGATGACGGTGGTCTGTTCTTATTTTTTTTATTACAAATTATAATTATAAACTCATTGTTTTGGAATTGCAAAGAACTTCAAAGAGTTTCAAGTCCAAACCCAATTTTCTATGAGAAAAACCTGAGAGCCCCCAGAAGTTCAGGAACCCCCAAGAAGTTCAGGCCACATACCATGCTGGGCATAACTGAGGGCAAACCCAGGTCTTCTGATCTGCTGACCAGTGGAGACTGAATGGACTTAGTACAAGTTGGTCATAAGGGTCCGAGGGGGTACAGGAAGATGCTGGGGTAGGAGTGATGGCAGATTATACGTTCTTATATACAAGCAGGGATGAGGGAAGCTGTTAAAAATCAGACATTGCTTTTTATAAACAGAGCATGTGCATTGTTTTATTCCTGGTAGGGAGAGTGGAATTATGTCTGGCTTTTCATTTTCTATAGCTGCACCGTTCAATATGGTAGCCACTAGCCTCATGTGGCTAGTGAGAATTTGACTGTTAGCAGTGCAATTGAGGAACAGATTTTTTAATTTTAAAGTAAATAACCTTCTATGACTAATGACTACTCTATTGGACAGCACAGCTCTGGAATTGTTAGCTATGAGAACTGAAATGGAGATAAGAAGACTTCGCCCACGATGTAGAAAATACTTGACCAAGAACAGGTAGTTCATTGTGTAACCAGGACTTGTTCCTTTTACGACCAGGGTCAAGATTATTGGAGTGCTTAGAAATGGAGAAAGGGGACTATATGCACTAGTCATTTCCTATGGCCAAATAACATTGGATCTGCTTTCATACATACTATCTTATTTAAGCTTTAGGATGTCCTGGAAGGTAAGTAGAAGGGGTAACTCCATTTTTCATAACCCCATTTTTATAGGTAAAGAATAAGAGAGTCAATGAGATTAATTAGCTTGCTTAATATCGCTCAGCTGATAAGTGATGGAACAAAGATTGGAACTCAGGTCTTGTGCCAAAACCTATGTTTTTATTTTGCATTGTATCTCTGGGAAGAAAACATTATTTAGGGAGAAAACTGGATAAAAGTAAGATGACACAAGGGTTGTTTGGATAATAAGACCCATTTTTGAAGATTGTTGTTTGGATGGTCAAACTGAGTAAAATGTGTGAGAGTGGTTGTCTTAGTCCCTAGCCCATAGCAAGTGTTCAGTCTCGGCTGATTGAATCTGGGCTGCAAGGGAGTATTGATGCCGAAGGGGAAAGGAAGCCTCCGAATTACTGCCCTGGGAAACCACTGTTAGCAACCATGATCTAGAACACTCTGGAATGTTGTTAAAACCCTTTTATTCATTTAGTCCATTCATTTAGCATATATTTATTGATCATCCCTTATGTGCACTCTATTTGGTATTGGGGATCTAACAGTTAACTGGACAGGTCAACTGCACTGGTCCTTTCCTATCATAAGGGTAGTGAAGATAAGATAGGGATGTGCTCATGGGATGTTGTGACTTGGAGTTGGCTGGGGCTTTGGCTAGAGCAATCTCAGTGGAGTACTGGACACAGAAGCCAGATGACATGAACTGAAGGGTGATGAGGAAATGAGCAAGTGGGTTCAGTGAGTGTAGGTGACAGCTGGAGTGGATGTGAGGCCAAGAATTTTTTTCTTTGATGGAAAGGGTCTAGTAGAGAAGGATAAATGTGCATATGGGAGAAGGGGAAAGACTAGAGGAGAGAGAAGCAGAGATGGCCTGGTCTGTGGAGTATGGGCCTTCATTAAGAGCATGGGCCCTTCATCCATTGGCACAAAACAGAAGTCCGGTGAGTGGAGCCAGATGGTGAGACCATGGGTAGATCTCAGTGAGAGGGGAGTCAAGGTCATCAGCTGGGAGGAAGGTGGAGAAGTGAGAGAAGTCTGATGGTAGAAGAGGAAGCATGAAATACTCATCGTGGAGAGTGAAAGAGGAATGGACAGTGCTAATCCTTTAAACTTTCTCCCTACCATGCCTTCTCTTCCAATATGCTCTTCAGCTGCCCCCTTGCCCTTTCCTTCCCCTTACTACCTTTCCTACTTCTCCTGGCCTCAGAGACTCAGAACATCCTAGAGAGTCACAGCTTTCTGTGTCCACCTGCTTTGTGATCAACTAACTCATCACTTTATTGTGCTCGCGGGGAAATGGGCCCAGAGAATGTATGGCCAGCCCAAGGCCACACTGTAACTAAATGCTGAGCTGACCCTCAAAGCAGAAATTCTTAACTCTTTTACTTCTCTGCCATGATTCTCTTGTTCTGTCTTCATCCCTCCCACCCATGGATCCCTATGTTAGGCCAGTCATTCTTTCAACATTTAGTGAGCACTCTCACGTGCTGGGCTCCAGAGTGCTCATATTTTAGACAAGAAAAAAAAAAAACGAGACTACATGTAATTCTACTACAATGTGATCCACGTAATAATGACAGAGTACCATTCCACTTGTGAGGGGATTTGCTCAGTGTAGACCTTGGGCAATTGAATAAGAACCCCTAGGAGGGCCCCTCCAGGTGTACATAAAGGATGAGTAGGACTGTTCCAAGCAGGGAAAAGAGGAAGGGAGTTCCAGGCAGAAGGAGAGCCTGAGAAAAGGCTTGGAGTCATGAATATGTGTAAAGCACGGCTGGTGCACCTCCCAGTTAGGAGTGAGGGCTCCAGAGCCAGATCACCTGGGTTTGGATCCTGACTTTGCTGCCTCCTAACTGTGAGCCCTTGAGCAATTCATTTAATCCCTCTGTGCCTCAATTTTCTCCTCAGGGAAATGGGATGATAATAGTACTTCATAGGGTTGTTATGAGGATTAATTGAGTTAAGACAATGTTCGCTATGATGACAATGGTAGTGACAAAGTTATGGGGGTGTGTGACTGCTACATTATGACATTCCTGGTTTCCTGGTCTGTCTCCACCACCAAATAAATTTCCTGAGCTCAACATGAGAGCTGGGGCAGAGTAAGTGCTCAGCAACCATTTTCTGGATGAATAAATGAATGAATGACTGGCTGAAAAGAGCCCTGAAAACCTCAGAGCCAACGGGAGTAGCATGGGCTGGGGTCTGGATGGGTAAACCCGCCTCCTTCATTGGTTCCCTCCACACTGACCATCCTGTCCTAGAGCTCAACTCTGCTCCATCATCTTCAGAGAGAAGCTTTGCAGCAATCTTTCGAGGAAGGATACAGCTGTTTCACGTAATTTATGCTTTATTTTTTCTCCCTCTTCTCTTTCTAGGAAAGAACAGCTGGAGGCAGCATCCAGGTAAGTTTCTGATTATGAATTCCCTTCTTCACATCTCTGTGTCAAGACAGAGCATCCTGCTCCATATGGTGTAGGGCCCCATGGGAGGTCATGCTGGTCCCAAGATAGAGTCTTTGGGGTCACACTGTTGCTGACCACCATAGTCCTCTGCCTGGTTTCCTTCTGGTTGATCTGAGGGAAACTTAATAGGAATCATGGCAGCAGCCTCTTATTGAGGGTCTGGGTTCTGTGTCAGGAGTTCTGCATATGTTATCTCATTTGGTCTTCATAACCACAATGTAAGATAGGCCCTAATATCATCCCTTGTGGATGAGGAGATTGTGGCTCAGAGAGGTTGGGTTGAGATTGAGTGGCAAGACCAAAATTCAAAGTCAGGTGCAAATATTAAGACCATGTTATTTTCATGATATATCATTTCATCTGCTTCTTGGGCTCACAGATGGTAAGTTGACTCGAGACTGTAATTCATGATCATCATGACTGTGGAGGTTTCCCAGTAAACCACATCTATCTATATACCTATATGACATGTAGAAACCATTTTTAAACGATTATTATTGACCAATCATTTGTGAGTCCTCACAATCAATCTCCTGGACACTAAGTCCAAATGCTCTCCTCCTAGTGCTGACAGAATTTGGGCAGAGGAGGTGAGAGGACCCTGGACTACCTTATAGGGGAGCCACTTGAGAACAGTGGCCTTTGGGAGGCCAAGTCAAATCCTCCCAAGTGTTTCCATGAAGCCCTATCCACACAAAATCCCACTTGGAAGAGACAATTACTGACAGTGTCAGTTCTGTTTCCTTTGGGTGTGTTTTCAAATGAACCACGTGGTTCTTTCCTGGACCCACTTAGGACTGTAAGGGCCTTTGAGGAGATCGTAAAGGAGGGTTAGGTGAATGACAGTAATGGTGTCAGGACATTCACTAGAGAATCTTCAGCAGCTCGTGGCTCCCAGAGGCAGAGTGAAAGGACACCACAGAGATCTCTGCAGATAATTCTATGGAAACCAAGGTCCCTGGAGAGGACAGGCTCATCCCACATCACACACCCCATAAGCACCAGGAGTAGATGATCAAGGTCTCAAGACTCCCAACAGGGTGTTCTTTGCTTTCCTTCTTTCATGACCAACAGGTTTATAAATCGTGCAGATTTTGACACTGCAAGTGAATTATTAAATCTACCTTTAGAGCCTTTTCTATACAGACATGAAGAAAATTCATTGAAATCTGCATTCAAATATCACTGTGCCCTGGATTCAGCACTTCCGGTTTAATTAGGGCTCAGATAGATGCATTTTGAGGCTTTCCTGGGGATGCCTCCCTAGAAAAGGGGCTTCTGATATCTTGTAATCAACTTGCTCATGTCCCTTTCAAGAACCCCCCACTCTGCCAAGAGCACAGAGGGAAAATCTATCCCATTATTGCTGGGTGTTTGGTGGCTCACCCACCTCAGAGAAGAAGAGCAAAGTCATTATGTAAGTCACTCAGTCTCCTTCATCCAGGGTTGGGACAGAGTCAGACTGGCTGATGCATTAGCAGTTGAGATGCCAGGTGTGATTATAGCTGCATAGCCTACAGATGGAAATGAGACCTGGAGATGGGATGCAAGAATTGCCAACAGAGGAATCAATTCCTTTACGCAGGAGGCGGGGAACCAAGTGACTACAGAATGTCAGGAATGTATGTGTGCATTAGGGTCACACTTGATGGTATGCATTTTCCACCTTACAATAGCTTCTTCAACAGGCCGACAGCCACCTGGTGTTCCAACCTTCCTTTATTCATATTTCTTTTTTTTTTCTTTTTCTTTTTCTTTTTTGTTTTTTGTTTTTTTGAGATGAAGTCTTGCTCTGTTGCCCAGGCTGGAGTGCAGTGGCACAGTCTCGGCTCACTGAAACCTCTGCTTCCTGGGTTCAAGTGATTCTCCCGCCTCAGCCTTCCAAGTAGATGAAATGATAGGCGAGCACCACCACACCCGGCTAATTTTTGTATCTTTTTTAGTAGAGACGGGGTTTCACCATGTTGGCCAAGCTAGTCTCAAACTCCTGACCTCAGGTGATCCGCCCGTCTTGGTCTCCCATAGTGCTGGGATTACAGGCATGAGCCACCGGGCCCAGCCCCTTTATTCATATTTCTAAATAGAGTCAGATTTGGAGTTTATCTTATCGCCTCCTTCTAGCATAGGTAGCCTATACACTTGTTTATTTGTCAGGCTGATGAAAGAATTATATTCTCTGTAACTTAACATGCTGGTGCTATATTGGGGATAAGAAAAATGACTTTCCAGTCAGGTTATTGGAAAAAGCTCAAGTCCATATTTAGTTATAAAGCTATGGCTTTATAAGGGCTGTCTTGAATGTTTTGATTTACGTGGACTTGTCTGTGGAACATAAGCCCAGCTGAATTCTTACAATGACTGGGAGGTTGGCTTTGATAATTTTATGCTAAGCATTTTACATATGTCATCTTATTTGATTCTCATGAAAGTGAAGGCAGCTGACACCCTCCCATCCCTTCTCACCTAGTTTAGATGCCCAACTCATGATGCCCTGAGGTAGGACTCAGAACTTCCCTAATAAAGCATATATACTTTATAACGCTCGGCCCCTAGTAAGCCCACGGTAGAAGTTGGCTCTTTTCTTTCTGATTAACCTTAGAATCAGAAAGCCTGAGAAGGAAGCATAAAATTATCAAAGCCAACCTCCCACTCATTGTAAGAATTCAACTGAGCTTTTATTCCTCAAACAAATCCTCATAAATCAAAACAGTCAAGACAGCCCTCATAAGCGACAGCTTTATAACTGACTATGGGCTTGAGTTCTTTTCAATAAACTGATTTGAAAGTTATTATGTATCTATACAAATATAATAAGGTTCTTATTTTATATATGACATAAATATAATACATATTTACATATACACCTGTTAAATCCTCTCTTCCTCTCTAGACCATGAGCTCCACAAGGCTAATACTCTGCCTGAAGTGTAAGATGTACCCCACATGTATTTGCTGAGTGACTATAAAAAATGACCTAATTCAGGGATGAGTTGTACCTCTGTTTTACTTATGAGGAAATTGATCTCAAGCATTTACATAACTTACAACTAAGTCAAACACTGAAGATGGACCTTGCAGATGCATAGGGAGTCCATTAGCCTTCCTCCGCATCAGCTGGACTCTGCCTGCAACACAGGTGGCTGTCATGCCCTTGTTATCCATGAGTGCAGAATGACCTCGGCTAATACAATGGACGCATGATCTCAGCTCTTGTCTTCCCTCAGCCAGAAGGTCTTATCTCACATTTTATGTAGCCCCCTCCTTCACTTCCTTTGCAAGCCTGCCTAATGTCACCTCCCAAGAGAGATTTTTCCTGACCCTCTGCCCCTGACCCTGTCTCTATCCCCATGATCCTATGATGATTGCCTGTTATATATATTAAGTCAGTTGCCTCCAAGGGGCTAAGCTCTTTTCTGTTTTATTCGCTGCATTATCTCCTACACCTGACACAGTGCCTGGAACAGAGCCTGACACATGGTTGGCTTTCAGTAGATATTAACTTTGTGAGACAGTGGATGGATGAATGGATAGATGGATGGATGGATGAATGGGTGGATGATGGATGGATGGATAGATGGATGGATGGACTCATTATTCTACAAGTGTCATAGTGTTCCACCCAACTTAAACTGAGGGAGGTGTACTGGTTCACATAGGCAGCCATCAGAGAGGGTGGGAACCCCTAAGAAACAAGGACTGGGACCCCAGGATTTTCTCTCTTTATCTCTTATCTCTGTTTCTCTTTTTGTGATAATTTTACTCTCAGCCGACTTTCTCCATATCAGTGAAGCAGTAGATACTAACAGCTCCAAAATCACATATATTTCCTCTCTCTTCTGTCCACCTACCCTTCACCAAACACCAGTTTCTAAAATCCCAGAGAAGCACTCAGATTGACCCAGTTTGAGTTACATATTCACACCCTGGACAATCTCTACCCCTTGAAGAGTAAAAGCCGCTACTGTCTAAGCTCTGGACCAGATTTCCACCTGTTAGAGTGAGTGGGTGTGGTGTAAGATACTATACTTAGCAACCCCCATTAGAGTCACATGATTGAAGTGGGATACTCAGTTCTTGAAAAGAATAGGGCCCTTTTTTCCTCAAAGAATGAGGGACGAAACATCAAGTAGACAAAACACGATAATTGTTCATTGCAGGCATAAATTCTACCTGTAAGTTTTCAAATTCCTAATAATAATATTGCATTAAAGAACGTGAACAGTTAACCATATTAAGACTGGCATTTTGTGTTAGGTCCATCATTTTGAACAGCAATAATAACTATTCAGTAGACATGCAACAGTGCTGATAATTATGGACATCTTTTTGATAGAAACTAGCATTTTTTAAATTCTCAAAATAGATAACTGTGTTGACAGCAGTTGCTTGCCTGAGCCCAGTGGTTCACTCTGTATTTTCTACCAATTCAATCTGAACAGCAGCCTTCAGGAATCTTCTCCTCTGTATTCATATTTGGAGAGGGAAAAAAATCTGTCCCAGGTACCATCTTTATTTCCTATGTGATGATTATGTCTTTCCCACTACAGAGTGGTCAAATTTAGTAGAGAATCATTCTTTGGATCAAAGAATCCAATAGTAACTTACAAAGAATGCTGACTGCTTCCCCGGCATAGTTGTAAGCACAACTCTTCTTCATAACCACCCTAAGAGATAGGTACTATTTTTAATCCCCATTTTATAGATGAGAAACTGAGGTCAGATAGATAAGTGACTTGCAGAAGGTCACAAAGCTAGAAAGTGCAAGAGCAAGACTTGGATCCAGTTGGTCTAGCTCTGTAGTTCATGGTTCCTACCACTATGCTCCTCCTTCCAGCTGTTGGGAACAGTTACCTAGTCAGTCACAGCAGGTGTCCCTTTTGCTCGTTCTGTTCTCTTCTACCCTTTCTTGGCCCACCTAGCTGAAGTCCCTGACACAGGAGGAGGCTATAGAGGCAAGAAAAGGCACAGAGCCAGGGTCATCTGTGGTGTGAAAGAACATTTGGTCAGACACTATAATTCACGCTTTGCCTTCTCCCTGTGACATCAGCCACATGAAATTTATCTCACAGAGTCATGAACAATGTTGGCAATCAAACACCTTCCATGCTTCAAAATCAATGACTACTAAAGGTAAACATGAATTTAGAGCTCAATCAATCCAATCCCCTAATTTTACTGATGAGGAAATTGTTAACCAGAGCAAAACAAAAGGCTTGAACACAACCCCATAGCTATTAGTATTTTCTCCTGCTATCCAGACCCTGCAACATTATCCCAGGCTGCAGAGTAACAGATGCAGAGGTGAGATTTGGACCAATTTTATTTAACCTCAGAGGGATCCCAGATATGTCCTGAAGACTTAGTCTCAGTTTTCCTCTTGGGATAATGGGGTGTGGAGGGCTATGTAATTCCCCTCTGAATTATGAACCAATTAAGAAATATACCTAGAAGTCAAAGGATTAAAACACAGGTTATCAGACACCGCATGTTCTCATTCATAAATGGGAGTTGAACAATGAGAACACATGGACACAGGGAGGGGAACATCACACACCGGGGCCTGTCGGTGGATGGGGGGCAAGGGGCAGGAGAGCATTAGGGCAAATACCTAATGTATGTGGGGCTTAAAACGTAGATGATGGGTTGATAGGTACAGCAAACCACCATGGCACATGTATACCTATGGAACAAACCTGCACGTTCTGCACATGTATCCCATAACTTAAAGTGAAATTAATAAAAATAAAAAAATAAAATAAAATAAAACACAGGTTACATTTTCTGGGTAAAGCAAGGTTGGCTCTGGGGGCAACACTCCTCACCAAGTGTGTCCTTGGAAACAGCACAGGGACAGAGCAGACACTCTCCCAGCCAGCCACTGGGCACTGAGAGCTAGAGAGAGAAAGACCATATCTGAACACTGACATTTAATACAGAACTCTCCCAATCAAAGAACATGGGTGAATGGCTATTGCACACACCATAACCCAGTTGGATAATTCACCTCCTTCCATGTAGAGAAGCTAGTAGAGCTATCAGCTTCTTCCAAATTCTTCTGAAAGTATTGACATTGCATTTTTATGACTTCAAAAATAGGGAAAAGATGGTCCTCCTTATGGTTCATGTGGCCTTCTCTCTACCTATGAGCATGGTATCCCTTAGCACACAAGAATGTGTCTCGGCTCCCTGACTTGGCTTCATCAGTCTGAAAATAGAACTTTCCACTAAGTACATTCACCAAGCCCTCATTTGCTATTAGATTTCTACAGCAGCCATAACAAATTGCCACATAATGGGTTGACTTAGAACAACAGAAATTTATTCTCTCACAGTTCTGGAAGCTAGAAGTCTGGAATCAAAATGTTGCCTGCCCATGCTCCCTCCAAAGGCTCTAGACCAGAGTCCTTTCTTGCCTCTTCCTAGCTTCAGGTAGTTCATGCTGATCCTTGGGCTTTTCGACCCATTCCTCCAATCTCTGCCTCCCACTTTACATGGCTTTCTTCCCTCTGAGTGTGTCTGTGTCCCAAACTCCCTCTCATTTCTCTTATAAAGGCAACAGTCATTGGATTACAGGCCCACCCTAATTCAATATGCCCTCATCTTTACTTGATTCCATCAGCAAAGACCCTATTTCAAAATAAAGTCATGTTCCCAAGTATTGGGTTAGCGATACTACATGTTTGTGTGGGGCAACACAATTTAACCCTCTGTGTTTGCCAAAAACAAGTGTGGTAGGTTGCATATGGTGGGAACCTGTCTCAGCAGATCCAGGATACATGACTTTGAGATAGATATTTATGAAAGATTTAGATTGTATTATCCCCCTACACCACTGGGGATACTAGGGATTAGCAAGGTGAAACAACTCACACAGGGGCTGAGATTTGAACCTGTGTCTGCCTGGATCCCTCCAGATCTATGGTCATTTCTTCTCTTTAACCAGGGAATAAAAATAACTAGGTAGTAGAGTTAGGAGGTAGTCATAGCCGTAGGGACTGAGGACAGAGTCCAGAGTCAGACTACTAGACTTCAAAACCTGGCTTCCCTTGTAATTAGCTGTGTGCTCTTGGCAACTTATGCAAACTTTCTGTGTCTCCATGTTCTTGTCTGTGGAAATCATAATAATGCTGACCACATGGGCTGGCTGGAATCATACCTATCATGTCTTGAAGAGAGCTCAGCCTGTAGTAAATGCTCTCTTCAAGACATGATAGGTGCTCACTAGAGATCAGTGCTGATCAACTGGTGTATTATTCAGACAAGAGATTTGGGTAAATGGAGAAAACATTTCTTATGAGACCGGAAGAAAATAATATGTCGCTCTCCACATTCACATCAGTGTCATTGGAGTACCAGCTGCAAATGTCCTGGAATCATCCTCATAGATCCTCAGACTCACTGGATTAGAGGGAACCAAACAGGCCTTCGAGTTCAGCAGAACTAATTTTGCAAACCTGTTTAACTGAGAGAACCCAATTAACACATCAGAGTTATTTCAAAATAATGATGCTGTTCCTTCCAATCCAGTGGTCAGTCCAATCACAATCCTGCTTCCTCCTTGCTTTATCTGTCCTTCCCCTTCCCCAGAGTAGCCAGTCCTTTGGGAATCACCTGCCACCTGAGCCCAAGGTCCCTTATCTCTAGAAGGCAGAGATTGAGCTAGGTGATTTCCAAGCCGCTTCAGGTCCTTTGTGCTATAAGTTTCCAGCCACAATAGTAGAATTGGAACCATGTTGTTTTGCCACGTTAGACGTTGCACGTTACAGATTACTTTTAATAATGTTGGCTATGTGATTCTGGGCACATTACAGACTTCACTGTGCTTCAGTTTCCTCATCTATATGATGGTTATAATAAGGGTACCTATCTCCTAGGGCTGTGGTAAGGATTGCATGCTTAGAATAGAGCCTGGCCCATGGTAAGTATTATTTAAAGGTTTGCTTTTATTATCATTGTTATCCTGATTTGCAACCATATTTCCAGGTTTTCTTGGCCCGGGGTTATTTCCATATGGCGTAGAGCTAGTTTAGGAGTCAGATCAACCTAGATTTGAATCCTGGCTTTGCAACACTTTTCTCCTTGCTTCCATCCATCCTTTCTTCATTCTATCCTCTGCCTTCCCTAACCTAAACACTGAGCATTAAGAGCTCTGCTTTTTGTCAGCCCTGAAGATTCTCAGGGAATTGTAACTCATATCCTAACGGGAAAGGCCCTCACAATCTGATGGGAGGAGCAGATGTGTCAGCTGAAAAGAACAATGTAGTGTCGGGGGTGCTGGCAGGGAGATGTTAGAGACACAGGGGCAGGTGAAACAGGCACAAAGGAAGGAAACTCTTAAGCTCTACCAGAAACGAGAGAACAGGGAAGAATCCACTGAAGACCTTTCTTTTGTCCTCTCAAGGGCTAAGTAGATTTACACTGAACTGAACAAAGAATTAAGGTCCTAATTTTCTTCCGTCCATCTTTCATTCTTTCATCCTTCAAGCCTTGGGTGCCTAGGCCTGTGATCTTTTCTCCAATCACCTGATTCTGTTGTAGGAAAAAAATGAGTTCTTCTCACATGACCAGGAAAGATTAGGCATGCAGGCACTTTGAAGAGTGAGAGGTTACAAAATATATTGGGTGAAAAGGAAAAAAGAAAAACAACACAGCAAAGTGAGAGGGGTTCCCGTTAACAGGTTTCCATCTCTCAGTTGGAATCCCAGGTCACCACCTAGGAACAGGAGAGGCCAGGCTCCTCCTCCCTGCAAGCGGCACAAACTTCCTGCAGCCCCACCCCATCATCCCATTGCACAGGCTGGTTGGGGATTCTCCAGGGACCTTACCAGCCTCCTGCATCTATCATTCCCTCCTCTAAAGAAGTACATCTAACTGCCATTAGAATAAGGATAAGGATAAGGATGAAGACAGATCTTAACTGCTTCCTGTTGACAGGGGGTGCTGTTTTGGGAAAACGGCAGTCAAATTGCCCTCAGGGGCCTATCCAAGGGTTCCCACGAGAAGGGGCCATTGCCCAAGGCTCCAGTTGCATGACTGGAGTTTCATGGCCTGAAGAAGAGACAAACTGAGTTATTAGAAAACACGTATAAATATGAAATAAGAGTGTGTGGTAAGGACAGCTCAAAAATCCCAGGGGCTTTTACCAGTTTGTATGGGGAGAAGGGGGCAAAAAGCCTGATTGGCTAAAAAAAAAAAAAAAAAAAAAAAAAAAAAACTTTTACCCTTTTGATGGTACATCAGGCTTCTGGGTTCCCTTCCGCTGAGCCTAGTCCTAAGCCAACCAGCTTAAGGTTTGGGACATTAACTTTTCCCAGTTTGGAGGATCCATCTGAAGGGAGTGTCCCATAATACAGAGACACAATTACCTATCAATGAAGAGAGGACAGGAGGAAAAAGGAAAAAAAATGGCATTTTTTTTCAAAGGCGTCCCAGGGGTTCAGGATGCATTTGAAAGGGGTACAGACTGAAGATGAATGGCTACTCATCTAGAAAGAGGGGAATAGGTGTCCCTGGCTCCTTTCTCTTCCTAGCAAATACCTAGGGTACATAAGGGAGGGAAAATGAGGCATTCCTTTTTCTCTCCTTCCTCCTTCTATCTCTGAGTCCTGGTGACCATGAAGGGTGCCACCCATGGGTGTTAAAGAGGCTTTCACCCATGTTAATGGGGGGGGGGCTTGCGGGGTAGGAGTATCCACTATTACCCACATATGCCCTCTTTCTCCTGCTGTCAACAGCCTTGAATTACCTAGACCTCATTTATGCCATGAATACTAGTGTGATATAAGAGGGTGTTTTTATCCATGAAATGGGAAGCTTGGCTTAATCAGCAGGAATCAGTCATGCTTACCTGTGCTGTGCCTTTTAACTGCTGTTATCATCTGCCTCTGGATCCCTCAGATCCAGTTTTCTTTCCTAGGGCTTTGACCCAAAGCTTGGAATTGAGTTTGGAACAAAAATGTGTCTTGGGGGGTTGCATGGACTCCTTATCATAAGCTGAATACTAAAGTGAAGCTGTGGAATTGAGTCCTTCTCTAACAAGGGAGAGAAAAGGATGTCTTATGACACATACAGGCAGAGAAAAGGATCTCTTTGGATGCATGTGCTTGGCTTTGGTTTTCTCTCTTGGTCTTACTTTCCCAAAAAGGAAACCTCTGGGTTAGGGGCACTCTATTTATTCCTGTCATCTGGCGGGATTTGCAAGATAATGGCTCAGAACTAGAATATTGATCCAGATTTTTACATTACCCATCCCTCTTGTTTCTTCTGAGCTGCAGCCAGAGATTGCTGGTTGGTTCACAGGAACAATCAGGGTTAGTCTAAAATGTAGGCAAAAACTTTTAAAAACAACTAATGAGTTGAGAATTTAATGACAAACTTATAACAGGTTTTGAAACATAATTCCTCTCTCTCCAATACTCATTTTTGTTTAAAAAAATCATGATGGGATAGAGTTGTTTGCAAAATACATTTTAGTCTTATACTTGGCCTGATTATTTGCATAAAGTGCAGCTAGAATAATTATGTCTACATAGGCCTTTTAGATTGGCTTTGAGGGAACTCTGTCCCACAAGGAATCTCAGATAAGACCTTTTAAAGCAGAGCCCAGCCATGGGTTTGTATCCTCAAATACTTGTGAGTTGGGTGATCCTCTCCTCTTAAGGTCCCAAGATAAACTTGGAACTCCTGGGCCTGTTAGAAAATGACATTTTTTACTGACCACAGGTCAGGAACCCTGTACAGGGACTGTGTAGGCAAAGGTATGAGGCCAGTTTTTTTCCAAGGGGCTTGTATTGGCTCTGCAAGTCAAGCTTGACTCCTTAAAGAGAAGAATACCCTTCCAGTCAAAGCCTTGGTAAAACAACCAGTTTCTACAATTGTTTCCTGTTGCAAAAGAAAATGGATTCTTATTGCAGTGATGCAAACAATTGTATTGCCATGAGTAGAGAATACTCACAACTAGTTTCCAAATTCTAGGACAAGCAGGCAGACAGAAAGAAACATGCTCCAAATTTTGTTCACAGAGTATACCTTACTCAGTTGTTAAAGGCTGTAAATAGTTCAAAATAAGTTTCCTTGACTCTGAAAAACAAAACAAAACCCAGCAATATTCCAAGCAAAAGTCAAAAAGATTGCTTTGGTTTTCTGTGAGTTCATTCGGTTAGCTCTTGTTTTGCTTGATATTCATGAACATTTTAGCTCTTCATGAGTCCTGTACATTTTTTCCTTATTCCAATGGCACAATCTCCAAAGTTATCAGAAACCTGTATTTGAGAGTGTCTGCCAAAGTTCTGTAGCTTATTATAAACCGTCTTTTGAAAGAGATTAAAACAAGACAACAATTATCAAATGTCCGGGGTCGTTAGAGTTAGAAACACAATTGACAACGAAGTTTGATTATCTCATGGTATCCAATAACTTAACATAACCTTAATTATGATAGCATATACTTAGACATTAGAATTTTAGAAATCCCATACAATTCTGGAACATATATTGATGTTATTCACCAAAATATAGCCTAAAGAAGATTGTATACCACTGTAGCAATCCCATGTACGTAAACATGTCAAATAATCCTATTTACTTCTCTTTTCTGGATACTCCAGAGGCCCTCTGAAACATCCAAAAATCCAGATATCAGGAAACACAGTTTTGAAACTGAAGTTTGATTTGGGCAAGCCTGTTAAATATGTTAGAGGCTTAAAACACTTGACATTATGAAATAGAATTACATACTACCATAAATTATTTTGCCAAAATGATGACTCAGAAATTTTAAAAAAGCAAAAACCTTTTATAACCCTTTACAAATTTTGCTAAAGAGAAGATTAATGCCTTGAGAATACCTTGTTGTGCTTTTATTTTAATGCTCAATTTACAGAAAAACCATATAATACCCTTTTGTATTTAATCAATATATTCACACATGGAATTTTGTAAGATTAATTTTTACAATCCTTCCACCATTTGTTTAAACTTTTAGCTTTATTATATCTAATTTAAAACAATTATTTAGCCTTAGGCAAGAATTTATATTTTTATGCCTTTTTCTAACCTTTTATTAAAAACACATTTTACTGTTCTTACACGCCTTGCACATAAATCTATTTCCAGTAGTCTCAATTACATGTCATAATGGTAACAGTTAGCAATTTTTTAATGTAGAACCTGGTAATTTGTTTTGATTATGTGCTAGATGCAGCCAAGGTTTGACTCCTTCCAGCATAACTAAGGGTGTGGTTAGTTCCACATGTCCCCAGGCCTTACCAGTTGTGAAGCTGGCAAATTGAAAAGTTCTCAAAAGCCAAAAAAGCAGCCTATAACCTTAAAACATTTAGCCAACCTAGGATCTGACCTGCATAATTTAGTCCACCTATTTATATTTTGATGACATCTGCTTCTTACCAATAATTATTTTTTATAACCAACAATAATGTTTTTATTTTTCAACGATTAAAGCCACGTGAAATTACCACAGCTTTTATCTTCCCTTTAAAAAATATTTGATCCAAGCACTTACCTTCTTTTAGGCCAATTAATTAAAGATCTTTTTACAGACATCACACACACACAACACATATATAACTACACAGACAGGCAGAAGAAAACCCAGTCCCCATAAGATCTTTTGTTTGCCAATCTCCTATTTGGATTATTGACCTCCAGGTACTATTAATTCCTGGGGTTCCATGAAGAAAACAGAGGTCTCTCCCCTCTCATATGTGCATTAAAAGTGGCAAGGCAAAAATGGAGAAAAATATTTCAGTCAACCAAAAAAAAACCTTTTCCCAGCAAAACAAGGTCCAAGAAAAGGAAAACATAAAGTCCTTGTAAATATAACTATAACTTGGATAATCCACTTTTAATTAAGGTGAGCACTCCTTAAGAAAATCCTTTTAATTCCCTTATTAGCCAACTTTAGCCATACCAAGCAGCCAATGTTTCTGGCTTTCAAACTTTACTAAAGGCTCAGAGAAAGGAAAATCCAAGGTGGTTCGTGGAGGGTAAGGGAATCAACAAACCACAAAAGCTCACATATCAAACCAGAAAGGACTAATTCCCTAGGCCAGGATTGAATCTAGGCCACCCAAAGGCTAAACAAAGCCCTGCCACGAGGTTACAGGCCACGCCCTCAAGGATGTAAATCAAGATGGAGGCCTGCAGCAAAGTTTGCTACCAGCCATACAGAAAGACGTGCAAAGCACACCAGAATGGCTACAGCTTAAGACTAACCTCACAAATACTTTCTCACATTTAAAACTCTACCAAAAATACAGTGATCCCCATCATTCCCAGCCCAACAAAATGTCTTCCAAAAGGAAAAAAAAAAAAAAGCTTTGTTTAAAAGTCGTCTGCTGACAGGGTAGAGAAAAGGAGGTTAAATCCAGGGCTGTGTTAACTGCTGACAGGGTGGAGAAGAGAAAAGGATGACTGGGGGAAGAACCTCTTATTCTTATGGCAAATGGTTTCTGCACCAGGGAGAGAAGCTAAACTATTGTGGGACAGAGCTGGACTCTCTGGCTGGGGGAGGGGGGAACTCTGTGGACACGTGGCAGGGAATGCCAGCCAGTTGCTTGGGGCCCAGGCAGCAGTTGTGGCTCATACTTACCCTGCATGGCCGTTGGACACTGCACACACATGAGGCACACACTACAGCCATGCACTCCAGTCGGTAGGGAAGCAGGGACAGGCAGCTGCCTGGCCCAACTGTCCCGCGCGCGTGTCTGTGGCCCTTGGGGTGGGTGTGGACCACCTCCAGTATTGTATTGTAAAAGGAAAGATAGTTGTCATTACTGTTCCAAAACAAAGAAGATAAATGCCATAGAACCAAAAGGCTCAGAAGCAAAAGTTAAAGGTTTTGGGTCCCCATTCCACCCTCCTTTCCTCAGATCCCATGTTCTGGGCACCAAAAAAATGTTGTAGGAAGAAACCGGGTTCTTGTCACATGACCAGGAAAGATTAGGCATGCAGACACTTTGAAGGGAGAGGGGTTACGGAACTTAGTGGGCAAAAGGAAAAAGGAAAAACCACTCAGCAAAGCGAGAAGGGTTCCTATTAACAGGCCGCCATCTCACAGATAGCATCCCAAGTCCCCACCCAGGAACAGGAGAGGCCAGGCTCCTCCCCGCTGCAAGCAGCAGGAACTTTTTGCGGCCCCACCCTGTCCTCCCAGTGCACAGGCCTGTTAGAGATTCCCTGGGACCTTCCCCCTCATCTGCCTCCTGCATCTATCAATTCTATATGAAAAATCTCTAGAAATGTCAATTGGTTAGATCAGCTAAGAAGCACAACCATGTCCCAAGAAAAACGCACAGAAAACCTACATGAACGGCAAATCTTTGTTTCTAGCTACAAAATAATAAATTCCTCTGTAGAGAAATAAAGTGTATGGTCAGAATTCTCCAGTAAAACAGAACCAATGGAATATAGCGAGGTTTATAACAGGAGATTTATTATAGGAATTGGCTCACATAATTACAGAGGCTGAGAAATCTCACAATCTGCTGTCCGCAAGCTGGAACACCAGGAAAGCCAGCAGTTTAATTCAGTCCAAGTCCAAAGGCCTGAGAACCATGAGCCCAAATGGTGTAAGTCCTGGAGTTCAAAGGCCTGAGAACCAGGAGCTCCAATCTCCAAGGGCAAGAGAATATGAATGTCCCAGCTCAAACAAAGAGAGTGAATTCACCCTTTTCCCTCCTTTTGATTTATTTGGGCCCTCAAAGGATTAGATGACGTCCATCCACATTGGTGAAGGCTGATCTTTTCTCAGTCTACTGATTCAACTGCTAATCTCTTCCACCCTCACAGACACATCCAGAAATGAAGTTTTATCAGCTGTCTGAGGATCCCTTGGCTCAGTCAAGTTGACACATAAAATTAACCATCACACAAAGGATAGGAGTTATTTGGTTCTCCCAGCTCTACCACGAACAGTGTGAAAGCTGTAAAGAAATTGCCAGCCTTGGCAACACGGTGAAACCCCGTCTCTACTAAAATACAAAAAATTAGCTGGGTGTAGTGGTGTGTGCCTGTAATCCCAGCTACTCGGGAGGCTGAGGCAGTAGAATCGCTTGAACCTAGGAGGCGGAGGTTGCAGTGAGCCAAGAGCTAGCCTGGGCGACAGAGCAAGACTCTGTCTCCAAAAAAAAAAGAAAAAGAAATTACCATCATCTTCTTCAATGTTTATACCATTTAAGGAAGGCCCGTCAAGTTCCAGACCCCCTTTCTTTTGGCCACTTCACGTTCATTATCATCTCATCTCCAGTTAGCATTTCCCATTTTATTTTAAAGAATAAAATATCTTAAGAAATAAGCACTGACAGCAACTTTCATTTATAGTCTTTTCTTAGAGAGAAAAATAGGACACCAAAGCCTCAAAAATTTGGCATATGGAAGGTGACAGGTGTTTATTACCTGTCTGCTTTCTCTGTCTCTCTCAGGATAGACCATGTGTTAGGAAGCCTCTAAAAGTACTCTTAAAGGGAACTGCAGATCTTTTGTTAGTCCCCACCCTTTCCACATGAAAAGATTAAAGGATGAAAGAATGAAGGAGAGAAGGCCTTGACTCCTATAAATGGGATTGGCTGTTCTGTGCTGGGCACTCAGTCTGCACCATTGTACTGAGCACTCATATCAAAATGGCGCAAGACAGATTAACCCTTTCTTCGAAATCTCTCTTTTTTGACTCTAGTCACACTGCTTCCATTCATCCGTCATCCATATATCCATTATCCATCCATCTATCATCCATGCACCCATCTTCATCCATCCATTCATCTATCATCCATTTATTTATCCATCCATTCATCTCTCTATCATCCATTCACTTATCCATCCATTCATCTACCATTCAATGAATATTTATTAAGACACTCCTGTGTACCAGAAACCATTATAGAGTCTGGGAATATAGCAATGAATAAAAAAGACACAGTCACCAACTTCTTACTTGACACGATGCCTCTCAGTCTTCCTAAAAGTAACATGTCCCAAACTCCACTTTTGATTTTTTCTCCACACTTGCTTGTTCGAAGTCTTGCCCAACTCCAAAAAAAATAGCTTATGATGGTTATAATACGGGTACCTATGTGATTGCACAACTTATCTGTGCAACGAGAAACCAGGGGTGGTTATTTATCAATCTTTTTCCTCACAGCCCATCTAGAACCCGTCAGGGAATATTGGTGTACTAGTTGAAAATTGATGTCAAAGTTCTAGTCTTCTTACTCCACCCACTGCAATCAATCACCCTACTCCACAGCAGTAGCATCTTTTGCCTGGATATCTTCAGTGGCTTCCTTTTCAGTCTCTCTCTGTTGTTTTTGCTTCCCATGGATCCCTTCTCCACCAAAAAGCCCATTGTGTTCTTTTTAAATTTTTTTAAAATTGTAGTCAGATACACATAACATAAAATGTTGCTATCTTAACCATTTTTAAGAGTACAGATCTCGGCCAGGGGCAACAGCTCACGCCTCTAATCCCAGCACTTTGGGAGGCCGAGGCGGGCGTATCACCTGAGCTCAAGAGTTTGAAACTAATCTGGCCAACATGGCAAAACCCTGTTTCTACTAAAAATACAAAAATTAGCCAGGCTTGTTTGAAACTAATCTGGCCAGCATGGCAAAACACTGTTTCTACTAAAAATACAAAAATTAGCCAGGTGTGGTGATGAGCACCTGTAATTCCAGTAACTCGGGAGGCTGAGGAGAATCGCTTGAACCCAGGAGCAGAGGTTGCAGTGAGCCAAGATGACACCATTGCATTCCAGCCTGGATGACAGAGTGTAGACCCTGTTTAAAAAAAAAAAAAAGTACAGGTCTATAGTATTTGGTGTATTCACAATGGTTATGAAACCAATCTTCAGAACATTTTACTTTGCAGAACTAAAACTTCATTTCTATTAAACAACGCTCCCCTGTTCCATGCTCCCAGGCCCTGGAAACCACCATTCTACTTTCTGTTTGTATGAGCTTGACCACACTTGATATCCCATATAAGTGGAATCATATAGTATTTGTCTTTTTCTGAAGGGCTTATTTCATTTAGCATAATGTCCTCAAGGTTTATTCATGTTGCAACATGTATCAGGATTTCTTTCCATTTTAATACCAAATGGTATCCCGTTGTATGTCCATTCATTTTTTAATCTACTTATCCACTGATGGACAACATTTGGGTTGCTTCCACCTTTTGGCTGTTGTGAATAATGCTGCAATGAACAGGTATGTGTTTTTTAAAATGCAAACTTCAAATACTTTCTCCTCAAAAATCTTTGTGGGCCCCACGTACACTTAGAATACAATTGAAACTCCTATTTTCTATTTCTGTTTAAATAGTATTTCATTTCTAAAGTCTCTGACTTATCTGGACTCTGATCTCATCTGGTGCCACTCTGCCTCTCACTTAGAATGTTTTGGCCACATGCCCTCCCTTTGGTGCCACAGTCCAGTCCTCATGCCCCTCGCACCCACATGCAGTGCTTCCGCCTGGAGAGCTCTTGCCTCCTTTCTTTGAAATCCAGCTTCTTGCCTTTCAGATCTCAGCTTCTGTCTCCGGACCACCATCATCTTAATCCTTGATTACTGAAACTGGTTTCCTAATTCATCTTCCCATTTACTCAAGATGCCTTCCTGAGCCACCCTACCTGTCAACCTCCCATTCTTCATTACTGCATTCTCTTGGTCTCCTTGTCAGATTTCTAGCAATGAATGTGTCTGTTTACTTATTATATGTCTTCTTGACTTTATCATAAGTTCATTAGAGACAGAAGTCTTCTCGACTTTATCATAAGCTCACTAGAGACAGAAAACCACATTGGTTTTAATCACCAATGTATGTTAACAAGTTACCTTGAGCCTGGGATTTACTAGGTGTGGAACACATTTTTGTTGAATGAATAAATATTAGCTTCATTTTACAGATGAAATTGAATCTGAGTTAATGACTTTCCTAAGTGAAATATAAACTACAGAGCAGAGATTGGAACTCAGTTCTCTTACTTCAAAGTCCACACTCTTTCCACTATACAGCAGTCCCTTTCTCAGCTGAGGTTAGACACATTTTGTTAATCAGAAGATTGAATGTTTTATTACTTCCTTCCTTCTTTCAACATTGTAATAATACTTTTAGTGCTTGCGACATTCCAGATACTGTGCTAGATCCTGTATATACAAGTTGAACATGGTAGTTTCAGGCCCAAAAGCTTACCATTCAGTTTTTCAACCTCAGCACTATTGATATTTGTGACAGATAATTCTTTGTTGGGAATTTCCTGTGCATTGCAGGATGTTTAACAGCATCCCTGGCTTCTCCCCACTAGATGGCAATAGTGCTCCCCATTATTATATCAGCAGTAGTTGTGACGACCAAATGTCTCCAGGCATGGCCAAATGTGCCCTGGCTGGGGGTTCAAAATCACCCCTAGTTGAGAACCACTGATTTAGTAAGGGAGTCCCTATTAAGTGAAATATTTCCCTGTAGTGGCCGAGTGCCATGGATGAGAAAAGCCTGAAGTGGACTAGGGGCACAGAGAATGGATGTCTAATGGATCTCAGTAGCCACTAGACTGAACGTCCAGATGTGGGGCTGATGCTTGGACCATGTTTTAGGCAAAAGTAAGAGTCATTTAGATGAAAAAAAGGGATGAAGATTTTCCCAGGTCGAGTTCACAGCACATGCAAAACACTGAATGTGAAGAAACTACACGGAGTTGAACATGGCTGAAGTTCCCCATGCTGATACCTGAAGGAGGAGCCCAGGACAAGAGCCATATTGTCCAGGATAGAACAACCTTGATTTTCCTTTTCCATGCCCAGTCCACCTATTTGCAGTTTTTACAACTCATATTTGGAAGTTGTTTGCCTGCACTTAACATGTCAAGAGCCCTAGCTTTCGAAGAAAATCTGATGTCATCTCTGGGGAAGGCTTTTCTTGCAAGATCTGCAGTGCCCTCCTAGAACAACACCTTAATTATGCACTGGAAATCCATACAGCGTAGAACAGAGTTGGGTTTTGAGTTTCAGCAGTGAACTTTGCCTTGCATTTGATTATCCTTTGGGGTCTTGGATTTCAGGCAACACAATTAAGAAGTAAGCTGATCATCCACTTTGCTGGAGGAAGAATTCCATAAGCCTCTTAGGTGCAATGGCTGTGAGCAATTCTGAGCCGAGACTTCTGACTTTGTTCCACGCATCTGGATTCCTAACACCATCTAAACTGCCATCTGTGACCAATGGCGTTTTAAGTGAACGTGGCCAAAACAATCCAGACCGTTTGAGGTTGGCAGTGAAGCATTTAAATATCTAACAAGCAAATCCTAAATCCCAGCACAGATAGAACCAAGAGAGTCCTCTCATTATCTTCCTTATATTCAACAATTATACTGAAACTTCAATTCAGGAAAAAGTGGCTGCTATTAATTTTGTCTTGCTTAGTTTATCTGGAATTAAGCTCCTCATATACTTATCTCATACGGAAGTGGAGTAGAATGACAATGTTGAACTTTTTAAACTAGCATTAAGAAGTATTGTAAAATAATATATGAATCTCCCAAACTCATTTCAGTTCATTTAAACAACAACAACCAAAAAAACCTTTATTTGTGGCCCAGGGAATTGTATCCATCCTTTTCACACACATCGTCAGCCTTCTACTGCTTCTGTGGGAAAAGGATTACTTACTCAGTTAATAATGACAGCCAGCATCTATTGAGCGCTTCCTGAATCTCAGTTGGCTGAGCACTCGACATGCATTACCTCATTTAACCCTTAAACATCTATGAAAAGCATGGGCTTATGGTCATCATTCTGCCCATGAGGAAACTGGAGACCAGAAAGCACAAATGATGTGTCCTAGGTCACATGGTTTGTCAGGATGCTTCCACCAGGCTGGTTTTGCCCATGATCTTAGTTGCCGTACTGAACATTCAGATGTTCTGAGCAGGGAAATGTGCTGTGTTCAAAGATAGCCAGGCAGAGTCTTTGCCTTGCTAGCACTGCATAGTCCAGTGGGGCGGGCAGGCATGGAAATGTACTGTCTCCATACAGCGCAGTGCCAGAAAGACTTCAATGTGTGTTCAGCTCAGTTCCTGCTTCATTCACTATTTTTAGCCCATGGGCTCTGTCCTATTAGTCATTTATCTAGTAGCAGCCAGGAAAGCAATTCCAAAAATGTTGACTTCAGTTCAAGGAAGATGGAGCTGGCTGAGCATTGGCGTTTTTCTAAATTTATCCTGGGCTGGTTATTAATGGAGTTCCTCAATCAAACTGCTGGAACAGTGCTGGGTGAGAGAGAACAGATCCAGAGGAAGTCAGGAATAACAACTGCTCACTGCTCATTCATATACTCATTCATTCATTCACTCGTTTGTTTTTCAAAGGTTTCTTAATGCCTTCCGTATGCTGGACTGTAGGCAAGAAATGTTACAGAAATTATCACATGTAACACTCCCTAACCCTCTATGAAGCAGATGTTGTTAGGCCGCCATGACAGACGAGGACCTGGTGTTCAGAAAGCACAGGGTGACTGTGTGGCAGAAGGAGTGTTCACTCCCCTTCCAGCAGCCACAACACCATGACCTCCACACTGCACCCAGCTTCAAAGGTAGCAGCAGCTTCTGGCAGGGGCACATGACTAGCCTAACCAGACATGCTCTTCAGAAAACACAAAATTATCGCAAACCCATGCAGAGCTGATTTGATCACCCATATTCATTCACTCTCTCATTTATTTCACAAGTACATGAGGGAATGCCTCCTGTGTGCCAAGCTCTGTGTGGGGTAAGGGAGCAGAAGCTGCTGCATTGAGTATACCACTGGGCGAAAACACGCAATGTGGCACTCTCTGGAAAGTACCACAAAAAAGGACTTTATCCTTCGTGCTCACTAGGGTAAGGGGGCAAAAGCTGAGAAATGGAAGAAATTAACATGTACAGAGCACCTGCTCTGTGTCACACTCTATGCCGAATCCTGGATAAACATCATCTCATAGCAACCAGATAAAGCAGGGAATGCTTATCCCTACTTTACAGACAAGGTAACTGAGGCTCAAAAAGGTCACAGATTTGCCGAAGGTCAGCCAGATGGGAAGGGTGGACTTGGGCTTAAGTCAAGGTGCAACTGGCTTTTTGCACCAGGGCAACTTTATATTGGCATTATTAACCATTTTCTTTGTACCAGGAACTCTTCTAGAAGTATCATGAAGCCCATGGACCCCTTCTCAGAATAATTTTGAATCTATAAACAAAATACAATATACAAAAGAAGCTGATTATATGGAAACAGCATTATCAAAGTCTTTAAAATTTTGAGATGTAGTCATATATGTGCATCTTTGTGATGAACCTGGTGGCAGATTGAATACCACCATAATTTGGAAGCCAGCATGAGCATAAACAGTACCTTGAAATAACAGGATATAAAATTATCTGTGATTTCTGTTGTGGCAAGTCTCAGGCATTTAGGATATTACTGGAGTTTGTTGCCCACATTCATACTGGAAAGAGATGCTAAATTTTCATTAGAAGTTAGTAAATTAAAAATGTATTTTTCCCCATCCAAACTCACGGACTGCCAAATTCTATCCATGAGGGTCTGTTTGTGGACACCAAATTAAGAGTGCTGCTTTACGTCATTTGTGTTGTCAGTTTCTTTTCAAGGAGGAATCCTTTGATAAGGATTTGTCTGTGTAAATCACTATCTGGGTACCATGGGATGATACACAGGAAAGGCAGGAAGTTATTGATGCAGGAAATGGGCATGGGGAAAGATGAATCTCTGCAGCATACTAGGATGAGCTAGGCAATTTATAGCGGGCACCTCATGTAAGCTACATTTAATCGTATGGGAAAATTGACATTCAGAGAAGTCTTGCCCAGGGTATAAGAGCTAGCAGGCTGTGGAGCTAGGATTTGAACCACGCCCTGTCCGATTCCAAGCTGCTGAGTCAGATTCAGCACTGTGAAATGCACGGTCCCCATTTCTCCTTGGAGGAGAATGTGTGAGTCTTTATGGAGGGATGGGAAATTTTAAGAGCCTGCACTGAAGGAGGAAAATTGTTCACTTTTGCTTATTTTGTAGCCAAAAGCTGGGTCTCTTGGATCGGGTTCGCCTTTCTAATCCTCGTGGTAGCAATACTAAAGGAAAGCTATTTACCCCTCTGAATGTAGATGCCATAGAAGAAAGTCCTTCTAAAGAACCAAAGCCTGTTGGCTTAAACAATAAAGAGCGTTTCCGCACGGCCTTCCGCATGAAAGCCTACGCTTTCTGGCAGAGTTCTGAAGGTAATGCCTTTTTATCTCCCTCCCTGTCTCTTCCACTTCTTCCTCCCCCAAGTCCACTTCCTTCCTCACCTCTCCCTTTGCCCACTTAAGAACCTTTGACTCCACAAGGTAACTCTCTCCCTTCCCTCGACAAGCCAACTTCTTGCTTCCCTAACTCCTCCTGTCCCTTGGGCTGAGGCATTGTGATGTATTCCCAGGAGTCTAGGGCTGCAGGCTCCCAAGTTAGGAGCCTGGAAACCTGTCACCTTGGTTTCTAAGGGTCCGCCCCGACCCCCCGCCCCATGATTGGATTGTTATGGAGGTCAACTTGAAGGATGGGGCGGTGCCAGGTGCAAAGCAATTTAGAGACCAGGGCACGGGAAGAGTGGCAGAAAAGCGCCCTCTGGAGGCTGTAGGAGCCATGGCCTCATGTGCCTCTTTTACTTATGCAAAGGGAGGACATGCAGAAAAGCCTGTTTCCTCAGTGTCTGAGCCCACCCAGGCCCTCAATCCTCATTGTATCATTCAGTTCTCTCCAAGGCCTCTGATGTGTGCGGCTCAGAAAGTGACTTCTCCAAGGTCACCAGGATAGAGACTGACAGAGCAAAAGTCCCAGCTGAGGCCTGCACAGTGTGTGTTGTTTGCTGGCTTCTGTGTCCTTTGCTGGCTTCTGGCTCTGGGGGCCACTCTGGAACTGCGGAGCTCACTTCTCCTCCCTGCTAGCCTTTTCCCTCACTACCAGTCATGAGCTGCGCACACTTTTGACTTGGACTTCTGGGTAATAGAATGAGGGTGCCAAGAAAGGCTGAACAGCATCACAGCTTGAGAATACCGTGGAGTCTTGCAACGTGGAAATAAAGACTCTGGGGATTGACACATCCAGAGGCGTGGAAGGCTTTGACCGAACAGTGGGGTCCCCAAGCCTTTTCCAGGTCTGTGGCCTGCCGTTCATATGTGTGTCTCCCTCCCAGATGCCGGGACAGGTGACCCCATGGCGGAAGACAGGGGCTATGGGAATGACTTCCCCATCGAAGACATGATCCCCACCCTGAAGGCCGCCATCCGAGCCGTCAGGTAATGCCCCCACGGTCCCACCTGTGCCTGTGTGCCTCCCCCGCTCCAGCTCAACTCCCACAGGAAGGGGCTTATAAAATTATCTTGCACTTTGGGAAGGGGGAAGAGAAGCCCCTCCACTAACCCTGAGTTAGGTCCCTGAAGTATGTAAATACTGTATGCTGCCCCAGAAAAAATGATCCAGACGTTAGCAAGTCATGATGGGTGACTCGTAGGTACCTGCCTTGTTATAAACACGCCCCACAGCCCTCCTGACAGTATTTCCACCTGCTATGTTCTGCTCTGTCTGTAACTACCATGTATTTTAAAGGGTGTCAGAGTGGAGGGTTTTCTTCCTGTAGAGGCTTCTTGCTCAAAATGGTTTTTCTTCTGCCTAACTTCATCCATATAGTTTGTTTTAATTAGTTCGCATTTTTAACAAGATAATAAATTATAGTATTTTTTTGTCTGTATCAGCAGAGACCATAATCCATTCTACCTATTTCTGTTTTGCTTTAGAATTCTGCAAGAAAATGAAAAAAAGTATGCTATTACCTAAACTTTATCAGCATGTAAGCACTTCATAAAGGTAGCAGTGAATTCTAGAAACTAAGGTGAATTCTCCAACTGATCATGGTATTTTCCGCAAGATTCCCAGTCCAATAGATAGGGAAGCACAGTAGTGTTACAGTGTGTAGACCTCAGCAAAGCCTTGGACGTGGATTTTCCTGACACCTTTATGTAGGATATGACAGAAATGTGGTTGTATGAAAACACAGCTATCTGGATTCCTCACTGGCTGAAAGCCTTTATTCAGAGAAAACCAGTTAATAAACCTGTGTTGACCTGGAGGGTGATCTCTGCTGGGACGCTGCATAGTCTAGTCTCTGCCGTCTTCTTCTCTTCTTTTAGCATTTTCATTGATGTCTTAATTCAGAGGTCATCAAACTTTTCTTGAAAGGGTCGGATAGTAAATGTTTTAGGCTTCCTGGTCCATAGGTCTCTGCTGCAAGTGTTCAGCTCTATCATTGTAGCACAAAAGCAGCCATAGACAGTGCCTAAAGGAATGAGTGTGACTGAGTTCCAGTCAAACCTTACTATCAAAATCAGGCAGTGAGCCAGAGTTGGCCTGTGAGCCTTAGTTTATAGATTCTCACCTGTATGGAACTATGTAAAGAGAAGGCTTATAAAGTGGCACAAAGATGGGAAGGATGGCAAGCAAATTAGATAGTACCATAATCAATATACCAAAAATAATGTTTAGAGGCTGAAGCCACGAGCTATGACAAACAAAATGAACTTTGAATGCACCATTAAAACGACTTGCGCAAGCACCAGATGGAAGGGCCTGGGAAGGGCTGTGACCTCCTGACACTGACCTGTGATTAGGGATTTGAACAAACTCTGTGCTCAACAGAAGTTAACTTTATGATGAGGCTCAGGGAGGAACCAATAAAGGATGGAGGTGAGGCTTTGATTTCATCTACCAGTTCTGGGTGCCCCACTTTATAAGGAACCTGAGAAAACTCAGGGAACAGAAACCAGGTTTTCTTTTCTAGGAGCTCACAAGTAAAATAATTAAAGAGGCTCTTGAGGATGAGATATATCAGCTGTCCTCAAATAGCAAGCAGTGTGACAGTGATTAAGAGCACCAGCCTTGTCAGCACCCTGTCTGGGTTTGAGGACCAGCTCAGCCCTTATTAGCTATATGGCCCTGGGATGATGCTGAAGGTTCAAATCACAATCACATCATCTATAAATGGATCTGTTATCAGGATTGTTCATAAAGCATTAATTAAGCTCATGGTCTGGCATACAGTGAATGCTCAATAAATGTTAGCTCTTATTAATACTATGATTTACTTATTATTCAAATGATTGAAGGGAGTAATCCTGATGGAGATGTACTAACTCTGTGTGTTCCAAGGGGTAGAACCAGAACCAAACGTTGGAAGTTCTTCCAGCAAGCTCTTTTATCTTTGGTTCTTTTCTCCCCCTGCCCTGGAGTTTGCTAGCCTTCTGTTATAGCTCCCCGCACTCTCCACATGGGATGCACAAATGCCTCTACTTTGCCTTGCAGAATTCTACAATTCCGTCTCTATAAAAAAAAATTCAAGGAGACTTTGAGGCCTTACGATGTGAAGGATGTGATTGAGCAGTATTCTGCCGGGCATCTCGACATGCTTTCCAGGATAAAGTACCTTCAGACGAGGTGAGACAGTCACATCTGGAGGGACTGCGCTCCCCTCAAAGCCCTATGAACCTTAGAGTTTAAGGTGAGAGGTATTCAGAAATAATTCAAAATGCAGGGAGAGATTTTAAGAAGACAAATATCCACGAAGCCTTGTGGATGTCTAGGCCAACAAAGCACCAGATCGGACAGACTGTGAAATAGCTGTATGACATTGCCATGGCCAAGGTCAGCACCCTGATCAGGCCTGTCAGAGAGGAGAAAGCACACATTTAAATGGCTTCTGACTGTGATGCTTTCGATGTTGCCAACAAAACAGGATCATCCGAATTAAACCGAATCCAGCTGCCTAATTAATTCTCAATACAATTCTTTACCATATTTAAAAATGTTCATCAGGTATTACTTATAATAGTGAAAGATATGGAAATAGCATCAATGCCTAACTAATAATTGCCATCATTTTTATTGAACTCCTGAGTACTCCACCTGCGTGTTTATACTCCCTTATGAAATCACAAGATATTGCATTAGAGTGCCATTTTTCCAATGAGGAAACTGAAGCTGAAAGGACAGAGGACCTACCCAGCTAGCAGGGAGCAGAGCTGGGAATCAAACCAGCTCCAACTGATTAGAAAGTCTCTATTCTCTCTAATACACCATATTTCCTTAATTATAAAACAATGGGTAAGGAAAGAATGGTACCTGCTCTCATTAAAATGTTATGCAGTCATTGGTTGGGCACAGTGGCTCATGCCTATAACCCCAGCACTTTGGGAGGCCAAGGCAGGTGGATCAGTTGAGGTCAGGAGTTCCAGACCAGCCTGACCAACATGGTGAAACCCCCTCTCTACTAAAAATACAAAAAAAAAAAAAATCCAGGCATGGTGGTGCACGCCTGTAATCTCAGCTACTTGGGAGGCTGAGACGGAAGAATCGCTTGAACCTGGGGGGGCGGAGGTTGCAGTGAGCCAAGATTGCACCACTGCACTTCAGCCTGGGTGACAGAGTGAGACTGCATCTCAAAAAAAAAAAAAAAAAAAGTTATGCAGCCGTAAAATAATATTTAGAAAAAGTATATAATGAGATTTTTTAAATTATATGATTTGTGGATATATATGCATGATATAATTACCAATAATACATGCGGACATGTGTGTACACATATATATGCATATGTATATATCTATAGTGCATATGTATGTTTATATGTCATGTGTGTCACAGAATAAATATACTCTGCCTAGACCTTGTGATGATGTTAACTAATATATAGGTATGATATGATTCTAAACACTTGCACACATATGCTTATTCAGAAACACACAGGACATGCACACACTTTCCCATATCAGGGCCTGGAGAAAAGGAGTAAGACTTCCCCTGAGAGACTGCAGTGGCTGTACTGAGATGATGACTCCATATGTGATTTTTTTTTTCTACTTTTAAAATGTATCAAATCTTTAATAAGCTGTAAAAATGCCCTTTGAAAAAGCATTTTGTAAAAACGGGCAGTTATGATGTCAATAGCCATGGAATAACAGTCAGGAAACCAAAATCCTATTGCAGTTCACTCTCTGACATGTGTGAGATTTCCAATGGACACGCGTCCTCTCTGGGCCTCAGCTTCCCTGTCCGAGTGATGTTGTCCCACTGGAGTGTCCTGCTAGAGAACAGGAACATCACACTGACTGGGTTGGAAGTTAATGATGCTATCTGTCAGCTTGGAGGTGTAATTCTCCATGGCCTTTCTCTTTTCTTTTTTTTTTTTTTTTTTTTTTTTTTTTGAGATGGAGTCTCACTCTGTCACCCAGGCTGGAGTGCAGTGGCGCGATCTCGGCTCACTGCAACCTCTGCCTCCCGGGTTCAAGTGATTCTCCTGCCTCAACTTCCCAAGTAGCTGGGACTAGAGGCGTGTGCCACCATACCCGGCTAATTTTTTATTTTTAGTAGAGATGGGGTTTCACCGTGCTGGCCAGGCTGATCTCGAACTTCTGACCTCAGGTGATTCAGCCTCCCAAACTGCTGGTATTACAGGCGTCAGCCACTGCACCCAGCAGGCCTTTCTTTATCCCTAACTGGAATATCAACTTTGACTTCCTAGTATAGTGGCAGGCACAGAGTCAGTGCTCACTGCCTGCCGAATGAATAGATGTGTGAACAAATTTTGAGCTTAACATGCTGTTATTTATGCAAGTATGGCTCTCCGAGAGACGAGGATGAAGCATGATGTCTAAGGCATGCCAGACTCCAAAAATACCAGCCAATTTTAATAAGCATAGAGTGGACTATGACAGTGGCATAGTTTTTGCTACTTACTAAGCAAATGTGTTTCTAGCATTTGTGGCTGGAGGGTGAACATCTGGACCTCTGATTGCATATCCCCAGCCATGCTGACCTTGCGGGGCAAGAGAGAAAGAAAGTGCCGTCAGTGGAGGAGCAGCTGGGTTTCCAAGGAGGAGACGGAAGGAGCCATGACTGTTTCAGGGTGCATAGTCTTAATGGTCCTGGACCTGTGATAAGCCTTCAAGCCTGCTTTCCCTCCCACCCCGTCCCAACCTACAGCGTGATAGGCAACATTTCTTTCCTATTGGTCCAGGCATAGAGCAGGAACCAATGACTCACAGAGTAATACGCAGCCATAAAAAAGAACAAGATCATATCTTTTGCAGGAACATGGTTGGAGCTGGAGGCTATTATCCTTAGCAAACTAATGCAGGAACAGAAAACCATATACAGCGTGTTCTCACTTACAGGTGGTAGCTAAATGTTAGGAACTTATGAACACAAAGAAGGAAACAACAGGTTCTGGGGTAAGGTGGTAGGAGGGAGAGTAGCAGAAAAGATAACCCCCATGACACATGTTTACCTATGTAACAAACTTTCACCTGTACCCCCAAACCTAAAATAAAAGTTATTTAAAAAGGAGCTGGTGCCTCATGCAGAAATAGAAATAGGAATGGAAGCTGGTGTTGGATCTATCTTTCTACTGGCCAGAGATGCCCACAGAGCAGCAGTGATGTGTGCAGCTGAATATGTAGCCTAGGATTTGTCTGTAAAGCTCCCTAACTAGATGTTTTTGGAAGGGATAGAAGAATTGGAAGAAAAGACAGGTTTGCAGTCCACCTATGACATTTCCTATGAAAAAAAAAAAATAACAAGATGCAGCCGTCACCTCTCTCAGTGGTTTGTCTGCCTCCCTCTCTCCTGGGATAGAAAGATGCTTTCAGTATCACCAGATCAAAACAAGCGGAAGAATATACCGAGGTTATAGGTTCTCTCTGGCTCTGTCTTTCTCTCTGTAGCTAGTATGCACTCTCTCTTTCCTCTCCTCTCCTCCCCTCTCCTCTCCTCACTTCTCCTCTCCTCCCCTCTCCTCTCCTCACTTCTCCTCTCCTCTCCTCTCCTCTTATATATTCCAAACCCTTATCTCATTCTAGAGAGAATAGAATGATTTGTTTTCCTGTCAAAACAAAGCTCTGTGTAATTTAATCCCTGCTCTGTTTGTTTCTTTCAGAATAGATATGATTTTCACCCCTGGACCTCCCTCCACGCCAAAACACAAGAAGTCTCAGAAAGGGTCAGCATTCACCTTCCCATCCCAGCAATCTCCCAGGTGGGGCCAGTGGACATGGACTGATGGGCCAGGGGTGCAAAGTTTGTAAAGCATCCCCACCCCCAAACCTCTGCTGGGGTCCTTTATGTGGGTGAAGTTGTCACTCTCCTAAGTAAAATGAAGAAAGAGTTTGAAGCTTGTTTCAGTTGGTGGCCATTTGAAAGGTTTCTGTACAAAAATGTTCTCACTCCTCTTCCCAGACCATGTGGATGACATTTCTTCCTGTAACTTTTGAAAGTGATAATAGCCCCACCTGTTTCACACTGTTACAAAACAAGAGGAGACTTATGAGCTTTATTGAAACAGGAAGAAAACTTCATATCAGCAGAACCCAGAGCATTCTCCATCCTGCATAATTACCTTTGAGTTGATTGATACCCCTCCCAGGACAAAGCCAGAGAAGACACTCAGATATCAGCCCCCTGACAACATTGTAACACAGAGAGCTTTGTCCCTTAACAGAGCAGCTCTTCTCCTTCCAAAGCTTCAAAATTTTGAATAAGATGTTCTTTAGAAAGTCCACTGCCTAAATTTACATCTCTTTATTCCCAAATGTCTTCAAGGCAGGTAACACAATGAGTGAGGGAGTTAGGCTTAAGAAATATTATGAACCTTCCACTTATAAAAGAATCAAGAGGCCGGGCATGGTGGCTTACGCCTGTAATCCCAGCCCTTCAGGAGGCTGAGGCGGGTGGATCATGAGGTCAGGAGCTCGAGACCAGCCTGGCCAACATAGTGAAACCCCATCTCTACTAAAAATACAAAAATTAGCTGGGCGTGGTGGCGCCTGCCTGTAGTCCCAGCTACTTGGGAGGCTGAGGCAGGAGAATCGCTTGAACCAGGGAGTCAGAGGTTGCAGTGAGCCGAGATCATGCCACTGCATTCCAGCCTGGCAAAAGAGTGAGACTCCATCTCAAAAAAAAAAAAAAAAAAAAGAATCGAGAGCATTAACGTGATGATAGAAAGCAACTTAATATTTTAATATTTAACCTCAGTCCTGGGGATAGAATAGGGAGTGATGGGACCGTGGGCACCTGGAGAATGCGTGCCCCATCTAAAAGAGGTAGGAATGAAGTCTCTACCTTCTTTTAGAAATGAGCGCCCTACCTTCTTTTAGGGATGCAGATCCTCTGTTTCCAGAAAACAGAATATCCAGCTTTTACATGAAATTCTCAATTTTTGAGATGGCTTACATGTTTTAAAACCCCGTGCAGGCCAAAGAAAACACTAGCCAGCTGGATTTAGCACATGGACCACCAGTTTCTGACATCTTTTTAAAATTTAGGGCTTCGCAGCCAAAGACTATCCTACTAAGCAGGATTCAGCAGCCTATGAGAGAGAGAAATCAACTATTGAGAAAGTGCCTAGCATGAATGGTTTCTAGCAAATAGCTAGACTCCCTGAAAGTTCTATCTGCAAAAAAAATAAAAATGTTGAAACTAACCAGAATTAAGCAGATATTAACAGTGGATAACCAAAAATCAAATTCAGCACACATTTCAATTCCATTCCTCACCAGTGTCATCTTTTGCATCATGTTCAAGATTTGGGATTCTTCATTCTTATTAAAATTGGCCAGATGAAATATTTATACCCACTGTAAGTAATTTCAGACATTAGATGACCCCTTCTCCACCTGCACACACACACTCAGAGTAAAAGTCTCAGATCTCAAATCTAAGAATGAAAGGCTAAGGAATTTAATTTAAAGGAACTAGATACTCTAGGTACTGTTAGGTGCTTTATAATGTTTAACACAAAGCAAAGCCTCCTTAATAGCAGCTTGATATTTGGCTTCAAATTTTCCTACAGTGGAGGTAAACATGAGATACCAGTGTTGAATGCAGAAAAACTCTGACTTTTCCTGACTCACATATGCCTCCAGAGTTGATTGGTGCTCTTTTATGCCACACAAGTGTGAGGGTGAGAACGATGGCTCTGTTGGCCATGGCCTGCCTAGCCGAAATTACCTTGCATAGCAAAAATAGATATAATGATCTTATAGAAGTGTTCGCTTCTTCTTAGGAATGAACCATATGTAGCCAGACCATCCACATCAGAAATCGAAGACCAAAGCATGATGGGGAAGTTTGTAAAAGTTGAAAGACAGGTAAGTCTTTTCTTCCTCTCACCAAAAACTGGATCTGTGACATTTATTTTCAAATGCCATTTCTTTTTTTTCTTTCTTTCTTTTTTTTTTTTAAGACGAAGGTTCACTCTGTTGCCCAGGCTGGAGTGCAATGGCGCGATCTTGACTCACTGCAACCTCTGCCTCCCAGGTTCAAGTGATTCTCCTGCCTCAGCCTCCTGAGGAGCTGAGATTACAGGCGCCTGCCATCATGCCCAGCTAATTTTTGTATTTTTAGTAGAGATGGGGTTTCACCATGTTGGCCAGGCTGGTCTCGAACTCCTGACCTCAGGTGATCTGCCCAACTCGGCCTACCAAAGTGCTGGGATTACAGACATGAGCCACTGCGCCCAGTCCCCACCATTGTTTTTCAAAGGGAGATAAGATACTTGAGTACTACTACCTACCATTCAAAAAAGATATGGAAATCAAATCACTGATTCAGCATTTACTGAGTGATCACGTGCAAGTTAATTAATTGTTCTGAGCCTCAGTTTTCCTCATCTGTAGTATGGGGATTATAATACCCTATTAGGTTGCTGTGAGGACTGAGTTGATACATAATATTAGCGGGCACAGTGGACACTTGATAATAGCTACAATTATCAAGCATTTCATGGTGAACCCTTAGGAAATGCTAGTGACCTGCCACTGCATGTTGTGTGTCCTCCTTTTCTCAATGTCCAGGCAGTGGGTTGCCTGCGTGAAGAGGCCGGAAGGAGGGCAGGCACAGGTGAGATCCATTCAAGGTGGAAAGAGAAACCCGCTCACTCACAGCACCATGCAGCTCACTCTTGCTTTCACAGCAAACAGCTCATAATCTAGCATCATCTGCCTAACTCTACATTAGATAAATGGTACTGCCAGTTTTTCAAGGATCATAGTAATCCTTTTGTTTTATTCAAAACCCTAAATGGGACCCGTGCAGGAGAGGTAGAAGCAAATCTGAATTATTCCTTTTTGTTGTATCAAGAATTTTGTTTTCATTTTAAATTTTAATTTATAATTTCCACTCTATTTCTCAGTGTCTGTTCTCTTGCCTGTGAAATAGAGATAATAATAGTATCCATCTTGGGGGATTGTCATAAAATTCACAAAAGTCAATAAAGTGCATAAGACAGAGTCAGATTGTAACTTTTCTAACTGACCCTTGTCAGTTATTATTGAGGCTCAGATGCTATCCTGGCATCTGCTGATCATGGTGCTCATATCCTCACCTGTAAAATAGGGTGATACACCTGACGACAGTGTTTCCTGGTGAGTTGTGAATTGTCAAAGCAAGAACATCACACACGTGTGCACATACACTCATGTATATTCATTCACAAAAGTTCAAGTAAGGTGCCAATTTAGGCAGGCAAGAGCAAGCTGCTAGGTAGGGTCTTCAGTTCTGAGAAGCTCAGTTCTTGCTAACCACTGCCCTTGTATTTTTAGGGCTTAAATCACCATGTAGAAGAAACATAGACTAACAGTCCACATGCTTCTGTCTAAGGAAATGTTCCTAAATTGAGAACTCTTGCTCCTTGACCCGGGCAACATTAGCAAGGCCACTTCCTCCTCTAGGGGACACAGCAGGCCTGTAACACTTCAAAGCATCTCTCTGCTTTCCGCCTTTGCTTCCTAGAAGACCTTGCCTAGGTTTTCTCTAGATTAACATTAATACCTGGTGTGCAAGGCTTGCAAGTAGGAGGCACAAAATAAATTATTAGCTGTTTCTATTATTAAGAGTTGCAAGAATTATCTTCCCTTCTGAAAAGTAAATACAGTATTAGAATATTTCCTTCCGGTCAGGCGCGGTGGTTCATGCCTGTAATCCCAGCATTTTGGGAGGCCAAGGCAGGTGGATCACGAGGTCAGTTCAAGACCAGCCTGGCCAAGATTGTGAAACCCCGTCTCTACTAATAATACAAACATTAGCCTGGCATGGTGGCGGGTGCCTGTAATCCCAGCTACTTGGGAGGCTGAGGCATAGAACTGCTTGAACCCGGGAGGCGGAAGTTGCAATGAGCCCAGATCGCGCCACTGCACTCCAGCCTGGGTGACAGACTGAGACTTCGTCTCAAAAAAAAAAAAAAAACAAAAAAAAAGAATATTTCCTCCCAACCAATAGCAACGATCCCCACCCTCAGAGAAAGTGGTAATTCACAGCTCCTTTGATTTTCCAGGTTCAGGACATGGGGAAGAAGCTGGACTTCCTCGTGGATATGCACATGCAACACATGGAACGGTTGCAGGTGCAGGTCACGGAGTATTACCCAACCAAGGGCACCTCCTCGCCAGCTGAAGCAGAGAAGAAGGAGGACAACAGGTATTCCGATTTGAAAACCATCATCTGCAACTATTCTGAGACAGGCCCCCCGGAACCACCCTACAGCTTCCACCAGGTGACCATTGACAAAGTCAGCCCCTATGGGTTTTTTGCACATGACCCTGTGAACCTGCCCCGAGGGGGACCCAGTTCTGGAAAGGTTCAGGCAACTCCTCCTTCCTCAGCAACAACGTATGTGGAGAGGCCCACGGTCCTGCCTATCTTGACTCTTCTCGACTCCCGAGTGAGCTGCCACTCCCAGGCTGACCTGCAGGGCCCCTACTCGGACCGAATCTCCCCCCGGCAGAGACGTAGCATCACGCGAGACAGTGACACACCTCTGTCCCTGATGTCGGTCAACCACGAGGAGCTGGAGAGGTCTCCAAGTGGCTTCAGCATCTCCCAGGACAGAGATGATTATGTGTTCGGCCCCAATGGGGGGTCGAGCTGGATGAGGGAGAAGCGGTACCTCGCCGAGGGTGAGACGGACACAGACACGGACCCCTTCACGCCCAGCGGCTCCATGCCTCTGTCGTCCACAGGGGATGGGATTTCTGATTCAGTATGGACCCCTTCCAATAAGCCCATTTAAAAGAGGTCACTGGCTGACCCCTCCTTGTAATGTAGACAGACTTTGTATAGTTCACTTACTCTTACACCCGACGCTTACCAGCGGGGACACCAATGGCTGCATCAAATGCATGCGTGTGCGTGGTGGCCCCACCCAGGCAGGGGCTTCCCACAGCCTCTTCCTCCCCATGTCACCACAACAAAGTGCTTCCTTTTCAGCATGGTTTGCATGACTTTACACTATATAAATGGTTCCGCTAATCTCTTCTAGGATACACATTTATCTGCTGTTCTTACTTTTAATCACGATTGGACCAGTACAGGGAGAAATTACTGATGAGCCATGCTATTTGTCTGTTTGGTTGGCTGGTTTGGGTTTTGGTTTGGTAAGCAGAGAAAGTAGTTTAAGTTATTTCTAGGATCACTGCCCTCTTGTGTAAAACGCTCCAGCAATTAACTGTTTTTGAAAGCAAGGAAATAATTTTCTCAACAAAACCACATTGTGTATCAGTGGGGCTGCCTACTGAGCTAACATTAGGAAAGGAATGAGATAGTCATTGTGTCTCTAAAACAAAGAATTTAAACAAATATTTAAGGCAAAACCTTTTAAAAGCTCTCCAAAAGACCTCACTTGGCCTGATGTTACTTAGTATCATGCCTCAGTTTCCTTATCTGTAAAAAGTGGTGGTAATCCCAAGTGTAGCATTTCTGATGAGTTATGAATTGGCAGGGAGAAAACACACACACACACACACACACACACACACACACACACATACACAAAGTTAAAATAGTTTCCAATTTATGTAGCCAAGGACAATGGAATTTATCAGAAGTGAAGTGCCCCTCTGGGCAGGAGCTGAGTTCAGTGCCTTTAAAATGAATTTCCAACTCTCATTTCTTCCCATGATACTGAAGTACAAAATATCCATCTAAAATAGAAATTAAAGTCAAGAAGGCACACAGAAATTTTCTAGTCCAAGGACTTCCTTTTATAAATGAAGAATCTTAGGCTCAGGTAAAGTGACATACCCAGAGTCACTCAGTTGTCCCATAGAGAACCAGGACTCAAAAGTCAGGTCTGCCCACTCTCCCTGACCTTGTTTCCCCTCACCACACCATTCTTCCATTTATATAATGCATCCTAGAGATTGTGTCAAGATATATGACTTTGTGTCGCGTGGAAAGCACCCAGTTTATCCAGCAGGAGGGGGATTTCCACTTTTATTGCAAAACATGCTTGCTTGATGCAATGCATTTCAGATCTAGAAAAAAATAATGCAAGCAAGCTACATTTACAGATGTGTAAACAGGCAAAATTTCCAGAACCGTCCAATTTTACTTTTCCAAATTTATGGAACCAACCCAGATTTTTTAAATGAAAATACTAAAACCATATGTAACCGTAAGACAAGCTAAAATGTAAGCAGACAGCCTGGGAAGCACTGCCCTACTGTACAGGTGTGATATTAAGCACAAGCCATCCTCTGGCCTCTTATGAGATGTTGTTATTCTCTGAAAAACTTTGATGGAAAAGGTTTCTGTTAGGCTTAGACTGAATTAGCTAAATGACCATGCCACAGTATTATTGTATCACTCTTCTCACACACCTAGGCACTGGTTGTGGATAGTTGCCATGGTGACAATCAAGATAATCCAGATGACCTAAACAAATGTCTGTATGCAGCTGACACTGCTATTCTCCCTCACAGTCTTGTCAAGAGCCACAGTAGCTATGGCAGACATTTGGTTGATGGTTTCATCATTTCCTAATACGAGAGTCTGGCACTATGTTGGAGAGAGGAATCACTTCCTCAGAGATAGGTTCCTTTCAACTCACATGTCAACAGTTACTGTACAAAAAGCTCAGAATACAGTAATGATTAGAGCTTGACCCCTGACTTTAGGAACTTAGAACCAAAGCCCAAAGTCCCAGGCCAAGGGCAGACATTGTGAGCAGCAGAAGGGTGTTTTTTATGGAGAGCCCCATAAATGGATGGGTGTAGACCTTGAAGTCTGAGATGGGAAATATACCAGAATGCTCAATGCATCAGACATGAAGCCCCACGGGCTTCCATTTGACATGCTGGCAATCTGAAGGACAAAGGGCATGGGTTATTTGGGCCTTTTCCCCACTCCTTCAATATGGCTGAAAGTGCCAGTGGGGATTACAACCTAAGAAACCCTATGCCCCTTCCTGAGGGCTTGATTATTGAATCCTGATCTTCCTGGAATCTTTCACTTGAGATGATCACCTGCCTAACATCCAACATGTTACTATGCTCTTCTTTATGTACATGAGTTACTGGAAACCAACAATAAAGGAGAGTGAGTCATACTCTCCACATATGCGCCAATTAATTTTTTAACTTACTTATTAGTATTCTTGAAGAACTTACTATCTTAAGTATTTTACCAATAGATGATGCATTTTCCAGCAACTCAATGGAGTTCTACCTTAAAGTATTTACCATTGATCCAAAATTGGAGGAACTACCTTAGATTCTTTTAATAACCTAGAAAGGATTGGAGCTTGTATTATTTCCTAAACCATAGGCAGGCAGTCTAGCTTCCCTGCTGGATCATAAGACCAGGACAGCAGAGATTGGGTTTGTATTGATCAGTAGTAGGGAAGTATTGATTGTCTAACATCTAGTAAGTTGTCTTTATCAGTATAGACATAGACAAAATACATGTTTTATGAATGAATAAATAATAAGAACCTTAAGAGCTGTTTTTTTCCCATTTAAGAAAACAAAAAGGAAAAGAGAAAAATGATCTTCTGGAATAACTCTGCTTTGATATTCTCCTTTTGTTCCCCAAAAAATATATTCCAGAAAGGCAAACCAAACCTGCTCAAGTTGCCTATGCACAGACAATCTCAACAATATGGCTCACAGTGAGCAAGCAGAAATTCAGGGTCTGGAATTGAATGTGAGTTATGGGAAGAAACAGTGTGTGCTTTCACAAAGATCCTTTTGTCAGACAAGGGAACAGCATGATAATCCAATGGAACTGGTTAACATGACCCAAGATGACATGACCACAGATATACTAGTCGTTCTGAAACTTGCCCAAGAAATTGCAATCGTTTCAGCAGAACTCCATGAAATATTGACAAATTAATTCCATCATCAAACTAGGAGTGATATTATCAGGTAAAACTATGATCTCATGTATGTATTTGGTCTTTCTGGGTCACAATGTGACATGAAAAATTTTAAAGGTCATATTTTAGCAAGATCAAAATGAATTAGATAAATCAACTTCACAAATGTTAAGCGAAACATGATCCTATTGAGCTGAGAAAGAAGTACTTGAGATCGTTTGAGTTTTGACTATCAAATGTCAGCACAAAAGCAAATATCAAAAGCTTAAGAAAAAAATTATTTCAGGAAAAGAAAAACACATCAAATTGAGAAAGTGTTGTTGAATAACTTTGTTTTTAGAACTGGAAATTTAGGCTTATTAGACATGACATTGATATTACAAAGCCCTAGTTTTCATGAAAACATAACTAGATAACCCCAAGGTGTATAGGTTAAAATGAACTAATTAATCAACAATTATGCATCCTGTGTCTATTTTGTGCAAGGTACTTCCTAGACACTGTAGTTTGAAAGAATAATTTCCTGTAGAAAAACCTAATCTAATAGGACCTACTCATAATTTGGCAAAATCATCCTCATAATTCCATGCTACTGAAATGGGGGTGTAATAAAGAAAAAATCATTTGTTTATTCATTTAACAGGGTTTATTAAGCACCAATATATGCCCAGAACTTTGCAGTGCACTGGAAGTTCAGAGATAAGAAAACCACAGTTTCTGCCATCAAAATGCTAGGAATCTAGAGGTCTCAAACATCAGAGGTCCCTTCAAACTATGTCTACCAGGAAAATAAAATACCTGATTTCATCCCTGCAAACAACTCTATACAGACAGAAATGCTTCCTAGCTTGGAAACTATAGAAAATTGAACATGAAAATGAGAGCAAAGGTTCTACATCAAAATGGCAATGATCCAATCAGCCCAGTCAAGGCTGAGTGGGTTGAATGGGGACTTCGAGTTTGGATTCAATGCTTTGAACTTCATAGCTCCAGAGAAGCTGTGCAAAAAGGGGGGATTCTAGGGAATCTGAGGAAGATTGTTGGAGAAACCAGCTTTCTTCTTGTCTCCTAATCCCTGCTAAGATTGATACCAGTCAAGGAGCTGAGTTACTTTCATTTCATTATGTTGACCAAGAGAAGCTTATGATACAGACTATGACACAGCACCTATTTCAAGAGAAAGATGTTACTCTACTTATGGGAACCTGCAGATCAAATTCTCCTGGGGCAAGAGAAGAAATTTGTTCAGCAGCCTAAGAAGTCAACTGTACTTTGGACAGTGCTGCCAAACACACCCCAGGATTCTCCCACCCCTGTGCTTTCCCAGAAGATGCCACATAGCTGGTATTTGGTTTTCATGAATAACCAAAGATTCTTCTTTGCTTCCTGAACCCCAGGCATCCTTAGGAATTTGCTTCATGTCCTCACTTGTCCTTGAAGGCTTGTTTTTCAGGATGAACTTTTAAAGTCTAAGTTGTTTATATTCAAATCAACCCAATGCTATTGTTGCTGATATTAAACCATTCCAAACTGAGCCAACTGGCCCCTAAACAAGCCAGCAGGCAGCCCCTCACTAATGCCCAGTTTAGAACATGTTAGGACCAGGCTATCTGCATAGCTTTAGTGGTTTTAGAAGCCAGTAATGGCAGTGTAAAAGAGGAATCATACAGAGATGACCTGGAAGAAAATTTGAGTTTCAGCACATTCAAAAGCATTTGACTCTTCTGCCGTGTTTTGATTTTCAAGTGAGACAATCAATGTACACACAAAGCCTCTAGTACAATGACTGATGCATACTAGGGACTGTTATTTATGTTATTTTTTTACAGTATGCATGGACTTCATTGTCTCAGTCTTTGGTGTTACTTATAAACTCTAAATTTACACCAAAAAAATTTTTTTTCAGAAAAAGAATCGTGGAGAAACAATCCTAATTATTAAATCAAATGCTTTCACAATTGCTTTTTAAATAAGTACATCTCTGCAAATAAAAATGCTTGCTCTTGTCTACCACAATAAAGAACAGAAGGAATCTTGGAATGAAGAGAGGCAGGAATGTTGGATCTCAGTGGCTGAGTTGTGGCAATTCCATTGGACATATAGTACCAGATGTTGCACCATCTGGATGATGTGTAGGAGATAAAGCCAAATTGCAAAAATAAAAGACTCATGATTTCCCAAGGAAAGTCAACTGTGCATGGTGGCTATCAGACAACACCCTAGCAATGAATGGGGGAACTTGCAGAAGAAAGAGTTAATGCTTGCTTAAACCTTCCCTGGGGAGATTTGTTCCCAGGCTTTCACGGCTTTAACCTCAGCAACCCTGTAAGAAAATTGTGATTCATATTTTGATTTGTTATCATAGATGCAAAGAGACATAATTTCATGGATTCTAAGATACACAGAGCAAGAAGAGATTTTGATCACCCAGAACAACCACCTGTCTTTTTAGATCAAGAAGCAGAAGCTCAGAGCAAAGAACATCACACCACGTCCCTCAGTGATTGAAGCAGTGATTGAGTCACAGAATAAATCTGGAACTCAGGTCTTCTGATCTTTGCTCCAGATGTTAGAGACAAAACTAAAAGTAAAATACCAAGTGAAATCAAAGCATCACGATTGAGCCCAGAACATGAAAAAGAACTTCCTGGCCCACTTGAGAAACTGTTAAACCGGACATACCTTTGGGGACTTCTTCCCTTCTCTGGAATAAGATTGATGTTTCCATGCTGTGAAAGACGATGATGTTCCTTCTCCCAGATTCCTGCTGTCTTCAAAAGGCCTAGCAAAAACCACTGCTGCTGGGTGCAGTTGAGAAAGGGAATGAAGAACAATCCCATGGCCATGCAGGCACTCCTCCCCTCCACCTCTCTGCCCTCCACCCCTCTGCCCTCTCCTACCTTGTTCCTTCTTGGTCCTGCCATGTTTGGACTGGTTCACCTTTTTGGCCCATCACTTGGGCTCATTCAGCAACAGTCATGCCTTAGGTTGCATCCTCATCTATAGGCCAATTAAACAGGGTTTCTTCTTGATAAATCCCTATGGTTTTGATTTTAGGAAGTCAGGCATGATTTCTTTTGGGATCTATATGACCCAAAGTGGCCAGTTTTACCAAAGGTGTCCCTTTGCACTGGGATCTCTGGGTCTCATTTGAACACAGCTTGGGTCCTCTTGCCTTGTCCCAGAGAATCCCCATGTTGTCAGGACATAAGCAGATACTCTAGGGCCTTCACCAAAAGCTACAAAGAAGCAGACAGGACTCAACTTAGGACATCTTATGGTTATGTAACTAAGAGATTATTTTAGGAAGTAAACAGGCCTCTGTTGGCTCAAATGAACATCTTCATTGTTAGTTTCCACTTACATTGTTCTCGGGATAAATCGGCCAGAATTTGGCAGGGCTCCCCAGCAGTCCTTGTGAATCCCTGTGGTAGGATGTTTCAGTTCTCCTGAGTCAGGCTGAAGTGAAAGCTCCTAAGAGATATTCAGAAAGAAGGATGGTCAAGTTCTAGAACAACAATAGTTGGCCCAGTAATTTTAAAGATTGTCATTCTACCTAAGCCTTCATCCTCCAGATAGCACTGTTATGGGCTTAAAATAAGCTTCAAGGGAAATAATGAATTTCTTTGACACCGCCAAAAATCGGCTGTATATAAGAATAACTTGAGAATGGCTTACAATGAGGTAGTCAAAAGCCCAGCTCAGTGCTCAGGAATGTATTTGTAATTCCTCTTAGACTTGTCGAATGGACTGCAATTTGATACCTAAGAGTAATAAAAAATGAGACCATATTTTATGTTAATGTTCCCTTCTCTTCCTCTGCCCACAAAAGTGAGGTCAGGGAAGGGGAGAGAAACTTATCCTAAGCACTCCTTATGAGTTGCTTGTGACATGATAGCTCTCTCTAAAGTTCATGCAATCCTCATCGCAACCCCATGAGGGAGATGTTATTGTCTCCATCTTATAGATGAGGAAACTGAAGACAAGACCTTGTCAAAGGTCACACATTGTAAGAAGTAGAGCTGCATATTCAACCAAAGCCCGTGTACCTGGAAAGCTCATTCTCTCTCCCCCTTCTTCCTCTCAAATCAGGCCCTAGCTCCTCCACAATGCTTCGGGCTTCTACGTTCACTCAGCTTTACAGTAAAATGATCACAGACCCATGAGTTCCCTGGAGAGTAGAGTGATGCCTGGGTCAGCTGTTCCTCTTGTCTGTTCAGCAGGTCCTTTGAGTGGCTTCACAATCCAGCTGTCAGTGGCAGAAAATAATGCCTCATAAATTATTCACCTGGTTCACATTGGAATCCATTAGCTCTCGGGGCTTGGTGTGGCTGCAGATCATCCACAAGTGCCCCTTGTTCTCTGCCCCCAAGGAGCTCCTGTCATTGTTTTTAACCAAACAAGTTCAAATATCTCCACGTCTCTGCTGACTCTGGTCTTTTGTCTCTAGACTGTACCTTTATTTCTGAGCTCTGAAATTCTGCAGAAACAGGTGAGTCTATAAAAACATTCTGTGGGAGGCCAAAAGCTCAGAACAGTTGTGTCTCTCTTTCTCAGTATTAAAAGATCAAGGTTTCCCATGGAAGCCAACCTGATCTGGTAATTGGGCCCTTCTATACCCCTCTGAATACTTTTCCAAGGAGGGGGCAGTTCCCACCCCCATAGTTCCCCTGAGGGTTAAGAGTCCAGGTGGTGGCCAAGTTGCAAGATTTGGGGCAGCCATTTTGCCAAGGATCAGAGATTTGCTGTTGGAGAGGTGAAGTCGGCTCTGTGCCATCCTGAAAAATCAACTTAGAAAGATAGGTGGACTTCATCAGATTTGTCAGTCCTTCCTTGTTTTAAAGAGAAAAATGATCTCTGCCTTGCTTCAGATAGGATATGGCTATTTTTTTTCCTTCTTTTTCTAATGTAGCAGTGATGGAAAACACCAGTCTTTGAAGAACAAATGGAGGTTCCCAGTGACATGAATCCATTATATTTGATTTTGGATTGTATTTTTTAACCCCTTTTTATGGCATAGAATTCTGGTGCCTTGCTCCCTGGGTTTGTCTCTGTGCTACGAGTAGGCTTTCTTCACATTCTGGCTTACAGGGGAACACAACTATTCCACAAGTGGCCTTTAGTGCTCTTTATAATATGATTTCCTGTAATTTTTAAACTGTATGTGTAATTTATATTCTGGCTCTGTCCAATATTTGAACAACTTTAATAGGTTGATTTCCATATATATTATGCAAATAATTCTTACCTGATTTTTTATGTTCTATCTTAAATAAATACTGCACCACTTATTAATAAATAGACATTTCAGTGATTATGTGGAGGAATGTTATTTGCTTCAGAACAACTTTTATGAGATTGTATTATTTATCATAAACAACACTGACTGTTGCTAACGGAAAAGCTCTAAATATCAACGGCCTAATGCAACAAAGATTTATTTCTTGCTCAAATCACAGTCCAGTGTAGATTGTCTGAGTTTCAAAGAGTGATGCAAGGATTTGGGCTACTGAAGAGCTGGAGTCCTTCACTTCTAGCCAGATTGCCAGGAGGAGAGGCTCTAGAAAAGCCATACCCACATCTTCCTGCCTTGGACTCAAAGTGACTCATCATTCCCACTCACAGACTCATTGCTTAAACTCAGTCACATGGTATGGGGCAATCTGCAAGGGAGGCTGGGAAATGTAGTCTTCATGAATGCCCAGCATGAGGAAATGTGTTGAATATATTTCTTTGCTCACCACAAGAATACTATGATTGATCCTGTAGATCTCCTTGTTAGTATTGAGTAATGACTACGTCTAACCCAAGTGTAGTTGTTGCACAGGGAATAAAGTAAGGGAACCACAAAGTTCCCCTGGGAGTCATTGGAGTTACAAATATATATGTGGCAGCAGTTTAATAGCATAAAGTGTTGGCAAGAGTTATCTACTAGTGGTACACATTTCAAATGCAGCAAACAAGAACATGTCCTAAATATTTCTCTATTATCAATTGGACCATTGGTGGGTATAATCCCTTCATAGGCCAGTTTGCCAACTCTGTTTCCTTAAACATTTGGGTATTGATTAGAATTCTTGTTTTTTTTCTTCTATTCAGTTCACTTCAAGAAACATGTATTTAAGAAATATTAATTGGATATCTACCATATACCAAGCATCGGAGATGCAGTATTTTACAATTTAATGTGGTATTGGCCTTAAGATCATTTCAGTTCTGTGAGAAGCGTGATGAATGAGATAATCAAGGGTTCTGTGGAAACACAAAGCATGGCACTGGCTCATATTAGAGGTATAGAAAACGCTTCATGCAGAGCATGAGGTATGAATGGAATATTTAAGGATGACTTCACAAAGCCAAAAATGAAGAAGGAAGTAGAGAAGACAGGCCTGCCAGACATTGGGAAGAGGATGTGCAAAGAGGCATGAGACAGGCTCAGTTTAGAAGTTCTGTTCAAAGCAAAGTTGCATTTTTACATTCTTGTTCTTATGGTCTCCATTGCCTCTGGCAAGCAACTCAGTGGGATTTATGCCCTGGGTAAACAGGGAGCATTCCAGATGTAGTAAGAAGGCAGTGTGCTTGGAATGCAGAAAGCAAGAAGGAGACTGATCCAGGCAGATGAGGCCTTGAAGGTATATTAGGGCTCTTTGGAACTTTCTGTCCTTAAGTTAAGGAGATCACGGTGCAGTGAGGAAATCTCTTCCCAGATCCACGGTCTGAAACTGCACCCTCCCTTCTGACTTCTGCCTTCCATCCTGATCATGGTTCTCAGAATTCAATTTTGAACTTTTCCTTTCAAAGAAACTATTCCTCTCGTATCTAGAGACTGACAAGGTTCTCTCAGCTGCCTGGTCTCAGTTCCTCTCATTAGGAGAAAGAATCATACTGCCTTTTTTATTGGTAACTAATGCCATCGCCCAAGAACTCATGTCCTACCCTCCTACTTCCACTCCCTACAATTCCACTCCCTCCCATGGTCCCATTTTGGGGACTTGCAGCACCGGCCAACATAGCGATCTAATCTTTGTCCTCAGAAACTATCATGGTGACTGTAAGTGCTAAAGAATGAAACAATGAGTAAATGCGCTACATTTTAGGTGTGTTATCTATTGCTACACAAATATTGCCACAAACTTAGTGGTTAAAAACAATACAAATTTATTATCTCATAGTTTCTGCTGACCAGGAATCCAAGAACAGCTTAACTGGGTCCTCTGCTTTAGGGTCTTACAAGATTCAACCAAGGTGTTGGCTGGAGCTGTGGTCTTATCTGAGGCTCAACTGGGGAAGAATCCACTTCTGTTCTCACATTAGGAACAATTTAGTTCTTTGAGGGTTGTTAGACTGAGGACATCAGTTTTTTGCTGGCTGTTGGGCAGAGATTGCTCTCAGTTCCTTGTCACATAGCCTTCTCCATAGGTCAGCTCACAACATAGCAGCTTGCTTCATCAAAATGAGCAAGGGAGAGTCTGCTGGCAAGATGAAAGTTGCAATCTTATGTAACATATCATAAAACTGACAGCCCATTACCTTTGCCATATTTTATTGATTAACGGGAATTCACAGATTTTGCCTATGCTCAAGGGGAGGGTATTACTACATAAGATATAATTGAGACCATCTTAAAACCTGTCTGCCACACTAGGTAACTAGGGCATTCTCAAAGTTAGCATGAACATGGTATTGTCTTTAGGGACTGATGAAGCAAATATTAGAGCTCAGAAACCTCCCTCCAGCTAATAAGGGTGATTGCTTAATCTCTGGACCTAGGCTTTATCAGCCTCTCCCAAGCTCAGTTCTGTGAGACATAAGAATAATAGCTAATATTTACTGAGCACTTACATGTGCCAGACATTTTACTTAGTATTCTCTGTGAATCATCTCATTTACTCTTCACAATAAATCTTGGCACTCAGAACTATTATCATCCCTACTTTATAGATAGGGACACTGAACTATAGAGAATTTAGTCATTTGTCCAGGGTCACATAGCTAGTAAATGGCACAGCCAGGATTCAGAGCAGGAAGTCTGACTCCAGAGCATTTATTCTTAGCTACTAATCCATTAGAATCTTTTATTTTGAATAAAAGTCCTTGCTAGCTAAGCAGGGGATAAATATGTTTATATTCATTTAATTTACCTAAGTTTTCTCACTCAAGTTCCTTTCCTGCATGCTTCTCCAGGGGTTATATAATGTGTGGTTGTCTCAGTTAAGATCCAGGTGGAGAAATAAGAAAGTCATACACATACTACGTAAGTGGAGGAGATTTTAATAAAGGGTTTGCTTACAAAGATTTGGTCATAGTTTAGTTAAATCAAATTGGCATGGTACAGTCCTGCAAAGCTAGCAACAGCCCGACAAGGGCCAGAACCCAGATGGAGCTTTATGGAGAGGGCCATGTGATAGGGACTATGACCTTGGGCATTGGACACAGCAATCTGGTAGTGAACCAGCAGGGAGGGAGCTAAGGGAATAAAGACTGCAACCTCACTCTCTTTCCCTCTTCTGATCCTCTACTGGTATCTACTGTTGCCTGAACCCAACAGAAAGCCAGGGAGGAAGGAAGACTGCTACATAGCTTTAGGAAACAGAAAAGTAACTAGGATGAAATCATGGCACGAGTGAGCTCACCACCCAAGGGGCTCTGTGATAAAAAAGCAAAGCTTGGAAAAGCATGAACTTTGGGAAAGATCTGCCTTGAAAGGTATGCAGAGGAAGAGGAAAATGTAAGGAGCGTCCAAGAAACCATGATCAATGTAGATAGAAATGAAAAGAGGGTCATGGAATTAAAAGGGGGAGAAATGAGAGGGGGTGGCCATCATATAGAGTAATACCAAGATGTTGAGGTAACGCAGGATATGGATAGGAAAGAGCCCACTGAATTTATGTAATATAGGTAAAGTTGAGGAACTCTTTTAAAAGAAAGGCAAAGAGCTGCAGGAAAAATGAAGGTCCAAGTGTTGACGAAATCAATGACAAGTAAAGAGAGTTTGTTATCGGTTGCAGGAGGGAATGATAGGGGAGGCTTGAGTATATTTATAAAATGTGAGAAAAGAAGGGTTGAGAGGGAAAGAATAAAGACAAAAGAAAGAAAATAGGTAATCGATGGCATAAAGACCCAGGGGAAGAAAATAATCAAATACAAAATAAAACCCATAGCCGCAAAGACAACACAATGGGAATTGAACACCTCCTTGGTACCAGCCACTACACAGGTTTAATTAAAGTGTTTTAAAATGTTTTTATTTTATTTTATTTTTGAGACGGAGTCTCACTCTGTCACCCAGGCTGGAGTGCAGTGGTGCAACCTTGGCTCACTGCAACCTCCACCTCCTGGGTTCAAGCAATTCTCCTGCCTCAGCCTCCCAAGTAGCTGGGATTACAGGTGCATGCAACCACACCAGGCTAATTTTTGTATTTTTAGTAGAGATGGGGTCTCACCATGTTGGCCAGGCTGGTCTCAAAGTGATCCACCTGCCTCGGCATCCCAAAGTGCTGGGATTACAGGCGTGAGCTACCATGCCCAGCCTAATTAAAGTGTTATTCAGTCACTAAAATTTTAAGTCATTGTAATTCCCATTTTATACATGGGGAAATTGAGGCTCGGAAACATAAAGAAATCTGCTCAAGGTCAAACACTAATAAGGGAAAGAGTCACAATTTGAACTTAACCAGGACCACCTACCCCTGAGTCTCAGGTTACTTCCTTTGGAGAAACTTCACTTCTCAGACCACGTGGGCTGAAGAAAGAATAAGTGAATCAAAAACACTGTGAGTTGATGGGAGAGGAAATTAGTAAAGCTTATATAAGTTTTCCTCTCTCTACTGTCAGTACAGTGGGAAGGAATGTTTCTTCATGTGAGAGAAAGAACCTTGAGAGGGTTACTTAACCCTTTTATGGTAAGCATCTGTAAAATGGGGAGAATTATACCTATCTTGAAAGGTCATTATCTGGAATGATGTCAGTAGAGTACTTAGCAAAGGATCTAGGACACAGAAAATGTTCAGTGAGTGATAGCTTTTGACTCCATCCCATGCCCACACAACAAGTTGTCTTAATTTGGGCGTCCACAAAAATAGAGATGAGATGTTGAGTGTAGGTGGTTTATTCAGAAAGCATTCCCAGAAAACACAACTTAGAGAGTGGAGAGATGAAACAGGGGGAAGAAAAGTCTCTGATAGAGAAACAGAAGCACTGCCAATGAAGGTGGAGAGCTGCCAGCATGCTGAGAATTATCTATGAACTGCAGGTGAACTCAGAAGTAGGGAGGAAGGACACTTGCAGGATACCATCAGCATCTGGCACATAAGCCTACTTGAAAACCAGACATACACAAAAATAAACAAAAACCCATCCTGGTTGCCACAATTTACTCTGTAAATCAAAGGACAAAGATGGCTAACACTGGGCAAGCTGGAAGTGATACACTCATGGACACAATTCACTGTGGAAACATTGCCTGTAGCCTCTGAGAACCAGGGTAGACTGCTCTTCTAGAACACAACAATCTGGCTGCAAAGTCCATGTCTAGCATCACAAAGGCGTATGGACAACTTTGTGGTTATGGTAAGTGTACCCACTCTGCAACTGCATATTTCTGTCCAAATAAAACTTACCCACTTCAAGCCTCAGGTGACTGTATGACAGTGAAAAAGCCTAAAAATTTCCTTCATCTGCACAAATGCAGCAAAAGCCCATTCATAGCCTTACATCCCAGATATTCTGGGAACTTGTTCTTGTTTCTGATAATTTCAGCTTCCAACAATGAGCATGGGCATCCAGTTGACCAAGGACCCAGTGATTTCTCCTCACTGAAGACATGTAAGGTGTCTCCCCTGAGAAAAGTCCAATTGTCCCATGTCCTGTCCCCACATCAGATATGAAAATATTCCCAGCAGTTTATCTTCTGGTTCTGGGTAGGTCTACCTCAGGCCAGTGCAGGGCAAGGGAGTTAGCAGAAGGAAGAGCAATGACAGAGGAGATTTGAGAAGTATCAGGGGTCAGGCCATGAAGGCCCTCATGGGCCATTATGAGGTTATTTGTTTTTACTTTGAATCAAGAAGGAAGTCATTGCAAAGCTTTGAGTAGAGAGATAGCAAGATCTGATTTATGTTAAAAAGAGTTTCTCTGGCTGCTGTATTGAGAATACACTGAAGGAGGCAAGAGCAGAGAACAAGAGATTAGTTAGGAGCAATACTGCATTTGCAGTAATTGGTTCAATGAGAGTCAAGAGAGGCTTGGACCCAAGTGAGAGCAGTGGAGGAAGTGAGAAATGTTAGAAATCTGGATACATTTTAAGAGCAGAGATGACAAAATTTACTGATGGAGTAAATGTGAGATATGAGAGGAGAATAGGATTATTGCAAAGTTTTTTGAGTACCATAATGAGGGAGGGTATCATGCAGATAGGGTAGATTGGGGAAGAGTCAGGTTTTGCAAGCAGAACATGAGTTTGGTTTTTTATGCGTTAAATTTCAAATGCATATGAAACATTTGGTGGAAATATCCAGCAGGTATTTAAGTATGGAGTTAAGGAGACTGTTCAGGGCTGAAGATATCTCTGTCTATATCTATATCCATACCCAAATTTATGCAGTCATGCACCGCATAATGATGTATCAGTCAACAAGCGACCGCATATAGGATGATGGTCCCCTAAGATTATACTGGAGCTGAAAAATTCCTATCGCCTAGTGATATTGTAGCCATCCCAGTGTCACAGTACAGTGCATTACTCATCTATTTATGGTGATCCTGGCATAAACAAACCTACTGCACTATCAGTTGGATACAAATATAGCACATACAATTATGTACAGTACATAATAATTGATAATGATAATTAATGACTATGCTACTGGTTTATGTACTTATTATACAATACTTATTTTAGAGTGTACTCCTTCTACTTATAAAAAAAATTTACTGGCCAGGCATGGTGGCTCATGCCTGTAATCCCAGCACTTTGGGAGGATGAGGCAGTTGGATCACCTGAGGTCAGGAGTTCGAGACCAGCCTGACCAACAAGGTGAAACCCTGTCTCTACTAAAAATACAAAAAAATAACCAGGCATGGTGGCAGGTGCCTGTAGTCCCAGCTACTTGGGAGGCTGAGACAGGAGAATTGCTTGAACCTGGGACACAGAAGTTGCAGTGAGCCGAGATCACACCACTGCACTCCAGCCTGGGTGACGGAGCGAGACTCTGTCTCAAAAAAAAAAAAAAAAATACTATAAAGTCTTAGAGCGGTCTTTCAGGAGGTATTCTAGACAAAGGCATTGTTTTCCTAGGAGATGACAGCTCCATGTGTGTGATTGTCCCTGAAGACCTTCCAGCAAGACAAGGTGGGGAGGTGAAAGACAGTGATAGGGATGATACTGAACTTGCGTAAACCTAGGCTAATGTGTTTGTTTGTGTCCTAGTTTTTAACAGAAAAGTTTAAAAGAAGAAAAGAAAAGTAAAAAGTAAAAAAGAAAAATTAAAAACAGGAAAAAGCTTTTAAAATAAGGATATAAAGAAAATTTTTGTACAGCCGTGCAATATGTTTGTGTTTTAAGCTAAGTTATTACAAAAGAGTCAAAAGGTTTTAAAAAAATTTTGTTTATAAAGGAAAAAAACTACCGTAAGCTAAGTTTACTACTTATAGCAAGGTTAATATTTTCAATAAATTTAGCATAGCCTAAGTGTACAGTGTTTATAAAGTCTTCAGTCCTGTGCAGTAATTTCGAGGCCTTCACATTCACTCACCACTCACTCACTGACATCCAGAGCAACTTCTAGTCCTGTAAGTTCCTTTCATGATGAAGTGTTCTTCTACACAGGTGTACCATTTTTTAATCTTTTATACTGTATTTTTATTGTACCTTTTCTATGTTTAGATACACAAATGCTTACCATTGCATTACAGTTGAGTACAGTATTCAGTATAGTAATGTCTGTACAGGTTTGTAGCCTAGCAGCAATCGGCTACACCGTATAGCCTAGGCGTGTAGTAGGCTATACCATCTAGGTTTGTGTAAGCATACTCTATTGATGTTTGCATGACAAAATTGCCTAATGACACATTTCTCAGAACGTATCTCCACTATTAAGCAATGATTGACTCTTTGTATCTATCTATTCAACGACTTGTAGGTAACATTTAAAACCATGAGACAGAATGAGATCCCCAAGTGAACAAGTATAGAGAGAAAAGAGAAGACAATCAAAGACTAAGCCCTACAACATCAAGAGGCCAAGGAAATGAGAAGGAACGAGCAAAGGAGGCTGAGCAGGAGCAGCTAATGAAATAGGAGGGAAAATAGGAGACTGTGGTGTGGGGAAGCCACGTGCTGAGAGGGTCTCAAGGAGGGAGTGATTGGCTAATGGCATCAAGTGCTGTAGTGCCTAGTGAGAAGTGGAGTTAGCCATGTAAGAATCAGCATGGCCTTGACAAGAGCTGCACTGGAGGGATGCTGATGTCATGCCTGATGGGAGTGGGCTTGAGAGAGAGGAGATGGAGATGCTCTGGGGCATCAAGTAGAGACAACTCATTGAGGAGTTTTGCCATGAAGGGAAAGAGAAATGAAGGAGGAGCTGTAGGAGATGTAAGGTCAAGAGGGCTTTGATTTTGTTTAAATAGAAAGAATAACTGAAGAATAGGAAGGAGCCAGTCGTTGAGAAGCCTGGGGAAGAGGCTTCCAATAAGGAGCAGCCAGTGCAAAGTCGCTGTGGCTGTGAACAAGGGAAAAGGCCGCATGTGATATGGCTAGAGACTTAGGAAGAGGGCAACTGCAAGAGTCTTTGTAGCCAGGGTAAAGAATTGGGATATTATTCTAGGTGCTGACGAAAGCTATGGAAGGATTTTAGGCAACGTAGTGACATGATCTTGATTCATGTTTTAAAACTATTTCTCTGACTATATATTGCATGATTTCAGTGACAGGAAATGTTCAGAAAATAAAAGCATACAGAGATTGAAAGTAGATTAGTGGTTTCCTTGGCCTGGTGTGGGTAGAGGGAATGGGGATTAACCATACATGGGCAGGAAGAATCTTTCTGGGGTAATAGAAATGTTTTCAAATTAGAATGCAGTGACGGTTGCACTAAATTTACATTGAATTTTATACTTAAAAAGGGTGAATTATACCTTAATAAGGTTCTTTTAAAGATTACTATGGCTGATATAATGGAGACTTATTTAGGGAAGTATGAGTAGTAGCAAGGTGACAAGCAAATGGCAACTCCAGTGTCTAGATAAAAACCATCAGTGTTGAATGTGGGCCCTAGGAGCAGAAGGGGCCAAGTTCTTCTAGGCCAGGAGTTGGCAAACTTTTTCTATAAAGGGCCAGATAGTAATAAATATTCTAGCTTTGTAGGCCATATGGTCTCTGTCACAGCTACTCAGTTATGCCGTTGTAGCCCAAATACAGCCACAGACAATACATAAATGAATGAGTGTGGCAATGTTCCAATAACATTTTATTTGTGGACACTGAAATTTGAATTTCAAACGGTTTTTACATGTTATGAAATATCATTCTTCTTTAATTTTTTTCAATCATTTTAAAAATATATAACCATCCTGAGGTTGCAAGCTGTATAAAAACAAGTATCCCGCTGTAGGCACCTGCTGAAATCAACTACAGCCCCCAGCCCTTTCTTCAGAAGACTCCCACGGGCCTGCATGCCAGGTGATGCTTGGCCCACAAACCTTTGCAACAGGAAGACAGAACTCATCACCTAGGGACTCCTGTTCTACTCCTTCAATACACGTAATTACTGTCAGAAAGGTTTTCCCATCCCATGCTGAATCAGTGCATTGTCATTCTGTTCACGGATGCTATTCAGCTCATTGCACAGGCATTTTTCTCCCTTGGAGTTGATCTTCTTTCACCACACTAAGTTTTTGGTAGGATTATTATTCCATTTTTTCCCAAGGGGATTTAAAGCAATGTTATCAAGACTTTCCCCACCCCCACCCACTGTATCTTTCACTAAGAACTCATATAAACCCCATGGCTCTGACCTAGCTGTTAATCTTTCTAGCTGTTTAAGTTCTTTGAAGTCAATTTATCCTGCTCAGAAGATAGGTAAGTAGTATATGGTAGGTATTTTAAAACTCTTTTGGTTCCTCCTCCTCTTCAAAGCATGAAGCCAGCTAAAGAATTCATCTGCTATAATCCTGAGCTCTGGGCTCCTGGATACTGAAAGATATGAGAGCAGTTTCTATCATCCAATATCTACATTGCATTTAGCTAAGACTCCATCCCTTGATCGCTTGATCACAGTCTATTTCTTGCCGTTGTTCATTTTAAGCTATTGATTAGAATCTTAAGGCAGTCACCAGCTGGGAGGATGGTTTGTCCTCACATCTATGATAAAAGAAACATAATCTTTAATCCAAAGCCTCCAAAACATTGGAATGAGGATAAAAGAGTGCGCTAAAAAATGGCTGGCAGTGAGGCAACAGCTAAAAAGTTATATTTCCTTACTCAGTGTTCAACCTGCAATGGATTTTGGCAGCAAACAGACTGGACTTCCAATCCTGGTTCTCCCAGATGCATTCCCTTGGGCCTTATGTTTGTCTGAGGCTTGGTTTCCTAAAGCTATAAAATAAGAATTATAACAAGCCATTAGTAGTGTTGCTTGAAGGACCAATGGGTTACTATATGTAAAACTCCTAGCACATCAGATGGTCAACAAATATTAGGATCTTCAATTCTTTTCTGTCATTAGGTATTTTTTAAAAGCCAGCCCCTCACCTTTTGGTGTTCTCTCACAGCCCATGGAACCAAACTACCTAAGTTTGAAGTCCAGGGCTGCCCCTGCCAGCTTAATGACCTTGGGCAAACTGTCTAGAATCCCCAGGCTTCTGGTTTCTCTTCAAGGAGGGAGAGCTGATATCTATATGGAAGGTTACTGGCTGAACGGACCGTCGTAATGCCTCAGAACATGTGTCACTCACTGTGGCTAGCCCACACCCGCTGACACTCCAGTGTGTATTTCCACCTCTCCACAGCGCACTGTAATTATGCTATATCTGATCCAGCACCTTTTGGCTGCAGAGTTCAGTGAGAAAGGCAGGTTTGCTCATCAAGCTGAACTAACCTTGGTTGATTTGGGACCCTTGTTGATTGGCGGTAACACACTGTTTAATTAAGACTCTGGAGCATTTGCCTTCACCGTCCACACTCCCGGCTCCAGGGCTGCTGTGACAAAACACACAGACATATTGCAAATTAATTTCACAAGACTCTTGGGTGACTTCTTGGCCCATCAGTCATAGCAACACTTCTCAGCCCTTCTCCCGGGAGTGTGACTGGATTTCTAACCCTTCCACCTCCCAAAATGCTTTGAAATGGCCATTCTGTTTGTGTTCAATATCAGGCTTTTTACTGGCACTCCAAGATGGTATTTTGAAAGCAGGTGAGTAAAACAGAACACTGTGGACAAGGGACTTTAGTATCTGAGAGACCATGGTTCAAATCCCAGTTCTCCTGCTTAGAAATCATGTGACTGGGAGCTGGGGGCTGCACGTCAGAACCCTGGGCCTTTATCTTCTGTAACTCAAAGATCAATGCCTGTCCCATGGGATGCTTGAGAAGTTGAAATAACAGACTGTGCTCAAAATGGGAGGATCAATACATTGTACTCTAGGGGATGAAACCCCTGTTTCCTGTACTCTCTTAGGTTTAGTTTATGAGGTCCTGCAAATTAAACTAACAAAAGTTAGATTACAGGAGAAAAATGTTTTTTTTCATATGCTTATAGGAGTCCTCACAAAAATGAAATAGAAACCCTAAAGGGAGCTGGGCACAGTGGCTCACGCCTGCAATCCAAGCACTTTGGGAGACCGAGGCCGGTAGATCAAGACCAGGAAGTAAACCTAGGCAGTCCTCCAACGCCAGGGTCTGTGCTTGTAACAACTATGCCATGAGCTCCACAAATGCTTTTTGACTGAGTTCAAGACCAGCCTGGCCAAGATGGTGAAACCCTGCCTCTACTAAAAATACAAAAATTGGCCTGGCATGGTGGTGGGCACCTGTAATCCCAGCTACTCGGGAGGCTGAGGCAGAGAGTTGCTTGAACCCAGGAGGCGGAGGTTGCAGTATGCCGAGATCGTGCCACTGCACTCCAGCCTGGGCGACAGAGCGAGACTTCGTCTCAAAACAAACAAGCAAAAACAAACAAAAATACCCTAAAAGGGCCATCAGACTTGGGGACTTATATATCACTTTAACAATAAGGTGACCGATTTGTGGAGAAGTGACAAGACAAAGGAAAAGAGCTTTGAGCTTCTAGAGGCAGTATAATGTGGGAAGGAAATATATGGGGAAACCAATGGATGCTAAGGTTTATTTTTGTGAGGTTTGTGTGCCCACTCAGCACCCACTTTCCGTCTTCTTCTTGGCCATAAAACTCTCCCAGGGAGAGAGAATTTCTCAGAAGTGTCTGCACATAGTCAGGTAGGAGAAGCTCCAAGAAGGCTTCTTCCTGCATCTGTTGATTCTCGATGGCCTTCCACTCAAAATAATCCATGTGCCCAAAGTCGCTTATTAGGGGATAGTATATTTTGGCTGGCATATTTTGATCCCCTTCAATAAATAATTATTATTGTCCTGTCATCACATGACTTGCTTTTCTGCAAGTGTCACGGAAGAAACAAAGATTTATAAATAATTATCCAATAATAGTCATGAGAAATGTAGTGAAATAATGACAACTTAATTTTACGGTAAAATTTTGGATATCTAATTCAGTCTTTTAAAGATATAACTTTGAGGACTCACTCTATCATATGAAGAACATTATCTGTCTTGCTTACTATTGGAGTACCAACATCTTTTCTTATTTTCATTATTATCACTATATTGTTGGTGCAGAAGTAATTGAGGTTTTCGCCATTACTTTAATTCTATCACTTATTTGTTATACATTTATATAGCACTTGCTCCATGCCAGACACTGTCCGCTACAGTCTACAAATGTAACATATTTTAATCCTCAGGACAGTCTTGGGTGAGGCACAGAGAGGTTTAGTAAGTTGCACTGCAGAGCCAGGAAATAAACCTAGGCAGTCCTCCAACTCCAGGGTCTGTGCTTGTAACAACTATGCCATGAGCTCCACAAATGCTTTTTGACTGAGTGAAGGTTAAGTAAGTTAGCCCAGATCACAATGGCCAACTCAAGATTCAAGTAAGATCTGTCTGACCTTAAACCCAGGCTCTCTCCCTGTCCTAGACTGTCCCAGAGTGGTCCAGACTTGCAAAGGGAAGCGTAAGGCCAGATAGTCTCAGTTTTACTGTCAGGTGAAGTCTAGCCAGTCTGAAGTGTTCCTTTATAAAACTCTCTCCAAACTATGGATGTTCCAAATATTGCATGAGATACACTAAGATATTATTCACTGTTATCTCAAATTCAAATGGTGTCCTGTGTTTTTTACTTGTTAAATCTAACAACCTTAATCCAAACATGTAGTTGACTTGGCCAATGACAAAGAATTAAAAAACCAGGGAGAAGTAAAAATGCATTTTTCTCCAAGAACAGTATCAGTAGGAATTGTAGTCTTCGAGTAATAAATCTTAGCATGTCGGCCAAGCGCGGTGGCTCATGCCTGTAATCCCAGCAATTTGGGAGGCTGAGGCAGGTAGGTCATCTGAGGTCGGGAGTCGAGACCAGCCTGACCAACATGGAGAAACCCTGTCTCTACTAATAATACAAAAATTAGCCGGGCATGATGGCACATACCTGTAATCCCAGCTGCTCGGGAGTCTAAGGCATGAGAACCATTTGAACCTGGGAGGCGGAGGTTGCAGTGAGCTGACATCGTACCACTGCACTCCAGCCTGGGCAACAAGAGCGAAACTCTTCTCAAAAAAATAAAAATAAAAATAAATAAATCTTAGAATGTTTACTCTTAGTAAATGGAAGAGGGTGGTTAACATAATGAAGCAAGAGTCAAAAAGAGAGAAATTTGTAGCTATTATATAAATGTAAATAATTGTTTTTCTACTATAAGTTTTTATCTTTTAATTCCGTATTTCTCTGGTATGATGCTGAGTTCTGAAATAGATACAGAAGAAGAAGGGGGAAAGAGGAGAAAAGAGAGAAAGATAAGAGAATGAGAAAGAAATTAAGATTCCTAATATCTACCATATTCCAGAGATTGTACTAAGCACCATATTTCATTCTCATTTAATCTTCACAAAAATACCTTCAAAGTAGTTATGACTCTGTCCATTCTACACACGAGGCTCAGAAAGGGGAGATAATGTTTGCGCAGTGCTTGAGGTGCCAAAGGAAAGAATCCTCACTCAGCAGGAATTGCCTGCCCACTTCCACCCCCAGTCACCCTTTGCTGGAGAGAACGCTAAGTCCTGGCTTCACCAGGTGCTCACTCTCTCTCTCCCTGTCCATCTCTCTCTCAGTGGAGAATTTAGCACAGCCAGCCTTGAGTGTGAATTAGTTGGGCATGTGTCTACATCTTCTAAGTTACTAAACAGCTCAAGGGAAGTGGCAGTGTCTACTCTGTCCCTGTGTCTCCAGCCTGAGCTTGATGCCTGGTATGGATTGTGAGCATAACGATGTGCCAGGCACTGGGTTAAATGCTCTGGATTCATTATTTTAAATCCTCACAAAGACCCTGTGAGAGTTCTCTTAACTGTTTTGCAGATGAGGAAAATTGGTATTCAGAGAGTAACCAGACTTATGAGAATAGGTGAATTCCACGAAAGCCCCAGCTTCTTGCTTCCTTGTAAGACCTGTCTCTTTGGGGTGGCATCTAGAACAAATGCCAGTCACATAGCTATCAATAATCAAAAAGCTATTTAAATGTTTCTGGGATCTTTTAAGAAAATTCCACAGGGCCTTCCCATTCCTAATGGACAGCAGAACTTCTCAACATGCAATTTGCCCTGAGGATGTTCCCTTCCTGCAACATTTTTCTCCAATCCAAGCGCACATTCTCTTGACTTTTCTTCCCGCCCAATTCACCTTCCAGATAAATCCAACCCTCTACCAATGGTAAATTTCTCCTCTTTTCAAATCGTATCTGTGCAGCCTGTATTTAAATTGTCATTACATTAATACCTACACAGAAAGACTGTACAGTTATCAAGTATGCATCAGATAGTGTTCAATGTGGCATCTGGCACACAGAAAGTGCTCAATAAATGTTAGCCATTATTCAATTTAGTCTCAGCTTTGCAACTGTAACTATCATGGTGATTTTGCATGGCAAATGCAAAATGAGAATGGCAGGCACAGAGTGCTGCAGAGAAGGAAAGAGACTGTGAACACACATATTCCTATGGTAATATATTTTCCTATTTATGAGAGTAAGTGATGCTGTATTTGAGGGATATTTCCCATCTCAACAGCCAGAAAATCCATGGAAGAAATATAAATGCTCCCTGAATATGTATGCATCCCCCTCTACATTCCCAGTTTTCCTGCAATAATGCAGGGTCATATAAGTAATTTTGGTATGGGCTGCAAGCAAAAGCAAATGTGTTGCTTCCTGCCAAAGCACTTAAGAGTTGGTGCATAATCCCACAGCTCTCTCCCTTCCAGTGCCACAGTGAATCAAAGTCTAAGGAGGCTACAGTTGCCACATGGAGAACTATAGGATAGTGGAACTCCATTAACTGGGGTCCCTGAGTGACTATGTGGAGCAGAGCTCCCCACCAAAATGCAGTGAATATATACTGCAAACAAGAAATCAACTTTTCTTGTTAAGCCAATTAAATTGTGGAGTTAATTTGTTACCTTAGCTTCCTAACCTCTCCTAACCTAGTACAAAGCCTTTTTCAGATTGTGATTTTAATGATTCCTCACGCACTGTTCTCAAAGGAAGGTCTGCATCCATGTGCTTAGTTTCCTAAGTGTTTGCTTGCTTCATTCCAGGTGGGCCAGAGTATCACAAGCATGCTGGGCTTCCTGTCACGTGGTCCTTCAATGAAGCTGTGCATGGGCCTGGCATGTGTCTTGTCCCTTTGGAACACAGGTGGGTCTAGCTGGAGTTCTGCAAGTGTCTGTTCTGTATAATAAGTTGGAGTATTCACTGTGCTTTAGAGAACCTCAGCAGCCAACATTTCTGCCCAGAATCCAAATGAATTTGTTCAAAATGGCAAGAATAACTTCCCTACTTCTGTTGTTCCCTTGACTTTTTGCATTTAAGTCCCATCTATGCAAAAGAATTCTCTTCACCTTCACTGTTACCACCTTTGTCCAAAACATTATTTTCCCTTTCCCAGACCATGAGACAGCTTTCCAAACCAGCTTCTCCTCTTGTCTCTCCATGACCCATTCACCACCAATCAGCCTGAGTGATCTTTTCATAAATCTTGTTAGGTCATCTTCCAAGTTCCTCCCTCTTTTCTCTCCCTCTGCCCCAAATTATTTGCGGAGTTCCTACTTCTCTCTGTGTAGTGTACCAGGTCCTTTTCAGGCTCTGCGTGACCCTGCCTCCCTCACCATCCCTGCTTCCTACCACCTCCACCTCCTTCATTCTTTATGCCCCCATCACTGTTGGCCTTCTTTCCATTCTTTAAAGTAATACTCATGCCTACCTCAGACACTGGGCTTGTGCTGTTCTGTATACATCAAATATTCCCCCAATTAGATAAATCCTACTCAAATGCTATTCATTCTTCAGAGCTCAGCTCAACGCCCCCTCTCAGGGAAGGCTTCCAGATTCCCGAGACTAGATCAGCCCCCTGTTACACACCCTCACCGTTCCCTTCAAGGTATTCAATGTTGTTTTCCTATGTGTCTGCCTTTCCAGCACACACAATGCCTAGCAAACACTCGGCACTCAATAGCACCATCCATCATTAGTAGTTGGTCAACAAATATTTGATGACGAAATGATTAAATGAATGAACAAACTAGATGCGGGACTAAATGTCACTTCACAACCCCAGATCATAATTCTCTCATCTGTAAAATGGGTATGTTGAATCAAATTATCTCCGGTATTATGTCTTGGTTATAATTTCTGTGATTAAACCTTTTTTACTTTAGTGTCTGGCATCAAAGGAGAAGCCAAGAAAGAGAAGGGAATGACCTTTTTACCTACAACAGGTAAGTGGGTGATAAGGGCTCCTTTTCAGCTCACTGTTCTTGGGCAAATTCCTTGACTTCCCCAAGCCTGACTTTCTCTACTGATAAGACAGCGATTATATCCGCATCTAACACTCTAATAGTCACAACAATGGTTCCTGTGAGCTACTCATTTCTTTATGGTTCATTGAATCCTTGTGATCTTAATAAATCCACAAAGACTGTAACATTCCATTGGTGATAGAAGATTTTATAATGGGGGGTACCGTTACTTGCCATCATCACCTTTGTAATAATTTCATCTTTCTTTGCCTTTCCTTCTTGATGCTATGAAATTCACTTTGCAGTACAATGGTGACTACATTGCAACAGAAAGGACAAGAGGAGTCTGGGAACAGGTTTCTAAATTTTAGTAAACAAGCAGTACAATTTTTTGGTTTGGTTTCGGTTTTAGTTTTGATGGAAATTGTGTTACTTTTTATACTTATTTATTTATTTATTTATTTATTTTGAGATGGGGTCTTACTCTGTCACCCAGATGGGAGTCAGGTGGCACGATCTCAACTCACTGCAACCTCCACCCCAAAGGCTCAAGAGATTCTCCCACCTCAGCCTCCCGATAGCTAGGACCACAGGCATGTACCACCACACCTGGATAATATTTTGTACTTTTGTTAGAAACAGGGTTTCACCATGTTGCCCAGGCAGGTCATGAACTCCTGAGCTCAGGGGATCCACTTGCCTCGGCCTTCCAAAGTGCTAGGATTACAGGCATGAGCCACCAGACCTGGACGATTTTTATATTCTCATTTATTTTAAATTAGTACATTCACATAGTTCAAATAGCAAAAGTTACAAAAGCGTATAAAGTTAAAATGCTCCCCCAGCCAACAGCTTCCCTTTCCTGAAAGCACCAATTGTACCAATTTATTGTGTGTAAGTAGGATAACTTTCCATAAATATTTTTCTTAGTTGAGCTTTCAATTTTCTTCTCCTTAAATGGGAACAACAATTCCTGCCCCACAGGTAATCATGAAGGATAAAAGGTGATAAAATACTAAGCATTAAGAAGTACAAAAAATGCCAGGAACCTTCTATTTTAAAGCTTTTATTATGGTGGTCTTTTTATCCAAAAATAGAAAAATATCTTTTTGTAATCTGTCAGGGAACTTATTTGAAAAATGCTCTGTATTACATCCTGTTCAAAAATCTGTGCTCCACTGGTGTTTAGTTCAGACTTCAAATATTGTTATCAAAATCAACCCAAGGAGTGGTAGAAATATTCTTTCCTTGGTGAAAGGAATAGTGCTAAAAAAAAAAAAAAAAAAAAAAAAAATGGTGCTCAGTGAAGAAGATGACACAGGGCCCACCATTCTGGCTGGAAAGGTGTAGGAATCCTGCCAGCCTGGTAGCCTGGGTCATCCCTGCTGCCTGGAGACCCCGAACTGACATAATCCTGGTCCCTCACCTGCATGGAGGACTCTGTTGCCTTGGCAGGTCACAAGCAAGGTTGATTGTGCCTCCTGCAGATCTTATAGCAGCTGGTGCAGAGTAGACTGCGCAGGTAAAGTGCCACACGGGTGCCTGAGGGGGTGCAGTGGCCTCACTCAAGCTAGACAGCTGGCTAGTTGGCAGCATTTGCCCTGCTTAAGTATGTCTGTCTCAGACTTCCTTTTGTGACATAAGCCCGTTGCCTCCAGTAGCCCTGTTATGGCAAAGGGGAGTTAGAGTCCCCACCTACCTCTAACCCCAGAAGCTTTGATATTTAACCAAAAAGCTTGGCAATTGGCAAAAGGCCAAATTGGCTTAAGCAGGCAACAGCTGACTTGACTCAGTTTCAACATGGTATCAGAAAAGCAGAAGATAGCAACCTAAATGTCCATTGACGGATAAACAGGAAAAGGAAATGTGGTATATACATACAATGCAATATTATTCGGTCTTAAATAAGAAAACGGTGCCATATGCAATAACATGAGTGAACCTGGAGGACAGTATGCTAAGTGAAATGAACCAGTCACAGAAGAACAAACACTGCATGATACCACTTTCATGAGGTATCTAAAATAGTCAAACTCACAGAAGCAGAGAATAGAAAGGTGCTCACCAGGGGCTTAGGAGAGGGAAATGGGAAGTTCGTTGTTCAATGAGTATGAAATTTCGGTTACACAAGATGAATAAGTTCTAAAGAGCTGCTGTACAACATAATAACAATAGGTAACAATACTATATTGTGCACTTAAAAATCTGTTAATTGGGATGAGTGCAGTGGCTCACGCCTGTAATCCCAACACTTTGGGAAGCCGAGGCAGGCAGATCATGAGGTCAGGAGTTTGAGACCAGCCTGACCAACATGGTGAAACCCCAGATCTACTAAAAATACAAATAATAGCCAGGCGTGGTGGTGCACACCTGTAATCCCAGCTACTCAGGAGGCTGAGGCAGGAGAATCGCTTGACCCCAGGAGACAGAGGTTGCAGTGAGATCACGCCACTGCACTCCAGCCTGGGCAACAGAGTGAGACTCCATCTCAAAAAAAAAAAAAATTAATAGGGTAGATTTCATGTTAAGTGTTTTTCAATAAAATTATAAATGAATTTTAATAAATTAAAAAGTAAAATAGAAAGAAGTGAGGGAGAAGAACATGGACAAAGAGTTGAGATTGCTCTTTTCTGATTTTATCTTAGCCACTAGCCCAATATGGTACATCAAATTTAGGTACATCAAATCAAGTTTGGGGATTTCAGTTTATCCATTCTTCAAAGTGTTGGACAAGATGATTTCTAAGGATGTTATGAACTGTTTGAGGCTGTACTTTCAGGTTACTATTTTATTCATGAAAACTTTTATTTCAGTGTCTGGAAATAAAGATGTTAAGAAGGAAAAAGATGGGACATTCCCGGGCAGCCCTAAATCCTGACTTACTCTGTAATGCAGGGCACATTTTTCAGACTCTGTGGCTTGTTGTTTTCTATTTGCAAAATGAAAATGTAAAATACAGCACCTTCTCCATCCTGCTGGTACCTATTGTTGCAATGGTCATTTTTCATGTTACATGTGATACTAGCTTTTTTTGTACCAGCTTCTTTCCTGAACCTCTCTGTGACCCCAATAAGATATGTTGCTTGTCTCATTTAATTTAATAAAATAAAATGTAAAATAATGCACCTTCTCCATCCAGGTATAACATGAAAAATGACCACTCCAACAGTCGTAGTTACAAGTGCAGTGTGATTCTATAGCATGTGATCCAAAATAACTGATCCTTCTGGTCTCTGCTTAATGTCACTTCCACAAGAAGGCCTTCTCCATCCCCTGACACCAGGCTAGTGCCCTGTGCTCCCACACCGTGTTGACACTCCTCTCTTGTCACGACATGTGAGTCTCCTCCTCCCTGACCAAATCACACACAGGAGGCCCCATGGAGCTGGAGACCGGGTTCATTCCCCTTTACCAGTTCACATTGCCTAGCATATAGCTTGGCCCTCAGTGAATATTTGTTGAATGAACCAATGAAGAACGAATGAATGCCTTTGAAATTTCAAATTTTTCTTTGACATTTTCTCCTTTGGTCGCATGAAATTTGTTAAGTAGGCAAGAGACCTAATATTTTGGGCACTGCTCTACAGTTCTAGAAAGTAGGTTCTGAACCCTTTATTACCATTGCTCAGTTGTGCAAATTTAAGCAAGGTTTTTCTCCTCTCTGGGCCTCAGTTTTCCTACTTGGTTAAAGAGTGGGGTAAATTAGACCCCCTGTATCAGAATCGCCAAGCTGATTTATTAAAATGTGCATTTCTAGGCCACAGCCACCCCACAGAGATTAGAAACTGTATTAGGGCCATGCAGAAGAGTCTGTGATCTGCCTTTCCTCAGTGTCCGCCAGTGACTCTCACACGGAGAGCAGAGGCCAAAGAGGCTTCCAAGGCTTCTTCCATTCCTGGGGGTAGGAACTGGACCACTCACATTTTTCTCATGAAAACTGTCTCCTTCCCAGTGTCTGGCCTTAGAGAAGAAGAGAGGAAGGAGAAGGGGGTGGCATTTCTTGCTACGACGGGTGAGTGCCGCTCCCCCAAATCCCTTGGGTTGTCTGGGTTGCAGAGCAATTCCTCCACTTCTCTAGACCTCTGTTCTTTCCCACAGTGGCGAGAACGTCATCTCTTTAATCATTATCTGATCATTAAGTAAAAGTTGAAGAAGACAATGTTTGAATAAAGAGGAGCATCAACAACTATTTCCATCTTGTCAACTGTTGTTTCCAAATCTTTTTTTTTTTTTAGATGGAGTTTCACCCTTGTTGCCCAGGCTGGAGTGCAATAGCACGATCTTGGCTCACTGCAACCTCCGCCTCCCAGGCTCAAGCGATTCTCCTGCCTCAGCCTCCCAAGTAGCTGGGATTACAGGCACCGGCCACCACACACAGCTAATTTTTATATTTTTAGTAGCTATGGGGTTTCACCATGTTGGCCAGGCTGGTCTCAAACTCCTGATCCCATGTGATCCACCCACCTCAGCCTCCCAAAGTGCTGGGATTACAGGCGTGAGCCACTGCTCCTGGCCAGTTTCCAAATCATTAAGGAATAGCCGGGGGAAGTGGGAATTTTAACTCCACTCACTGCACACTGCCACTCCTGCTACACCTGGGAGATTTCTCCCTCCATTCTGGGTCACATCCTGGACCTATTAATTCTGAATTTCTGAAGATGAAGGCCAGGTACTGGAATTGTGTAATTAAAAAAATGTATATTTCCAGGTGATGTCAATGCTCAGCCAGGGTGTGTGGACCCCACGTTTACATGGGGTACTTATTTTCAAACACAGAGCTGCTGAGAACTCCTGCAATGCCCTTGGGCTTCCCATTATGCTTGAGATACCTTTTATATGAGTCCCGAGTCTCTCCAAATGCAGAGATGCAATTGTCACTAAAAGTTCATGTTTCCTGTGCTTCATTGGAATTTCTCTTATCTATATTTGTCACTTTGTTGACTGTTACCTCCTGAGGTCGAGACCCTCCTCTTAACTTAACTTGGAACCCCTCGTGCCTGGCACTTGGTTTGTTTTCAGCACATGTGCAAAGAAGTTGAATATCTGCCTGAAGTTTGGAAATGAGAAACTTTTTCTCTTGCCGAGAAAAGCCTGCCAGTGACATTATCTCTGAATCTCTTTCAGAGCTGCCCGCAAGGTCAATCGATCTGTCCGCGCTTAACCTGACAGAGCTTGTGAATGGGATGCTCAGTAGAGCGTTAAAAGGTAATCATATTTTAAAAGCACAATCCAGGTCCATTTTTTTTTCTTGTACCAGTGTCTTTTCTGAACCTTTCTGTTGCCTTGACAAGACACTTCACTTCTGTGTGTCAGTTTCTCGGTGTTCAGAGTGGAGAATAGGCTGAGCTCAGTGTCTCACGCCTGTAATCCCAGCACTTTGGGAAGCTGCTTGAGCTCAGGAGTTTGAGACCAGCCTAGGCAACATGACAAAACCCCATCTTTACAAAAAATACAAAAATTAGCTGCGTGCAGTGGTGCATGCCTGTGGTCCCAGCTACTCGGGAGGCTGAGGTGGGAGGATTGCTGGAGCCCAGAAGGTCGAGGCTGTAGTGAGCTGTGGTAATGCCACTGCATTCCAGCCTGAGAGAAAGAGTGAGACTTTGCCTCAAAAAACAAAAACAAAAGCAGAATGCAGAATTCATTGTCCTACCTTACTCAAAATGACGTAGAAGGTTTACAAGAATTTTGAGAGCGAATTGCAATACAGACATGGTATGTTTGTAATTGTAACTCTGTTGCCATAAACTAACAATAATTACTCATTGATTAAGTTAATATGATTCTGGATTTCTTTTTTTAAGACAATATTATTGTAATCTTCTTTCTGTGTTCTTTAGCGTCTAGCAAAATGATTTGTATGTAACACATACTTAGTGAATGACAGCAAAGCCTGAATGATCCCTAGTGTACATTCCTCACTGCCTTCACTATTTATTCTCACATTCTTCAATCAATATTCATAGAACACCTATCACATGCCAGGCACTATTCCAAATATTGGAGGATAAGGCAGTAAATAAAAACCAAAAATCTTTGGCCTGGGAGAGCTTCCATTCTATTGGGTGAAGGAGTAACCAAAAACAAACAATAAACATAATAAATAGGTAATGGTACATGTTATTTAGAATAAGGGGGATGGAGAATGCCAATTCAGTGTTGAGGTCTATGTAAATGGCATTCCCTAGGATTGTGCAATACACACACTGCACAACTGTGCTTGGTGGCTCTACACTTGTTCACTTAGACATTGACCCATCAACATTATTATCCATCCCTGTCCCAATGCCTGTTGCTGTAAATTACAGAGATATAGCTCCTGCCTCCAATTTGCTCTCATGAGAGTTGCCGAGGATAGGGCTGCCTTGGGAGGTGCACGATAAGAAGGCAGTGATCTACCTGTAGAGGGTGCTGTGGAGAGACTGAATTATCAGATGGAGGGATGGGCTGCAAAACATTTAGCCCTTCCAGCCCTGAACTGTTAATCCTGTCCTTTCCTCTGCAAGGCCCTGCACTGGGCTCTGTGAAATTTTGCAGAAACTCAAATGTCATAACTTCGAGGAGCTCAAAACTCTTCCAATGACTAATTTAATCCTTGTATAACCTCCACGTGGTGGTACTCTCACTCCCATTTTCTAGATGCAGACGTTGAGGCGTGCCCATTGCCACATAGAGTTGGAATTCAGAACTGTTTAATCCAGGTTTGTGATCTAGCCCAAAGTTTCCCAAACTTGTTGCACAATAAGAAGGACCTGATGTACTTATTAAATATTCATCTCCCCAGGTTCCTGCTCTGGAGATTCTGATCCAGCTGATCTTTGAAGGGGCCCAAATGTATATTTTTACCAAGTGCTATTTGTGATTTTTATCATCAAAAAAACTGAGTACTGGAGTATTCACATTTTGGTGTATACCCCATTCTTCTAAGGAGCTTATTAAATACAGAGTCTGGTTCCCGCTCAGTGTATGGCATTGGGGTCTCCAGAGGGCAATAGCCAGAGAGCCGAGGGGGAATGGGCACCACTGGTGATTTGCGTGCACCAAAGTTTAATGATTCTGCCATTCCATCCACCATCACAGTGGGTAACAAATTTATATGAATAAAAATCACCTGAGACCGGGCACAGTGGGTCATGCCTATAATCCCAGCGCTTTGGGAGGCTGAGGTGGGAGGATTACTGGAGCCTGAGAGGTGGAGGCCGCAGTGAGCTGTGACTGCACGATTGCATTCCAGCCTGAGTGACAGAGCAAGACCCTGTCTAAAAAAGAAAAAAATTCACCTGAGAACTTTGTTAAAATTCAGAACCCTGGGCATACCCACCTTTCCCCTTTCTTCACCATCTGATTTAGTAGACCTGGGATCACATCCAGGAATGTGCCCTTTTAATAGGTGCACCTATTAAAGGTGTGTTGATGCAGGTGGGTGATTCTCAGACCAGGTCTGGAAAGATCTCCCTCTGCTGCACTGTGCTCCAGATATAAACTAAGAACAGGCACTGATGGAGAGTAGATAAGATGCTCATGCATGTATTCCTAAACCTGATTGTTTATGTTAGTATTCCTGGTTTAAAAAAAAATCCCCTTTCTTTGTGTAGTAGACTGAAAATGGCCAAAGATATCCACTTTGTAATTACCAGAATCTGTGAATACTACTTTATATGTCAAAAGAGTGAATATCACCTGATGTGATAACAGATTGATTGAGTTAAAGATTTTGAGATGAGGCCATTGTCCAGGATTATTTGTGTTGTGCCGGATGCCACCACAAGGGTCCTTACAAGAAAGAGGCAAAGGAGACACACACAGAAGAAAAGACCATGTGATGATAGAACAGAGAGAGATGTGGCCACAAGCCAAGGGACACAGGCAGCCGCCAGAGCTGAGAGAGGCAAGAACAGATTCTCCTTTAGAGCCCTTGAAGGGAGGGTGCCCTACTGAGTTTCAGACTTCTAGCCCCCAGAACTGTGAGAGAACAAATTTCTGCTGTTTTAGGCCACCAAGTTTGTGATAATTTGTTACAGCAGCCTCAGGGGCCTAATATGCCTTGGGAATCTTTCTTAGAGAGTTGCCACAGCTTGAGGATGGATCAGGAAATATAGACAAATGATACATACTCTTCAGCTTTTTGGTTTAGTTTTACTTTGTTTATTATTTTTTATTTGTATTACTTTTTTGTTTGTTTCTTTATTTTCATCATTGGTTTCTTTATTGGCATTGTTAATTTCTAGGGACTGTTTACTTATTTGTATTATTGTTACGTTAGTAGGCATCTGTCTGTCTCTTTATCTGGTATGTTTTGGCAGATAGCAAGAAGTTCTTCTCCTTGCTGAGTGTCACTTCCTACAGTTCCTTCGCCTTCCACAAGTTTTCTGTAGCTGTTTACAACAGTGAGTGCTGGCTGGCTCTTCTTGATGGTGGTGGTGGTAGGGATGTGTTGCAGGGCTGGTCTGTGTGTTAGGATCTCTGTTGAATCCTTTCTCTTCACAGTTTCTAACCTGAAGACAGTAGACCCCGCCAAATTCCCCACAAGGTATTGCTACTGTTTAAACAATCGGACCAATGACTTATCAGGTGGGTACAGCTTACCATGAGGCTTGCAGCTTTTCCAATTTTGCTTGTGTCCTTTTAGATAAGTTTTTGTTTTTCCTCAATGTAAGACAGGAAAATATGGTCCTATCCACTACCCTTAACCATGTGCTCATTCATTATCCCAGTGAAAAACAGTTGTGTGTGCAAAAGCAACAGGAGGAAAATGTTCATGAAGCATTGTTTTAATTGCAAAAGTGAGGAACAACCTAAATATCCATCATGAGGGAAAATGGTTAAGTAGTCTCCCACATAATTAAACTTTCAAAAACAGCCACAGATAATACATAAATGAGTGAGAGTGCTCAAATTTGGCCTGTGCATGGAAAAGCTTCCAAGAGATTTTTAATTAGAAAAAGAAAGTTACACAAAAATACAAAGAGCACAATGTTATTGATAAGAACACATATGTGGGCACCAGATAGGTGATTCCCTTTGAAAAGAAGATTGGAGTATGTGTTTTGGAGTGGAAGAATGTTGGTTAAAAGAGCCTTAGATTATCTGAACTTTTTTTTCCCAAGGAGAGTATGTTCATATGCTAGTTTTATAAATAAAACTTTAAAGTATTATGTGTTCCCTATTTTAGAGAATACTGAAAAATAAAAGTGACAATTTTTGCACCGTTAATTCACCCATTCAGTAATTCCATCTGAGCGTGCACTATGACCCATGCACTCTTCTAGGTGTGGGGAAAGCACACAGAGCAAAGTGAACACACCTCCTGCTCCCGTGGGACATAGATTCCTAGCGGGGAGCAGGGAGTAAATAAATGTACTGCAAGTACATGGTGTGTGGGCTGACAGCCTGACCATGGGAACCATGAAGCAGGGGAAAGCCGGAGGGAAAAGTCACAGTGGGGGATATTGCTGTGTGTAGGGTGGTCAGGAAAGTCTTCTCCAAATGAAGTGAGGGTTGAGGGGTGACCTTCAGGATGTGAGGGGCCAGCCCTGTGGTTGTTCCTGGGGACAGTGGTCCAGACAAAGGCCTAAGCAGCAGCATGAGGACCAGAGAAGCCAGCATAACTGGAGCAGGTTAGCCAGGACAGAGCTATAGGAAATTAGCTCTGATTGGTGAGGGCAAAGTGGGGAGGGTGTTGCAGATCATATAGAAGTTTAAGGTCTGCTGCGAGGATTCTAATTTTCACCCGGAATAAGAAGGAAGCCATTGTGATTGTCTGCACAGGGAAGGGACATGATCTGACATTTTAAAAGAATCCTTCTGGCTGCTTGTTAAATACGAGATTGTAAGGGAAGCAAGCACTAAAGGCAACCAAAGCCTCTTGTACTTTTCCCCACTTAGTCTAATATTAACCCTTCCACCATATTACAAACTCTTCTTAAACACTTGTAATGACTATGTAACCAGTGAATGCAAGCATTCTCTTAGCCACTATGCTGTTCTTAGACTTTTGAGTGGATCTAGGTTTTTCTTAATATAAATAATTTTGCCTTGGACATCTTTGTGCGTAAACTCTTCCCTGTTTCAGATTATTTCCCCCACTGAGTAGAATTTCTAAAACAAATATTGTGAAAATATTAAAGGAAAGAATTACTAATATATAATAAGTACTATATGCGAGATGCTACAATGAGTGCTTAATGTCTATTATCTTATGTAATTTACCCTGTGAATCTCTTCAACAAATACATTTGTGAGGAAAAAAATTCTTCATAATCATGCCTTTCTCACCATTTCATTAACCCCTGCTGAGGATAGAAGTCTGTGCTGGGTGAGTCCCTATCCTGATTGTGTGAAAGATAAAAATAAGATTTAAAAAGTTAAATCTGCCTGGAGAAAGTTTATAATTTTATTTCATGAGTCAAATCATATTTTCACACACTTGCAACAATTATATGAAAAGAATGATCCATGGATCATTATCTACTGATAAAATTGCCTGGTGTTCCTCTGGTAGGTCATAGCAACTTTTGCCAGGTTTGACAAGAAGTCACAGCGCTACCATGAGAGGCTGTACACGTAGGCCAACAACTTGCCGTTGCTCAACACCTTCGGGGAAGGTGACTTTGTGGATGATCTTTAGATCTGGATCATTTTCTTTTTAATGTTTTCAACTCTGATCTAAAGCCCTCCTTTGAGGGTATATTTGCATATTTTCCCTTTTTTTTCTTCCTAAATGAAACTGGCTTAAGTTTTCTTAATTTTAAAAATAATGTACTGTGATATCAAGATGCTATGCAACATGGACAGGAAAACTAAGAAACCAGAAATAGCTGATATCCCACCATCCACTGGTAGTCACTATTAACATGCTAATAAATGCTATCCAAGGCTGTCTACACTACCTATATAACCCACTTATCTATCCAACCTGTCATCTAAGCTACTTATCTAACCTACCTATCTACCTATGTACCCCAGCTAATATCTACCCATCAGTGTAGACATCCTGCTCTACATATAGGAACCCATTCTCTGCATTATTTAGAATACAGGGTGGGCTACTATAACAAATGACTCCAAAATAGCCTAGTTTAAAGAAGGTAGAAGTTAATTGCTTTCATGTCTGATAGTCTGGGCATGTAGACATGCCAGGGCTGCTCTAATGGTTTGATGGTTTTGGGGCCCAGGCTCCTTCTAGCTTGTTGCTTTGCCTTTCATAATGATCTGTGTTCTCATAGCCTAAGGTAGGTTGCCAGCACATTCACACTCCAGCTACAATGAAGAGGAGAAAGGATTTGGAAAGTGTATTAGTCCATTCTCACATTGCTATAAAGAAATACCTGAAACTGGGTAATTTATAAAGAGAAGAGGTCTAATCAGCTCATGGTTCTGCAGGCTGTACAGGAAGCATGAGTGCTTCTGCTCAGCTTCTGGGGAGACCTCAGGAAACTTACAATCATGGCAGAGGGGAAGTAGAAGCAGGCAGATCTTACATGACTAGAGCAGGAGCAAGGGAGAACAAGGGGAAAGGTGTTTTAAACAAGCAGATCTCACAATAACTCACTCACTATCATGAGAACAGCACCAAGGACGTGGTGCTAACCCATTCATGAGAAGTCTGCCCCCATGATCCAATCACCTCCCACCACGCCTCACCTCCAGCATTGTGGATTGCAATTTGACATGAGATTTGGGCAAGGACACAGATCCAAACCATCCCAGAAGGCATGCACATTCACTATGAACTCACAGCCTGGAAACCATTCACATTTCTCCCTCTTACATCCTATTTCCCAGAATTTAATCTCATGGCTACACTCACCCACAAAGCAAGCTTGAAATTATAGTCGTTGCTTTAAACCATCACGTTCCCAATTAAAATTTGATACTGTCTTACTAAAGGAAGGTGGGAGAATCGATATTGAAAGACAACCATCAGTATCTTTCATTTTTTATGCAATTTTATAATCTACTCTCAAACTAACCCATATGTCTTAAAAAAACCATTTCATTCCAGTGAATGCAAGTATGCCTCATCCTTCACATGAATTCTTAGTATTCATTGAAAGAATGTACCATGATTTATTTAATTTGTCTCCTCTTGTTGGAAACTTGGCTAATTCCTCATATTTTTGCAATTATAAACAATGCTGTGATGAACACCTGTGTAAAATCACTTAGAGTACTTGCCCAATTACCTCTGCAGAATAAAGCCCGCAAAATAGAATTGTTGGCTGACAGGGAAACAATATTATAATGATTTGAATTGCCAAAATGTCTTCTAAAAGTCTTGCATACGTTTACAGTCTTACCAACAATGTTTGAATGCCTATGTTTTCCCACTCACATGTGCCAACACTGAGTGTTAAGAGACAGTCTTAAATCATTACCAAATGGATAGGTAAAAAGGGTTTTGTACTTCTACCTTCTATTTATGTATGAAGGTAGTCATGAATCATTCATTTTGATCATTGCTAGTAAATTAGATAATTCAAACTTTCATAAATGCAAAGAATATCTTTGAGTTAATAATAACTGGCTTTCTTCCAAGCCTAAAAAGCAGATTGTGAAAACAGTTCTAAAGGGAGAATTGACAAAATGCATTGAGCAAGAGGTTTCATGAGTGGTGGTAAGAATACCGGGAATAGTGGAAGCTTTGGCCCAAGACAGACCTCAGCTGAAATCTAAGCTCTGCCACGTACTCTGGAACTTTGGACAAGTTACATCATCTTTCTGAGCCTTGGGCAAAACCTGGACTCCATGTTTTGTGTGTGGCTTCAAAGCCATGCTCATAGCTTCTATGCAAAATTGATAACAACTTCCAAGTTGCATTTTATTGGTCTGTTTATGAATCTTGCTTCACCACTAACCTCAGCTTCTTCTTTATGTCTTACACAACTCTCCAGTACCTGGTAAGTGTATGGCACACTGCAAATGCTCGATGAATATTTATTAGATAAATGGATTAATAAACAAAGGAGAATTTTTAGAAGCAGAAAGAAAATATATGGAATAACTAAGAGATAATACCCTTCCTCAGTTTCCACAAATGACTAAGAACAGACTGGTCTAAAGAGACAGAGAAGGAGGCCGAGGCGGGTGGAGCACAAGGTCAGGAGATCGAGACCATCCTGGCTAACACGGTGAAACCCTGTCTCTACTAAAAATACAAAAAAATTAGCTGGGCGTGTTGGCGGGCGCCTGTAGTCCCAGATACTTGGGAGGCTGAGGTAGGAGAATGGCGTGAACCTGGGAGGCGGAACTTGCAGTGAGCCGAGATTGCGCCACTGCACGCCAGCCTGGGCCACAGAGCGAGACTCCATCTCAAAAAAAAAAAAAAAAAAAAAGAGAGAGAAAGAGGGTGCCCATGTTTGCCTACCTTCTGCATATACAGGTGTCTATACCTGCATAGGTATACTACATACTGCATAGGTGTTCTCCCTCCAGGAGGTTAAAATGTGCCTGTGCGGATATAGTAAGACCACCTCATGGCTTTGGTTCTTGCATAGTAGTGCCCATCATCTGTTGGTCTTGGCTACACATTCCACTAATTGTCACATAACATTTTCCTACCTCTCTTGGTTCTGTATTTTCAAGTTAGCTTGCTCCTGCACAAACTCCTGATCCCATTAATGAGTGAAAGGAGCATTTACACAGCATGATGGGAAATCATCCACTGGACCCAAGAAGCTTCCTCTTTAGAAAATGACTGGGGCTCCTCAAACACATTCGCCTTGTTTAGAAGTCAAGAATTTGCTGGATCGTGGAAAGCCATAAATGAACAAAGAAGGAGATGACAGCTGTTTGACTAGAAGAATATTAGGAATTTTCACAGTCAATAGTGCCCACCATGTCAGGCAATGGCCCTGTTCAAACCCAGCTGAGAAAGAAAGTTCACAATGATTCTATAACCTGAAATGCTGAAAAAGTTATCTCAGACACCACTCCCCACCAGCACCACCATCAGTTCCTTTAAAAAGGGGGCAGAAGGAAAGGTTCCTGGTGATAATTTTAGAAAGTGTCTTGTCTTGTCTCTATTGTTCATAGTTTATAACTCACCACTAAATTCCACATTGCATTTTCATTTTCCAACCCCCAAGTCTGTAAATTTACATTACATATCTGTGGGGCTGCTTCCTATCAGATGGAGTTGGCATTCTAAAAACAATTAGACGAAACAATGGGGAAAAGCCGCCAGAAAGACCATTATTCAACAATGTGGCCCTTCATAGCTCTTAGATGTTAGCAGAGAAGGGGTTGGGAGAGAGGATGATAGAAGAAGAAAGGGGATTTTAACAGTGGATCCAAAGTTTCCTTCCGGCCTGAAATCAAGACTTTTCATTTTTTAGAATTAGTAGTATTTCTCTGTATCATTGTTGATATTCCTCAATACACTAAACTAAATCAAACTTGTAAAATTTACTCTGAAAAATCCAAACACAGTATACTTTTCTCCTTTTGTCTCTGAAGCAGAAATTTAAACCTCCTAAATTTGTCTTGCAGATTTTACAGCTCTACTGGTAGATATCATCGGCAATTCTACCAGCTACCTCACAGAGATTTTTAAGTCAACCTCCATCCTCTCAGGTGTGTTCATCTTGAAAACGCTTTGGCAACTTTGAGGTTTAGCATCTGTTGTGGTAGATAATGAAGCATATTATGTTCCTCACCCCAACCCCTGCTATAGGCCAGGCTGCCAGAAACGTTCATGTAATCTTTATTTAGATAATCAGTGTGGTCCAGTTTCCACACCAGTAAATGCACCAATATTTAAGTCTTCATATTTCTGGGATCCACAAAGTTGGAGGAAGAATCCAAAGCTCAAAAGTTTAAGGAACGTAGGCAGACTCAAGAAAACATCTGGTGAGTAGATATACCCCCATTTTAAGGAGGACAAAACTGAGATCCAGAGAGGTTGAATATTTTGCTTAAGTTTGGTGCCAGAATTCAGGTTTAAATCTATATGGAGCCTAAGCCCATGTTTGGAGTACAGTTAAGAATGATACACCTCATTTATAAGGTGGTTTCATGTAACCCCCAGGAAAATCACATTTCCTTAGGGACCCACTTTGAAAAGCAAGGATCTATTCAACAGTCCAACAACTGGTCTCAGCAGAAAGACGGTGTGATGCACTGTGGAGCAGCTACTGTTTTAAAAGCAGGAGGGAGGGAGAAAGAGAAATAGTAACAGCTATCATTAGGTGTCAGATAATCTTGTAAGGGCTTTCCATGTATTCTCTCATTGGATCCTCACTACAACCTTTTGGGGCAGCTACTATATTTATCCCTACTTGACAGGTGAGGAAACTGTCACAGAGGGGTTAAGTAAATTGCTCAAAATCACTCTGCAGAAGCAGAATTCTAAACCAGGTGATCTGGCTCTTAGCCTGTGCTCTTATGTCACTATCCTAATATATATAATCATAGTAATACATTAATAATAACAATAATGATTACTCTGGCTACTGTGCTCTTCTATCTGCTGGGCACCATACCTAGTGCATCACTCCCATTATCTCCTTGGATTTTCCTGTTATCCTATGAGAGACATGCAACCCCATGTCCACAGTTCTTTAGGCAGCATCGTCAGGGAAAAGTATGTTTAGGAATTCAGAAGTTTTCAGGCTTTGAAGATCTAATAAAGTGTGCACATCCTACCTGATGTAACTTCTCCAACAGCATCCAGAGAAGCCCAGTGTAATCAAACACGTTAGTAGTAATTTGGTAAAACGTTCAGCTCTTTACACTAAGTAGGATAGATAAAAACTATCATAGCTTCACATTTTTCAAATTTGGGTACCAAGCTCACACAAAACATGTTGTCTTACAGAGATGTGGGCATTTGGGAATTACAAATGAGGGATTGTGGGATTTGAATTTTCACCATTTTATAAAGGGGCAAACTGAGTCCTGAAGAGGTCAAGCAATTCATTCATGTTTGCATAGCTAGTAAGTGGCAGAGCTGATGTAACCCTAGAAGCTGACCTCAGAGACTCTGCCTTAGCCACTACACCATCCCCCAAACCCAGCCAAATAAAATAAAGAAATTGGAAAATGAGGACTGCCTTAAGAGTAAAGAGTCAGGCTTATTTTCCTATATTATCCTAAGTTAGGTACTTTCAACTTAATTTTCATTTCAATCAAAGACTTACAGCTTCAGACCCATGGCTAAGTCTTATTGTATACTCGTTTGTCTTACAGTGAATCAAAGCAATGAATCAGATTGCATCTTCATCTGTGTGATGACAGGAAAGTCAGGTAAACCACTAGACATTCTTTGACAAGCTCTCTGGGCTGAGAAATAGACAAAACTGTCCAGCAGATGAAACCCAAGATCTGACCCTGTTGGTGTGATTTTTGCAGGAAGGAATCTTTCTGACTTCTGGGAGATAGAAGAAAAATATCCCATTATCAATTACACATTTACCAGCGGCTTGTCTGGTGTTCTGGGTGAGTACCAACCTCCCAAACTCCTCCCATAGACTCTCCAGACCAGGGTCCCACCTGGCACACTAATGACTGAAAGCTGCCCTCAGGTGTTGTGTTTCGCTATACTGTATTAAAAATCAGAGAACTTCGTCATTTTAAAAAAATGAATTTCTGGATTCTCTTGCAAAAGGTCTGGCAATTCTAGATCTTCCCCCCAACACATGGCAATAAGCAACTGGAGCTGAGTAACTGCCACTCTCATTCCCCCACTAGGAAGGGCACCTTTTCCTTCTTTTCCATAGTCCTGTCTGCCCCCTGTTGCCTTCCACTTTTTTCTCATATTAACTACTTGGGTTTTGTAGATATTTGAATTTGTGACCCCATGCTGGAGACCTGGCCACTCTGTAATACCCAGTCCCTACCTAACCATGCCCCACCCTCATGCCCCTCTGTGCCACATTGGGCATGCTGTTGTCTCCATCTGGAACTCCTTCCCTACTTTTCCATATTTCAGAACCCTATTTGCCTGTCAATTGCCAGCTTAGACACTACCTCCTCTTTTTTAAATATCCCCCAATAAAAGTCAGTCTTTGTCTTCTACGGTCCCATAACACAGCACTTGTATGTCATTTGGACTCTACGTTACTCCAGGTTGCAACACAGTTGACATTTCTATGTGTGTCTCCTCAATGAAAGGAACTTTAAGGTAGAATAAGTAGTTTCCTTCAGCCTCACAGCCTGCCTTCCCCTTGGTGCCTTGCACATAGTGGGCTCTTCATTACTTTCTCTTGAAGTGCAATGAAGGATACAATAAATCTGCAACTCCACTTCAGGGGCTACTTTGCTTTATATTTATTGTAGGGCATCTTTTGATTATGCTATGGAAGGAACCTCAGTTTGTATGGGACAAGACTACTTGATAAGAAGATGAAATGGGCAGTTGGTAGATTACCTTCACCTGCCCGATTCTCAGGACAGATCTTAGGGTTGAGTCAATCTCATTTATTTGGAGAGTCTTTCCATGACATTCCCACCACACCCCCCTCAACACACACACACGCCAGTCTCAATTAATTGTCCCACTTTGTGCTCCTTCAACAAGAACAAATGCTTAGGAAGAGAGAACATATTTACAAGCTGATGCTAAAGTTGATGTGCCTGAAAGCAAGTACCTGGCTGAGTGATAGTTTGGCTGGATGTACTTAGCCCCATGTCTGGTTGATCTGGGAGCAAGGCTCAGGCTGGTGTTGCACGCAGGGTGTTAATGGGCCAAGTAGCACAGAGAGAGGAAATGAGGCTGCAAGGCCACTCCTGCAATTAGACAGTTCACATTCTACATGCATTCTGGGGGAGGTGAGGGCCAAAATCCAACACAGGCTCTGCCCACCAGACTATAGGCCAGTCTTTGTCTTCCCAACGGGACTCTATGGGCTAATAGGAGCCTGTCATCGTCATATCCACTGCTGCCACCTCTTGAGCCTTCCCTAGGGAAGATATAAAGTGAAACTAATATCTGAGCCCACTTCCTTCTTTTCTTCATGGAGCAACCAAGGATGCTGGGTAGATTTCCCTCTGAATTAAGCCCTCCTGCTAACTCTATGGGAGCCTGTTTTTCAAGCTGTTTCTGTCTGGGAGCTTCTTATTCCCCCAAATTTCACTTTTGGTTTTTAGTGTCAGGCCTCTGAGCCCAAGCCAAGCCATCGCAACCCCTGTGACTTGCACCTATACGCCCAGATGGCCTGAAGTAACTGAAGAATCACAAAAGAAGTGAATATGCCCTGCCCCACCTTAACTGATGACATTCCACCACAAAAGAAGTGTAAATGGCCGGTCCTTGCCTTAACTGATGACATTACCTTGTGAAAGTCCTCTTCCTGGCTCATCCTGGCTCAAAAAGCACCCCCACTGAGCACCTTGAGACCCCCACTCCTGCCCGCCAGAGAACAAACCCCCTTTGACTGTAATTTTCCTTTACCTACCCAAATCCTATAAAACGGCCCCACCCTTATCTCCCTTCACTGACTCTCTTTTCGGACTCAGCCCGCCTGCACCCAGGTGAAATAAACAGCTTTATTGCTCACACAAAGCCTGTTTGGTGGTCTCTTCACACGGACGCGCATGAAATTTGGTGCCGTCACTCGGATCGGGGGACCTCCCTTGGGAAATCAATCCCCGTCCTCCTGTTCTTTGCTCCATGAGAAAGATCCACCTACGACCTCAGGTCCTCAGACAGACCAGCCCAAGAAACATCTCACCAATTTCAAATCCGGTAAGCGGCCTCTTTTTACTCTCATCTCCAACCTCCCTCACTATCCCTCAACCTCTTTCTCCTTTCAATCTTGGCACCACACTTCAATCTCTCCCTTCTCTTAATTTCAATTCCTTTCATTTTCTGGTAGAGGCAAAGGAGATATGTTTTATCCGTGAACCCAAAACTCCAGCGCCGGTCACGGACTGGGAAGGCAGCCTTCCCTTGGTGTTTAATCATTGCAGGGATGCCTCTCTGATTATACACTCACGTTTCAAGGGTGTCAGACCACGCAGGGATGCCTGCCTTGGTCCTTCACCCTTAGCGGCAAGTCCCACTTTTCTGGGGAAGGGGCAAGTACTCCAACCCCTTCTCTCCTTGTCTCTACCCCTTCTCTGCTTTCCTGGGGCAGGGGCAAATACCCCTCAACCCCTTCTCCTTCACCCTTAGCGGCACATCCCACTTTCCTGGGGCAGGGGCAAGTACCCCTCAACCCCTTCTCCTTCACCCTTAGCGGCAAGTCCTGCTTTCCTAGGCGGCAAGAACCCCCCAATCGCTTATTTCCACACCCCAACCTCTTATCTCTGTGCCCCAATCCCTTATTTCTGTGCCCCAACCCCTTCTCTACTTTTCTGGAGGGCAAGAACCACCACCCCCACCCCTTCTCTGTGTCTCAAGTCTTTTCTCTAGGCTTGCCTCCTTCACTATGGGTAAGCTTCCACCTTCCATTCCTCCTTCTTATCCCTTAGCCTGTGTTCTCAAAAATTTAAAACCTCTTCAACTCACACCTGACCTAAAACCTAAATGCCTTATTTTCTTCTGCAATGCCGCTTGACCCCAGTACAAACTCGACAGTAGTTCCAAATAGCCAGAAAATGGCACTTTGAATTTCTCCATCCTGCAAAATCTAAATAATTCTTGTCGTAAAATAGGCAAACTGTCTGAGGTGCCTGACGTCCAGGCATTCTTTTACACACTCAGTCCTTCCTAGTCCCTGTGCCCAGTGCAACTCGTCCCAAATCTTCCTTCTTTCCCTCCAGCCTGTCCCCTCAGTACCAACCCCAAGCGTCGCTGAGTCTTTCTAATCTTCCTTTTCTACAGACCCATCTGACCTCTCCCTTCCTCCCCAGGCTGCTCCTCGCCAGGCCGAGCTAGGTCCCAATTCTCCCTCAGCCTCCGCTCCTCCACCCTATAATCTTTTTATCACCTCCCCTCCTCACACCTGGTCCGGCTTACAGTTTCGTTCCCTGACTAGCCCTCCCCCACCTGCCCAGCAATTTACTCTTAAAAAGGTGGCTGGAGCCAAAGGCATAGTCAAGGTTAATGCTCCTTTTTCTTTATCCCAAATCAGATAGCATTTAGGCTCTTTTTCATCAAATATAAAAATCCAGCCCAGTTCATGACTTGTTTGGCAGCAACCCTGAGACACTTTATAGCCCTAGACCCTAAAAGGTCAAAAGGCCGTCTTATTCTCAAAATACATTTTATCACCCAATCTGCTCCCGACATTAAATAAAACTCCAAAAATTAAATTCCGGCCCTCAAACCCCACAACAGGATTTAATTAACCTTGCCTTCAAGGTGTACAATAATAGAAAAAAGTTGCAATTCCTTGCCTCCACTGTGAGACAAACCCCAGCCACATCTCCAGCACACAAGAACTTCCAAACGCCCGAACCGCAGCGGCCAGGCGTTCCTCCAGAACCTCCTCCCACAGGAGCTTGCTACATGTGCTGGAAATCTGGCCACTGGGCCAAGGAATGCCCGCAGCCTGGGATTCCTCCTAAGCCGCGTCCCATCTGTGTGGGACCCCACTGAAAATCGGACTGTTCAACTCACCTGGCAGCCACTCCCAGAGCCCTTGGAACGCTGGCCCAAGGCTCTCTGACTGACTCCTTCCCAGATCTTCTTGGCTTAGCGGCTGAAGACTGACACTGCCCGATTGCCTCGGAAGCCCCCTAGACCATCACGGACGCCAAGCTTCGGGTAACTCTCACAGTGGAAGGTAAGCCCGTCCCCTTCTTAATCAATACGGAGGCTACCCACTCCACATTACCTTCTTTTCAAGGGCCTGTTTCCCTTGCCTCCATAACTGTTGTGGGTATTGACGGCCAGGCTTCTAAACCTCTTAAAACTCCCCAACTCTGGTGCCAACTTAGACAATACTCTTTTAAGCACTCCTTTTTAGTTATCCCCACCTGTGCATTTCCCTTATTAGGCTGAGATACTTTAACTAAATTATCTGCTTCCCTGACTATTCCTGGACTACAGCTATATCTCATTGCCACCCTTCTTCCCAATCCAAAGCCTCCTTTGCGTCCTCCTCTTGTATCCCCCCCACCTTAACCCACAAGTATAAGATACCTCTACTCCCTCCTTGGCGACCAATCATGCACCCCTTACCATCTCATTAAAACCTAATCACCCTTACCCCACTCAATGCCAATATCCCATCCCACAGCACGCTTTAAAAAGATTAAAGCCTGTTATCACTCACCTGCTACAGCATGGCCTTTTAAACCCTATAAACTCTCCTTACAATTCCCTCATTTTACCTGTCCTAAAACCAGACAAGCCTTACAAGTTAGTTCAGGATCTGCACCTTATCAACGAAATTGTTTTGCCTGTCCACCCTGTGGTGCCCAACCCGTACCCTCTTTTGTCCTCAATACCTTCCTCCACAACTCACTATTCCGTGCTTGATCTTAAAGATGCTTTTTTCACTATTCCCCTGCACCCCTCGTCCCAGCCTCTCTTTGCTTTCACTTAGACTGACTCTGACACCCATTAGGCTCAGCAAATTACCAAGGCTGTACTGCTGCAAAGCTTCACAGACAGCCCCCATTACTTCAATCAAGCCCAAATTTCTTCCTCATCTGTTACCTATCTCGGCATAATTCTCATAAAAACACACGTGCTCTCCCTGCCAATCATGTCCGACTGATCTCTCAAACCCCAGCATCTTCTACAAAACAACAACTCCTTTCTTTCCTAGGCATGGTTAGTGTGGTCAGAATTCTTACACAAGAGCCAGGACCACACCCTGTAGCCTTTCTGTCCAAACAACTTGACCTTACTGTTTTAGCCTAGCCCTCATGTCTGCGTGCAGCGGCTGCTGCTGCTTTAATGCTTTTAGAGGCCCTCAAAATCACAAACTATGCTCAACTCACTCTCTACAGTTCTCATAACTTCCAAAATCTATTTTCTTCCTCATAGCTGATGCATATACTTTCTGCTTCCTGGCTCCTTCAGCTATACTCACTCTTTGTTGAGTCTCCCACAATTACCATTGTTCCTGGCCTGGACTTCAGTCCGGCCTCCCACATTATTCCTGATACCACACCTGGCCCCCATTACTGTATCTCTCTGATCCACCTGACATTCACCCCATTTCCCCAAATTTCCTTCTTTCCTGTTCCTCACCCTGATCACGCTTGATTTATTGATGGCAGTTCCACCAGGCCTAATCGCCACACACCAGCAAAGGCAGGTTATACTATAGTACAAGCCACTAGCCCACCTCTTAGAACCTCTCATTTCCTTTCCATCGTGGAAATCTATCCTCAAGGAAATAACTTCTCAGTGTCCCATCTGCTATTCTACTACTCCTCAGGGATTATTCAGGCCCCCTCCCTTCCGTACACATGAAGCTCGAGGATTTGCGCCACCCAGGACTGGCAAATTAGCTTTACTCAACATGCCCTGAGTCAGATAACTAAAATACCTCTTAGTCTAGGTAGACACTTTCACTGGATAGGTAGAAGCCTTTCCTACAGGGTCTGAGAAGGCCACCGCAGTCATTTCTTCTGTTCTGTCAGACATAATTCCTCAGTTAAGCCTTCCCACCTCAATACAGTCTGATAACAGATGAGCCTTTATTAGTCAAATCAGCCAAGCAGTTTTTCAGGCTCTTAGTATTCAGTGAAAGCTTTATATCCCTTACGGTCCTCCGTCTTCAAGAAAAGTAGAATGGACTAAAGGTCTTTTAAAAACACACCTCACCAAGCTCAGCCACCAACTTAAAAAGGACTGGACAATACTTTTACCACTTTCCCTTCTCAGAATTCAGGCCTGTCCTCGGAATGCTACAGGGTACAGCCCATTTAGGCTCCTGTATAGATGCTTCTCATTCCAGACACCAGACCAACTTAGACTGTGCCCCAAAAAACTTGTCATCCCTACTATCTTCTGTCTAGTCATACACCTATTCACCGTTCTCAACTACTCATACATGCCCTGCTCTTGTTTACACTGCCGGTTTACACTGTTTTTTTGCAAGCCATCACAGCTGATATCTACTGGTGCTATCCCCAAACTGCCACTCTTAACTCTTGAAGTAAATAAATAATCTTTGCTGGCAGGACTATGCTGAATCTCCTTAGGCACTCTCTAATTAGATGTCCTAGGTCCTCCCAATTCTTAGTCCTTTTATACCTGTTTTTCTCCTTCTCTTATTCCATTTAGTTTTTCAATTCATACAAAACTGTATCCAGGCCATCACCTATCATTCTATACAACAAATGTTTCTTCTAACATCCCCACAATATCACCCCTTACCACAAGACCTCCCTTCAGCTTAATCTCTCCCACTCTAGGTTCCCACGCTGCCCCTAATCCCGCTTGAAGCAGCCCTGAGAAACATCGCCCATTCTCTCTCCATACCACCCCCCAAAAATTTTCGCCACCCCAACACTTCAACACTATTTTATTTTTCTTATTAATATAAGAAGGCAGGCATGTCAGGCCTCTGAGCCCAAGCCAAGCCATCGCAACCCCTGTGACTTGCACCTATACGCCCAGATGGCCTGAAGTAACTGAAGAATCACAAAAGAAGTGAATATGCCCTGCCCCACCTTAACTGATGACATTCCACCACAAAAGAAGTGTAAATGGCTGGTCCTTGCCTTAACTGATGACATTACCTTGTGAAAGTCCTCTTCCTGGCTCATCCTGGCTCAAAAAGCACCCCCACTGAGCACCTTGAGACCCCCACTCCTGCCCGCCAGAGAACAAACCCCCTTTGACTGTAATTTTCCTTTACCTACCCAAATCCTATAAAACGGCCCCACCCTTATCTCCCTTCACTGACTCTCTTTTCGGACTCAGCCCGCCTGCACCCAGGTGAAATAAACAGCTTTATTGCTCACACAAAGCCTGTTTGGTGGTCTCTTCACACGGACGCACATGAAATTTAGTTGTATCCATAAGGCATATGGAGGAGACTAATTCCTCTTCCAAAGACATGTACCAGAGTCCTGGAGAGGCTGAGGGCTGGAGGTGGAAGAAAGGCTCTGACAGGGGTCAGAATCTGTTCAGGAAACATAGCAAATGCCTGATACTTTTAATTAGAGAAAGGTTTGAATCTCCACATTCATATATTTGCAGTCCAGTGACCTTTCAGTTTTTTTATGCCCAAAGTGTCAAGCATGTTAATGTTACCATTGACTGCCTCCCTGAAGGTGCAGCTACCAGGGGAACTGCCAGGACTTCAAAGCCCACAACCAAAAGCCAGAAAACACTACCAAGTACAAGCCCCGGACACTGGACCCAGAGCACACCCTGGGCATCTGCTCTGAGATCCTCTCCCTGGACAGAGACAGCTGCTCCTTCAGAAACAGAGGAGACCCTGAACACAGGCAGGCCTCCTGAGCTTCCAGCCAGGGCCACAGCCACATGGTTCAGTGCCTCCCACACTCTCCCAGCCTTGGGTAAGATGCATTCTCACCCTTTCCTCCCCTTTGCTATGTCTCGCTCCTGTTACCTCTAGGCTCACATATATAAGCAAAATCCTTACCTTAATCCCTTCTCCACCAACTGAAGTTACGCTTCAGCTTACTTAAATAACAGATCTGTATGAGCCGGTATGGGTTCTACAAGATCAAACAAAGGCAGAAAATGCCATTGACATAATGTGTTTCTAATATGTATTTTGATGCCTTTTTATTCTGAAATAGTTTAAGACTCACGAAGACTTGCAAAAATAATATAGAGAGTTCCCTGGTACCCTTCACCCAGCCTCCTTCAATGCTAATGTCTTACATAATCACAGTACATTGTGGCAAAAGTATTTATATTTCAGCAAAGCATTTAGCGATATCGCTCCTGAAATTCACATGAAACGGTGAAGTGAAGTCAATATTTTATGGCATGGTTAGGTCAGTCTGTAGCTGGTTTCATAATGATGCCAAGAATATGTTAATGACTTAACACCAGTGGGAAAGCTGCCGCCAATGACCTGCAGGAGGCCCCTGCCTCCCCAGCATCTTGCGTACATGATCAGCAGTGTCATCACTAAAGACACAAAAGGCATGCTTATCTTATTTTTCCTATTTGGAAATAATATAAAATGGAGGTAGCTCATTAGGGATAGCATTAGGAGATATACCTAATGTTAAATGAAGAGTTAATGGGTGCAGCACACCAACATGGCACATGTATACATATGTAACAAACCTGCAAGTTGTGCACATGTAACCTAAGACTTAAAATAAAATAAAGTGCAGAAAAAACAAACAAACAAAAAAGAGTCAATATTTTCTCAGTGGGTTCCAACAATGGACCCACTGAGACAATATTGTCATCAGAATTCATTCATTCAGTCATCAGAATTCATTCATTTATTTACTCATCAAAACATATTTCCTTCCAGACAGGAGGCTAGCTGTTAAAAACACAGCTCTATAAATGTTCTCTCTCTTTCCTGAGCTCTCAGACCTAGGAGAGAGCCCAGGCAAGTAAACCAATAGTTATGATCCAGCCTACAAAGAACTATTGTACACAGAGAACACAGAGAGGGCTCCTACCCCGGCATAGAGGAGACACAGGCTTCCCCAAGAGATAAGAATTGATAGGTGTCAGCAGGCAAGGAAACAAGGATGACTGGGTGGTGTAGAGGAAAATAAATCAACTCCATTAAATAGCATGAGCCAAGGATTTTTCTTAACTAATAACAATCCTGTGATGTTGGAGGGCAGGTGTTATTATTAACACTGGTATCCTCATTTTCATGAGGAAGCTAAAAGGAGTTAAGCAATTTGCCCCAAAGTTCACACCATGGAGGAGACAGAGGCACAACTAATCTGTTTGCATCTCCTCACCTCAGACCCCACAATCTTTTCACTATGTCACATGATTAGAAATGTATTAAATAAATTTGAGAGACAGCTAACTGACCCCCAAACACACACGCCTGGGGTCCTAGAGATTTAGAGGTTGTGTGTGTGTGTGTGTGTGTGTGTGTGTGTGTGTGTGTGTTTATTGGTGCTTAGGAAAACAATGCTTACTTTGGTCCATTTATTTCAGTTCAGAGTAAAGTTTAAGCCCCTGGATTACTTATATTACACGTTCACATTGCATTTGCCCTTTGATAACGTTTCAATGTCTCAGCAATTTCATGTCTGAATCGAAGTGGTCAAGCATGTCTGTACCCTGTTACTGTCACTTTGAATGTGCAGCTACCAGGAGGGTGGCCAGAACTCAGTGGTTGACAGCTGACAGACAGACGTGGGCTTCCATATCGTCCGTGCCCTGGGCTCAGACCATCAGTGAGAAAAAACCTGGAGGGTCTCTCTGGGAAACTCGTTCTTCCCCACCGACTACTGCAGGGACCGAGGAAGCCATGAACACTACAAGCCTTTTGGCGCCTGCTGCTGAGATAATGGCCACACCTGGCAGCCCATCCCAGGCCAGCCCTACCTTGGGTAAGAGAGGGTGCTCACTTCTACCTCTCCCGTTTTAAATTAAACTTAGCATTGTCTGTTTTGATAAACTTTCTAAATTTTTGGAATATAATACACACACAGAAAACTAAGAAAACATAATGATCATGAAGCAAACTCTTCCTTCTCCTTTCCTTTGCCCTACCTCTTTCTTCCCATCTGTAGATGAATGAAAGCTCCTTCTTTCATTCCCCAGTTCCTCTCTCTTTTATGTAATCGCACTCCCCAATTTCTTCTCTTTTTCCCTGTTTCATTGTCCATTAACAAGCAGTATGACAACTGTGATGGATGGACCCGGGCCTGAAATTCCAGGCATGAGCCCTGCCTGCTGCTCAGCCTCACCTCGCCCCTCCACCTTCCTCCTCTAGACTCCAGCCACAGCACACTGCTTACTGCCCACATCTCCTGATCTTTATGTATGCACTTTGTGTGCCTGCAAAGCCCACTCTCCTCCAGAACTGCTGTGCTGCTTGACTTAGAGTAGATGTCACCTGACCCAGCTGAACTGGGTGTCCATCGCCTGTGCCTCGGCTGTTTCTCAGCCTCACCTCTTTCCTTCCACTTATCCATATGACGGAACTTGCCTGCTTGAGCTTCTCTCTCACTGGTCTCCTACAAGGAGACTGTATTGCTGGTTTCGCCAGAGGCCAGAATCTTAACAGAAACGATCAAGTCCTGAAGTGACCCTTAAACTAAGGCTTCATGAACATGATACAAAAATTGTTGAACTGAGCCCGTACTCTGTCATGAATATGACAGGCAATTTGTCGGGGGTGGGATGGATCAAGGTGTACACTAAGACTCAGATGAATGAGAAGCAACTCATTTTAACTCATTTTTTCTTTGCCCTGGATCACCCACATTGGACACTTCCTGTACAACACCATCGCTCTCCTGTGCAGGGTCACCATAACTTACCAATGTCAGCTGGTTTCCAATGGCAACCATCACGCTGTATCACAGTAATGATGGGATTTTCCCATTTCCTTTTTCACACTCCATTGTGGGTTTTATTTCTTACTCATCTCTGCTTCTTAAAGCCCTGCCTGGTACCTGGCTTAACCAACATTGGTTGGATAGGGCAGGATAGGTGGCCCTGGTCATCTTCTCCCTCAGGGCCCCCTAGAAGAGATGCAGGCTCACCTCTCTCTCATCTCCTCCCAGGAGCATTCACCCATGGCACACAGACTCCGAGTCCAACCAAGGCAACAGCCCCCAGATATCCACAAACAGGTGAGAAACTCAGTACGGAAGTGGGGGTTTGGGGGTGGGGGATGGGAGGGGTGGGAAGCTTGGGGACAAGGGCGTGGTGGGATGGGGTACCAGTAAGCAATCTAAGCAGGTTACTCTGCTTTATTGTTTCCTGCAGGAAAAGAGTCAGGAGAACTGGTTTATAAGCCTTGCCGTGCTGCTAAATTTCCGTGTGGTCTTCCATAAATCACTTCCCCTTTTTTGGCTATCATTTTCCTATAGATTTCAAGAATGATTTACCTTTAAGATGTTATAAATTTCTTGCTGTGTGTATCACCTAAGGTAATTCCATTCTGACTTCTGGAAGGCCATTCCTGCCCTTTGCAGGTGATCTCTCTGCAGAGTGGCCATTCACTGCTGGTGAAGAGCCAGTCCTGGTCCCAAGACCCCATCAAGTTTCAAGTAAGTACCAGTGCCCAGTCATTACTATTGCTTGTGTTTATTTTGAACAAGGTCATGTAGTAGAATAAGGAGAGGTTTGTTCGGTAAATTTAGAAAATCAGACTCATGGGATTCAAATCTTAGCTCAGCCATTTACTGGTGAGGTGGCCTCCAGTACTCAACTTCCAAGATTCAGTTCCCTCAACTGTAAAGCAAGAATAATTGCAATTTTTGTGGGCACTAAAAATGCCTGTTTTTTTATCTTTCCCACAAGGTTTTGTATTAAGTAAGATAATGTTTGTGGAAGTGGTTTGGAAGTATAGAGCTCTGTAGAACTTAATTCAATCAACTTTTATCGAGTGAATGTCTATTGGGTAGCATGCTGGGCACTTTGCAAATAGAAGCTGCTCTTGCAAGGAGCAGGGTTGTTGGCAGTGAAGGAGGAAGGAATAAAAAAGATGACTGCAAAATGCAACCTCATTTGCTGGGTATGATGTCCTGTTGTTCTGTGTTAAGGGATACCTACCCTTTCCATCCCTGCACAGTTAATTCTCATGGATCTAGACGAAGACCATTTCCTGAGTTTGTAGCTCTGTTTTCAGAACTCCTGACAGAGGCTGAGGACTTGAGTTGCTGTGGTTTTTGCTGCATTTTTCCAGCTTGCTTTTGGACATCTCACTCTCCTCTTTTCTGTTGAGCCAGATTCCATAAGAAAGAAATGGATACAAAGTGAGTGCTTCAAAGCTGCTTGAATTCTCAGGCTCCTCCCACTCCTGAATACCTTTGTACACCAGCTCCTGGACCATCCAGTCATATGTCAACAGGGCATTATTAAACTGCTGGACCCTGCCCCGTCTCCTTTTTCATGTCACCTTAGATCTGCCCCAGCCTTACTCTCAGCCTGCAGTGAATAGTGAATGAACCTTTCAGACACAAAGATGTGATTATGCTACTAAGGAAATTATATCCCTTTTCTCCCAGGAGTTCTAAAGAAACACAGTGGTGCAGATGGAGGCTGTTGTGAGATCAAGTTTTAGAAAACAGGTTGACTCTGTCTATATCTATGTCTATATTGGTGTCTATATCCATATCTATATCTATATCTGTATCTATATCCATGTATCTATAGCTATCTGTATAACTATATCTATCTGTCTCTCTTGTTAGCTCTATCTACTTACCTAATAGGTATTTACCATATCTATCTATTTATTAACCTACCCACTCATCTGTCATCTATCTAATAGATATTTATCCAAGCCATCTATCTATCCATCCTTCAATTAACCCACCTATCCATCCATACCTATTTATCTTTCTATCTGGTTATCTTTATTTCTTAACTTCCATATCATAGATATTTGCCTATCCATCTGTCATCTATCTATCTACCTATGTAATGAAAAACATAATTGCAAATTAAAGGGGTTCTGGCATTTCTCAGTAACTTATTCTGCTCATCCAAAAAAAAAATCATGCCACAAAGTATTTGGCATCCACTCATTCATCCATTTAATAAATATTTATTGGGCTCCTACTGTACTGCCAGGTACTATGCTAGGCCTATTTTTACTTTCTCTTCACAATAATTCTGCAGGAGAGGTAATATCTCATTCAGGAATTATGGTGAGTTCTACATATAAAAGGAGACTCCATTTTGACACCAGATCTAATTTCAAAGCTTGTGCTTATTCCACACCTCTGTGTCACCTTTTCCAAGATATGCCATATGTGAAAAAAAAAAAAGCTGCAATTGAAAAAAAAGAGTGACTAGATTCTTAAGAGAAGCAGAAACTGCTATGTATATCCAGAGAGGAAGAGATTACCTTCAGGTGAGGGGATGGTTCAAGAGTTTATTGATTGAGAATGTGGCACCTGAACAAGGTGCATTCTAAGCAAAGGCATAGCTTAAGCAAAGGCACTATACCTTAAAAGGACTGATGTTGAAGGTGCTGAAAGTGAGGGTAGTGTGGAATGAGGCTAGAGAGGTAGCCAAGAGTGAGATTAACAGTACTTTGTCACCATGTCAAGGAGTGTAGACTTCTGAGGCAAGTGGGAGTAATGTGATCAGATTTGTGTTGCAGAAAGGTTCCTCTGACTGCAGAATGGGGAGGAACAGGAGAAGCTGGAAGCAGGGAAACTTGCGAGGTGACTGTTGTGCTAATGATGCCAGTGGTGATGGTGACTGGAAAGTAGAGGTGACTGTGTGGATAGGGAGACTTGGGTGATATGTAGGAGATAGAACCAAGAGGATGCGGTGATGATGGAGTGAGCACAGGAGGGAACCAAAAATCATGCCCAAGTTTGAGCAACTAAGTGAATATCCCAAGTGTCATTTCCTGAGTTAGAGAAGGATGGATGGGGTGGGTTGGGGCAAGGGACATGGAAATCAAGCCTTGGGAATGTTAATTATGTTCAAGTAGTGAAGTGTGATGGTTATGAGCACAGGCTTCAGAGTCAGATCTTGCTGGAGTTACTCCCTGTTGCATAACTGATACAACTGCAGAGTTACTCAGACCCTCTGTGTCCTCTTCTGTATACTTCTGATGTCTACTTCACAAGATTTATGAGAATTAGATAAAATAATGTATGCAAAGATCTTAGGAGAGTGCCTGATACATAGCAACTGCTCAATAACTGATAGAGAAAAACTCATGGGCACATTGATGGAAATTGGTCAGTGTTCTGGAGGGTTTATCTTCTAGTTAACTCAGAATAAAGTATTTTCTTTCTACCTTCTTAAAAAGTCTTCTGCTAACATTATGAGCCCCTTCTCCACTTAAATAAATATATTCCTGGCCAGATGTGGTGGTTTACACCTGTAATTCCAGCACTTTGGGAGGCTGAGGTGGGAGAATTACATGAGCCCAGGAGTTTCAGACCAGCCTGGGCAACATAGCAAGGCCCCATCTCTACAAGAAATAAAAAATAAAAATAAGTAATTACTGCTAAATTATAATTTTGAAAAATGTTCAAACATGACAGAATAATATTGAATGAATACATGTCAACATGTCAAAGATATTATTGAACTCATTAAGTAATGAGGAAACCAGAAAGATGTGAAGATTGCTTCAATGGGGAATTTGAGGGGAAAAGATTTATGTAGTCAGTCAAAGGAATTCTCAAATGAATTGATATTCCACAGCAATAAACTCTTTTTTTTTTTTACTGGACAAAAATCAATTGCACCTCTACCAGACAAAATTCATTTACATTGCTATGGACAGAAATAATTAGCATTGCTCTTAGACAAGAATTATTTATATTGCTATCGGTTAACATCTACCCCTTGCTAGTTGTAAAATCACCTATTCAATAGAAAGTCAATTAATGGTGCACAATTATTTTTACCCAGACAATCCGCAGAGAGTCTGCTAGACAATAACCAAACTGCATTAAAAGGGTATTCAGTAATCCTTTTTGTTTATTTCCAGGTTTTAGATAATTTTTCCTGGTAGTGATTAGTGAACCTTTGTTGGAAGATTATTAGTAATATTGTAATATAACCTTCCAGTCCCTAGAAAGTAAGCTCTGTGAGAGGAAGGCCCTTTTTCTTCTTATTCATTTTGTAGCTCTAGTGGCTGTCACCAGTGCCTAGCATGTAGTGGAGCTCAACAAATTTTTAATAAATAAATAATAATAATAATTGCTATTATTTATTGTTTGTTTCATGCAAACAACTTTTCAATATGCAATATACTTTATATAAATTGTCTCATTTAATCCTTCCAGTCATTCTATATGATAGGGATGGGTCTCCCTATTTTCCATATAAGGAAATGTAGGTGTAGCCATAGGAAGCTTTCTGAGTCTCAGCAGATCCCAACAAGTTGGAATTTTTATTAAAAATAATTTGTTGTCTCCTTCTTTTATCTTTGGCCTTCCTCCTAAAAACTAAAAATTAAACAACACTGAAAATCTGGTTCACGGAAACATAATTAACTTTCACTTGATGGAAACACAGAACTCACAAACGCAGAGCCTGACTCTCCAGTGACCCAGCATGCCAGTCTCATCTTTCAACCTGCCCTTCTTTCTCTCCTTTTTGCACTCACATACACATGCACGTGCATACACACACACACAGGCAAACACATATCCATATGCTCTCACATGCATGCACATACATATACACACACATGCACACACATGTACCCTGCACACACACATGCATATACATACCTCATATCCCCTGTACTCAAATTTTTCTCAAATCCCCCTCAGCAAGTCACCCCCTTACATCACGCAGAGTCATTGTATGCCCTGTCCCTTACACCAGAAATGCCCTCCACCTGATACATTCCTGTTCAACATCTTAGATCTCTGTTTAATATTTGCTTCTCAGTGAAACTATCTCTGTTTTCCTCCAGAAACTCGATCACCACCTTCTTTCCACCTGACTCTTAAAACTGTTACAGTAGCTTTATTGGGTAATGGTGAGGAATGCTATGTTTACCTGTCTGTCTCAGAGCTACGTGAGATCAGGACAAGACTATATTCACCTGATGCAGGGCTTAACGAAGAGAAGATGCTTACTAAACTCTTACTGATTTAATTGGTCTGGGATTGCATCTTCTAGGGTGTCCTCAGCCACTCTTCAAGGTGGGAGCTATGGCAGCTGCTCCTCTCACCCTGGCTATTCAGAGGCTCAACCCATGCCTGATGGAGCTGTGCCAATTCTTCCAGCAATGCCTCTGCATGAGCCAGAGGAGTCCCAGGACAGAGGACATGAGGTAACTTGGCCCAGTGGCTTCTTTTCACATGGAATATTTATAGCTTTCTTATTCCGTGTGGCTTTTCTGCAGGCCACAAGGCAGTCAGGCAATAAGCAATCCACAGACAGGCAGTAGGGGTTACCTCAAGGTAAGGGACTCTCCAGTGAGTCCTTTACTAGACAGTCACATCCTTGAGATTCATGATGGAATCTCATTCATAGCTGGTCCCCAGAACCAAGTGCAGTGCCTGACACAATAAGTATAATTGAGTTGAGGTGAATTGAATTGGAGTTGAGTTGAGTTGAATTGGAGTTGTGATGAGTTGAGATAAGTTGAGTTGAGATGAGTTGAGTTGTGTTGAGTTGAGATGACTTAAGCTGTGATGAGTTGAGATGACTGGAGTTGTGATCAGTTGAGATGAATTGACCTGTGATGAGATGAATTGTGTTGAGATGAGTTGAGTTGAGTTGTAATGAGTTGAGATGAGTTGAGTTGTGTTGAGTTGGGATGACTTGAGTTGTATTAAGTTGAGATGACTTGAGTTGTGATGAGCTGAGCTGTGATGAGATGAGTTGAATAGTGATGAGTTGAGATGAGTTGAGTTGTGTTGAGTTGAGATGTGTTGAGTTGAGATGAGGTGAGTTGTGTTGAGTTGAGATGAGTTGAGTTGAGTTGGGATGAGTTTAGCCGTGATGAGATGAGTTGAGTTGAGGTGTAATGAGTTGAGATGAGTGGAGCTGTGTTGAGTTGAGATGAGTTGAGTTGAGTTGAGATAAGTTGAATTGTGTTGAGTTTAGATTAATTAAGCTATATTGAGATATGTTGTGTTGAGTTAAGTTAACTTGTGTCATGTTAAGTAGAATTATGGCAGAGGATCATGGCAGAGGATCTTGAGTGGTTCTTTAATCCAAATGCCCTCAGCCTGGCGAGATTTGCTAGGAGAGAATAATTAGAAGATATGTCTATCTAAATTCCAGTTCTTTCATAAATCCCTACCAATCATCCACCAGCAAAATAAGTTGGAAAACTTAAATTAAAAAGCAGAACCTGTTTTATATTAAGAAGGTCTAGACATGGACATTTTCTGTCCTACAATGCTGACATACTGTTATTTCTTCTGGGATTTATTCTTGGCTGTAAACCCAGAACTAAATTACATAGATGAATACTCCTGCTCCAGTGGCCTGGATACCAATCTCTCCTGTCTTTAATGTTATTTTCAAAGACTACTCTCAAGATCCATTAGCTTTTAAAATTTCTGCCTCTGAGTCTGAAGCCCAGGTGGACAGCCATTTTCCATCACCCCTTTCCAGCTGTAATCTTTCATCCCCCTCCCCCCCCCCCCCGTCAGTACGAACATTTCCTCCATTCATAGAGGGCAATAAGCAAGACCTGTAGACCCAAAGCACAGGTTTATTCTAAAGAAAACTTTTACGACAATACTTTCTGTATTGTCTAGGTTAAGCCCACTTTAGGAGATCCTTTACTCATTAACTTAACCAACAATGTGTATTGAGTCTCTGCTGTATATCTGTGATGCTCTGTCCCAAGCCATGGGGATCTAGAGGTGAATCAGAAATAGCCTCAGAAACTGAGGGTTTCATAGTTGGAAGGAAGAAATGGTCATAAACACAAATCAAAATATAGTATTATAGATCATAGAACCAAGTCACGTAACCAGGCAAAAACCTGTTAATCATATCCCGTTGGAAAATATCACATTTGAAAACATTCATATTGCAAATAATAGCTGAATGAATAAATGAAAAAGGCATAAATTTTCAGAGAGAAGTTTGAGTTTAAATTTAGAGCAATGAAGCACCTGTTTGCTTGGGCTTGTTCCTTCTTTTCTGTGTATTTTCACTGAATAGTACATTTTTCCATAAACTCATACACTGAATATAGGCCAAAAATACTAGAGTAGGGGAGGTGGCATTACTCAGTATGTTTGCTGAACGTAGCCTCTGTGATAAAAAACAAACAAACAAACAAACAAAAAAAACACTGGTGGGAAAGTTGGCAATGTAAGAAGACAAATTTCAAAGCAGCTGACAAGTGCTGTAGCAGACCTGAATAACATGCTATGGGATCCCAGGAGAAATAACTAATAGGGCTTTATGGAGGAATAGGAGTTTTCCAGGCAAAAGAAATAGCATCTGCAAAGATGGAGTCACGGGTAGCCTGGAGCATCTAAGGACCACTGAGATGTTCAATGTAGCTGCAGCAAAGATGGGAGACCAAGTCTCTGGCATGTCCCTATTCAGGACTACCTTGCCTTTTAAGCACCTGGGTAACTTATTATATGCCCTCTTTGACTTTCACTCTAGAGCTCCATCTGTCCCTTCTCCAAGCTTTCTACTCCCTCCTTGTTCAGAATAAATAAAACATACAGAATTATTGAAGTGCAGCCCTCTAAATCCTGTCCATTTTTAAACTGAGATAATCTAAACTCCCATTCTCTTCATATCATCTCCCTCCCAGGGTCATCTCTTGAAATCTTTCTTATTTGGGGCCCCAGAACCATTCTTGGGGCACACTCCTTGCAGGATAACAAAGCCACAGTCCCTGGTGACTTACAAATTTTGCTACCTCAGGCCCCAGTGAAGTGTCCACGGCTCCTCTTCTATTCAGGCTGCTGCTGACTCCACAGTGCGTGCAGCAGCTCTGGTCTGCTAGGAATTTAGATAGACATACCTACAAGGGGCTGGTGTAATCATGGGTGCTTCAACACTAGTTTCAGCTCATGCTAGCCATGGCATTGCAGCTTATATCTGCCCTGAAGAACTGAAGACAAACAAAATAGGCCACCTTAACAACTGATTTTCTTCTAAGACCATCTAGCCTTTTCTGCAAGGAAATGCCTCTTCCAGTCCATGTGAGGAATACATATTCTTGTTATGAACAGGACTTTGACTCCATTCCCTACAAAGTAATAACCAGGGGCATTTATCTATTGTTCATTTATCACTGTAGGGGATGCCTCTGCCAGAAAGCTTGGGGATGGGACATGTCGTGTTTAAATAGTTTCTCTCCTGATCATAGAGGCAAGATTCTCATTCATCCTGAGAGCGGTGTACACTTTCAAAGTGAATTCAGGCACAGAATGGCAGCTTTTTGGCTCATGAAGGTGTGGGTCATGTTTCTGTGGTTGCTGCAACTTAAATCCTGGCCTCACACTTGGCAGTTTCACAGAGCACCTTAGTTTGGATGATGTTGTCCATCTAGCAATATGAACTTCTAAAGCAGATCATGCCCCAAAGTTGCTTGATATCCTCTATCACAGAAGCTTTCTAAGAAGTTTTGTTGCTGTTGTAAGAAAGTATGACTTGCAGATTGTTACACTGGCTAAGAAGAAATGGGATTAGACCATACAGCCAAGGCCCTCAAAGCTAGTAGGTAGCTTAGTGAGCTATAGAGAGGGCAGGGCTTGAAGCCAGGCAGGCCTGGGTTTAAATTTAGTCTCTGCCACTTACAAGCTATGTGGTCTTGAGCTAGTCATTCAATCTCTGAACCTCAGTTTGTTCATCTACAAAATGGGTATAGTCCTGCCTACATTCTAGACCACATGTTGCACAACTCCAGGAGCACCATTCATGTAAAAGGGTAGCAGCAGTCTCATATTGACAGTGTTGTGAGAACAAAATGAAATGAAATAATATATCTAATTGTTCCTGCATGGTACCTGGAACGCTGCGCTTTGTGGTTGCTGATTAAGACACTGTTGTGGTTGCTCTCTTGTCCACTCCCACAGCCAAGTGGGAATCCCATTGCTAGCACCCTTGACATGTTGTAGCTGTGCTAACCAGATATCTAGTGGCCATGTCAGCTGTTGAGTTGGCCAACCTTGACATCCTATCTCTGGAAGTTTTGAAAGGTCTCCCTAAGAGTACAGGTTCGTAAGCTCACAAAAAGCATCCTGGATGTGTTCATCAATTGCTTCTTCACACTTGGTTCCATTTCCTGCCCATTCTCTAGTAGACTCTTTAATGAAGGGGCTGACTTGTGCAAACTACCTTTCCCAGAACACACTGCCAACCAGATTCCAGTGAGTTCATCCCATAGAAGATACTGAGAGGAGATTGGAGGGCAGTAGAGGGGAGAAGCCAGGGAATTTCTCCCCCTCCCTTTCTGCTTTGGGCAATATTTCCAGGAGCGGCTCTATTTCCTCTGTGGTTCCAGTTTCCACAAGGAATCCTCATAACAGCTTCAGCTCTGCGGTCCCAGCTGCCACCAAGGCCATTGCCCTCTGTGCTTTGGCCACAGTACTTTCTCTGTCTGTCCCTCCAGGCCCAGCAACTCCCTGTGGCTGCTAATGCGGGGTTACCACACCTTCCCCTGTTGGTTCTTTCAGCCCTTTATCACTGATTCATCGTATTAAAGTCCCTCTATAGAACCACCAAGTCCTGCTTTCCTGGCAGGGTCCTGACTCAAATACTGATCTTATTGCCTACCAGAATGACAGTGTGATCTGGCATAAAGTGGGTTACCTGGGTTAAAATCCAATACTACCACCAGAAATCCCTTGGGGAAGTCATTTAATCTCTGTGCCTCAGTTTCCTCAGCTTTGCACTTTCCTATAAATTGGGGGTGATAGCCCTTGGAAAATCTCTACCACAGCTTGACTTGAGCAATTAGTTGCACAACTCTCTAGGGTGTGCTAGAATCACAGAATGTTAGAGGTGGAAGAGAAATTAGAGAATGTTTAGCCCAACCTCCTCAAATATCAGGTGAGAGATTGAAAGAGAAGTGAATTCCCAGAGTCATACAATGAGCTAGTTGACACAGCCTGCACTGAGAACTCTTCTTCCTATTAATTGGGTGAGTGATCTTTTCACCACAGCCCTCTGATGCAGCTCCTGCCACCTCTGACCAAGAACAGAATGTTATTTTGCAAAGTGTTTGCTGCATTGATAATGACAGCAGCACTCCACTCTCTCTCTCATCTCCCACTAAAATAAATAAGCAAACAAACAGACAAATGTCACCATGTATTGAGCACCTCTTGTATGCTGGGTACTGTTCAGGAACTTTACATATGTTATCTTATCCTTATATAACCTGCGAGTATAGGTTCCATTATTGCCTTTCATTTATATATGAGAAAATTAAAGTCCAGAGAATTAAGTTATCACCCTGAAGTCATGCATCCTAGTACGCAGTGGGGCTAGGGATAAAAATAAGTCTTGCTGGCCCCAAAGTCTGAACTTCTTCCTACCCAGCCTTCTTTCCTATCTCTCCTCTGACACCCTTTAAAGATGGGCAGAGGGTTCCTTGCTGTGAATAATTGGCCATATAGTTCATGTTTATGTGCTTACCTTTAAAACTCTGGCTGTCTTCTAATAGCCATCACAGGATAGTTATTGCTCCCTGCTCTGATTTAAATCTTTAGATACTGTCTTGAATACTATTCCTGGTTTCTGAAGAATGCAACATATATCTGTCAGAGGGTGAAAAGGGTGTCCCACTCGCACAGTAAGTACACAGCTTGACTATGTTGTAACTTTGCAGTGAATGCATTACACAAAAGGGTCCTGTAAATCTGAGTGATTCCCAGATGTCTTTGGAATGCTGTAGCTCATCTAGTCCTCATTAATTTGGGACAAAGAGCACCTAGGATTTTTCTTATTCCCTTTCAGCTAACAGCTTGATGTTTGCAATAAGGTCAAGGGAAAAACACAGCAGGAGTCAGCCTGACCAAGCACTTTTGCTCTCTGCGTGAACTCAGGCAAATCTCTTAGCCACAGAGCTCCTATGTAAGCTAAAAAGACAAATAAAAGGCTGGGCGCGGTGGCTCACGCCTGTAATCCCAGCACTTTGGGAGGCCAAGGCGGGCGGATCACGAGGTCAGGAGATCGAGACCATCCTGGCTAACATGGTGAAACCCCGTCTCTACTAAAAACACAAAAAAACTAGCCAGGCGTGGTGGTGGATGCCTGTAGTCCCAGCTACTCGGGAGGCTGAGGCAGGAGAATGGCATGAACCTAGGAGGCAGAGCTTGCAGTAAGCCGAGATTGCACCACTGCACTCCAGCCTGGGCCACAGAGCAGTTTGTGGGGGACAACCCCCACAAATACTGAAATTCTTGACTGAAGGAAAAATGCAAACAAATAATTCATGCAAAAGAAGGCACCGTGAAGTACTAGAATTTATGTTTCATTATGGTACCTCTCTCCTTGTCCTGGTAGCTTCAAAACTTCATTTATTTCCAGATATTCCAGTATCAGCTTTTTTTTATCTCTCACTTCTGCAAAAAATATCCCAAAACCCATAGTTTGGCCATTATCATGCCATCTACCTGAACTACCTCAAGGGACTCTGGTCTTCTAAATATCATGGAATTACATTAAACTGTATAGAAAATCCCTTCTTACTGTAACCCAAATATAAGCTGGGTGCTCACAGGGCTCAGTCTTGGCAATGTTTTACATTTGAACAAACAAACGAAACAGTGTAATAACCCAATCTTTCCATTTGGGTCCTGAAGAATACCAGCTGGGATCCCTGGGATCCATGTCAACACTTCTTAGAAACTTCTTATTCTTTCTGCCCTCCACTGTTTCTCACTTCTCACAAACCATCATCTTAAAACTTCTCTTTATATTTCATTTTTCAACTTATCACTCAGTAGCTCTCCTAAAATCAAGCTCTCTGGCTCTTCTCTGTGTTTCCATTTACCTCTTCTGCTTACTTTGCTTTCCTTCTGCCTCCATTATTTTTTTCTTTCCCAAACACAGGGTCCTTATTTCTTATGCAAGTCCACCATCCCACTTTTCCTGTCTTCTCTTCCTATCATCACCTTCATCCTGCATTAAATGACCAAAAAATATATAGGCATTAGGAGTGGGGGTGGGGTGGTCAGAAATCAAAGATAGAAATCCCTTTATCTGGTATGAGGAGAGGAAATAGGAAATCTTGCAAACACATAATTCAATAGTTCTTTCGTCCTTGCCACATTAAAATCTCTATGCACACAACGTATTACATTTACTGAACAACTTATTAATGAGTTTAAATTAGCCTCGTGCAAGCTCTAGAGATGCGTTAGATACAGCTGGGTATTGGAAAAGAGCATTGGGCAGTGAGTGGAGAAATACGGGCTGCTCCTCACTAGACTTTGATGCTAACTAGCAATGGGGTCTTGCATGAGTCTTTTCCACCTTCTGAGTCTCACCCCTAGTGACCCCTGTCCAGTGCACTGCCCCACACTTGCTCTCCGGAAGAGGCTAGACCCTTGTTGGCGACATCAGGGTTTAATTTATGTCTCTACAGTGTTTATATCTCAGTACCTTGAGTTCCTTCTTCTTCTGCTTTTTTTTCAGCCTTAAAGCAAAAGTGCCTTGAGAATATCTGCAAGTCTGTGTGAGGCCTTGAAAATAACACTAGGGCATAACAATTACTTCAGGGGATACGCCATCCACCCTGGCTCTTGTCCCAAGTGGGCTACATTTGAAGAATTCACCCAGGCTCCAGCTAGATCATCAGTTAATTTAAAGTGGTTATTCTTGGAAGTAGCATTTTTTTTCCCTCTCCTGTGAATCTGTGCAAAACATTGAAGGTAGAAGTTTTCTTGTTAGAGGCCTCACAATTAATACAGTAATGCCAGACTCCTTGCCTGCTTCAAAATCATGGAAATCTAGTGTTCATGCTCAAGAAACTCCTACAATGCTTGAGGCAATCCTGACAATTTAAAAACTGGGGATGCGTGGGCACTCTAGCCTGCACAAACCAGTTCAGCCATGGAGACTCTGACACAATACCTGAGGTGACTTAAACTTGAGACTTTTGAAAGACAACAAAAGCATAAATTAATATTGAATTCATACTCTAGAGAGATTCACATATACTGATAGTTAACTAATACATGTACAACCAATCAGACTTGCCATGGTATGGGATCTATATAATCTTCCAAGCCCCCTTAAGTGGGCGATAATGAAAACTTTATCATTAGGAGGAGGTTTAGAGAGTTGTTTTTATTGACATCTTGTCTTGATTCCTCTTCTGTGTGACCCACTGGATTCAGAGGTCCCCATGAGCACCCTCAGGTTCAATGATTCATGAGTAGAACTCAGAGGTAGGGAAAACTGTTATATGCACATTTAGCATTTATTACAACAAAAGGATGCAGATGAAAAGCAGCAAATGTGAAAGGCACCTCTAGAGAGAGTCCAAGAGAGCCCAGGCACAAGCTTCCAGTGGGGTTGCACAGTCAGCATCTAATCCTCCCAGAAATAATGTTTAACAACACGTGGAGTATTGTCAGCCAGGAAAGCTCATCCAAGTTTTGGTGTCCAGGGGATGTTTGGGGGTATGGAGTAGGTATGGAGTGCCTTCATGGCCTGCATGGCTAAACTTAGTTATTCAGTCTCCAGTCCCTCTAGAGGTCAAGCTGATACTGCACGACCTAAGGCCCCACCATAAATCACATTGTTAACATAAACTATCTGTCATGGCACGAAGCCCCAGGTACAAGAGACACTCATCAGGCAGGATATTCCAAGGATTTACAGGGGATTCCCCAGGAGCTGGTCAAGGACCAGATGTTCCTCTGAAAGGTGCAGGATTTGAGCTCATCTGTGGAGTACGTCTGTGGAGTCAACTTTCTTCTGCATCCCCACATACTGATTTGCCACCTTCATTGTATCAGATTCCTTTTTCACTATATTCAGGTTTGCGGTTGCTCCAGTATCCCTATCTATGCTGAGTCTCCACGTAGAGCATGTGTGCCCTCTCCAGTGGCTCTGCACGGACCCCTTATTTCTCATTACCAGGGACAGTTTTTCTCCTGATGTGCCTGGTGCTCCTTCTCCACTCTCTTGCCTTAGGACTCTGCTGGGCCATGAGTATTTTTTTTACCCTTTTGTGACCTAGGGCTGCCCTTGGGTGAGGAAAGTCACTTTCTGTTCATCATCTAAGTAGAAAACAGTTTCTGCCATTGGAAGACCCCTGAGTTCCCTGGCACTCCTGTGAACCACAAGGTGCCTGGGGAGGTAGAACTTGGACATTGGAGAGAGGAGCAGCCAGACATTTCTCTTTCTAATCATATGCAGAAAGATTTCTTTTTATTCTCCAGAACACTTGAAAGACTCTCCAAGTTATGCAAATGTCAAGCTCATAAATGTATATTATCATGACTTTTGCAAAGATGAAGAGGATACAGCAAATTTTCTGGGAGGCAAAGGGACTTCTACCTGGATAGGAACCAAGCAAACTCATTAAGCATGGATTAATTTGATTCAACCCTTGCGTGGATATTAATTAAGGACCTTTGACAGGAGAGGGTCCTCAAGGTTCCTCAAAGAGTAACTTATCATCAAGGAAGGTGAAGAATGGATGGATGGCTTGGGCCCAAGACTGGGGCTATTCACTTGTGGGGAAACCCATGTGAACCCAGTTACCCCATACTTTGGGAATAATGACTGAGCATGACTATAATCTTTAAGAAGCTCAAATGCGGAATACCTCTGAGGCTTATGCAAGGATCTGGCCTAGCATCAAGGACAAAGGCTCAGAGGACTCCTTGGGGCCAGTTTTCTACAGTCATACCATCAGCCACAACAGCAGCAAAGGCAGAAGGAAAACAGGGCCCAGGAGTGGCTGACGACTGCCTGGAGTCCAACTGGTCTCCTGGAGTTCATAAGAGGTTTGACCCCTTCTGAGCTGAATGTGTCCTGATTTAGGGGATAGCTAGGGCAATAAGAAAGCCTCAGGGGGTGCTACTGATCTGGAACTCCTACTAATTAGTGTGTATGTATGTGGCCACCAGTGGTTAGCAGATGAGGTGAAAGAGATGGGACAGTGACTGTATCTGTTCTGATGAAGGAGATTGTGCAGTTACATGCGTAACGTCATTAAACTTCATTCTTCCAGGTAGCAAAGGTGCAGGCACATTTCTGTTTATTTCATTCATGCCCAGAAGACCAGCTAAGTTGTCAAGAGAAAGAAAGAGAGGGACAGAGAGAAGGAGGAAGGGAGAGGGAGAAGATGAGGGAGAGGGAAAGGAAGGAGGGGAAGGGAAAGAGGAGAGGGAAAGGGGGAGGAGAAGGGGGAGAGAGGAGAAAGATTGTGTTTGTTTCTTGGCCCCAGTGCATGGTTCTAAGTGTTTGTGTGTGTGTGCGTGTGGCTCCCTATTTCTGCACAGGTGCACTAGTGCTGTGGGTTTGTGTGAACGAGACATTTAGGTGCTGTCATAATTAAATCTAAAATTTTAAACTCTCATTTAGAACAGACTTTATCCTCTTATGTCTGGGTTCTTGTGAAAACTTCACTCTCACTTTATTCCACCAACAGAATGGTAAAAGGCCAAGGTTCCAGGGATATTGAAGGCCAGTGGTTTTCAATCAGGGGTGATTTGGCCCCCAGGGGACACTTGGCAATGTTTGGAGACATTTTTGGTTGTCACAACAAGGTAGGGAGTGCTACTGGCATCAGCTGAGTAGAGACCTGCGATATTGCAATGCTCGGGACAACTCCTACAAAAAAAGAATAATTTGGCCCAAATGTCAACAGTGCTAAGATTAAGATACTCTGTTGTAAGCTATGGGAAAAAATGATCCTTCTCAAAACCCCATGAAATGTCTCGAACAAGATACCTATGTAGATTGTTATGCCTTTGTATTGCTCAGGCATAATAACAATCTCAGTTATGCTCTTGAGCATAATAACAATCTCAGCTATGCTCTTGAGATGCTGAAAAGATGGATTTTGCTGCACTGAGCCATAGATGCCCACGGGCTTAGTCATTTTAGAGATGGTGGGTCTTTGGTGCTAATGAGAAAATATTACAGACAATGCATCTTCATTCCTCAAATCACATGAGATGCTGAACAATAGTTAATGATCTACAAACACAAGCCTCAATGAATGAGAGTAATTACTTATTTGAAGAAGCCCTTCAATGGGTTCTTCCATAGAGGCTCAATTGTGCCCTGATTTAATCGTTTGAGGAGTCCTGCTTCTTCAGGAGGTGGCCATAGAGTGAGCAACTCAGAGGGTTCACAGCCAGGCTAACCTGCATTCCAGAATGCTTCCATTACACGTGAGCTTCTACAATGCCTCAACCTCAACGACACCATTTTTTCTCATCTGTAAAGTGGAGCTAATTAATCCTTGCTCCTAGGATTATGAAAGCAGTAATGGAAGGGCTGCTGCAGGGATGATGAGGGCAAAATCCTATAAAACACTTGTGGTACATTACACGTACTCAATAAATGCCAGTTCTCCTTTCAAAATCAGGAAAGAAAACCCTTCACAAGGCGATATGAGGAAGTGACAAAAAGAACTAGGACTTAATGAGCCCCCATACCACACACTATATATGGCTTTCTTCAGCCTCGAAATCTTAGTAGGATTAAGCCCATTTAACAGATGTGGAAGCTAAAGCTGAGCAGTGACAAACTCAAGGTCACACTGCTACTCAGTAGCAGGGCTGGCAGAGGAACCTTGGGTGTCTGATTATAAAGCCCCACCTCACCCTACCCCACAGCTTGGGCAGAAAAGCCCTAAAGGAAAGAGGCATCAAATTCCGAGATCTGAGGCCAAGAACATATAAGAAGAATCACGCTAGAAATCCTCTTGCTAAAGAATGAACTAGACCAGACAAAGCCAGCCCTTTATCTTGCAGGAGAGCCCACATGACTTTCATCAGTCTTTCATCCCCCGAGAGTTCCCATGATGACCCTGAGACATAATCCATGGGCCTCCTAGCCTTTGAGGTGAGGTGGGGTAGAACAGGGAACCCATTGTTCTCTAATTAGAGCCTGAGGTCTCCTCTGAGGCTCAAGATGGGGCTTCTTAATATGGAGCCTTCACCTGTTCCAAGCTATAGTATTATGATGCCTCCTCCCTTCAGAGGCAGCCCACCTGCCAACATTCATGAAAGGCTTCCTTCTTGATGTGAGGAGTGGGGAGAGGCATCACATGGCTAAGGGTCTTTCCTTGGGGTATAAAGGACTCAGTCTGCACCTGTTCAAACCCTAGCATCATTCATCCAGCTGCACTCCAGTGGAGCCTTCACGGTAGGCATCTGTTATTCCTGATGGTTGGGGAGACAGAGAGCAGGGGAGGGAGGGAGGGAGGAAGACAGCAAGTAAAGGAGGGAAATGAATGGGAGAAGAGAAGAAGGGAGGGAGAAAGAGAAGGAGGGGGAGAGGGAGGGATGGAGGAAAAGAGTGAGGGAGGGAGGGAAATGGTTGGGAGATGGAAAGAGGCAGAAAGGGTAGGAGGAAGGAGGGGAGGGAAGAAAAGTAGGAGAAATTGATGAAGGAAGAAAAGGAGGGAGAAAGAGAGGGTAGAAGGGAGGGAGGGAGAGAGGGAAAGAGGGAGGAAGGGAGAGAAGAATGGAGGGGAAATGAGGAGATAAATGAATGGAGGATAAGGTGGTAGGGGATGCTCTCAGGGCTGTCTGAGACCTGGATGTTGCTCCAGGATATAGCTGAAAACCCAAATTGCTCTGAGTCGATCTGTGAAAAGATGCAATGCCAGACAGAGAGCACCTGGCAAATTTACCCGGGGGAAAAATCCACCACTTCACATTAGTGAGGATCCTACATAGCCCTGGGCAATGACCCCGCCCACGGCACCTGGTGTGGAAACACAATCAGCATTAATTATGGGCAGTCCTCACTGAGCACTGAGCAAGTGCCGGAGATGGTGTTCTACCTTTATAAGACTCATCAGATTTAACCCTCATGATTCCCTGATGAAAAAACACCATTATATGCATTTCGCTGCCCAGGAAAATGAGTTCCAGGCATCTTCAGTGCCTGGCTCAGGGCACTCGACAAGCAAAAGGCAGAGCCTGAACTCCCTGACCCCAGCCCAGGTCTGTCCGACCAGCAAGGCCTTGGGCTCAGACACTGGCTATGCAGCCATGAGACCGGCCATTGGGAGACAGCTAGGGGAGCCGGGACTCCAAACCTGGCATGCAGACCAAGGCGAGGCTTCGGGAGCCTTCTCAGGCCCACAAGGACAGCACTGACCCATGAGGCCACGACAGCCCCAGAGACTTCCTTGGGCAAATTAGGAGAAGGAGGTCTTTCCTCCAGGTAGACACAGCCCCACAGCCAAGGGCGCCTGACTTGGCCAACAGGAGGATACTGGATTTCAGAAGCAGCCCCACACCATCCCACCCACGTACCCTAATGTGCACGTACCCCAGATTCGGGTCATCCTCACTGTTGCCCAGGGCTGACCACGTGCTTCTAACTGGCACCTTCTAGCTGGCACTGACTTTCCTTCTTTGTGCGCAGCAAGGAAGCTGTCACCTGCTGTGTTTCACCACACCCTAGCAAGAAGCTGGCCACCCTAAGGGTCTTCCCAAGCAAGTACTACCGATAATTGTGACAGTTACGCAGTGAGTCATCACTGGAATGCTTAGTTTGTCTCAAAGGACCGGCCTAGCAGTTTAGGGTATTGGAGCCAGAACAAGTCAGACTGGCCCACCTGGGTCTGGTCATTGCCAGAGCGCCCCCTTCTGGGCAAGGGCCACCCTGGCAAGTGACTCACCCTCTGAGCCCAGTTTCCTGGTCTAGAAAGTGAGACGTCTTGATAGCCAAAGTCTTGGAGGGTTGTCACCAGACAGCAAGTGGGGCATGCTCAGTGGAACACCTGACACAAAGAATGACCTAATCCATGAAATGTTGTGTTTAAAGGAATAAGGTCATGAAGATTATTACTTACTTTTTAAAAAGTTGTGGTAAAATATACATAATATTGACCATGTCAGCCACTTTTAAGTGTACAGCTGAGGAGCATTAAGTGCATTCACATTGATATGCAATCACGCCACTGTCCACCTCCAGGACTTTTTCATCTTCCCCTACTGAAACTCTCCCCATTATCGAAGAACACCCAATCATACCTCCTTATAACTTATTGCAAAAATAAATTAGAGCATAGTCAAAATTATGTCTCTAATAAAGTCATTTTGGCTCATTTGCATTCAAGCAACATGTTTCAAGGAGGTAATGGAACATGACCTTCAGGCCGTCTTATCTGAGCTGCAGAACTCCCCAGGGGAATGCACCCCTGAAACATGTGTCACAAAAGAAAAACAGAGATCCACTGTGCAAAACTGATCATTCTTCTTCATTCACCAGACAGGGCCTTCCACTCTTACAGGGGATTAGGGAACAGCACAAAGGCCTTCATTGTAGCAGCTACTACTTATTGAGCCTTTGACCTCGAGCCAGATGCCATCATTGTAATTCTTAATGCTTTTGAGCAACTTCTCTATGTCAGGCGCTGTTGTATGTGCCTCACAAAGATTAACTCATTTCAGTCTTCACAACAGCCTCACAGATAGGTACTGTTATTATGATGACACTGGACTTGGAGTCAGGAGACCTGGGAAGCTGGACATTCTTGCCATGATTTGCCAGGCTCTAAACCTCAATGATCTCATCTGTAAAACAGGAGCTTGGACTGGAAGATCCCAATGCCACTCCAAGTTCAGACATGCTGGCAACCTGTCATGGTGTGATGGTCACAATAAAATACCTGACATACTGAGTGGCAGAAAGTGACTACATTGTCCAAGTTCATGTTGGACCCATTCATGTGGGTATCATTTCAATGAGGTCTCTGGGCTCCTCTGAAGTGCCTTCTGCTAACCACAAGACTTTCCAGGGCATACCACTTTCCATTTGGAGACCTCTCTTGTCTCCCCCTTAATTTTCAGCCTTGTTTCATGGCCTGAGAAGGAATCATTCAGAACTGAATTTCCACCAAACAGTGAGGGAGACTGTCTCACCTTGAAAGTTAACCAGCTTTAGGAATTTGTGTGGCTAAAAAAGGCTCTAAGCAGAGCGTTGCACCAATGAGACAGTAACCAGATTACTAGAGAATTCTTGAGCTGAGTAAGAATCTCAAAGAACTCACACTCTACCCTTTTTAAAAAAATTCATTCAACAAACATTTATTTTGCAGCCACCAGAGCTTGTGCTAGACCCTGGGATAGGTCCATAGAGTAGTGATTGTACAACCTACAATGTCTTCTCCTCTGGGACACTTTCCCTAATACCAAGCCTTGCTCACAGGCAGAATGACCCGTCACGGCCCTGGGTACATATGCAAGACCACCAGAATACGGGGCAGTCTTGGTCTCTGGGAGAACAAATTTTACAAAGTGCTCCTTCCTTCGGGTTGATGCAACACTGCAGAGGACAAGCTTCAGAGTCAAGCTCTGGCTTTTTCAGCATCTAGTTGACCCTCCTGACCAAGCGCTTTTGTGCAGTGCACAACATGTACAGCCCTACCCAGCAGCCCTGTGTGTGCCACTAGGGTGGTATGGATCAAGATGTGTTATCATTCATACTTTGTCCCAAAAACATGTTCTAAAAGCAGAATATGCACAAGACAACCAACCGTATTTACATTATTTATGGAGTTATATTCTAAGGGGGCAAATATTATTTTAAAATCCCTCTGGTCTTTTCCCTGCGCCTCCCACCCCGTCCCCCTGTTAAACATATAATGGATTGGCTAGAGTCCGTTAAGGGCTTATTGAAGTTAAATATTTGCTGATCTCAGCAGACGGCAGCTACAATTGAAAAGCAGTAGGGTTGCTGGACTCTGCCCGCTTCTCCCCTTTGCCCCCAAAGCATCCTCCGAGGAGTATCTATTGAACTCTCAGGACCTCAACAAAGTATTCGAAATACTCAAAAGCCGAGGAAGGGAAGGAAGAGGGAGATGCTGCCGGAAAAGCTTTGTTTGCTAGCATGCAGCGCCACCATGTGGTTGTCGGATTTATTTCTATGTCAAGTGATCGTTGAAAGGTTCAAAACCTACATGCCAAAGGTGCATTGGGAATGCTGGGTATATCATAAAGTACGGGCTATTTAAAATTCAATTAACAAAAGTCAAACTACAGCACTTGTTACCTTGCCTCCCTTCCGCATTAGTCTATGAGCAACTCAGGTAAGGAGTGTTTTCTCCTCACTTTGCACTCCTGGATCCTCAATCCTTTGATGCCTGACACGAGGCAGGCCTGGAAGAAATGACCATGGAATCAATCAGTAAATACAGAAGCCCACGGCTGTGTCTTCAGGGAGCTCATGGCTACATTTCCATTTTACAGATGGGTAAACTGAGTCTCAAGGAGGGAACATAATCTTCTTAGAGGCACATTGTCAGTTAGTGGCAAAACTGGGACCTACACCCTTTCAGGGCTTTCTCCTTTTACCACATGCCTTGTGGGACCAAGAAAGGACATGGGGGTCCCATGGGTTCTTTCATGGGAATTCTGAAAATGCTTCCATCCTATTCTGCTGGCTTCTCTCCCAGGAGTCCGTTCCAGTTGCTGCCTAAGCCCCATCCTTTGTTCTCCTGCTATGATTGCGTTTCTCCTCACCAGTGTGCTGATGATCCCCCATGCCGGTGAGTAATGATATCTTACACCATAGTTCCAGCTTAGCATGTAATTACTTCATTTGAATACTGTCCCTTCAACAGGCCCACCCCCACCATCTTTCCCACGTGTCTTTTAAATGTCCTTATCTTTCTATAAAATTGAGATGGTTAAACATATTCCTCTCTGTCTTCTTGCTTTATTTCTTCCCTCTTTTATTAGTTTGCAACTACCTTGTGGTGACAAAAATGACAATTATATGCTCTACGATTATAAGTGTTTACAAACATTTTTGGTACATCCCAAGAGATTTTATTCTCCAATGTTAACACCTACCTTTCAAAAAATTACAGTCATAGAAAGTTTACGTGCAATCGTATCCATTTACATGTGAATTGAACATGCTTGACCTGCAGCCCCAATTTTTTCAAGGGTAAGTGTGTGACCACCACTGAGATAAGACTGCTTGCCCAACATATTCGCCAATTCTGGGGCCAGACACTGTAGCAGGGAAGGTGTTATTGAGGCTTCTGACTCAAAGATGTGGGAGTGGTGTCTGAATCTGGGTCTTCTGAGAAACAGAAGCCCAAACTAGATCAAGTGTGCAGATTGCAGTAGAGGAAACACCTGTGAGGAAAAACATGGAGTGGCAACTGTGAAAGGTAGAGACCTTCAGAAAGTTCTGCATGTGAAGGAGATGGGCAGAGGGGAGGTGAATGTGCCCTAGACTTCAGTTGGATGTAAGCTGGCAAGGTCATCCAAGAGGAGCCGGAGGAGTCCTGTGTGCCCCAGGAGCCTTGCCCACTGTGGTATACCTACATGCCCTGGGACATTGGCTAGGAGCAGGCATGAAGGGGACGAGGCCTCTGTGCAAACCCTGCCTTGGACTTCCAAGCACAGCCGTAGGCCCTTGGTCAGTTATGCTTCCTGTAGTTGGAGCTCCGCAAGGTCCCTTCTCATGGCTGCCCCAGTAGCAATCTGAGTCAGATACAAGACAATGCTTTGTGAGTGTTGACCATGAGGAGGGTCTCTGTGCATGGTGAGGTCTCTCCAGGGGTCTCTATCCCTCCAGCAGGACGGGGAGCAGCTTCCATGTTGGCTCCCTCAACACAGCCAGGGTGACTGCTGTGCTTCCTCTACTCTCACTCGGAGCTGCCTTGTGACTTCCAAGGGCAGGCGTCAGCCAGTGGGATGGTGGCCACATTTGCATTAGGAGAGGGAGATCCCTTGGCCCTCCCACCTAAGCACATGCTCTCTTTGTCTGGGAGCTCTGCACTGAAGCTCATGCTGCAGCCCCCACATCACACCACCATGTGTTGGCTCCCATTTCCCCCTTGTCCTCTGCATGTTTGTTTCCTTCCAGATCCTCTGAGAAGGGACCTGAGGAAAAAGGTGGGTTTTGTGCAATCCTGGTTGATCTTTTCGGTAGAATACATAATACCATGAAATCCCATTCTAAAGCACCAATAGACATTATCATTCCACTATCTAAAGATGTTATATTCTAAGTTTGCTTCAAGTTTGTGAGACTAAGATTCTCTGATTCTAGCAGGCCACCACTCACTGGCCATTTGATGGTGTGGTTCAACTATTGGATGTTCTGTCCTTCATTAAACAGTTATCAATTGAACTTGTGGTTTCTGTTATATATGTATAATGTAAGTATATACATATATCAATATATTACATACATCACAGTGCTTACCTTGAAGTCCCTAGTTTAGTGGGGGAAATGGTTACATAAACAGATCATTGCAACATGGGGTGACAGGTGCAATGAGAGAAGGATGTCTGCAACATTATGCTAGCACAGGGGCAGCATCCCTGACCCAGGCCAGATTGGGGGTCAGGCAGGGATCCTTGAACTTTGAATGGAACCATAAAATGTCAGTGAGAGTCAGTAATGCGAGGGTAACAGACAAGGGGAAGGCATCCCAGGCCCCAGGGTGCAGTACAAGCAAAGGCAGGATGGCAAGAAGTAGTTTGCTGTCCAGAAAATCTAAGCTTTTCAGTATCTCCGGAGCATGAAGTTCAAGGTAGGAGATGATTCAGCAGAGGCAGCAGGGGCCAGATCAAGGAAAGCCGTACGTACCGGGTGAGAAAAAGCTTTATAGCTTCATCGAAGAGTCTCAGTTTCATTGTCTATAAGATGGTAATGACAGAATGTGCCTTGCAATACTGAGGAGAAGATCAGACAAGGTGATGCCTGCAAAGTGCAGTGTCCTGCTCCTGGAACAGGACAGGTGCTCATCACCTTCTGTGTGTAACAAGCTTACTGAATCAGAATCAATGTCATTCTGGTGAGTTTTGTCCTTACATTCCCTCTGACCATGCATCTCCCTAAGCTGCACTGTTGGACTTTGTGAGTGAACTAACTTAGTCCTCGGGGATAAAGAGTTTCACATCCTGGGTGACTATTTTAATTGCTAATAATAACGTGTGGGAGTCTATATCCTGAAAGTAAGTGTGAGTGTGGGTGAGAAAGCACACCTTATTAACATCTATAGGTAATAAGATTATCTCCCACCCTCCAGAAGAGGAACTTAATTATCAGTTGCACAAAGGAATAGAGTGCAGTAATAGTAATTGCCAAGGAACAGGCAAATTTTACTATTGCTGCTGAAGTGGGCCGCAGATATTCTTAGCTGCTGGTTATTACGCTGATTAATTTCCAAGGCAATTATGCCCAGTGAAAAATGTGCCAGAGCAAGTACATGAGCTTTGTGACAAAGGCTCAAATGGAACTGAAGTCACAAGTCTACCTCCCTGCCTGAAAGTCTACATTTTACAGGTCACAGTCCCCTCAAAGCCTGTAGTTCTCAGGCAGGAGGGAATTCCCTGTTCATGGGAACCATTCCGCAAACCTGGCAAAGGGAATACATGGCTGGCACTGGAACCTGAGAAATGCGTGGTCAGCTCCCATCCCTGCCCCTAGATGGAGCACCAGCCGTCCCACGCAGCCTCACAAACACCCAAAGCAAAGCACCCTCCTTTCACCTTCAAACCACAATCAGCCTGTTTTGTTTAGGCCACAAAACATTTTATTTTAAATTTGAGCCAAGAGTTTAAAATTGGAAGATTTTATCAAAAAATTAACATTTCAAAAAAAATTTTTGAAAAATAAAAATGGTGAGACTCCTTTCTCAAGCCCTGGTGCTGAGTCACAACTGCCTGTCTTGCTGTAACTTGGGTCTCTCTGGTTCTCCACAGTCCCCACCATTCCCTATTGCTTCCCAGCATTGGACTGCTACTTGTTTACATTATCTGCCCATCCCTGCAAAGATTTGGGTCTACAGTCCTCGGTCTTAAGTTGGACCCCATTTCCCACATGTTACCGCCAGGAGTCCATGTGTCATTTCATGTTATCTCTTGGTAAGATTTCATGTAATCTCACAATGTCCTGTGATATAAACTCACAAATAGCCCCATTCTACAGATGAGAAGACTGGAGTCAGAGAGATATAGAACTTTGCTCCTGGTAACAAAACCAAGAAGTTACTGAGCTGGAATGTGGATTCACATTTGTTGTGCTCTAAAGCCCATGCTTTTTCTTCTGTGCCATGATACACATAAATGCCAAAGCTTCAAAAAAGGAAGGTCTCATTAGCCTAGGAATAATTGTAGAAGGTGTCCTTGAGCTTGGCTAAAGAGAAGGCAGGAATTGGATAGGAGTTAGATAGGTGAGTGAAGGATGCTTCAAAAAAGGAGAACAGAGAAAATAAAGTTGGATGTAGGGACAAGTGTGAGGGCTGCAGTGAACAGCATAGCCAGAAGAGGGATAACAGTGAGAGTACTTGGCTGGGGTTCAGGAATCCCAGATAGCAGTTCCTACTCTGCCTTCAAGTTCTATCCAACAGTTTTCTCATCTCTAGAGTGGGGGCTGAATAGGATCATCTTTAGATCTCTTTAAACCCTGTTGTTTTTCCCTTCTTCAGTGTGAAAAACAAATGCAGACTGTTGAGATCTTCCATGAGCCTGGAATTATGCAGTTATATTATCATTATTATTATTATTTGAGACAGAGTTTCATTCTTGTTGCCCAGGTTGGAGTGCAATGGCGTGATCTCAGCTCACTGCGACCTCTGCCTCCTGGGCTCAAGCAATTCTCCTGCCTCAGCCTCCTGAGTAGCTGGGATTACATGCCACCACTCCCAGTTTATTTCGTATTTTTAGTAGAGATGGGGTTTTTCCATGTTGGTCAGGCTGGTCTTGAACTCCCAACCTCAGGTGATCTGCCTGCCTCGGCCTCCCAAAGTGCTGGGATTACAGTTGTGGGCACCGCGCCCGGCCTATGCAGTTATATTGTATACATTGAGTCATTTTGTGTTTGGAAGCATCTTGCCAGGCAGATACAATTGTCTCATTTTACAGAGGATCAAAGTGAGGCTCAACGAGGAAAGAACACGTGCCCGAAGTCTCACAGCCGGCATGTAGGAAAGTGAAGCCTCTAACCTGGTCTCCTGATATGTTCAGTGTCTATTTCCATCCCCTGCAGCCTCTCAGAATCCTTAAGGCAGAGGTGGTTTCAGTGAGTTTCATGAACATCCCTGGGATCTTACTTAGAGGTAGGACATGTCCCATGTCCCAGGAAGAGGCTTATGTTACTGAGAACATGAGTGACAGATTCCAAAGTTACCCACCCCTAGTGAACAAGTCTTCATGGATCGTGCCTTCCTATGACTCCACCGTCACTGTGCCTACTTAGAACCTTCCACAACTTACCCCTCTGAGGCCTTCAGGGTCCACATCATTGATATCCTCCTCCCTTTGCAGTCTTCTTTCCTGCCAGTCTGCCCTCCCCACAGCCAACTGCTTCCAGACCCTTCAGCTTTTGCTCCTGTTGACCCCTTTACCTAGAAAGCTTCTGTAATGATCCAGTGAGGTAAGGCTTATTACTTCCATTCTATCCAACAGAAAAATGAGGCTTTGAGAGTTAAGTGACTTGTTAGGGTGACACAATGGTAGAGGTAAGGTTTTAAGTCAGGCCTGTTGGACAAAAAAACCCTTATAATGCAGTCATATTTTATGTGAATTTGAATCACGTAGAGGTGAGATGGTGCAACAGAAAATGCTAATGACACATCCATTTATACAAATAGTTCAAAATAATGGAATTGGCACACGTCTTAGCAGTCCAAAGATGGCAGCTGAAGACGTTATCATCTGTGATACATTACAGCCATGTCACGTGGCCATGGCAACAGGTAATTGTTCATTAAGTGGTTTGGCTTGAGCTCAAGCTGAGAAATGCAACCTCAAACCAATAACTTGGGAATGGAAGGTGTGAAGAAGGTTATATAGCTAAAAATTATATGGAAAGGGCTGTCAGTCCTCAGGTATGTCAGGCTATTAATTGCGAGCATTTTACAAAATACTATCCATGTTCTGAGAGAACAAAAAGCTGCTTTAAAGCAGACACACTTTTACATCTTCAGAGAATGAAAGGGTGGGAGATATCATGGCTATAAGATCAACACTCCTTCCTGTTCCCTAATATCCTTCTAAACAATAACTGTTATGCATTCATACACCCTGACCTGGAGCCCTTTACTCTGCACTTATCCACTGTGAAAACATAAAGGACGCAAGTTTTGAATTGCGTGAGATCCTCGGGCAGGTAGCTAGTTGGACAGGATCTTTTTCCAGCCATGATCACTAGGCTGGGCTGCTTCCCCAAGAGCCTTGATTACTCATTAAGAAGCTGGAGATCTTAGAGAATCACAGAAGGTTTGGAGTACTGGAGTGGTAGGAGACAAACATAGGTCTGCAAGACTTGATAACATTGACACAAAAAAGTGTTGTAAAGGTAGAAGGAAATAACATCAGAAGGTATGCTACACGTGTTTAAAGGTTAAGCCAGTTATTTGTTACTATTATCATTAACAGCTTCTTATGTTCACTGTTCCCTTTCCCCTCTTCATTAACAAATGGGTTGCATTGTTGGACATTACCTTCATCGTCAACCTCATTGTTTCACCATGGAATTATCTTGGGGAGCAAATTCATCATGGAATTACCTCTGGGGACACAGACACCTTTAGCAGGTGGAAGAGCAGGCTCCCAACCCACACACCCTGTGGGTGCCTCAGCCTCAGGCCCCCTGCAGGCAGGCCCTTTGGTGAGATGGGTCATAGGGGGTTGCAGCTGCCCTCTTGTAGACTGTGCCTCAGCCATCCCTTGTGACGAAGTTGGCCAAACACTGATCCTTATTCCCTTTCCTGCTGTGCTCTGTGGCCGTGGCAGGTGCCACCTCTCTAAACCTCTGATATTTTACCTGTAAAACAGGGGGGAGTGGGGACAAAAGAGTCACCTTAAGACTTTCCAGATAAAAGGACGAGGACCCCAGTCATTCTGTCCATTCCCTTGATGATAGTTATTGACGCTGATAGAAAAACAGCTAAGGTGCAGAGTGTGGCTAAGGGTGTAGGGGGTTTTGGTAAAAGTTGCATAGAGTCATTAGAGGACAAGGGTTTTTCAGTCAGGAAAAATGGGAAAGAGGCAAAAGCAGGACTTAATACTGTGAAAATGTGCGGCATATTTGGGGGACCACGGTGGGTTAGTGCAGCTGGGACCATGACTGCCTTAGTCTCCATACTCCAACCATCCCAAATTGCTCTCAGTTCCTTCTGTGGATCCTGGGTCCTGGGCCTTTACAATGGCTTTCCATTTATGAATAAAAGCTTGCTTTAAAAGAAAAATATATTTACCCTTTTTAAAGCGAGGTGGCTTATTTAAAACAATTTTTCCCACTGACATATTTGAAAGTTTTTCTTTTCAATTCTGTCAAATTTAGCTTAGTCTGTCCATGCTGTTATAACAAAATCCCACAGACTGGGTAATTTATAAAGAACAGAATTTCACTTCTAACAGTTTTGGAGTCAGGAAAGTCTCAGATCGAGGCACCAGATGATTCAGTGTCTGGTGAGGGCCTTCTCGTTTTATCTTCACATGGCAGAAGGGATGAGTGCTATGTCCTCAAATGAAAGAAGTGCGGAAGGGCAAATGGACCTAGCTATTTCCCTCCAGCCTTTTTAGAAGGATGCTAATCTCATGTATGAATGCAAAGCCTCAAGACCTAATCACCTCCCAAAGGCCCTGATTTCTAATACCATCACCTTGAGGTTTAAGTACGAAGATATAAATTTTGGAGGAACACATACATTCAAACCATAGCAGGGTACATTGATGATAGTGGGTAATTCATAGATGACCATTTTATAATTCTAATTTTTAAATGTTTACTGTTTTACAATTTTTATAACTTATTTTTTTCTTTCTAGTCAGCACTTTACCATAGTTTCCCATTTACAAATAAAAGTTTCCTTTAAAAGTAAAAATACTTACCTTTTTAGAAGCAATGTGGCTTATTTTTTTAAAATCTCCCACTGACAGATTTAAAATAGTCTTTTCAATTATGTCAAATTTAGCTTTATATATTTTGGATCATGCTATTATGTGCATACAAACTTAGAGTCGCTGGAACTCCCAGATGAAACAAACTTTTTACAATTGGACAGTAAATAAAACTACCCTGTAATAAAACAACAAAAAAGTGAGTTGGCTTAAAATGTTGCATTAAGAAATGTTATTATGTGCATACAAATTTAGACTCACTGTAACTCCCAGATGAAACAAACTTTTTTATAATTGAAAAGTAAATCAAATTCTCCTTTAATAAAAAAAAAAGTGAGCTGACTTAAAAATACGCATTAATAAGTAATAGTAGAGGCAATATGCTAGTGACTGAAGTTTGAGGAACCTTGTGGGATGGTATATTGGTAGTGCCAGTCCTGGTACTGGTAGCAAGGACAAGCACCCACTGTTGTTATTCCTCTCACCAGTGGTGGTTTTGTCTCCACTAGGAAGGACTTGGCGAGCCTCAGTGACTCTCTCAGTTATGCGTTGTGGAAACTCCAAGGGAATGAGTTTTATCAGAAGAAAGTGTGTATGGAAGTGTTTCCTGCTGGTATCTGTGGCCAGGGATCTTGCTAAATATACAACACAGAACAATCTTGCTAAATATCTATGCACAGGACAATCCCTAGCAACAGAAAATTTCACAACCCAAAATGTCAATAATGTGAAGCTGAGAAACCTGCTCTAAGCCAAGCAAGGCCAACTCAGACACCACCTGGGGGCATCTTCCTGAACAGATTTAGTCTAACATGCTTCTGTGAAGGATGGCCCTTTGTGACTTTCAGATTGATGGGGCTTCTACACAGTGTCAGATGGACAGTGCTGACTCCATAACTCTCCACTTGACGAAGAAAGACAAAACCCTTTTGATCATTTCCAACTACTTACAAGCTTTATATTGCTGGGGAAAGAAAAATATGAGCAGGAACAAGTCTATAAGCTCTCTGAACTTTTAGAGAGCAAATCTGTGTTGAACCTGGGATTCCAACTCCCATATATTTGTCCCATTAGCCCAGGCTGCATCTTCACACCCCCAGCATGATGAAGTCTTGGCTGAAGGTGGTGGTTGTATTTGGGTACTGGTAGTACTAGGACACTATTGTTATTACACCATTAAGTAACATTTCTCAAGGCGAGGTTTCGAGACCATCAGCTTCAAAACTAGTTGGGGAGCTTGCTAAAATTGCTTCTTTCTGAGTCCCAGTCCAGACTGGCTGAATCAAACTTGAGTGAGAGCACAGAAATCAGAATGTTTACGGAGTCTGCATCCCAGGTGATTCTGATGCTGATAATCTGGGGAAAACCCTTATTCTCTATTATTATATAAACTCCTTGGGGGTTGGGGTATTTACCTCTTTCCACCAATGCTTTATGTCAAGAAAGTCCAAAACAAACCTGCAATCTAAATAAAACAGGATGCTTCATACACAAAGACGGCTTCAAGATAAGTCTCCCAACCTCTCCATCCCCAACCAGAATGCCACTGTTAAGGCTTACCAGTATAAGACATCAGGGTTACCTCAGCCATCCCCTTATTTCCTTCAGGAACTACCTCCTAAATCTAGTGCATAGCAGGCTCTAGGAAATATGCATGGAATTGAATTTATGTGAATTCCCATTGTTTGTCTGGCTGTCGCCTTCTGGCCTTAGTCCAGCAAGTGAATTGTATCAGTGTTTGTGCTTACCCTACTTTCTCTTCCTTATTTATAGGAGGCCATCCTCTGGACACTCCACATCTTCCACAGGAGCTGCCTCCAGGACTCCCAAACAATATCAGTAAGGATTCTTAGAACTTTTCTTAGGAGCAGAGTAGAAAGTTGTCTAGGATATTGGCAGAGAAAATGATCCCTTCTGAATACACCCTAGAGCCACTCACTGCTGTGGCATTTGTAAGTAAAGGGATTGAAGTGGGACTCAAAAGCATCTCCCCAACAATCTCCCCTGGTGTCTGGCCCAACCTTTTTCTCACAACTGAGACAAAGTCTAAAAATTTCTGTCAAAGACAAAGGTCAGCTGAAAAGGGAAACCAGGAGAAGGCAGGAAATGGGCTGACGTGAAGGTTATATATTAATTGTATCTTAGCTTCAGAATGAGCTCTGAGCTTCCAAGAAGGCAAGACCAAGAGGGATAAATGATATATTGCTTGCTCTGGTTGTAAAAAAGGAGGATCCATATTTGTTTCCCGGGGAAGCGAAAATTTTCTCAGCGATAGTTTATAAACACTTCTCAGGTGGGTCCCTGAAGGTGGGCATGGCTGAAGACCATAATGCATAGTGAATTCGCTGGTGATGTCAGCCCTGAATCAAGCATTCATTTCCAACCTTTCAGAGGAGTGAGTTGGGTCAACCAAATTATTCATGCGTGAGTCCATACTTGCAAAGTAATCAGTCCCATTCAGATGCAAATGAAAAGTGGCCTCCCTCCAAATGGCATAACTTCTAGAGGAAGTGCAATGCCCACCAGGAGGCCTTCTTTAATTAGACATTAAGACTCACAGGCCACACTTGGCATTTAGAAGAATCAAAGCTAAGGAACACAGCATGCCAGCAGGCCATGGCAGCCACTCCTCTTCAGCAAGAGTAGCCCTCACGGCAATCTACACAGCAGTTCTGGGGATCCCAGATAACAAACAACTCAGGTACAAGAGAATGGGACTTATGTGGAGCAGCTGTATGACCAGCCCCGGCTTAGAAGCTTCATTCTCCATAGGAATCAGTATCTCTAGTAATGACCTCGTGGGTATAATTTCTAGGACACCCAGTAGGATGACCGTTTATAAGAGTCATCACACTGAATGAGACCCAAGATGATGATTTCCTACCAGGTATTTATAGTTCACCCATAATTCCTGTCAGTCCAGATATACCTTACCACCCAGGGGTCATTTGTACCATTGTGCAATGCTACCCAGTAATGGAATTCACATTTCATCTCTATCAGGTTTCCATGGTAACCTGTGTTAGTAGAAAGCTAGCTTAGCCCAAGGTCAATTTTTTCTTTGGAGAATGAAGAAAGGTTTTATGTACACTTTACCTAGAGGGTGGACAGGGAAGTGAAAAAAAGGAAAAACCAAGACTCTCATTTGTTTTCTTTCTTACACTTAGATATCACTTTCTTCAGTGGGATGTTTAAAAATGTGGAAAGTGTGGCTGAAATTTTTGGTAAGTTAAGTCTAAAATTGCTTTTATCCACCAGAGGTCAGAGCATGTGTGGACAAATCTAAGGAAATTGCAAGGGCCTTGGTCTCAACCCTCGGAGCTCCCATGGCCTCCACAGCTACCTCCCAACAAGGAGACCCAAGTTCCGACGAGAGTAGTGGTGTCTTTTATTGCAGGGTGAGCCACTGAGCTACCATGTGCCTTCCTATTCCTTACTTCATTAGTCCTGACTCACAACTCTCCAGGAAGGGAATGGTATCCCCATTTTATAGAAAAGGAAACTCAACCGAAGGGAGTTGAGTGACTTGCCCAAGACCACCCAGCTAGAAGGGAGGAGCTCTCCTTGGAATCTAGAGCTTAGTCCTGTACATCAAAGTAGTTTTATTTTTCTTCCCTCACTAGTAAATATAAAGTTTAAGAACGTCAAAGTGTGTCAAAGATCCCATTTATCAACTGAAAATCTATTATGTGACTATCAGGACACTATGATGGTTCCTATCATCAACTACTAGAAGTACCAAAAAAAGAGACTATAATATGATTGACATGAACAAAGACACTCAGAATTACTTTTGGGTCGGGCCATGCTGGGCATAAGGCTGTGCTTAAACTGTTTGTATAACTAAGTGCAGGTGCCTTGTAAGTTTCTGAATGAAAATGCATATTTACATAAATACACACATGCATAAAGCTTAGTGTTGCTTTTTCAATCAGCATAGAATTCTGTCTTTATTTTTCTGATTAGGTCTTGTGGGTACAAAACATGGGAAAGGAAGTTTGAATGAGGTGAATAGTATGAGGTGGAACTGGTCCTCACAAACTACTCCTGATGCCCTTAAGCTCCGTCTTGTGACCCTGTGCATGTTAAATCAGTAGTGAGGGGTAACCCATGCAGCACTCAAGGATCCTCTAGTCAGAAAGGTAGAGAATGGGGAGGAGAATGCGAGATTTAGAGTTGGAAACTGTTGATATGGTTTTCTTGCCAATTTTGTTTGCTGTATACTTTAGGGCAAATCATTATCCCTGGTTGATGCCTTAGGCATGTGTTTGGCCTTCGGTTTACTACTGTGAAATGTAAAGCAAGTTTACTTACTATGAATTGGCAGTGACAGAAAACATCTGCCTTACAGGGTTAACAGGAGGCCTATGGGACAACAGACAAAACAAATGCTTTCCAATGCATTACACACTCCGCCAGGCTGAATTACTGTGCCAGTGAAAGCACCTAGTGCAGCTTCTGACACCTAAAGGATGCTCAAAAGTTGTGAATATCTGTACCACATTTCTTCCCATACTGGCTTATAGTTTTATACTGTCATCACCGTATCATTTGGGATCCATTCAGTGAACTAATAGTGACTCAAATAATAAAGATATTTGTACCACATTTTCTTTATCCAATCCGCTGTTGATGAGAACCTAGGTTGATTCCATGTCTTTGCTATTGTGAATGGTGCTGCAATGAACATACAGATGCATGTGTCTTTTTGACAGAATGAATTATTTTCCTTTGGGAAAATTCCAGTAGCGGAATTCCTGGGTCAAATAGCAGTTCTATTTTAGGTTATTTGAGAAATCTCCAAATTGCTTTTCACAGTAGCTGAACTAGTTTGCATTCCCACCAGCCAGTGTCTAAGCAATCCCTTTTCTTTGCAGCCTCGCCATCTGTTGTTTTTTGATTTTTTAATAATCACCATTTTGACTGGTGTGAGATGGTGTCTCGTTGTGGTTTGGATTTGCATTTAGCATGGAGGGAGTTTGAGGCCATTATCCTAAGTGACTTAATGCAAGAACAGAAATACAAATACCACCTATTTTCACTTATAAATGGGAGCTAAGCATTAAATACACGTGAACATAAAGACGGGAACAATAAACGCTGGGACCACTAGTCAGGGAGGGAGGGAGGCGGTCATAGGCTGAAAAAACCCCGGTTGGGTACTGCGCTTGCTGCCTGGGTGAGGGGATTGTTGGGACCCCGAGCCTCAGTATCAATTTACCCATGTGACAAACCTGCCTGTGTACCCTTTAATCTATAATAGAAGTTGATTTTTTTAAAAAAATAACAACAAGAATAAAGACATTTCATTATCTCAAGTGGTGTGAAGGCACCAATATGCGTGTGGTAGCTCAACACAGGTATCAAAGACCCAGCAGCCTCTGTCTATCTTGCTCCACTGCTACCCTGAACATATTGTTTTTTCAACTTTAGACTTGGGGCCTCCTGATTATAATGTGGTTGCTGCAGCTCCAGCTAGCACATCCTCATCCACATTCAAGGTAGAAAAAAGGTGTAGATCAAAAGGATCTTCCTACTTGCCTTTATTCGTTGCTAGAAAAGAAAAGAAATATTTCTCAGAAGACACTTAAAGACTTTCCCTTAAGGTTTTTTGGCCAAATCTGGGTCACATGCACAGCCATAGACCAATCAGTTGGTAACATGGGATTACCATGACCAGCTGAGAGTGATTATGAAATACCCTAAGGAACTTAGGTAGAAGGCTCACCTTCCTTAAGAACTTTCTAGTTTTGTCAGTAAGGAAGAAGGTTTAAATGGTTGTTAGGTAGAAAACCAGCAGGGATGATGGCTTAGTCTAAAACAGTTTTATTACAGAGTAGGTGCTTACTAGGTTGATAAGGCACCATCAGCCTGAGGTATAGGAAGTCCAGGGGACAGGGACGCCCTCCTAGTCCTAGTTCCCAGTGCTTATCAGGCCCTGCCCCCCACCCCCACAGATTGCCTGGGCCCCCACTTCACCTGGCTGCAGGCTGTCTTCACCAATTTCCCTGTGCTGATCCAGTTTGTCAATGGTATGAAGTGTGTGGCTGGTCTCTGCCCCCGAGACTTTGAAGACTATGGTTGCACCTGCAGGTTTGAGATGGAAGGGTTGCCTGTGGATGAATCTGACAGGTAAGTGAGTTCCACAGGTGAGCAAGACCAAAAAAAGTGAGCTCATGGGAGGCCTGGCTGATACCTTGGCAAGAGCACAAATACAGAAAAGCCCCTGGACTTGGGACTCAGGAGAGGGTTTAATTCCACTACCTACTAGTTGGGTGACTCATCTTTACATGGCAATGTCATCTGTGATCAGCTCTCACTCTAAAAAGTTATTAAGATCCTATGTTATGTCTGTTATGCAAAACTTCATTTTAGTGCACTGAATATTTAAAATAGACCACTGCCAGGATCCATCCAGAGACACAGAAAGATCATGAGCTGCCTGCCCTCCCTCACTCTAACCCACACTCTCACCCTGCCTCCTCCCGGCCTTCCTACAGCTGCTGCTTCCAGCACCGCAGGTGCTATGAGGAGGCCGCTGAGATGGACTGTCTCCAAGACCCCGCCAAACTTAGCACAGAGGTCAATTGTGTCAGCAAGAAGATCATATGTGGTAAGCATCTCCAGGTGTCCCAGGGGCCTGGGCCCAGAAATGACAGTCCAGGGATCCCAAGCCTGGACCAGGCTGAGGGCATTGTGATCCTCTCACATCATCGTCACCACTGGCAGCATCGTTGGCAGCACTTAGAGCCCCACGAGGGCTGGATCAATGGCATCTGTATCTTTCACAGAGTAGAGGCACAATAAATGTTTTTGAGTTGAAATATTAGCTGATCAGCAAGTTATCTGATTTACAATTTTATACTTGTACAACCCTGAGACCTTGGGAAGGGCAAATTGTTTGCTACTTACACATTGTGTAGCATTGCAGAATTATTTAACTCCTCTGACCCTCAAAAAGGGGAGGAGAAACCTACTTCAGAGATTAGTTGTGAAAATCAAATTACACAATGCTTGTGAAATGGTTAGCACAGGGAGCGACATATGTTAAGAACTCAGAGATGGACGTGGAGGTGGAAGTAGTGATACGTGAATAAGGCGTGCGGTGGTGGTTGCCAGTAAGAATCAGAAACACATAGGTTCAAATCTCAGTTCCCGCCTTATTTGCTATGTGACTCCAGGAATTTTATTTCATGTCTCTAGGCAACCCTGGCAGAGGTAGAATACGCAAAGGCATGAAGGGAAGACAGAACACAGCATGTAGGGGTTCCTATATTACAGCCATACTTTATGTGTGTTTATTATGTGCTGTAGGCTTATACACAGAAACTCTGATCTTCCTTACAACCCTATTTAGAAAGGGGCCATTGTTTGCAGCTTAAATAACTTGCCCAAAGCCACACAGCTGCAAAGGGGCAAAGCCAGGGTTTGAACCCTGATCTGACTTAACACTCAAGTCTATATAACATGGACTGGCTGGAGTATGGAGCATCAAGGAGGAATTGAGGGGAGGAGGTGGGTGTGAACCACTAGGTGGGAGGCACAGTGAACCCAGAAAACATGATTCATTCATCCACCCAACGTATATGTATTGTGTACCTACACCAATGCAAGACAATCTTCTGTGCTGGGGATAGCCTGACCTTCTGGAATGTCCTCACCATTGTCAGACACTGAAGCTATCCAAAACAAATTGTATAGTATGTTAGAGAGGGACAAGAGCTGTGGAGGAAAATGAATCAGGGGAAAGGCCTGTGGAGGGAAAGGGGGGGTTCTCTTTAAATGGGAAGGTCAAGAAAAGCCTCCTGGAGATGATGAGGGTTGAGGATGACTTAAAGAATGGGCAGGAAGCCATCCTTGCAGATATATGGGAGAAGAGCAAAGCAGACAGAGGAACAGCTCAGGGACTGGCCCTGAGGCCTGAGAGGCCTGTTGTGGTTGAGAAATAAGGGAGCAGTGAGACACAAATGGGTTGATGAGGAGGGAGTGGAAGAGGATGTGGCCTGAGAAGGAATAGGGGTCGTGGGTCAGGGGAGCAATCATGTGACGTTTCCTAGGTGACAGTGAGACTTGTAGGTTGAGGTGGGAAGACGCTGGGACGTTCTGAACAGAATAAAGGCATGGTTGGACCTGAATTTCTAAAGGATTGTTCTGACTCCTGGATAAGAGTAGATTGAGCAGCAGGGTAGAAGCTGGGGGCATAGTTAGGAGGCCACTACCATGACCAGGCACGAGACAAGAGGGCCTCAGCCCAGTGTGGTACAGTGGAGGTGTGGAGATGTGGTCAGACTCCATGTTGAAAGTGGAGCCAATAGTGCTGCCCTGGGTGCAAGTGTGAGAGAAGAGGAGTGGGTATGGACCTCGTTTGGGTCTACACCCCTAAAGAGATAAGAGCTGACATGAATGAGATGGAGATTGCAAGGGGAGTGGGATTTTTGGCAGGGGAGATGAGGAACTCAGTCTTGGAGCTTGCATTACCTCTTGGGATTCCAGCTGAGATCTTTCCAATTGGCTATGCTCTTGCTGTGTGCAGAGTCCAAGGACAACTGTGAGCACCTGCTGTGTACCTGTGATAAGGCTGCCATAGAGTGCTTGGCTCGATCCAGCCTCAACTCTTCCCTGAACCTTCTGGACACCTCCTTCTGCCTGGCTCAGACTCCAGGTAGGAAGAACCTGGCTGCATCAGCCGTGGGGCTGAGGATCTGGACAGCAGCTGGTTTGGGATCAATTATTGCTTCATGTCTCTAGATGCCAAGTCCAGCATCTTCAAACCCTCCCTCAAACCCACTGCTCTCAACAGACTTTCCAAAGTGTTTTCTTTTCAGAGACAACCATCAAGGAAGACTTGACAACACTTCTGCCCAGAGGTAAGGCCTCCCAGGGTTGGTGGCTCTTGAACCACAAGGGCCCAGATGCTGATGGGAGCCGGTGGATACACCTCCTCCACCAGGCCTGCCTCACTGGAGCTGGAGTGACTGTGACACTGGAAGTGGTCCTGCCTTCTCTGGCTAGGAGATGTGTTACTTCTGATAAACCCAATTCAAATGCCCAACATCAAATGGCCCCAGTGCAAACTCAGCCCCATGCTGTGTGGACAAGTGTGAATTTAATCCAGTGTGGATGTAGAACCCAAGTTCATTCTCTCCCCTTTCTCACTCTGTAGTCAGAGCCCTGGTATGTAGTGTGACTGGGACAAGACGTAGTGCTCAGGTGGAGTGAAGTCTCTCCTAACTAAGTAAGCTCCTGGCTGCCACAGCCTCCCAGGAGCAGACCCACTACCTCCTCCTCTCCCTTCCTCCCCTTTCTCCACGCACTCTCCAGCGCCTGCAGCAAAAGGGGCAGCCTGGGTCCAACAGAGGCTTTTTGATGGGGAGGCTGCTTTTCGCATGTTTATTTTCAGAACAGGGTAGGTGCTTAATAACTGTTCACTGAACTAAGCAAGTGATGATTCCTAATCTAAAATATAGATCTTGCCAAAAATGGGAGTCAGGTTTATGCCTGCCACTCCTTGTTCACCAGTTTCCATGATCTCTCAGTCCCAACACCTTTAGGCATCTGGGGATGAGAAGTCCAAGGTACACCTTGGCAGGGCATCCTTCTCCTGGAGCTGGAGTCTCTCTCCCAGAACTAGTCATGCAGTGTTTGGTGTTTGTTAAAGAGAAAGCAGGTGTATGTGTGCATGCATGAGTGTGTATGGATGTGTGCATGGGCATGTGTGGGGGTGTGCATGTGTGTACATGAGCGTGAGCGTGAGTGCATGTGTATGGGTGTGTGCTTATGTGCATGTCATATCTCTATGTATCTTCTGAGTCCAGCACTGTTTTTATCCTCAACACCCCCTGCCTCCCTTTGGAACAGAGGTCTCCTCAAGCTGGGATATCTTTGGGGTTTTCAGTTCTTTCGTTGCCTTCAGCCAGGATCTGAACCTGAACCCAGCTGTGGCTGTGCTCCCTCCTGAGCTGGGATCTTGCAGGGCACTCCGTGCTCTGGGAGGAGTAACAGGGGCAAGTGACTCCTAAGACAGGATGAACAGCTCTTCTTAGTAAGCCCTTTCTCAGCCCCTTTCCTCCCTTGGGCCAGCAACCAGCCTGTTTTCCTTTGAGACCCTGTGCTTGGTTTTGACACTGTGTTGCATGAGTCACTGCTATTGGGAACTCTCTTTTTCCAGTGGTTCCTGTGGAGCCCACAGACACCAGCCTGACAGCCCTTTCAGGAGAAGGTGAGCCAGAAGGGGCTAGTGTGGAACCCAAAGACACACAATGAGAGTGGGGAGGGACTATACACGTTTAAACAACCAGATCTCACAAGAACTCACTATCACAAGAACAGCACCGAAGGGATGGTGTGAAACTATTCATGAGAAATCCATCCCCATGATCCAATCACCTCCCACCAGGCCCCATCTCCAACACTGGGGATTACATTTCAACATGAGATTTGGGTGGGGACACATATCCAAACTATCTCAGTTAATATTTTAGGCTTTGTGAGCCACAGGGTCTCTGTCACAGTTGCTCAGCTCTGCTACTGTAGCATAAAAGCAGCACAGACAACCCCTAAATTAATGCAAGTGACTGTGTTCCAATAAAACTTTATTTATGAAACAGGCTGAGAGCTAGTCTATCATTCACTAATCCCTGAAAGGGGATGATTACACCTATCCTTTAGAGTGGCATAAGGATTAAATGAGAGCAAGCATGGGGAGATTCTAGATCAGTATCTTCTCCCAGGTGTGGCTATAAAAAACAGCACACACTATCAAATCATAGGCTGGATACTGGGCAGCTTGCTTAAAATACATAATCTAATTTAATGCTTATACACGCCTATGGAATAATTGCTACAGCCTCCATTTTAAGACAGGTGATCGAGATTCAGAGATGAATTGTCTAAGACACAGACCTGAGTGGCAAAGCTGCGATTAGAGACTTTTTCCTTCTAAACTCTCTCTTAAGCTTCCTTCCCACAGGGACCTGTTCCAAACCTCAGGGAAATAATGGCCCTTCACCCCTGAAGATGGCATTTGCCGGTCTTTGTGCCTAAACACAGGCCTGGCTCTAGTCTGGCCCCTTTCCTACTGAATTGAGACCTTGGTGAACACCATTGTGCAGCCATATGCCCTGATCGGATTACCCTAAGCCTCCTCTCTTACATCCTCAGCCCCCAAATCTGTTTCCCCTGTTTGGCTTTGGCACCTAGCTGAACTGATCATTAAAATCGGGTGATTTCTGTTCACAGTGGCTGCAGAGACTGAGGCTGACAGACTGATCACTCTCTCCAAGAAAAGTAAGCAGAGGGGAATTTGGAAAAGGACAGCCTGGAATCCAGTGGAGAAATATTTCAAATATCTAAAAATCTGTGCTCAGTCCTGTGACCACTTCTTAATGGAACCTGAAATAAATATTATTATACCCATTTTACAGAATATGTAGGAAACTGAGGCTCAGGAAGAATAAAAGTTGCAAGTCACTCAGCAAGTAACTTGGGCTGTTCTCCAAGCCCAGACTTTAGGCTGTAAGACTATTTCTTTCCTTTATAAAATAGTGGCTCATAGAGAACACTGTCTTCCCTAAAAATATCTAGGCCAAAATTTCATCAGCAGAGTTAACCTAACCATTTACTCTGCTTTTGTAAATAACTATGGATCCTTTATTAATAAGCATAAATCAATGATAATTATTTGCCAATTACTTAGAATGAATAAGTAAGTAAATGGGTTCTTTGGTTAACGAGCAGTGATCTTGTTGAGGGCCTCCTATGTGCCAGCATATCATTCCCAAGCCCCTTACAAACATCCTCTGAATTAGTCTTCCCTGGTCCTTGGAGGCCTATCCTCATTTTACAGACAAACAAGAAGCTCTGAGAAGTAGAGTCATTTGCCCAGGGTAGTTCAGCTTGATAGTCCTTTCGTTCTGAGTCTATAGGTTTTGCTTTTGAATAGAACAATCTGCCCCAGTTTAGAATGGTCCAGAATCTCCCTCTTTCATGGAGCATTTGTGTCCATATCAGTCAATTTCAAAGCCTGGTTTTCATAGAACACTAGCATAGTCTTGATTTTTGAATACATTAAACTTAAGGTAGTTTCTGTCTTTCCAAAGAACTTAGTAGTCACCATCTCTAACATTTTTTCGTGTGGCACAGCCAGAAGTGAAATAGTCTGCCTAGTGGTTAAGCATACCAACTTCAACCAGGCTTCTTGGGTTTGCAGCCGCCTCCTAGCTCTGTGACCTTGGAAAAGGGACCTAACTTTTCTGTGTGTCTCCTTTCTCATCTCTGAATGAGGGTGAGCATAGAACCAACTCAAGGGGCTGTGGTAAGTTAATATAAGAAGCCCTTGCTGCCATACCTAGCATGTAGTAGGAGCTTAATAACTGTCAAATAACAATAACAACAAATTCAGTTTACAGAGAAACTGAGGCTCAGTGGTTTTCCTGGAGTCACATAGCAAACAACTTCAACCACGCAATTCTGCTGTCTCTGTGCTGCAATGCTCCTCTGTTCCAAAATGTACTTTTCTTTTAGTTTTTCTCCGAATTCTAAAGAAGCTGTCATTCCCAAAGTATTTGCACTAACTCACTTGCTTCCAGCCTGACAAGCTGTGGCTGCATTTGCCAGCAAGCGTTTTTCTGGGGGGTTCCCTTTGGCTCAGCAGCAGCCCTGGTCTCACCAGCTCTCTTAGGAAATCTCATGGTGGGAAGTGGGCCAGGGGCAGAGTGAAGAGCACATGGCTGCCTGTGTGCAGTGGGTGGGAAGAGCCTCTGGAAACCCAGGTGGGACAGGCTGGGGTGGATGCTCATGCTGTCTCTCTTCTTTGGGGAACAGAAGCAGGCCACGATCAGGAAGGAGTGGGAGCTGCTAGGGCTACGTCCCCTCCAGGTAAGCCTACTGGGCTCCACCTGCCTATGTTCATGACACATTTATGTCCTTTGTCCTTGACACATTTATGATATCAACTGGGTTCCAAATGAAATGCACCATGACCTTGTCAGCATGGGAGGTGATGGGGCAAGAATCGGAAGCATTTATTCCCCAAATGTGGCAGCTGGTCCAGGGAGGGTGATTAACACCAAACACCCTGATCTAAAGAGAGTGAGGGGATCTCAAATTAGATTAGCACCAATAATTCAGAAAGTTCCTCCTCAAGAGGTGAGGGCTACTGGCTATTCAGACTCAGCAGAGAGCAGACACTGGGCTCTGGGATCTCCTTTGGCTTGTAGAACGTTCTAGCTGGAGAGTCTTAATCCTGGATTAGATGTATGGCTATTTTCTCATTCACTGAGCAGTTCTGATAGCTACTACTGACTATTTCCTAATTGCTAGGCATTTAGCTAGAAGGATTATTCAAACACCAAAAGAGGTATTATTAATATAATTTTACAAATGGAGAAATTAAGATTTAGAGAGGTGAAGTGATTTGCCCAGGGTTATGTATCTAGTACATAGCTAAGCTAAAACTCAAACTCAGATTTCTTTAACACTAACTCATGAACTCTTTCTACTCTATTACACTGACTAGGTGAGTTTCCAGCAGTGGAGAACATGATAGAAAGAAATTAGATAACTTGCTTCTATTTGTGGGATTGGAGAACTGGGCAGGATGTTAAACCTAGGAGACTGAGATTACAACAGGGCTTTAGTCTCATAGGAAATGGAGTTGAGTAAGAGGAAGTAGATGACCAGATGCACGAAGCAAACCAATATGGTGGATTTGGGGAAAGACTGCAATCCAGCGGGCACAAATATGCCAGACCTTACCCAATACTCCAGGAACTGAGCCTGGGTCAGCAGATTGGTGGGGCTGAGCCTGCTGCTGTTCTCTTTCCCTGTACTGGGAAGGCTGGAGATTTGGCCTGTGCATGGGAGACTTTGCTGCCTCCAGCTAAGAGGGCAGGTGAGACTGACACATCAGAGCAAAGGGAGATCCAGAGAGAGTGTCAGGCAGGCGGTAAGAGATGTGATGGCAAGGCAGGTAGGACCAGGTCACAGGCAATCCTTGCAGACCACAGGAAGGAACTTGCACTGGATTCTGTAAATAAAGAGAAGCTGTTACTGCACTTGAAAAAGGAAATAAGGGCTTCCAGGAGTTGTTTTGCTTGCCTACCTTGTTGTGTATCATGAGTCGCCTTAATTTCTCCATCAGTTTCTTTACCTCTTCACTTGCTGTGAGCGCCATAATGCCCCTTCACTGGGCAGGCATGTGATACTAAACATGACACAAACACAAGCCTGGGAGCCTCAGAGTCCTCATCCCTGGGATGTCATCCAGGTGGTCTAGCACAGGCTCCCGACAGTGTTAAGGTTATCATAGAAAATATGGAAATTCTCATGTAGAATTCTTAAGACTCTGCCTGGACATCTGCAAACCCAGTTTGAGGAACATTCTCCTAACACTATGTTGTTCTATCTGTTTGCATTTGGCTTTCGTATGTCCATCTGCAAATCTCTCCTTGAGCCACTTTTTGAATCCGAATCATGAAGTTTTTCATTTTCAGGATCTGCAGAGATAGTTGCAACAAGGGTTACAGCTAAAATTGTAACCCTTGTCCCTGCTGGCATTAAATCTCTGGGGCTGGCAGTGTCATCTGTTGAAAATGATCCTGAGGAGACCACTGAAAAAGGTGAGCAGAAGCAGTGTCTGTCCTCTCCGCTGCTGGGATCTTTTGGTGAGGCTGTGAACAATCACCGTAGGCCACCTTTTCACACTGTGACCTTCTCATGGGGGTGTGATGAGAAGACATCATCCCCCTGACTGCATGAGCACCTTGAGGCTCAGAGGAGATGTAAGCTGCCTGTAGCCACTCAGCCACTGGGAGGCTGAGCCTGGGGGGAGGAGCCACTGTCTTCTGAGCCCCTGACCTTGTGCTGCCACCACTTTTACTGGCCCAGAGGGAAAGAGCTTGGCTTCGTCCACACCGTGCTTTATTGGAAAGCATGAAGCACTTGGGTTTTGAACATCTTCCCCCTTTGTCTCTCCTCCCTCTGATGCCTTAAAAAAGCCCCTGCACCTGCAAGGAGGCCACGGCCTGTTGGGCATACAGAGGAGGGGCTTTGTTAGTATCTGGGTGTGCCTTCCATGATGTCCAAAGCAGAGCTATGGAGAAAGCTGCATTTGAGATTTGTGGACAGAGGAGGAAGGATAGAAGGAAGAGAAATAGAGACAGAGAAAGAGAGGGGAGTGGGGAGACGGAGAGGCAGAGGAGAGAAAGGCAAGCCCAGCCAGGTGTGCTAACCTGATGCGACCAGAAACCATGAGAGTTCAGCTGGGATGCTCCCAGGATGCCAGGTCTACTCAGTAATAAGATGTGGCCCCAAACAGCATCTTGGGTCCTGACAAGTCTCCATCCCTTAAGGGGATTTAATAAGGAGTCTTATAGAGCATTAGAAGCCTAGGGAGAAAAGACTTGCTCTCCGAAAGACAATGCATCCCAAGCAGGGGATGAGCCATAACAGCTTTCCCAGAAGAATGGTGAGCCAACGAGTAAGACATGGGGTTCCTTTGCATGACTAGAGTTGTCCACATACAACCCGGAGGCTCACATGGCCTTCCTGTTGAGACAGCTGCCCCGACAGTCCTTGCTCTCCTGACAATTCCTGTTCCTTTCAGCCTGTGACAGATTCACCTTCCTGCACCTGGGAAGTGGGGACAACATGCAGGTGATGCCACAGCTTGGAGAGATGCTCTTTTGTCTGACATCCCGGTGCCCGGAGGAATTTGAGTCTTATGGCTGTTACTGTGGACAAGAAGGAAGAGGCGAGCCAAGGGATGACCTAGACAGGTATGGAGAGCCAGCGGTGACAGCTCTGGTGTAGTAGTGCTGATGCTGTCTGCACCAGAGGGTGGTGACAGCCCTCCTGGACACCAGGCTGAAACTTGGGCCTCACTAAATGCTTGGTGCACACAGCAGCTCACTCAGGTGGCTCTACAGCATCATAGGCCCACTTTCCTGGTGAGCAGCTGAGGCTCAGGGACTGACTTGTTTGAGGTCGTTCACCTTGGAAAAGGCAGAGCCAGAAAGATCCACATCTTTTGATCTGGGGGCCTAGAGCCCTTTCAGTACTTTGACAAATACTGCCCAGCTACCCCAAGAGGGCCAATCTGCAAATACCCTTCAAATGACCCCAAGTCCACCTAATTTGCAATAACCAACATGTAGAATTGAGGTCTCCACTTGGTTTTTCCTGCAGAAGGCCACATTAAAATTAGCCTTTTAAGTATAACTTTTCTCAACACCTTTTAAATATAACTGTAATTTCCATGTGTACCACTCTTGAAAGAATTTTCGTTGACCTCATGCACTTATTAATGTATTCATTCGTTTAAATATGCATCAAACCCATACCGCTTGAGCTTTTGCTCTGTGCCAGCCACTATGCCAGGTGGTAGAGATATAACAATGATTCAACCTTCACAAAGCAACATAAAACAAACTATTTTTGCCCAATGGAAGCTTATTTGATGAAAGAGATGGACAATTAAACAAAAGTACTACCCAATATAATAAATACAGTAGGGTAAACAGAGGAAACCATGGAGCACTCAACCTGAGTTTGAGGAATTTTCTCAAAGTAGCGTTGATCAAGTTTAAAGACTGCACATGGGGACAGCCCCTGTCCACGGCCAATGGAGAGACCTGCATTCAAAAGGCACATGTCCTTCTCGGATGGTATGGTTGCCAAAGCAAAATCAGCAGCTATTGATGAATTTTAGAAACACAGAAAGACAAAGCTTGTCATAGCTAACACAAAGGACACAGTAATGGCAGGAATATGGAGTATGTCAGCTGCAGGTTTGATGTGTGGGTGGCTGTGTTTTTTACCCATCCACTTTCTTTCCCCTGCCTCTACCTGTCAGCCATCCCGGCTTCATTATCCACCTCTGAGATTTTCAGTGAAGGAAATCCAGGCTCTGTTGCACAGTCAGCCTTCAAAACTTACCTCCCACCAGCGGACCCTAAAGAAGTTTTCACTCTAGCAAAGGTGATGTCACACTGTGCAGTCATAAGCATGTTTACATTCTGAGGTTCAACCGCATGCCTGCTGCTCTCCATGACAGAGGACAATTTAAATAGTGTCAAGGTTTTTGAGTACATAGCCCTCAATGAGACAAGGCAACAGATAGAAACAGCCAGTAGCAGTTTCTGTATTCTGTTGAACCCCTTGGGAAAAAGTGGGGATGATTTTGAAGGTGTTTCCTGATAACTGACCATATTTCACAAAAATATAAAATTTGACCAGTTGGGCAGGTAAGTTATGATATGGCTACTTCATATCTGCAGAAAGAAATTGAAAAACTTGAGGCCAACAGGAGAAAACTCTTCACTAAGGAAAAGTTAGTCAAACTGATATAATTTTTTTATAAGAATTTATTTTCAAGACCACATATACTGTACATGATGGACAATTTCAGTGATTTTATGAGTATTTTGATTTATATATGATTTCTGATCCACTCACTGACTTTAGATTTTAAGTATTATATCAAGTATCCATCCCCACCCATCCCTGCCAAATACACACACAAGATTGTGTGTCTCTTTTGTGCTAATAGCTGAAGGAGGTAGACGCTGAACTCTAGCCAGTGGCTATGTGAGCATACAAGGTGGATTGTTCCTCTGATTGCTAGCAATGCGGAAAAGTTAATAAGCAGATAATTGGTTGAGAAGAGGTGCAATAAAAAAGCCACAAGAGCCTACGACTTATCCCTGCTGGAGCTGTGGCCTCCCAGACAAAGTGAGAGTTATTAAAAGAAAGGGAAAAGTTGAAAAGGGAGTATTTGGGTAGCAACTGTAGCTCCCTATTGGCTGAAGTCATCATAAGTTTCTTAAGGATGTCCACCTGGCAAGGGGGGACACTGGATATTGTGAGGCCGTATCAGCCAAGATGGGTGGATATACAAAGAAGACATTGACTCATTTTCATGTATTTACGAGGTCCTGATCTATGCTGGACACTTTTCTAGATGCAGTTCTTTATTTATGCTCAGGATGGTTACTCTGCTCTTTTTTAAGGCTAGGGACAAATGACAGTGCACTGTGGATGTGAGATTAACTCCTCTGTGTCAAAGATTGGAGGGAGTAAGCTTACTGCTAGCCCATATGGTACCTTTGCATAAATTTAAAAGGGTACCCCTTCCTTAAGACTCTATTTCCATCTGTTAGAAAATCGTTTAAATAAATATGTAAATAACCTATCTTTGCCATGAACAGTTACAATAAAAATCAAAAATAATGTTTTTAAATAATAAGATGCATACAATATAAGTGATGCCGCCTTAGACGTGGCCTTTGTGCAGTATACAACCCGAATAACCATACACGACGGCCCTTGGTGTGTATATGAGTCAGCCCTGTGTGCACTGGAAAGGAGGCACTGGCTTCCCTCACTACTATAGGGTATGTGGGAGAAGCAGGCTGTGCTTGAGGGGGTTCCTAGGGAAGCCAGGAGCTCTGAGAAGTAAAGGGTTTTCCTTGGTCTTAGGTGCTGCTTGTCCCATCACTGCTGCCTAGAGCAAGTGAGAAGGCTGGGCTGCCTGCTTGAGAGGCTTCCTTGGTCACCGGTGGTGTGTGTGGATCATACGCCCAAGTGTAAGTGCTGTTGGTTGCACATTGAGTTATTATTTCATTGAGGTCAGCATCGTGACTGTAGCTCAGACTTGTGGATGGTTTCCCAAGCACTTAACTGTGACTTAATACTCTTTTCTTCTTTCTTTCTTTTCCTTCCTTCCTTCCCTTCCTTCCTTCCTTCCTCTTTCCTTCTTTCCTTTTCTTTCTTTCTTTTCCTTCCTTCCCTTCCTTCCTTCCTCTTTCCTTCTTTCCTTTTCTTTCTTTCTTTCTTTTTCTTTCTTTCTTTCTTTCTTTCCTTCTTCTTTCTTCCTCTCTTTCTTTCTTTCTCTCTATCTCTCTCTTCCTTTCTTCCTTCCTTTCTTTCTTTCTCTTTCTTTCTTTCTTTCTGTCTCTCTTTCTTTCTTTCTCTTTCTTTCTTTCTGTCTCTCTTTCTTTCTTTCTTCCTTCCTTCCTTTCTTTCCTTCCTTCCTTCCTTCCTCCTTCCCTCCTTCCCTCCTTCCTTCCTTCCTTCCTTCCTTCCTTCCTTCCTTTCTTTCTTTCTTTCTTTCTTTCTTTCTTTCTTTCTTTTCTTTCTTTCTTTTTCTTTTTCTTTCTTGATGGTGTTTCACTCGGCCACCAGGCTGGAGTACAGCGGTACAATCTTGGCTCACTGCAACCTCTAACCCCCTGATTCCAGCGATTCTCCTCCCTCAGCCTCCCAAGTAGCTGGGATTACAGGCATGTGCCACCATGTCCAGCTAATTTTTGTATTTTTAGTAGAGACGGGGTTTCACCATGTTGGCCAGGATGGTCTCTATCTCCTGACCTTGTGATCTGCCCACCTCGGCCTCCCAAAGTGCTATGATTACAGGCATGAGCTACCATGCCCGACCAATACTCTTCTTAATGTTGAGGCACGTATTATCATACCTCTTCCACTGATGAGGAGATTCACTGTCAAGGGGGTGAGCTGCCTAAGTCACAGGGCCGGTGACGAGCAGGCTGGGACTAACGTAAATAGCCCAAGCTTACTGATTCTCAGCTCTTAATGTATGTTAACAGAATTAATCCTCAAAACAGTATCCCGAGGTAGCACTATTATTCTTCCCATTTAGCAGGTAAGGCAACTGAGGCCCAAGATCACACAGTTAGAAATAAGTGGGAGAACTGAGATTTGAATTGTAAAACCATATCATTTCAGAACTAAAGCTGATTCTTCACCACACCAGTGAGTTTCCAAGTAAATTTTTTCTTTTTCTAAGAAACAGAGTCCTTTTCCCAAGGAAGACTTGAGGAATACTATTTTAAAATGGGGGACTGGCCCTGGCTGAAGAGCAAGGCGTGCCTGCAGCTCCACTCCTCTCTATGGTAGAAACCAGAGGCTCCTCTGTATCCCTTCAGGGCCTCAGGCAGGGACCACTCTGAAAACTGCAATCCCCATGAGCAGGCCCCTGATAGCAAATGGAGACTTGCTGTAGAATTGACTTTATCTGCATTCTCCAGCTCCATTTCCTCATTCATATCGGTGGATGCATTTCCCTTATGCTTTGCAGTTTAAAAGGAAAGACTTGCCCTAGAATTTCACAGAGGCCCTATAAGAGTTTGTTCTCATTTTCATTTTCGTCTGGGGCAGCCCACTGGCTGGACCTTCCATCCCTTCTTCTTCCTCTACACAACCTCAGCACAGTGCATGGACTGCCATATTATCTTGCCTTGTACGATCAGGTATGTCTGTCACATCCCAGGAGCTTTGTGTTTACATATCACTCTCTCATTCATTCACTCATTCATCCGTTCATTCTATTATCCACTTAACCAACAAACCTTCACCAGGAACCAGGAAAACAATGAACTTTCATGATCCTTGCCTCAAATTGCTCACAGCTTGGACGGAAGTGATGTAGGCAAGCGACTAACTATTCTAATCTCATGTAGTATGTACTAACAGTTAGCACAGGGGCCCTGGGAATGTGGGTAAAGGCACTTGAGTCTACAGTATGGCAGTGAGAACAGGATAATTTGGGAAAAATTCAAGAGAGGTGTGAGATGAGATTTACCACATTCCCAGATGGCCATACTGGGCATGGATATTCCAAGCAAAGGGAAAAGGGAAAAATGGTGGTGTTTAGGGAATGCTGGGCAGTGTAGGGACAACTGAGCTGTGGTTCTGTATTGCTGGAACAGAAAGTGGAAGTGGGAGGCCCAGTTGTAGTGCAAGGTGAGGTTGAGGAGACAGACAGGTGCCAGATCATGAGCCCAAGAAACCCATTTGCAAGACTGAAGCATTTCCATTTTTTCCTATAGGGGATGAGGAGCCAGGGGAGGGTTTAGAGCCCATGAGTTGTCACATGATGCAATCATGCCAGGAGGTCTCACCTGCTGGGCTGAAGCCTTGCTCTCCCTTCCTCCAATATCACAGAATCCAGGAACACTGCATCTGAAGATTGAACTGATTCACAGCTTCAGTAAACCAGTTCTGACCCTCTGTGAGATTTAAGGATAGCCTCCTGTACCAGATGCCAGGTATTAGTTGATGAGAAATGAGGGCATCTCAAATCCTGGCCTGTGCTATCATAAGACAAATGCAGGGAGGAAGGACAGAGTGGCTCTGGGGAACAGGACCTCTGCATGTCTCCACTGTGCTCTCACACTTGGTACATTTTCCTCCTCTTCTTGTCACTTCCTGCTGCTGAAATGCAACTGGCATGTCTGGGGCTGACGTGGAGACCAAGTTAGGAGGCTTGGAAGGCCTCTGTGGTATATGATAGGAAAAAATCTGGTTGATGAACATTTCAAAGTAGGATTAGATGCCAAAAAAATCCCTTAGCTTCATTGAAAACCACAGATAACAAGGATAATATTTGTAGAAACTTATGTATGTGTAGAACCTTCAAAGATATTATTTCATTTGAGTCACACCACTCCCACTGCATGCAACTCATACATTGAAAAAAATAGGGTTGGTTTGCCAGATCTAGCAAATAAAAATACATGATGCCCAGTTAAATTTGAATTTCAGATAATCAATGAACTTTTTTTTGTATAAGTATGTCCTAAATGGAAGTACATTCAAACGTATTAACTGAAATTCAAATTTAACTGATCATCTATATTTTATCTGGTAATATGAATGATGAATAGGGAAATTCTGGCCCAGAGAAGGAAGAAGTAACCATCAAATCTAACACATATTTCCTTAGCACTAACTTGGGAAATATTTTTCAAGGTTTGAGTTAGGTGCTTGGACTCTGCTCTGTCAGCAGGGTTCTCTGTCCAGCAGTGCTACTGGCAGCAAATCCAGACAGGCTCTGCAGTCCTTGATCCTTCTCTTCTTGGGAGAAAGAATTCAGCCAAGAGACAGAAGTACATCTAAGGCAGAAAAAAGAGTTTACTGAAGCAAAGTAAAGTACACTTGGAAGGGGCCAAGCAGGCAACTTGAAAGATTTGAGTGTCCTGCCTGATGGTTGGCTCAGGGCTCTTACAGATTTACTATTTCCTGTCTTTTTCCCTCAATCTTTTCCTTTCATCCCTCCCCCGGGGCAGGCTGTTAGCTAATCACTGCATGCACAATGACTTGCCAGTATCTAGGAAGGGTCACAGGCACCCTTTGCTGGTTGAAGTTTTGTGCATACTCTGTTAGGGCAATTTCCCCTTACTGGTCTAGCACCCTCAGAAGAAGGGAATAGATGGGTCAAATGCTGCCAATTTTCCCCTTACTGTGCATGCCTGGACATGTCCCCAGAGGAAAGTCAAACTCGCCATTTTAAGTTTTTATTGGGAAGTTGCCCACAAGCTCAAGGTATCTCTTGTTTGTTAGGAAATTTTCTCATCTCTGTTGCCAGCTGCCTTACAATTGCCTGACAGTCACCTGACAGTTGCCTGATATTCTTTGGGGCCCTATCCTGCCCTGCTCATATCTGCCTATCTACCTACTGTAACACCAGGAGTAAAAAATGGATACATAAACAGACAATGACTATACAATGTGATTAACACATAACCTGCAGTGATAGAAAAAAACACGAAGTGGGATTCCATGGGAGCCCACAGGAAAGACACTTCCCTTAGCCTGGCAGCTCAGGCAAACTTTCTGGAGGAGGGGAAGCCAGCCTAGTCTTGACAGACACCAGTTGAGAGCATTGACAGCATTCCTGGCAGAGGGATCATTCCCAGCAGGAGGAGAAAGTTGGAAAATTACCAGCCATATAAGGTGGATACCCTGAAGGTGTGTGGAAGATGGGGAGGAAGGAGAAGGGCTGAGGGGTGGCCAGGGCCGTGGGGCCTCCCAGTGCCATCCTCAGAGGTCTCATGGCTTCTACTCTGCTCTTTCCTTCTAAGGTGGGGGCCAAAGCCTGTGTGAGAAGTTGCTCTGTGCCTGTGACCAGACGGCAGCTGAGTGCATGACCTCTGCCTCCTTTAACCAAAGCCTCAAGTCCCCAAGCAGACTCGGGTGCCCTGGGCAGCCAGCAGCCTGTGAAGACAGCCTGCACCCTGTGCCCGCAGCCCCCACCCTGGGCTCCAGCTCTGAGGAGGACAGCGAGGAGGACCCTCCACAGGAGGACCTCGGCAGAGCCAAGAGGTTTCTGCGGAAGTCACTGGGTCCCTTGGGGATCGGGCCTCTTCATGGAAGATAGATGCCCAGAGAAAATGGCTAACACCTTCAGTAGCGTGGCTCCTGCTCCACCTTCAGCTCTTTATCTCTCAGCCTCCTCTGTCCCTTGGAGCCTTCTTCCCTTCCTTTAACTCAGAGGCGGGGAGGGAACAGAGGCCGTGAGCCCTGCCCATGCCTCATCAGCTGTGGTCACCTCACAAGCCAATGTACACTTGGAGAAGGCACACCATGGTACCTCCATGCTCCTTTAGTGCACTGTGGAAGCTCAATAAATACTCCAATCAACATGCTCTGATTGTTTTGCTTTTAAGACATGTTTAGATACTGTCTCATGAGTAGATTATAAAAGTGAGATGGAGACAATGGAGGAAAAAATACCTCAACTTCCTAATCACTGAAAGCTACTTCTCCTTTTCTTAAAAAAAAAAAAAAAAAGAAAAAAGAAGAGAGCATATTTTATCAATCTTATGAGATTACCCGTGGGCCACCAATAACCCACCAATGCCGAGGACTGAGATGGCAGCTTTTCTGGTGTGTGCCCTAAAAAATACACTTGGCAGCCTAAGAGAGTGGCCCTGTGTCACAGCCACCACCACGAGAAATCACTGATCACCCAGTCCTGGGTCCTAGACTTCATTTTTTAAAAATAGGGTTTATCTCAGTGGTTAGAAGTTCCAGGGATGCAGGTGCCCATTCTGACATAGGCAGTTTAATATTATGGTGATTAAAAAAAACTTAAATGCCATTCATCCATCCATGTATCCACTCACCCACCCAATAGTTATTGAGCTTTTATGGTGTACCTGGCAAAAGGCAATGTTCTACCAGAACTGCCCTTAATATTCTATGGGGACACAAACTCTTTGGTTCCTGTCACATCTGTGGTTCCTATCACATCTGTGGTTCTCAACCCCCATACATCAGGTAGTGAGAGGATATTTCCTTTTCTCCCTCTCCTCAGACAGGAAAGCAGAACTTCTAAAGAGCTCAGTGTTTGCTGACTTTCATGGCATGAAAATATCCCAAGGTTGGCAACACCTTAAGTAATCAAAAGATCATGGTGCCAAACCAACAGTTGATACCCTTCCCTATCTTCTAGGGAAACCATGTGATAATATTTTTTTTTATGAATACAACACACTGGAATCTTTTCAACAACATGACCTTAACTACTAGCCTAAGTTTGGGTTGTCCCAGAAGTAGACCCTTAAACGAGGACTTGAGGGCACATAGTTTATTTGGAAACTGAAGAAGACACTGTGAGGAGAGTGAAGAAATAGGAAAGGAAAGGAAAGGCAGCCAATGAATGTGGTTTATCAAGCCAAATACCACTGTGGGGGCCTAGACCACTTCCCATTAGAAGTGCCATCCAAGACTTTGGGAGCCAGGATAGGATGCACATTTCAAAGTCATCTCATCCAAAGGAAAAAAGTGGAATACACACACACACACACACACACACACACACACAGAGAGAGAGAGACAGACAGACAGACAGACAAGCAGAGACAAGCAGAGACAGTGAGAGAGAGGGATGGAGGGAGACAAACTTCCATCAGTCATTGCTCCTGACGAGGGTGCTATTTCCTCCTGGCCTGCTGCACAGTTGGGGGCAAAGTGGGCTCTGGTGGCCAGAGAAGTCTTTAGGCAAAGAAATGCAGGTGTCAGCAGCTGGCAATCAGCCAGCGTGCACTAAGATGGCAAGGATGGAGGCATGCCCCATGGCATTTGCTGCAAGTAATAAATTGATTGTTGCCTGGCTCCTTCTTCCCTCCCTTTAATCAAGGAGGAATTGACTAAGGGTCCACTCACCGTGGCTATCACTGTGTTAAGTCACCCACAGTATGATGACCATCTGCCTTCTCCACATCTTCACTAGAGGCAGCTGAATGTGACTGGAGGGAAAAAATGAAACTGAGCTGAGCCATTTCACTTCAAGTTTACAACCACGAAACCTCAAATGGATGCTCAGCCTTTTCCTAACCAGTTGACTCTTCTGCTCTCCAGGACAACTGTTTGGTATCTTCTCTTCTGCCCTCAAACTCCCCTTGCCTCCCCCTCACTCTCAATTGATGACTCAAGAACTTTGAAGAATTTGAAATTTTACCTTACTTACAACCTTACAAGTTTGTGTTTCATGGATGCTGGCCAAAGACCTGAGATGCTTGGGTCAGAGACAAAGGACTTTGTTACTTACAGCAATGACAGTAACCTGAGTCCCAGCATTTATGTTGCTTTCCTGAAACCTGAAGCAGTGCAGAGAGGGCCAGGGGACACCTACACATGCAGTGCTTTTAATTACACAGGAGAATGCTGAATTTAGGGAACCTCGATGTTTTATAATGGGCTTTAAGACTGCCTGTCTTATATCCCAGAAGGAGACATTATCTTTATAATACAGGAAAATAAGTATGTCTGCCTATGGAGCCAAAGGGAAACATTATCCCTACCTTCCCTGTCTGTTTGCTGTACCGCATCCTTGAAAAGTTAGTCCAGAATAAAGGTAGTTAATGTCTCAGCTCACAAGACATGCAGAAATGCAAGAGACACATGGAGAATTGTTTAGTACAATTCTCATCTAATACTCATCTAATTAGATCTCATCTAATACTCTATTGAGATAATTGAAACTTTCCAGTGGGAATACCTTCGTCTTCCTGCCATCAAAACTACAAAATTCCCTGCATAGTCTTTCTCTTCCTTCTTGTTACAATGAGGTAAGTTTTCCTTTTCCTTATCAAAGGTCAAATTCTCCACCTATCATCTAGTACAATGCCCTGTTGCCTTCTCTAGGGTTTGATTCCTGCAAATATCTCCTCTTTGTTCTATATCAATCTCTCTCTCTCTTCTATATCACTCTAATCTGTGTAAAAACACAGCCTAAATTCTCCCATCTATAAAAATCCCTCCCTTGACTCTACATTCTGCTTTAGATATCACCCCCCATTTATTTATTTGTTCTCATAAGACAACTTCTCAAAAAATGTTTACATTCCCCGTCATCTTTTCAATCAGGCACATAACATCATTCAACAGAAACTGTTCCTGTCAAAGTCACAAATGACCTCCATATGCTGCTTGAACCATTGGACACACGTCTGTTCTCATCTTAACCTTCCAGCATAATTCCACACTGACCACTCCTTCCTTCTTCAACATTTTCCTGTTACCAGTAATGACTACACATTCTACTAGTTTTCATTCTACCTTTTTGGTTACTTTCCCTCAGTCTTCTTTGCTTATTCCTCTTTCTTTAGCAACCCTCTAAATGTTAGTGTACTTTAGGGCTCAGCCCTAGGCATCATAAAAGAAAAATTTTGCACTAGACACTTGTTAAAATGGCAAGGCAGATTTTATTCAGTACTATTGCAGTAGAGGAGAGACCTCTGGGCAACTTCAGCTCAACTCTGCGATAACAAAAGGTGAGAGGCCTTTTTTCAGGTATACAATACAATATTGTAAATTACTGTCCCCATGCTGTACATTAGATCTCTAGAACTTATGTTGCACAATTGAGACTTTGTATCCTTTGACCAACATCACACCATTCTTTCCTCCCTTAAGTCCCTCTTCTCTGCTTCTACAGGTTTGAGAATTTTAGATTTTACATATAAGTGAGATTGTGCAGAATTTTTCTGTGTCTGGCTTGATTTACTCAGCGTAATGACTTCTAGCTCCATCCATGCTGTCACAAATGGCAGGATTTTCTTTTTGTGGATGTAGCTGAATATTTCATTGTGCATATATACACCACATTTTCTTTAATCATTCATCTGTCAAAAAATATTTAGGTTGTTTCCATATGTTGACTATTGTGAATAATGCTGCAGTGAACACAGGAGTGCAGATACCTCTTTGAAGCCTATTTTTAAAGCCTTTGGATATCTATATCTATCTATATCTATATCTATAGAGAGGAGTGGGATTGCTGGGTCATATAGCAGTTCTATTTTTAATATTTTGAGGAATCCCTATACTGTTTTCCATAATGGCTGTACCAATTTAAATTCCCACCAGAAGTATAAAAGAGTTCACTTTTCTACACATCATCACCAACACTTTTTTGTATATTTGATACTAACCACCATAACAGATTTGAGGTGATATTTCATTGTGGTTTTGATTTGCATTTCCCTGATGATTATGAATGTTGCACACTGTTTTATATGCTTTGTTGGCCATATGAATGTCTTCTTTTGAGAACTGTCTATTTAGCTCCTTAGCCAATTTTTAAACTAGATTATTTGTATTTTTAGTATTGAGTTATATGAATTCCTTATATATTTTGGATACAAACCAAAATGTTTAAGAATATATTTTTTCTCACACTTTGTAGGTTGTCTTTTTACTCTGTTGTTTACTTTGGTATGCAGAAACTTTTTCATTTGACATAGTCCACTTGATTATTTCTGCTTTTGTTGCCTTTGTTTTTGGGTCATCTCCAAAAAAATTATTGCCAAGATCAATGTCAAGAAGGTTTTTCATATATTTTCTTCTAGGATAGTGTCAAGTTTTATGTCTAAGTCTTTAACTCATTTTGGGTTGATTTTTGTGTATGGTGTGAGATATGGCCCTAAGTTCTTTATTTTTTCAATGTGTATATCCAGTTTTCCAAACACCATTTGTTTCCTTTCCCCATTGCGTGTTCTTAGTACTCTGGTATAAGATCAGCTGACCATTAGTTTGTGCATTTATTTCTCCACTTTCTATTCTGTTCCACTGGTTTGTGTCTGTTTTTATGCCAACACCATACTTGTTTATTATAGCTTTGTAATATACTTTGTAGCCAGGAAGTGTGATGCCTCCAGCTTTGTTCTTCTCAAGATTGCTTTGGCTATCCAGGATCTTTTGTGGTTCCATATGAATTTTAGGATGTTTTTTTCTATCTCTGTAAAAAAAATATGCCATAAGGATTTGCACAGGGATTGCATTGAATCTGTAGATCACTTTGTGTATTATGGACATCTTAATAATATTAATTATTTCAATTCTTGAAGAATGTTTCTCCATTTATTTGATTCTTTTTTAGTTTCCTTCATCAGTGTCTCATAATTTTTATTAAATAGGTCTTTTACATCTCTGGATAATTCCTAAGTATTTTATTTTCTGTTACAGATGTAAACCCGATTGTTTTCTTAGTTTCCCCTTAGCATAGTTTGTTGGCTGGGGTATGCTAAAGGAAATGTACCGAAGGATGTAAGGGGGACTGGGCTACGTGATTAGCCATCTGTGTTTGTTAATTGCTGGTCATCTGAAGGCAAAACAAATTTATCATATGTTAAGGACAGGAGGCAGTTTTGCAAATGAGAGCAAGGTGGGAGATAGCTCTTTTGTAAACTGGAGCAACGTTGAGGGAGCTAGCTCTGCTGTCTCAGTTCCTGAGCCTACCCACCCTCAGGAACTGAGGCAGGAGAGCTCTGTCCCTCAAAGTTGGCCTGTAAAAGAGACGGCTCCTAGGTCTGTGAGGAGCCATTTCTGAGTGGTAGAAGATTTATATCTCAAAGGGGCAGGGAAAAGATTTATAGTTGCTAGTTCTGTAAAGTAAATGCTCTAAGAAAATGGAGGTCGGGGCCTAAACTCAGGTTTTCGCTGGAATGAAGAGTAAATTATTTTGTCAGCATTGAGCTTTCTCAGACAAGGACTTAAGTGGGGCTGGGGTCCTTATCCTAAGGGTGTGCCCTTGAGCTGTTAGGAGCTATACTAGTGTTTGCTCAAGCCTCCTAGTGTGGGGAGTGGACAAAATTGTTTGTGGTGAGAGTGTAAGTTCTCAAAGGCCTAGTCTGAGGCCTACTTGAGAAGAGGGCTCAGAGCAGCCTGACTTGATCTCCTTGGTCAAGGAGAGTCTTTATCAGTACTCTCTTCTTCTCTCTTCATGTAACCTGCTGATTTCCATATTTACGGCACAAACGCTGGCCTTTTCCATGACTCCAAACTCACATATTTGAATAGTCACTTGGATATTTGCTTGATAGTCTGTAAGCATCTGAAACTTAACTTGGCCAAAACAAACCCGTTGATTCCTAGCCTGATGCATCCTTTCCCACTATGAACTTGCTCTTGCCCCACTCTTTCTGCCTTAGTGAATAACACAGCCAATCATCAAACTTAATCTGGACTAAAACCTCGGAAAATTTTCCTGTATCTTCCCAATTCAACCCATCAGTACACTCTCCTGGCTCTACCTCCCTTGGTCTACATCTCACCAGCAACAACCAGCTGCTCAGGTACTGAGAATGAAGTAGGTCTAGATTCCTGAAAAGTCCTGCCAGGGAGAGCGGTATTTGGACTAGAAAGCCTTTATGGAGAGCGAGAGCTTTTTTTTTTTTTTGAGACGGAGTCTCGCTCTTTCGCCCAGGCCAGAGTGCAGTGGCATGATCTCGGCTCGCTGCAAGCTCCGCCTCCTGGGTTCAGGCCATTCTCCTGCCTCAGCCTCCTGAGGAGCTGGGACTACAGGCGCCCACCACCGCACCCGGCTAATTTTTTGTATTTTTAGTAGAGATGGGGTTTCACCGTGTTAGCCAGGATGGTCTCGATCTCCTGATCTTGTGATCCACCCGCCTTGGCCTCCCAATATGGAGAGCTTTTTAAAGGGGTGTCTTGCAATATGTCTGTCAGGTACAGCTTAAAGTGGTAGTTTGCTTTCTATTTACAGTAGTCCCCCGCTTATCTGCAGTTTTGCTTTTTGTGGTTTTAGTTACCTGTGGACAATTCAGGTCTGAAAATATTAAATGGAAAACTCTAGAAATAAACAATTCAGAGTTTTTAAACTGTGCACTCTTCTAAGTAGTGTGACAAAATCTCTCACCACCCAAATTCATCCCACCTAGGATGTGAATCACCCCTTTGCCTAGCATGTCTGTGCTGTAGACACTACATGCCCATTAGTCACTTAGAAACTGTTATCAGATTGACTGCTGCAATATTGCAGCGCTTGTGTTCGTCACCCTTATTTTCTGTGTATAGAAGTATATTGTTATAATTTTTCTATGAGCTTATTGTTGTTAGTCTCTTACTGTGCCTAATTTATAAATTAAACTTTATCATAGGTATGTATGATAGGAAAAAACATAGTGGTATATAGAGTTTGGTAGTATCCACGGTCTCAGGCATCCACTGGGGGTCTTGGAATATATCACCTGCAGATAATGGGGGACTAAAGTACATTTGTTTTATCTTAACAGCTTATGAAGAATTTCACCCTGGTTGGCTGACTTGTAAAGGCAGGATTCAGGCATCCCAGATCCCTGGTAAAAATACCATCTTATAAAAAATTCAGGGTTTATGCTTAACAATCTGCAGGGTAGGTTTAGATTGTGAAGGGCCTTGAGTGTCTGGCTAAGAAATGAGCATATTGGTTCTTTTAAAACACATCAAGTTCACTACTTCTGCTTAACAATCTTTAATGGTTCTCCCTGTAAATACTGTTAAGCAGAAGTAGTGAACTTATGTTTTAAGAGGTGATCCTGACAGTGCTTAACTGAACTAGAACTTAAAAGTCCCGCCATGTCCCATTCCCCGCTGTGTGTCTTGGAGTAAGCACCAACTTCTATCCTGCTTAGTTTCCTAAATCACTGTTCATTTCATGTCTTTTCCCTTGGGCCCGTCTTGCTGGCTGCATAGCGGAGGGAGGGGACAGTCCCGTTCTGCTCCAGAAGGCCAGAGTGAAGGCGTTAGATTTGATGACTTCTAAGGATTATTCCAGGTCTGACTCAGTGAAAATAGTCTTCATAGCACTACACTGTAGACTGAATTACAAAAAGCTAGAGCCGAAAGGGAATTTAAAGGTGATACTTTCCCTGAGATTACAGAATTCTGATGGTAACTTCTCCCCCCACAGTATACATCAATAATGGATGGAGAGAAAGACTTTTTCCCCCACTTTGAGTTTATACGGTTTCTAGGCTATTTTTAGATTTCAAATCCTAATAGTTTGAAAAAGGGAACAGGCAAACACATGAACAAGCAGCTCTTATAACTTCTTGGTATCTTTCTCTTGATCCCTTTTGCAGCCCCTCTTTCTAAAGCTATGTGTTCCCAGGTGTCTATGTGGGGCCAGCAGCTTTTCACAAGTCACAAACCCTCTCTTCCTTGGGACACGCTCATTCATTTTCAGTTTTAATTGTTGTCAGTATGCTTTTGACTTCTGAATCACTACCAAATCTCTGAATTCCAGGCCTGAATATTCAACCTCATGCTAGTATATGTTACTTGGATGCTCCCCAGGCACCTTAAATTTAACACATCCAAAACAGGACTCATGTTAGAGTCACTTCCTCAGGAAGCAGAAAGGCTGGTGTTATAACGACGATGGAAGCCCTATAATGTTGGGCAAGGAAGTTTGGGTCCTATTGTGTATAGGAAAGTCTGAGAAGTATTTTAAGTAGTGCTTCCTACACTTCAGAAAGATGTATGTGGCAGCAAAATAAAAAATTGGAAAGAGTGCAGACTAGGGACAAGAGGCTACAGCCATAAAAAGACAACCCCCCAAAAAGTAAAGATTCAGAATATATATTTCTCCAAAGAAGATATACAAATGGCCAAAGAGCACATGGAAAGATGTTCAACATCATTAGTCTCTAGAGAAATGCAGTTGCCAAGGCCTGGTGGGGAAGGGGAAATGTGTGTCTGGTAAGGAGTATGCGGTTTCTTTTTGAGTGATTTAAGTGTTCTGGGATTAGATAGTGGTGATCAGTGTTTCATATTGTGAATATATTAAAAGTCACTGAACTGTACGCTTTAAAATGTGAATTTTATGGTACGTGAATTATATCTCAGTAAAGCATTTTTTTTTAAAGAAGCCTACTGTGCACTGAGTTGAATGTGCTGGATCCCTAATTTCAATTTCTTTATTCATTTAGATGACTTACAATGATCATATTTGAGATGATTACTTTTTATATTTTCTTGCGGTATTAGGGAATTGAATGGTATTTCTAATTTCAGATATACAAAAGTTGATGTCATAATCAGAAGTTTACTAGTTTAAAGCTAGTTGGTGAATGACTACTGTCAGCTTTAAGTCTGAATTTCAATGTTCTCATCTGTCAAACATAAGCTTTGAATGAACCTGACTCTAAGATTCTTTCAGCCCTTAAGTCTCTTGAATCAGGAATTCTACAAGTGTACAGCTGTAACCTTTATGCAGGTGAGGTAGGATAAGAAAAGCAAAGGGTCAGCAAATACAACGGTGCAAAAGGTATTATGGCCAAAACCAGTGAGCAAGATGGGGGACATATGAAATTATAAACCAAATGCTCCCAGATTTAGCCTTGTTCTTAACTACCAGACTAGATGGTGCTATCTTGGACATCTTTTGCTTGACTTCACATCCTCTAATCCTCACATATCCCTTCAGACCCTGCTGTGATAACAATTTCCACACGGACTCTGACTGCCTCATGGAAGTGGAATGGCAATGCTTGCCTGCTTGCTGTACTGCTGTACTTCCTGCCTTCTGGCACAGGACTTCCCTGAGAATGAGGTATGGGAAACTTGGGGTAACAGCTCAGCACTCAAGCACAAACAGTCCAAAAACGTGGGAGAGTTAATGACCACAGGGCCACCTTCAACCATGAACAGAAGCCAAATAATAAATGCTTTCCCAATTTTTCATCCCCTGGGAAGTTTTGAGATTATTTTTATGAGACTCCTTAGAATGTCCAGTGGAATGGTTATCCAGGCACCTCAAGTGAGACAATCAAGAAATCCTCTTAATCGGCTTTTTCTGCTTCCATGTTAGATCAATTCCCAAAGTAATACCTCCACGTACACCTTGTCTCAGGCTCTGCTTTAGAGAAACCTAGGCTAAGACAGTGCCTTCGTAAGAGTCTGCATCTGATTCAACGTACAGGTAAAAGGCTGAATACAGCAAAACTAAGAGGCAGAGTTTGATGTTCCACCTTGCCTCTGCTTTTTCATTCATTTGAACTTGGCACTTGAGATCAATAATTTTATCAGATGAGAGAACAGGTAACAGGATCACAGCAAGTTAGAGTTGGAAGGAAAGTATATGGGATAGCACAGCAAACACAGTGCTCATTTTGTACCCATGCAAACAGGTTCAGAAATGTGGAATGGCTGGCCTAAGACTGCAGAGCTGAGGACTGCCCAGTTGCCTATGTCCCAGTGTAGTGAACTCAAAGATGATTATTAATCATTTATTGAATGCTTACTCTGTGTCACGTAGGCGTGGCACAGGGAACCTCTTCTAAGTGGTTCACTTACTCCTCACAGCTAACCTCGGAGGGCAGAACTTACCATGCTCACTTTACAGATGAGAACTTCACGGATCAAAGTTCAGTCATTGGCCTAAGGTCACTTAGGTAGTGGTGGTGCTGAATTTGTGAACAACAGCCTGAGCTCCTCACCGCTATGCTACGTTGCCTAACAAAGGAGGTCCCTGAACCACATTTAGGCTATGATGCACATCTTTGTAAGTGGTAGAATAAGCAAATCAGGTGGGGATAGGGTACTGAGAGTATGTGTGTGTGTATATATATATATACATATATATATATATATATATTTTTTTTTAAGAGCTGCTTTGTGTAATTTATAGGACAAGGAGGTAAGGTTGAAAAGACAATCATTAAGACTGACACAGAGATGGCAACTACACTTTCACAAGCACACACTGTGAACTTTACCTTACTACGTCTTGTCATTGTCATGACTAGCAGTTATCATTCTGATACTTCCAATGTACATGGGAACGAATTCACTTGGCATACTGATTTTTACTAAAGCTCTTCAGTTTTTGTTTTTGAGATGGGGTCATGCTTTGTCACCCAGACTGGAGTATAGTGGCATGATCCTAGCTCACTGCAGCCTTGAACTATTGGGCTCAAAAGAAGCAATTCATTTTTAATTTAAGCAAATATTGAATAAATTTAATTAAATGTAACAATAGCTATAAAAATGAACTTATATACAAATAATCTATGTTTTATTGCTGACATATGAATTGCACAGTGAATTTTTACATTTCAAAAACTAACTTTATTGCATTTAATACAGATATAAGCACGAATAAGACAAATTAGTTCCATTTTCAGACAGGAAGAAAAACATTTTGGGTAGGGAGAAGTTAATTGCTGGTAAAGTGTAGTAGTATTATTATTCTAAAAGATAATGAGTTCAGAAGTATTAAGGAAATATGTGTGTGTGTACGCATAGGTATTCAGGTAAACACCAATAACAATAAAACTCTATAAGCGGTCACAGACAACACAAGTACAGGAGGAACATTTAAATGTTAACCAATGTCATGAAAGAAAGAGTGATATAAGCAATTCTATACAGCAAAAAGAGAATGATTAACAATTTATTGAGTTTTATTTATCTACAAAAATATAGCAATACAGTGAACTTCACCAAATCCTAAATATTCAGTACCTGAACTGGCTACAACACCGTGTGCACACCCAGTTCCTGCAGAATCTCTTGCAGATATGGGAGAGTCAGCCAGTGAAAAGATCCATTTCTTGGGAATCCTTGTCAACAAGACCAGTTCAGAAATCCAGGATATATAGAAGCCTACTGTAATTTAAAAACAGTAACAAAAACCCCAACAAAACCCAAATCAACAAAGACCAAGATAAAGGTGTGATAAACATTAATTGTAATGGTTTTCCTTTACATGCAATACATGCATTTTAAAATCACTAAGAAACACGAAATTTTGTAGAGCAAAGTTTGTGTTTCACGTAAGTGCAAATGAATATATATTTTATTTTTTATACTATTAAATTATATATATTTTTTCCATACAAAAGCACACAGTGTTAATCTATAAAATGACATCCAAGTGGATGATGATTGTTTTTGCATGTCCCCCTGCTTAGATTTTTTTAAAATATATAGTCAAAAATTAACATCCTTCTTTAAAAATACAGAAGGAAAAAAGGGCAATTAAAAAAATACAACTTGGCTTTACGGACTGGTGAAGCATTTTTCCTGATCAAGAGGCAAAGTTCCAGTGACAGCTGCCACAGGGCCCTTTAGTCCTCCAGCGGTAACGACTCCACTGTCACTCTGAAACAAGTCTTGCTGATCTACTTATTTAAGAAGCAGCCCAGGATCTTTCAGTGTCATTTCATAGGTTTCAATGACTAGACTGGTTTTCAAGATGTTGCGCTTTTGTTTAAGTATTCAGAAATTTTCAAGTATGCTTGTCCTATTATCGTTTCCTTACTTTTGTCTGTTTCTACTAAAGGTGCCCAAATAGCCATAAACACAAACATCCCATTCTTCACTGCAATTTTTTAAACAAAAACAAAAGCCAAAAATTAAACTGTATTCTAGGCTACAGTTTTTGATATGTATGCTGTTTTATGTAAAAAGAAATGGAATCTGAAAAGATAGAACTATAAACAGGTGACTTTATAAAAATGTCCTAAGAGAATTTTATGAGTTACAAAGAAAGCTGTTCATTTTACCATGTGATAGAATTCACTAAGATGTATGTAATGTTATGGGTCTGTCAGTGTTATGTGTAGAGTGCACCTGTGATCTTGGTAGCTGAAATCAAAAGCAGCTTAAATTGACAAACTTTAGCACACTTGACTGTTAAAACACAGGCAGCTTTTCAAATATAATTGATTCTAAACAGATGTATACAAGTCACAGTTCAAATCTTACAAATTAAAAGTCCATCTGGAGAATTTTTTGACTATGAGGATTTAAAATAATATACAAATGTAAATAAATGTGCTCTTAATAGAAATCAAAATGTACAGACTCTTCACAGGTGAACTAATAGCTGTTTTAAATGTCTTTTTTCTGCACTAAATATATATCTCATTTAATTAATGGAGCCACAGCAAAATACTACTATAATTTCAAAGCACAGCCTGTAAACTAATACATCTTATGATGTAAAAATATTGCACAGTTTGGTACTCCAAGAGTAAGCTCTACACTTCTCAAGCAGAATGGTCAAACTCTTGGCAGGAAACACAATATTACAAGAACCAGACAATTTAAAGTATGGCGTTTTTAGGGTTATATTCGAGGAATGCTATTCAACAGATGTCCTATTATTGTGAAGAAGATGAGGAATGCCTATCACATATTATTATAGTAACTGAATAGCAAGGTGCCTATCCCAGCTTATCTAAAGCATGGGGACAAAAAGCCACCGAACAGTTTTGCAGTCCCAGGACTAGGAATATATTTAAATGTATCTGCCTTTGCAGAAAACAACAACAAAAATTCTACATCTAAGCGGCTGTGTAGATGTTTAAGAGATAAACAATTTATACAGTTTCAATCCTCTGAAGGCTTACTTTTTAAAAAACATTACATTTGTGAAAAGTTTAAAACATACTACTTAACAGTGGAATAAAGTGAAACCAAAACATGTTCAACTTAAAAAGGCAACAGGAACCTCAAAGCAAATTAACATGGCATAAATCTATCTTTGAAAGTACTCGAAATTATATATAGCTCCAAAACTTCTAATATGGTATGCCAAACATTTGGTTAAAGATATGTTCCATCATTATTTTCAAGAAGTATGTTAATACACATTAAGTAAACCCTGAAAGCTCAGCTTGGCCTTAATTTTTAGGCTTTACAAATCATATCCTGAGGTCTTCATGCGCCGATCAGTACACACACAGATCTGGAAACTTCATCTCATAGACTGGGACAGATTGGTATTGGGCATGCCCAGAAGTAATGGTCAGTGTTCCTGATGGACTGGGAGGAGGACTATAAAAGAACAAAAATACATTGTCAGCAGGTGTACTTACAAGCTGTTCATTTCACCGAGTATTCTATCTACTATCTGCGAATATCAAAGTCAGACTCCTTAATTGCAGTGATCAATGCCATTGTAGTTACTGGCCAGCTACAAGGCTGCATGGGAAACAGACTGCAGTAGTGTCAAACTGTTTTTAAGTCTAAAGCAGACATTTTCCTTGGAAAATATGTATATACAATTTTAAATGCGATTATACTCTACCCATTCTTGTGAGCTTTGTTTCATTAGTAAAAAATTATTTCATGTATACAGATATTATCTTTTTTGATGACAGAATGGTATTTCATTATATATATATATATATATATATATATATATATATATATATATCTCATACTTGATTTAATCCAGAGAACAAATGCAGGTTCATTTTCATTTTTTCATCATGATAAATAATGTTAAAAAGTCTGTTCTTATACATACATAATTTTATTCCGACTGATTGTCACCTTGGTTTATAGTCTTACAAGTAGAATTTCTGCATCAAAGTGTACTCAAAATGTTGACTTTGGTACATACATATTGCCGGAATACCAGCAATTTACACTTTCAGCATTTCACTGTGCCTTTTACACTGTTACAAATATTAGATATAGTCAGTCTTTTTAAAACAGCTTTGCCAATCTGAGAGGTAGGAGATAATTCATTCTTATTTTCATTTTTAAATTCTATGTTACTATTAATGGTAAGTATCTTTGTAGTATCCATTTTACATTTCTTTGAAAATGTAAACTGCCTATTTAAGTCCACTGCCTCTAATCCTACTCAGATATTTTTCTCTTATCAATTTGGGAAACTAACCTTTTGTCATATGATACAGATGCTTTCCTCCAATTCATTATTTAATTCTCAACTTTTTTTGTTGCCAAATGCTTAAAAGCCTTACCAAAAAAAATCAATTATTTCCTTATAATTTTTAGTTTTTTAGTTATGCTAAGAAAAACTTTCCCTCTACATCAAGATTACAAGAAATACTCCTGTATTAATTCTAGTGTTTTTATGTATTTTTCTAAACAATGAGTGAAGCTGTCTACCTTGGCAAAAGAAGTGAAGTGGAAAACTTCCCCCGACCCTTCCTCGCTGGTCAGTAGTGTTCAGCAGTTGTCCAAATGAGATCAACTCAACAGTTGCCCTTTTCTTTGAAAATCTGAAATCTTATCTTTACCACAGATACCTTCTATACTTGAATTTTCCTCTCTTCCACTTACCCATATGCAGGTCCAATCTGGTGTAAGTACCAAAGATCTGTCATATGTTTTTCTACCAAGCAAGGCAAATACTCCCTTGTTTCTTTCTACAGCATTTTCCTGACTGCTCTTGCATGTGGATTCTTTCACATTGACCTTAGCATCATTTGTTCAAATACTTAAAAAAAATTATCTTACTAAAATGATAGCTTAATCTACAGAAAACTGACATCTATGTTAACTTCCTATTCAAGAATAAGATGTTTCCATTTATATAAATATTCTTAAGCATATTTCAGAGATATATAGTTTCTTCATGTAAGTCTTATATACTTCTTTGAATTTATTAGCTCATGGTTAAGAGTGTTTTCATTTTAATTAATAAATGCACAGATATTAATTTCATATAATTATTTTTAACTGCAAACTGTCCTCAATTGTTAAGTTATTCAGTTGGTTTTCTTATATTTTCCTGGTATATCTATTTTTGGTAACTAACAATTTTGCAATTGTTCCAGTATTTACAATACACTTAAATTTTTTATTAAGGGATAATTTTCACAGAATGAAATAAACTGATCTTAAGGGTACTGTTTGACAAAAATTGACAAATGTATACACTCATGTAAATCACACCCATGTAAATCACAGCCCAATAGAGATAATGAACACTTTCTTTTTTTTTTTTTTTTTTTTTTTTTTTTGAGATGGAGTTTTACTCTTGTCACCCAGGCTGGAGTGCAATTGTGTGATCTTGGCTCACTGTAACCTCCACCTCCTGGGTTCAAGAGATACTGAACACTTTCAATCACCCCCAAAATGTTTCATGTCCCTAACCAGTCAATTTCTCCCCACTCTGACATACCCATACACATACATCCACATGCAACAACTATGTTCTGATCTCCATCACTGAAGATTAGTGGTGCTTGTTCTTAAACTTCACGTAAATGGTCTATACAGGCTCTATGAACAGTCCAACAAACTGTCTTCTTTTATGTCTGATTTCTGTTACTTAATATGTTTTTCAGATTTACCCCAAAAATTGTGTTCCTTTTTATTGCTGAATAGTATTTCATTATATTATCACCATTTGTCTGTTCTCGTGCTAATGGACATTTGGCAACTATGAATAAAACTGTCATAAACATTCACATATATCTTTCTGTGAATATATTCAATTCTCTCATTTTATTGGGCACAAAATGGTATCTTAAATTTGCATTTCCTTGTTAACGAATGATTTTAAACACTTTTACACATGCTTATTGGCGATTCAAACATTCCTTTTGTAAAACAACTACTGTCTTGGCCACTGAAAATTGTCTTTTTATTTTTCAGTTGTAGGGGTTCTTTATCAGATATTGGTATTGTGTATACTGTATTTTCTGAGTTTGTGGTCTGCCTTTTCATTTTCTTACTGGAGTCTTTTAATGGTAAGTTTTTAATTTGGATGAAGACCAATTTACCAATTTTGTTTAGTACTTTGTGTGTCCTAAGAAATCTTTTTGCTCATTTTAAGACTGAGAGGACTCTTTCCTATGTTTTCTTTTAGAAATTTTGATTTTAGCTTTTACATAGACATTGATTACCCAACTTAATAATTAATGTTTGTGTTTGGTGGAAGGTAGGGATTGAGATTAGTATTTTTCTTTTAGCTTATCTAGTTGTTCCAGGACATTTGTTGAAAATATTTTCTTTTCCTCATTAAATTGTTTTGATTCCTTTATCAAAAATCACTTAAGTTTTTGATAGGACTCTCCATTCTGTTATCTTGATCTCTTTGTGTACTCTTATACCAATAATGTCTTGACTACTCTGGCTTTATAAATCAAGTATTGAAATTAGGCAGTGTAAATTCTTCAACTTTATTTTTCCTTTTCAAAACTGTTTAGCTACTCCAGGTCCTTTGTACTTTCATCTGAATTTTAAAATCAATTTATACGTTTTTACAAAAAAGTCTGTTGGGGTTTTGATTGGGATTTTATTGAAGCTACAGATCAACTTGAAAGAAACAGCATATAAACAATATTTAATCCTTCAGTCCATGAACATGGTATATCTCTCCTTTGTTTAGGTGTTAATTTCTCTCATTCATGTTTTATATTCATAACAGAAATCTTACATACTGTTAAATTATGGCTAATTTTTTTAATGCTATGTTTAAAAATTTACTCTTGCAATTGTTTGTTGTTAATATATAGATATACAACTGAATTTTGAATACTGACCTTGAATACCCTGAATCCTGTGACCTTACTAAAATTCATTTAATTCATGTATTAACTCTAGTAGGGTTTTTTTTCTTGATTACTTACGATTTTCCACATACACAACCATGTCATCTGTGAAAAGATAGTTTTATTTCTTCCTTTCTCATCTTTATATTTTTCCTTTTTTCACTTTACTTACCTAAGACTTTCAATACAATGTTGACATGGTGAGAGTAGACATCCTTGACCCAGTTTTAGGTGAAAGGCATCAGACTTTCACCATTATACATAACATCAGCAATAGATTTTTTTATAATTACTCTTTATCAGATTAAGTTCCCTTCTATTCCAAATTTTCTGATAATTTTTGTCTTAAATGAACATTGAGCTTTTTCAAATGCTTTTTTTCCTACTGGTGTGATCATGCAACTTTGCTTTCTTACTATGTTAATGTGGTGAATTTTGCTGACTGATCAATTTTCTAATGTAAAACTGATCTTGCTTTCCTCATAGTAACCCCATTTATTTAGGCCATATCATCAGTTTTATACATTTGCTAACATTTTGATAAAGATTTCTGTGACTATATTCAGGAGGGGTACTTGTCTATAATTTCATTTTTCTTAAAATATCCTTGTCTCATTTAAGTGTTGAAGTTATACTGGCCTCATGAGTTAGAAAATGTTTCTACCTCCTTTGTTTCCTGAATATGTATGAAACTGGTATTATTTCTTACCTAAATGTATGATAAAAGTAAGCAGTGAAGTTAAATGCATTTTCTTGTAGGATGCTTTTAAACTGCAAATCTATTTCAACAGTTATAGGGTTATTTGGATGTTTTACTACTTTTTGTGTCAATTTTAGTTAGTTTTGACTTTCAATAATTTTTGCTCATTTCATCTAAAGTGTTGAATTTATTGTCATAAAATTGTGTATAACATTCCTTTATTATCTATAATTCTTTTTTATTTGTAATATTGGTAATCTGTGTTTTCTCTCTTTTTCTTCCTTAACACTGACCAGAGGTTTACCAATTTTATCAACCATTTCAAAGAACAAACTTTTAGGTTTGTTAATATTTTCTATTGTTTGCCTATTTTCTGTTTCATTGACTTCTGATATACTTAGTTTAGCTTATGTTGTTCTTCTTTCTCTAATGTCTCACCAAAAGTCATTAATTCACTGCTTTCAGATCTCTCTTCTTTGCAAGCAAAAGCATCTAAAGATATAAAATTGCTCCTGAGCACGATTTTAGTTTCATCTTACAAAACTTTGATAGGTATTTTCAGTTTAAAATGTTTTCTAATTCGTCCTGTCATTTCTTCTTTGAGGTATGGGTGTCTTTTAATTTCCAGATATTTGAAATTTTTCTAGATATGTGTTAATGCATTATACTTTTTTTTGTGGCAAGAGAACATACTCAATATGATGTCTTAACATGTCAGTTTCCTGACATTTACTTACACTTGCTATAGTCCCACATCTGTCTATTTTGTGAATGTTGTATGTGCACTTCAAAAGAATCTATATTCTGTATTTGCCTAGCATTGTGTTTTCTAAAGGCCACTTAAATTGACTGAAATGGTTCAAATCTTATATCCTTTCTGCATTTTTGTCTTCTTGTTAGTTATGTTTTAGTACTCTTATGAGAGGAACATTAAAATTTGCAATTATAATGCAAAGAAACAGGAGACGATCGTGAGAATAAGCAATGTCACACACATTTCTCTCCAAACTATATGTATCTTGTCCTTTAAATTCTTTGACGTGTGTGTGTGGGGCCTGGGTGGGGGGTGTGGGTGTGTGGTGTTCTAAGGGCCTTTTCTACTAATTCCAATAACTGGGTTATCTGTGAGGCTGCTTATTCTCACTGTATTTTACTGCTTCTTTGCCTTTCTTGTTTTTTTTTTTAACCATACTCAGGTATGGTTAAAATGTAAATGAAAGAACAGTGGGAGCGAAGTATAATATTGTGTTGTTCTGTTTCTTTTATGGAGGATACAAACTCTTTCCACTGTCTGATGGTTAGGGTGAGGCAAATTAACAAGAGAAAATGTACCAGACAGGACCTGAAAACTCTGAAGACACATTTCTATAAAGTCTATTTAGTTTCTCCATAAGCTATTCCAGAGCTACTGCTTCCTAAATAGGTGACCCTGTATAAGTTACCTAACTTCCATGTATGTCTGTTTACAAACATGTAAAATGAGAATAATCACTATCTGTTTGTTAGAGTCTGTTGCAGATATTAAATAAAATAATACATTTAGCACAGTGCTTAGAACAACATAGGTGTTTAAAAATGTTAATTATTAGTAGTAACTGTTCAATGAATGTAAGTATTAGTAGTAGTTGTGGTACCAATGAAACAGAATTAGTTATAATACTTATTCTAAAATATTAAATTCATATAGTTATGTTAGTTTGACTAAATGTGATATGGTGATCTCTAGCAACATTCCTTTTAAGAACATCAGTTATGGATTTGAATTTTGACTTTGCCACTCATTAGCTGTATGCCCTTCAGCAAATTATTTTACTTTTCTCTAAGCCTTGGTGTCTTCACCTGAAAAATCAAAAAAATAGTGTCTACCTACCTTTCAGGGCTATGGTGAGGATTAGCAGAAATAATAGATATAAACCATGTAGCATAAGATCAAGTACACAGTAGACATTTACTATTAAATGTTTGACATTTAGTCATCAAAGAAGTAAATGCCCACACCCAGCAATTTTAATTGAATCCTAAGTCTAGCACAACAGTCGCCGACCTTTTTGGCACCAGGGACCAGTTTTGTGGAAGACAGTTTTTCCAAGGATGGGGACTGGGGGGATGATTTCAGGATGAAATTGATCCACCTCAGATCATCAGGCATTAGATTCCCATAAGGCGCATGCAACCTAGATCCCTTGCATGAGCAGTTCACAATAGGGTTCCTGCTCCTATGAGAATCTAATGCCGCGCTGATCTGACAGGAAGCGGAGCTCAGACAATAATGTTCACTTGCCCACTGCTCACCTCCTGCTGTGGAGCCTGGTTCCTAATAGGCCATGGGCCAGTACAGGTCTCTGGACTGAGGGTTGGGGACCCCTTGTCTAGCACATATTGAATATTTTAGTCTGATTTTCTGTTCTTAAATTTTGTAAATGAGTGATTCTCAACTTAAGAGAGTATAGCAGGAATGGGAGGGAAATGTCTAGAGTAAGATATATAATGACAAAAATGTGCCTTGCTTATGAAAGCAGAAAAAAGACTGAAACAAAAAAGCAAGTGGCCTAGAGCATTTACCTGTCTCTAATATTAATATAATACAGGGTTGAAGAAAAACAGACTTAATTAATCAAGTTAAAAATATGAAAGATATGCCAGATATAGAAAAAATTTCCAGAAGCATAGACATCTCTACTGGCCACCTCTCACAAAGGCAGGTTTCCACACTGAAGTCAATGTAAGACTATGTGGAAGTTCCTTCTTTAGATGGAACCTAGAGTTTGCCTCTCCTTCCTTCAGGTGCTACATTTCTTATTAATGTATAGACATAGGATAATCAAAGAGCATAATAATTCACAACAGAACTCAAATGAATATGATGTACAAAAACTAAAGGAAAGTTCAATAATTCAAATGAGCTATCTGCATAAGTAGACTTATTACTGCCCTGAAAAGAACCATGAGGCTGACATATTAAAATGCAGTTTCTGCAGGACAAAACGATTCAATATGAGCAATTTCCTAATTAAGCATAATATTAGAATATGGGTCTTTTTTAAATTACCCAGATGTACTTAAGAGATCATCAGGAAGGAATGAATAATCTAAAAAAGAAGCTAAAAAGCTAGAGGACAACTAGTCAAGAAAGGGTATCAGACTCTGCCTAAAAAACAGAATCACTATTAAGCAAAGGATCACCTATATGATCTTATGTTAATCCTAAATGAAAAGCATTACTTTAACATGATAACTTAAACATAATGAACCACAAATTCATAGGGGTCTGTCAGTTTCTATTCGTGTGTGTGTGTTATTGCTATTGTGATAACAAAACCCTTACCGTATGGTGAGTTCCAATATTTGGGCAAGTCTATCATGAAGCAAATTTGCCTGCAAAAAAGAAAAAAATGTTAAGAATGGTTTATTTTCTAGGTATCTATATATAATAATATCAATGTAACTTAAGAGACAAAGTATAATTGTGACTATTAAGCTGATTAATTATTAAGTACACAATGCTTTAAAGTTTTGGTTTGATCTGTCTTATCTATTAGAATTTAATGTAAGGGTTGTCTTTTTTTCCCTTTCCTCGTCTCAATGTTAAAAACATATCAACAAACACATAAAACAAAATACCTGCAGCAAAATCATGGAAAACCACTGCAAAAAACTATCAAAACAATAACAATCACTAATACTTAATTTGGGAAAACAGTTCCACTATTTCCATCAGCTTACATCATACAAAGAAATTATTTAGGTCTCATAGATATGCCTTCAGAGTTTCAGTCCTTATCTGATATATTTTCCTGTGTTCCGTTGATTTGACTAAAGCTTGGAACTTATCAACTAATCACCAAGGAAGAGTTTCCACAAAACAACAGTCCACCCACAAGCCCTTCACCGTTTCTTCACTTACTTTGGATTCACACTGTGCTGCTATTTCTTCAAAAGGTGCTTTCTGAAATTTCTCTATCACAAGACGCCTCTTTTCCTTTTCCTGTTCTTCCATTCCACTGGTATCTATACAAATATTTATAAAGACTTATTAAAGGGAATACATAATTTCACAGAACCCAGTCAATGACCGTTAAGAGTTAATGATATATCATCCAAAATTAAGGGCAATTTACAGGGCTTCTATAAGAAAAAAATAAAAAGGCCTAACATCCATGAAATGTCTTGTTTAAGGCTAGAAAGCACACACACACAAAAACCCAAAAAAATCTAAGGGTTAAAACTACACATCACAAGATTCTCTTTCACAGAATGCCTTTGTCTCTCTTACCAAAAAATGGCAAGGGAATGGGAGCTTCCTACAAGTCGAACTACTTCACAGTCCTTCCTGAAGGATGATTCTTTTATACAACTACGTTCTTGCACATACGAGGTACTACATAAAATATTTGCTAAATTGAATCTTGGTACTGAGTGGAATAACTGAAATAAGAATGGGGTCATTTGGAACCATGTTGTTGTAGCCTTTTCCATTTATTTACCACAATTTGGAAAGGAATTTTCTTGGTCTTATGATGACGTATGGTCTGGCCAAAGTTTGTGAGAAAGTAAATTAATAAATGTCTTCTTTTATATCACTGCCATAATTGTGTCTGTTTGTTCAGGAATATGACCCTGAAGGGACAAGACAATTCTGAAGCCTAAAACATGTAGCTAAATAAATGATACATGTCTATAGAAGCCAACAAGTTTCTTTGGTTTATTTTTGTAATGTCCCCTCTACGTATTCTGTCATCGAAAAAAGCAGCAGATAAAGATAAGTTAAATATTGGTAGTACTAACAAGTGCAAAATATCTCACCAATTGCTTTCTTCAATGCTTCAAAAGTGATTTCTTCAGTGTTACTAACCTAGAGAAAAGTGATAAGTGAAATCGAGAGTTAAAAAGGGTCAATATAAATAACACCTTTACCTAGTTACAAGTCATCTAAGAAGTTTTTCAGATTTGTTTTCTTCTTTGTGTTGGGTCTGAGCTGTGAGCTGTGATTATACTCCACAGTACCAAATAATCTCCACTTTTTCATTGGTTCTAACAATGGCTTACTGCAGTGGTTCCCCAAAACAAGTCTATAGATTAGCATTAGACTGCAATAATTAACATACCCTAGGCAACAAAACCACCCTTGAATTACAGAACTCAGTCCCAGTACTGTGATGTACAAGAAGATTTGAGTCCCACTGACTGAACACTGTGTTGTAAGTAAACAATGCTCTGAGAGAGTGAAGGCTGAGATTATACATAAATACATTTTTAGCCATGTGATAAAAAACAACTAAGTACTTTACAGCCTCTATGATTTTGGTACCACACACAGTTTACAAATCAAAAGGAAAACTAAGATTTTAAATGATTTAAAAGTTAGAACCACTACTTTGGGAAGTATTTCTCTAAAGTTAACCACCAATTTATAATCTCTGAAACTATCCTTTTAACTTATGTCTTTCAAGTCTCTCTTGCTTTGAGATACATAAAAAGGTATGAAATCAACCGCTTTATGATAAAAGTCAGTAATACATTTTATGGCATCAGCACATTCTTAGGATAAATAATATATCCAGTTCCTATAGTATCTCTGAATAAAAATTAAGAAACGATACATGAGTACTTGCCTGGGAATCTGGTCATCCCTAATTTTAGCTCATGAGCTTCTTTTGCTAAGTCTAAGGCAGCAAGACTAATGAAAGCAAAAGACGTCATTCTCTGCACCTTAGCTTCTCTGCAATACAAAGGCTTTAGCTGGAAATCAAGCAGCAAGAGTTCCACTCCCTCAGTTTTGCTACTGAGCTTCATAGTTCTAGTTGAAGTCAGATTAAACTTGGGAATCTTCTGTTGTTTTGTTCTAGATATTCGGAGCAGACATGTAAGATTAGGCTCTGGCTGGTCAATTATTTGTACTTATAAGCATTCTAGTACTTCAGTGAAAAAAAGAAATTGCTTTTGTTCTTAGAACTGGCTAGGAGCTTCTGACTTTTGAGACACAACTACAGTAGAGGAAAAAGAACATGGGAGAAGTTAGAAGGCCAGCATTCTTGATACATATAATTTTTACTTATCACCTGTCAATCTCAGGTAAGTAAAGAGCTAAAATACCTTACCCTACTAACTCTTCACTTTTTGTCCCTGTTTGCCTTAATTCAGATAATTATGATGCAGCTTCCTAGCATCAAGAACCCCCAAGTCGGCCAGGCACAGTGGCTCACGCCTGTAATCCCAGCACTTTGGGAGGCGGAGGCGGGTGGATCATGAGGTCAGGAGATCGAGACCATCCTGGCAAACATGGTGAAACCCCGTCTCTACTAAAAATACAAAAAATTAGCTGGGCATGGTGGCAGGCGCCTGTAGTCCCAGCTACTCAGGAGGCTGAGGCAGGAGAATGGCGTGAACCCGGGAGGCGGAGCTTGCAGTGAGCCGAAATCGCGCCACTGCACTCCAGCCTGGGTGACAGAACAAGACTCCGTCTCAAAAAACAAACAAAAAAAGAACCCCTAAGTCATGCCATCAGTGTCTACATTTTTTCTTTTTTTTAATGTCTCCTTTCTTTAAATCCCTTTAAGTCATTTGTTGGTCCTATTCATTCTACTTTAAAGTAGAGTACTCCTGCCCTCCTGTCCCTCTTTGTTACCTCCAGCCTGGCTACTCTAGATCCTCATTCCATCAACTGTGGATTATTACAAGGATCTCCTAACTGGCCTCTACCTCCAGTCTCTTCTTTCTAATTTAGCCTTGTCACACTTGAGAGATTCTTTTTATGAAAGCACAACTCTAATAATGACACTGACTAAATTTCGGTGTTTACCTACTTCCTGTGAAGTGACACAGAAAGCCCTCAGCCTGGTATACAACTTTCTATAATTTTGCTTCAATCTTATCTCCCACTCATCCCTTTTGTGGATCTTTTTTTTTTTTTAAGACTAACTGCTTTATACTAGCATTTAATGATTCATATTTTTATATACCATAGCTGGTAAATACAAGCTACGTACTTTATTTGGTGAGCTACTAAACTATAATCTGTTCCAACTCTATAGAGGGAAAACTGGTTATGTTGGAGTTATAGAGAAGTGGTGCAAAGGCACCATCCTAAAGGAATTTCAACATTCCCTTTATAATCTATGACTTTTGCTTTATCTATGATCTACAACACTAACCTAGACTATATAATGCCCTTGGGCCTACATAAAATCTGCCATTCATCTTTTTCTAATTATAGTAGTTGCTATGTCACTACTACTAATATAGTAATTTGATAGCATCTAGCACCACAGAGTGTGACTAATATTGACTAGATGCTAGCATACACACAAGTTTCTCCAGTTGCATTTGGGGAAAAAAGGCAGGAGTAGATGGATATAAAACAAAGATCTGTTATTTGTAATAGAAAAAACAACAATCTTTTACAGTCAACCAGTGACTTAATTTTATATCAAAAAATTTAACATATACTCAAAATTTAATATATATAACATCCTGCCCATGCCCTTAAATAATCAAGCACTTACTATAAGCTTTTAGAGAGAAGAGTAGTGTGGTGATTTCAGGTTTTACTCATATCAGTTATGCATATATAAGGAAGCAAAAAATCATGCCTATAGTGCTTTATTCTATTAGTCAAGCTGATAATTTTATCTCAGGAGACAGAGATGCCTCTGTTCTATTTTAGTCATTTATCTTCTTGAATACGTTAATTTAAATTAGGTATCGTTATAAAAATGTGTGTGTATACACACATATATGCATATATATGTGTAGTGTGCATATATATGCATTGGGAAGCATTCGTCTAAAGTCAACCACCAATTTATACTCTCTAAAAATACCTTTTACCTTGAGTCTCTCAAATCTCCCTCTTGCTTTGAGATATGTAAAAGGTATAAAATCAACTGCTTTATGATAAAAATATCAATAATACATTTTATGGCATCAGCACATTTTTAGAAGAAATAATGCATTATTTAGAAGAAATAATAATATACATCTTTTTATATATGGCAACTTTTAGAAAAAGTTCACCAAATGATTCTCAGTAGGCCAAGGTTGGAATTGCAAATGTCAGAACTGGCAGATCTCAAGTGGATCAGGTATTTCAATAGACTAGAGTAACAATTTGAGTTTAGGGAAACAGAAGTTTGTTATGGTCTCCATCTAAACAACCTTCTGACTCTCTCTCTTTTTTTTTAAATTATAAGTTTAAAAAGCAAAAGCAAATACATCTCAGGATAAACTAGGATTATACATATAAAACTATAAATAATTTTGATCAAACAAAAAAGTTATTTTTTATGAGCAATGTTCTTATCTGATTCATTTTAAGAAAATAGTTTGATATTCTGCTGCACCATTAACTGGTAAAATATCTATCTGATGTGAATTTCTCCTGTCCATTATATGAAAGTAATTAATTAGTTTTAGCCTAGAAGATAGTATTATTCTGTCTTCTGGTATTTGAACAAACATCTCTAATATCCAAAAGCAGATTCCACAATGGTAAATGAATCTGAAACTCAAATGTGCTCAAGCAAATGTGACACTAAACTGTACTTAACTTTTCAGATGCTTGGTGTGAGGCATATTTGACTTAGGACTTATAGTAAATGAAAAACAACAGGATCTTGTAAAAGTTAATAAAAATATTAACAGACTTTTAATGTAAGATTTGTGTCAAGAATCTTTCCCCTACATTGAGTCTTTATGCAAATGTTTTTTCAGTTGATTTTATCAAAATAGACTGACTCTTTCCAACAGTTTCAAGTGTTCTCTATATATTTTTGAAAGAAGTAAGAATAGTTAACAAAAGGAGAAAGGTGAAAATACCAGTCAATAACACATAGTGTCCCCTTAACAAAATTAAGTTTATAATCTAAGACTCTGGATGAATTTCTTCCCTAGAAAGGTAATAGTGGCAAATTCATAATCATTAAAAGACAGAACTAGCAAGATACTCTTCTTACTGGTAAGGAGTGTATAAATTAAATAGCTCTGAAGAAAGAGGTGAATTTGGGAAAAGTTGTTATTAAGCCTTAAACTGGTAAGAAACTTTAGACTTAATGCGTTGAGTTTCAAAATGAACACTAAGTGCTTCTTCAACTACTCTTGATGCCGTGCTGATAAGTTCTTAATAAAACATAACTTCTATGTAATGGGAAGTTGAATGGCATAGAAAACATAAGTCAGTTGGCTGTACTCTGGCCACCAAATAGGTTTAGTACCTGAAGACAAATAAATCAATAGGAATTGTAAGGGGGTAGGAGGGAGGCTTGAGAAAGCATAATTCAGCTAACTTCCTTTCCCTTTCCCTATATGGATATTCTTTTAATTATGCATATTGTACCAATGAGAAATAATAAAATACTTAGGAAGGCAAACAATGGATAAACCACAAGGTGGAGGTTGACTTGACATGCTGGCATTTTGGCATTTTTACTTGACTATGAAAAAATTCTCTGGTGATTTGTGTAGAATAAGTCCTAGAGAATACTGGCTGCTTTTTCCCCTATAAGTCAGGAGGGTACACTCTTGTGCTTTTTTGAAACGGGAGGAGAGCATGAAATCTATGATGTTTTAAATAAGCCACAGTCCTTACAGAGTACATAGTTCACTGACACAGCTTAAACAACATCCTTACTATCCAAAATAATTAAAACATTTTCCCTTATAGATGCAGTTTTAAAACTTTTCAAAGGTAGTCAGCATTTGGCTTCACATGAGGATGTATAGTTCTATTTATTTCTGTAATTTGCATTTCCTAAATTTTTAAAAATAAGTAGGACCTAGAGGGCCCACTAATTTAATGACAGGCTTTGTATAAAGTTTCTTAGCAAAAAAATCTTATACTTTACAGTTCCTTTTATTACACTAAATTATAATGTGAAATCTGACATCATAACATATAATGTTAGGTTTATATATCTTTACAGACAGCTGAAATGAGTTCAGTAAAATAAATTATAAATAAATTCAAAGCTAAATCAGATTAATTTCTACTAATAATTTAGTTGATTTGAGGATAATTTAGAGTTGTATTTCCTCCTGTTCGAAAGTGTGGAAGGCAAAAAATTCTTTTAAATGATGTCTACCAAGACAGTACTCTACCATAAACTTTCAGTAACTTACCACATCATCAGAAGGAACATTGTTGGATAAAATATCCACCTGAATGGATACGGTGTCCACAATGCTTTTTCTTCTAGAAAGTCGATCTTCATCTAAAATAAAATTGTTTTCTTCCCATTATTTGCTAGAAATGTTATGTTGGTTTTCATTTATAAACTCTACTTATTTCAGATTTCAAAAACTGTCAAAAAATTCAGACAGTTTGTCTTTTTTGTTCCTTCTAAATACATAAAAGCAGCGTGTTCTCGGACTTTTACATTTCGTGAAGCAGATTAAAAAGTAAAATTGATGAGGTGAACTGAAATAAGGTTATCGGATTTTTATTTTTCAAAAAGGGGCATTTAGGACAGCAACATCAACAACCACTACCAAATAGTTTAATTAAAAAAAGCAAGTCAATGTAACAGCAAATGAAGGAAGTACATAATCTAAACTTAATACATTTAGCCTAAATGAAAACTGACAATATTGCCCTTATATCTCTAATATTTTCACGAAACAGTGAAAGCTGTCAGCTAACTCTGGTTCTAGGATGACAGTTTGGGAAGCAATGTCTAAAGGTGTTTACAGTGCATTACAATTTGTGGGCTGAAAGAATTTGCTGTTTCAATTAATATCTCCTCCAGCATTGTCCATTCAGTCATCTCCATCAGCTGTTGTTATTTTGCTTTATAATTTGACCACTTCTCCAGAAAGATGTTGTCTTTACCTGAGTGCTCTAGCTAATCTACTTTTGTGCCCCCAATTCATTTGTACAGTCTGAACAAATTGCTCTGATTTTTCACTACTGACTATGCTGAAGTCCTGTAATTATAATCCCAACCCCAACCACTCTTCTGACAGCGCTTTTAAATAAAATTCCACGGTCTTCCAAATCACTAAATTCAAAAGCTATTCCTAGCCCATTTTCTGCTTAACCACTTCATGAACATTTGAATTTGTTGATCATAATGTCCTTACATACCTTCTTTTCTACTTCTGTTTTTCTACTTTAGCATTCAATACTCAACAAATCTAGGAAGTGATTAGAGACCCTGTTAGGTGTTAGGGACAGTCTGCTGAATAGACATTACACATCCCGTGCAGCTTACAGTTTAACAGGAAAAATATACAATAAAATCACACAAATTATTAAAGTGTGATGAAAGTACAGGATGGTAGGAAAATATCAAATAATCATGATTACAGTCGAAAAAAGGAAGTCACTTTGTGTATTCTAACATATAGAATTAGAGGCTGATTCAACCCTTGGAAAGCTGAGTGAGTAAAAGTTAGGCTAGCCATCGGATAGTCTCAGTCTGCAGCATGGAGATGGTAATTCTCAAGAAGCTCTGGAAGCTTCTAGTCTGATCTCCACCCATTTGAATGCTACACTGTCTTTCAAAGATAATAGTTTTTCCTCTTCTACTTGCAAATTTTTCTGAGTGCTTTTCATTGTCAGTCTCTGATTCTGAAAAAACATAGTTCCAATTTTTCCTTTATGATACAGAAGAGAATTCAGAAAGGGTGACAATGATGCCAAGCTGGCTACTGTTCTACTCCCAGTCCTAAAAAGAATGTACTCACCCAGGTCACATCCCAGGACTTCTAACTCTCTCAAAGAGTTCCCAGGTACTATTAGGGTTGCAGCTGGCACCTAGTAAGTACTCCATAAATACTTGTGTGACTGAGCAGGATTCCGGCACCTCCTTTTCTGAGTTCAACATTTCCAGTTTCTTATTAATCAATTCTATTTGACATGTTCTAAATCCAATTCCGCATCTCTAAATAAGCCATCTTTATCTCCACATTGTCCTATTTATTTTCAAGAGTGTCATCGTTCAAAATCTTCATCTTTTCTTACCTAAACTCTTAGTATAGCTTTCAAGTGGGTCTTCTAGTATGTTTCTCCCTTCTATACTACCAATAGAGTTTTCTAAAACAGATCATTTTCAGTCCTAATTATAATTGTTAAACAAATGCAGCCCACTGCTTAATGCAGAGTTCCCAAGGTTTTCTACCTCACTGCACACATTAAATTATAATGCATGCATGGTACACAGAGATAAATGGAAGGGCCTGCTCATATTGCAGGCTCAGACTGCCCCAGGCCCTCTCCAGCTACCTGAAGAGCTAAGGAGAACAGTACCCAGACACACCTATAATGTTCCCCCAAAACAGTAGGGAAGCTCAGGTCTAGAATCAGTGTAACAGCAGAGTTACTGTATCATGTGGCAACACTTCATCTTTCTCTCTCTTTTTTTTTTTTCTTCCTGAGACAGTGTCTCTTCTCTGTCACCCTGGCTGGAGTACAGTGGTGTGATCAGAGCTCACTGCAGCCTCAAACTCTTGGGCTCACGTGATTCTCCCATTTTAGCCTCCCGAGTAGTCAGGACTACAGGCATGTGCCACCGTGCCCAGTTAATTTTTTTTAACTTTTAAGTTCAGGGGTACATGCGCAGGTTTGTTATACACATAAATTTGTGTCATGGGGGTTTGTTGTACAGATTATTTCATCACCCACATATTAAGTCTAGTATCCATTAGTTGTTTTCTGGATGCTCTCCTTTCTCCCACCCTCCACCCTCCAACAGGTCCCAGTGTGCATTGTTCCCCTCTATGTGTCTGTGTGTTCTCATCATTCAGCTCCCACTTACAAGTGAGAACATGTGGTATTTGGTTTTCTGTTACTGTGTTGGTTTGCACACGCCTATGTTCATTGCAGCACTGCTCACAACAGCAAAGACATGGAATCAACTGGCTAAATTTTTTGTTTTAACTTTTTGCAGAGATGGGGTATTTTTTTTTTTTTCTCAAGCTGGTCTCAACTCTTGGCTTCAAGCAATCCTCCTACCTCGGCCTCCCAAAGTGCCAGGATTACAGGTGTGAGCCACTGTGCCCAGCCTATGCTCCATCTTTCTAATCCCATTCTGTATATACTGTGATTTTACTTTCCTGAAGGGGCAAAGAATGAAGAATTAACAGCAATCAGCAAGAAACTGGTTTCTCTCTTACTGACAACTCCTCTACTCCAAGACAGCCTTCCATGGTTGTAACTAATGCTGTTAGTCAATATTACAGTTTGCCCCTTTCTGGGGATGTGACAGGATTGCAATTTCTGTCCTCTCTGTGGTTAGGAGGGGTTCTGTAACAAGTCCTGGCCAATACAGTATGAGTAATGTGCCAGACAGTGGTAGCTCCATTAGCTTGGATTCCAGAATGTGGATGATGTATAGTTATGTACAGCGAGTCTGAGCAATAAATAAATCTTTACTGTTTCAAACCATTAAGAACTTGGGGTTGTTTGCTACTATAGCATAACCTAGCTAGGGTTTCTTAACCTTGACACTATGGACATTTTTGGCCACATAATTCTTGTTGTGGGAAGCTGTCCCTTGTATTATAAGATGTTCAGCAGCATTCCTAGCTTCTATGCACTAGATGCCAATAGGCCTATCTCATCTCTCTCTGTCCCAGTTGTGACAACTAAAAATTTCCCCAAGATTGCAAAAGTCACCCTTAGCTGAGAACCAGTAACTCAGTCCATCCTATTGACAGACCTTTCTACAATTTTACCTGTATGTCACCACCATGTTAACTAAGCTTCTTAAAACACTAACCACATAACTTCCCAAGCCATGCCCCCCAAACTGCTTGTGAATTAAAAGGACATTCTAGGCTCTCTCATCAGATCTTACCAACAGTAACTTCAACCTTCCCTAATTAATCTAGTGTTCAACTCAAAGATGCCTGTTTTCTAACCTCTGTGCACGCTGTGGGATATCTGCTTTCTAGAATCATGTCATTACCTGCCCTTCGTCATCCTCTTCACTACAGAGATTATCTTTCAAGGCCTATCTGAACATCACATCGCTTCCTTAAAGTGTTAAATATTACTCCAATTATTTCTACTTGTCCCTCTTTCTTCTGAGCTACAAAAACTTACTACCAGTTATTAATGAACTTCCCTTCCATCATCCTTCACCCTTGTACTACCGTCATGTACACTGATGTCTGACCTATATATCCATACACAAAATTCAGTGAGACTCTGGGTTTTGTATCTCCCATACAAAAGTCATCCAGGTTCTACTGCATGAAGGCTGAAGGTACAGAATCAGTACATACTCAACTGCAACAAAACAGGACACATTGTTTTGCAAGAATTTTCAGGATGAGAATATTTTATATCCTGCATGTGGCTACTGCTGAGTTAACCTAGACCCTGTATTTTTTGTTTTTCCTTCATAATCATATGCTTTGATACAAATAACTGGACATAAAGACATCAATGGAATTGCCACAAAGCAGTATGTGGTCATGCCTGCTGATCTGCTTATAGCATCTAGGTAAATTAACTTTCAAGGTCTCACCGGAAGTGAAAATAAGGGCTTCTCTCAAAGGAGGCTATAAAATAATTTCTGGGTTAATTTATGAAAGCTGAGGGGTTGCAGAAAGAGAGTCATGTTGAAGCCAATAATAAAAAAGAAAAGACAAGTATGGGGGCAGGAAAGGGGTCACTGAGCGGCAAAATCATTGAGAACAAAAAGGAAATATAGTGTTGTCTCAAAGGTGATCAATAATCACCTTCTAGGAAAATCCAAAGGAAGGTCTTAATCAATTTTCTACTTCTCTGAAGCTTCAGCAATTTGTGCCACCTTTCCCTTTGTGGAAGCTCCTCTACCTGCCTTCTCACCCCCCAACTTCCTAGCACCCACATTCCAACATTACCTTACTTTCCTTTCACTTTCTTGAGACTTTCGGCTTTGGAGCTTTACGTTCCTTCCCAACATGGCCTCTCCTCAGGAAAAGAGAACTGTCTAAAGCCATTCCATCCTCTTTCTCTCCATGCCTTCACTGTGAGAAGTCATCCTCCCTGAAGGCTTTAGCAAAATCCCCTATGTTGCTGTTTTTAAAATTTTCATTATAACCTCCTAACCCTCACACAAAACCCAGTCCTATCTCCTAACTGCCTACAAGCTACTTTACTTGCATGTTCCACTGTCAAAGATACTCAACAAGAGGTTTATCTCCAAAACCAGCCACTTTTTCCTATTCATTTCTATTAATAAAAACTCTATCCTTCTACCACCACAGATTCAAAACTACTTATAGAGAGTTTCAGCTGAAATATGTACTTCTTTCCTTCTTCACTTGAACGCAGCTGATATGGTTTGGCTGTGTCCCCACCCAAGTCTCAACTTGAATTGCATCTGAAGAATTCCCACCTGTTGTGGGAGGGACACAGTGGTAGGTAACTGAATCATGAGGGTTGGTCTTTCCCACATTAGTCTCGTGATAGTGAATAAGTCTCATGAGATCTGATCGGTTTATCAGGGGTTTCTGCTTTTGCTTCTTCCTCATTCTTTCTTGCCACTGCCATGTAAGAATTGTCTTTCACCCTCTGCCATGATGATTGTGAGACCTTCCCCAGCCACGTGGAACTGTAAGTCTAATTAAACCTCTTTCTTTTGTAAATTGCCCAGTCTCTGGTATGTCTCTATCAGCAGTGTGAAAATGGACTAATACACCAGCTATATCTGTCATCCCTCCCAGAAAAACAAAACACACACAAAAAAACAAGCAAATGAAATGGTAAGTAAATCCTATGCGTCCCCTCAGTTTTACACCATTCACTCAAGTGCCCAAGCCAGAATCCTGGACAAAATCCCTGGCTTTCTTCTTGTCTCTCCATACCAATCAAATGCCTATAAATTCTCTCTCATAAATTTTTCTAGAATCTACCTACTCTGTATCCTCACTGATGCCTCTTTATTATGGGCCACTGTCATTTCTCCTAAGGATGACTAACATGCCATCAAAATAAATAGTCACCCCATCTCCAGTTTGCAAAATTACAACCAAAGTACTACTTCTAAAATGCAACTCTGATCATGTTATCCTCTGATTAAAATCACTCATGCTTCCCCATTGCCTTCAGAACAGAGTTCAAACTAGTTCACCTTGCTTTACAATTCCTAACTCCACTCCCTGAAGTCTGTTGTTACTCTATATTAATTCACGGAACAAATCCTGTTCTTGCCTACCTCATTCCTTCACACATGTGTTACTACCATATGAAGCACAGTTTACTTGCCTAACACCTGTTTCAAGCTCATCTTAGAGGCTTTTTCCTCTGGAAGATATCCCTGGCCAGCCAAACCTGGATTAAATATTTGTATGTGCTATTGGAGGACCCTAAATGTCCCTAATAATAGCTGAATAGTCATATTACAATTGCCTGGTTATTTATCTTCTTAGAGAAAAATTATATAATGAAATTAACTTATTTCCTATGCACCTAGAATAATACCAAATCAGCTGCTGTGTTTTGTGGTTCAAGTGAACAATACATTTAAGAGAGACTGTGAGCTTTGTGAAAGTAGGGACCTACCCGTCTTGTTCATTCTGGCTTTTGCTTGCACAGCAGCTGGCACACTGGAGGTGCTCGCTTAATACTTAAATAACTGTATGAGTTGACTGAAGCCACTGGTACCTCTGAACGATTCAGATGGGGGACACTACTGTTTTCCCCTCACAAAGCAGTACTTGGCACAGGCCTAAACATACACTATTCATTCGAATTCTAGGTTGATAAGAGATAAGTAAAATACAATAATCAGCTAACATTTATCAACCACATTATGATGATGCCAGGCATCAATAGTTCAATAAACTTTAGGTAGATCATCATTCTTTCTCTAGATCTAGTTATCACTGTGTTTCATTCATTCATCTGCTTTTCCCACTAGATTGTATTCCTTGAGGATAAGAATTGCATCTTAACACCTTTCTACCCTTTGAAAGTTATAACAGTGCTTGATATATATTACATTGTAGGCACTCAGTAGAAATTAGAGAAAGAAATGATAAAAATCAATCTGGATCTTTCTGGATGCCTGAACAATATTTGAGTCCCTGAAAAATAGTGAAATCAAATAATTTATTAAGCAACTAACTGGAGAGGCTGTTAGTGGTGTCACCTAATCATTTAATTCAATTTTAGCCTCACTATACTCATTTGTAAACAAAGATAATGCTATCTTCCTCACCAAACCATTATGAGAATTACATAAGAAAATGAATACTAAGCACTTATCACAGTGCCTAGCACACAGTGCATAATAAATGGTAGCTACTATTGTGATGATGATGGGTACTACATGACACACAACAAACTAAATATGTTCTGCTTTTTATTTTAATACATTGTTCTTAAATCCCTTGAATTTTTTAAATGAATATCTGATGGTTACACAGCAAAAGGAAATTTAATTACAGATTCAGTATCCCATAAAATATCACTGTTTATTCTGTTTCTGCATTAAGGTAGGATACTAATGCCACAGATAGGTTCTAAACTATCAGTCTTCACAAATCAGAAAAATCTAGTAGGATTTCTAGTAGTGCAGTTATACAATTAAGTAGACACTAAAATATTCAGAATTCTTCTAGTCATTGGTAGAGATGCATTATGAGAGAATACATCTTTTTTAGGGATGGGAGGAATCAGGGAAGTGCAGACCATTTGTTAAAAATTTTGAAAGTACCAGAGCTTTCATTAAAAATTGTTAAGAGTTAAAGGAACAGGGTAAAAAGAAATAACAGGGGTAAAAATAAACTAGGGCTATAAGGAAGATAAAGGAAAATAATAATTAAACTAATTATAGAAAATATGCAGGCCACTGGCCCCATTTTCTAAAAGGCACATTTTATTAAGCTATTTTCCTAGAGGACAGGTAAGGGAAAAGGCAGGCCAAACTGACAACTGGATTTACCTTTGTGCTTGTGCCTGGGTTTAAGAGGTTTTTTGCTTGAAGGAAAGAGAGCTAAATTCAAATTATAAGAGTAAAATATTTTAAATGTTTTTTTAATATTTTAAATTATAAAGCTCTAATAATCTTTTGTTCTTAGCACTTTTATTTCCTCAAGGAGTTCCTGAGGAACACAATCTTTTAAAGCATAAAATTTAAAAGAAAATGCAAAAGCACTCATTAACATCTCAGACTGTTATGAACAACTATTACTGTACTAAATGTATATATTTTGGATCCATGTTATTAAAAAAAAGCCATTTACAAAGACTGCACTACTTGTAGTGACTAATCCAGAAATCTTTCTAAGTGAAATCAAATGGTTCTCTTGTAGAACAGAGGTATCCCCAAAGAACTAATTCACTTACAAAATTTAATATTTATATAGTCACCAAATTAAAATGAAAGCATAAGACATAAATTCTTTGATTTTAATTTTTACAGTAAAAGTTGAATACAAGACACTATGCAATTTTGCCTTCAAACAGAATTATTTCAAGCAATGGGAAAATATATAGTTCACAGAGAAAATATATAGTTCACAGAGAAAAAAAAATTCCTAACTCAAAAAGTTTGTAGTTTTATTTATATAACAAGTCTGTACTCTTTCAAATAACGAAAGTTGCCTAATTCATTAACCTAAATAATCACTTATCATTAAACAATTTTCATCAATTTCCATAACTTAAATAGAATATCATTTAATGAGAAAAGATCTCACTTTAAAATATACTATTAAATAAAATATTAAGTATTGTAACAATAAATATTCAAGGACTTGATTTGCTCCTGGTAAAATCATATCTATGTCGTTAGAGATTTACTGAAGGTTTTCAATAGCAAAATTAAAAAACAGAAGTAAATACTCTTAAGCATTTGAAAATGGCTGGGCTATAGTAAGGACACACACCAGAATTAATTTTCATTGTTAACTGGGTAATGAAAAATTTACTATAACATAAGCAATCACCAGAGTGAAAGTTCTAATTATCCTCCTCTTACCTGTTACTTGTGGTACATACGGAACTGACAATCTCTCAACACTATATCCACTTCCACCTAGCGACTCTGCAATCTTGTTGGTCAGAAAGTACAAATCTTTTTCATGCTTCTCTAAAGATTTTGGAAGCCTGCGAAGTTCATCAAAACAACAATCATTCAGTATTAAATTACTGAGCAAAAATAAGTTACTATGCAAAACATTCCAGAGCAAAAGCCTCAATATTCTAAATATAAACACAATGTAAACTGTAGTAGCAGAAAAATCAGTATATTTTAGGCAACTAATTTGAGCTCTTTAAAAACACACAGTATGTGGTCCCATATATTAACCATTCTGCAGTGATTCTTCTCTCAGTAACATTCCAATAGTGAATTCAGCCTTGTATTACTCTGTTGATCTTTACTTGTTAAGTAATAAAGAACACTAAATGTAGCTTTTATTGTCATGTTAATTAAAAAGTGTACTGAGAGACAAAATAAAAAAAAAATCATTAGCCCACTGATTGTTAATGAAAACCACATTAGCCAGCTAAGTGTAAGGAAGTACTTGCCCACCCACATAAGGTTTCACTTTCCTTGCAAACTGCTTGATATTATCTTATGCTGATGCTTTCAAAATAAACTGCTTTTATAGCCCAAAAGTTCAAACAAAATATTATTCATATATATACTTTTCTTTAGAGAACAAGAAATAATGCAGGAAATAACACGGATTTTCCTTAATACATTCTTTCTTCCACAATATTTTGAGTATTGTTACCTATTACTGAACGTCTTCAACAGGATACTGTACTCTCTTAAAGGTTTGATCATTTACATATGAGAACATAAAATATGCTATATTTAAGAGACATATCCAACAGTTTTTAAAAAGTGGGGTAAGTTTTCTTATTCTTTTTTTTTTTTTTTTTTTGAGATGGAGTCTCGCTCTGCTCTTTTACCCAGGCTGGAGTGCAGTGGTGTGATCTTGGCTCACTGCAACCTCCACCTCCTGGGATCAAGCGATTCTCCAGCCTCAGCCTCCTGAGTAGCTGGGACTACAGGCACATGCCACCATACCCAGCTAATTTTAGTATTTTTTAGTAGAGACGGGGTTTCACCATGTTGGCCAAGCTGGTCTAAAACTCCTGACCTCAGGTGATTCACCCGCCTCAGCGTCCCGAAGTGTTAGGATTACAGGCGTGAACCACTGCGCCTGGCCAAGTCTTATTCTTAAAAAATTTTTTCAAGATTGACTCCATGTTGTGCATAAGTCAACATCCATAATGTGCAGGCCCTTTTATAACAAGGGAAATAATTAAATGAATTAAATGACAGACACAAAATGATGATTAGTATAAAGCACCAGGAATTATTGTAACAATATTTACTCCTTTATAATTATTACTGATGGGTTTATCAAGTCAGTACCCCATCCTTAAAATGTAAAGAATTAACATACATGCACTTATCTCTGAAGATATGCTCTGGTAGAAAATAAGGGGCTTCCATAGTTCGAATTTCAATAACCTAAAAAATATTCAAAAACAGAACAAAAATCAAAAACCCTACCCCTCAGTACCTTGCTATAAAAATTCAGAAAACAGCTTAAAAAAAAACAACTTTAAACATTTATAAGAAATAACATCACTTTGTTTTTGAATTTAAGCTAAGTTTACAGCCCAAATGTAAAGTTTGTTTTGTTTTCACATCTATTATTTTTAAAATTTAACAGATAAAACTGTGACAATAAAATAATATATAAAGCAAAAAATGATGACACATTACATTTGATTAAGCCTATTATAATAAAGCAAGAATATCTATTTTCTCAAATGCACTATTTTGGAAATCGCTTTACAAATCACCATCCTCCACCTGCTGCATTACCTTTTGCAGCCTGTGTACAAGGTCTCCAGGCACTTGTGTGGACTGGCTCCTCCAATGAACTGTGAGCAAAGAGGTACTCTGCTTTTGTAGTATTTACTTCTCTAGTGGTGGGCATCAAATATTCACTCAAATGTCTGATTAATGAATGGATGAGTTTTGTTTCTTAGAGTACACTACAAGTCTACATTTTAGCAAGGACTAAATGATGTGCTTCCAATTTAAGAAAAATAAAGTTCTCTCTTACAGATGTCTTTAAAAGTGGACTTTTTCTGCTAGGTAACTTGGGGGCATTGAAATGTTTATTAAGTCATGCAAATAACCATGTAAGAGTTACTGCTAAAGACAACTAAATATATTTGAAAGACACAAGACAATTCTCTGAGATGCACAGTAATTATTCAACTTTTGAGATCTGCCTCAAGTAGTTTAGAATAAACAACAAAAGAGTATAATTTAAGAAAATTTACATACTAAGAGTCATAAGGGTTCAAAGGAAAAAAGTCATAGAATAAATCACATAAGGTATTCTAGAAGAAAACCACATATTCCATTCAACCACTACATTAAACTATTATAATAAAACAACATGCATCTAAGAAAATATAAAAACAGTAGCTACAGTTTTAGCTGTAGTTTCAGTTTACTGGCTGTAGATTTTTATAGAATTACCTTAATTTGATACGTAATCACCAAAGTTAAAAATAATCATCACTGGAATAAAATTAGCAATTTTGTACAAAATTCAAGTTTAAGGACTTTTCTAAATACATTACCTTGCTAACATGCTGGCAAAATGCAGGGACAGCTATCATCTGACTTACAAAGTTGAGGTATGCTGCAACCAGTGCCATGATTCCACAACGATGGAACATTGGCAAATTATCCTCATTGATAATTGCACTGTCCTTTAATAAGAAACAAACACATCAGAGAGATCAAGTTCTTATACTTCACCAGCATTTTCTCTGATTACACTGGAAAACTGCAGGTAGTTTGGAAAGCTAACAAAAATGCCACTTTATCAGAAGTTATTTTCTAAAACAATTCTGAAAGGAAAACAAATGTTCTTTTACAAGAGAGTTAATTTTTCCAACTTAAACTCTCTTCCCTAGGAAAGCCTTTCCTGTTCTCATATATATATACACACACACACGGACATGCATATATGGCCATTGCATACTGTCCTTCTATTACATAACACTTACGCAACTCTAATTAAACAACTGCATGTATGTCATTCTTATTTAATGACTATCCCCCCCAGTGTAGGAAGTGTGGATACAGGGACTATGTTTGTCTGCTTCATCACACTATATCCCTATGGCCTTGAAGGATATTTAGCACACCAGTTGATGCTCATGCAACATATGTAAAAGGAATAAATGAAGAATGTAGTCATAGTCTTGAGTATTTTAGATTTACAACTAGATACCTCCCTTTTAAAATTCATGTCCTTGGATAACGGCAACATTTCAAAGATGTTGTCTGCTTTATAAAAAATGTTTTCTGCAGTGAACGGTTATGAAAGCATACCTGTAAAGCAATGGCCAGTCGAATGAGATCAATAACTACTTCTTCATTAGCCAGTTCAATAGTTATAAGAGCAAGAGAAGTATAAAGTAGTTCATAGTTTTTCTGAACGTTGTCTTCCTCTTTACAACCCAAATATATGTGCCGATACAGCTGTTGCCCATTCTGAGGAGAAAAGACAGAGGACAAAGGTAATTTTGCTTAAAATGTAGAAAAGGCAGATTTCACATGCATATACTTTTACAGTGTAGCTATGTTATTATATAGCTTAACATGGAAATGAAATTTAAGTTGATCAGATAGTCAAATTTCAATTATAAATATCAAACAACATGCTAATATACAACTACAAACTAATGTTAAAGTTGAAGACAAACCTTAAATAAAAATAACCAGTAAAAAATAGTTCCTGTGCTAACAATGAAAATGTTTTTTAATAGTAATTTGAAAAAACAAAAGCAAATTATGGATTGACTTGAGAAAAAAAGTGAAATGGATGGCAGAATCCTGAGACACTTTGGCAATACAGCCTCAGCAATGATAAAGATTATTGTACTGAGAGGAAATGTACTGAGGCTCTCTTGACTGGGGAACAATCCCTGTGCTGTGGGTTAGCCGTACAGAGAAGAGCATCTGCAGGTTCTGTTACATTTTGGCATGGAGTCCCTGAAGGCGAGTCTAAAGCCTATTAACAGAGAAGAGGTTATAGAAACTCCCCAGGTATTGCACAGAGGTTTCCCCTAAACTAGACTGATCTAAGTAAAGATTATTATAATAAAGATTTATTATTTATTATTATAATAAAGATTATTAAAGCCTTTCCTTTCTAAAGCATTCCTGGATACAGGTGCAATGCCACATCCAGTCACAATGGCGACATTAACTCAATTAGCTCTCAACTCTAACTGCCCGCTGGAATCACTGGACAACTGGAATGACCACCATGCTCTTGCCCTCCCCACTTCTCACTACTGTCCACCCTCCTCCAATATGATGTAACTGGTCAGTGGCAAAGCACAAGCATCAGTATTTTTCAAGTATAAAGCTCCCCATGTGGTTATAATAGGCAGGCAGGGTTAAGAACACTCATTTTTTCCCATGTGGAGAGACTTTAGGCTTAATATTCCAAGCCTGTTTCTCAGAAGGTTCTTCTGATCATTTTAGGAGAAGAAACTGGGCGAGAACAGCACAGACTCTTCTGAAGCCAGTATGTCTGTAACAAGTATGCATTCTGCTCTGTTCTCTATTTAATATGCACTGAGGTCCCATCCCCGTAAGGAGGCCTATAGTTCTCCAGCTGTGACAATGACTGACTGGTTAAGTCAGCTTAAATGTGTGTTACAGTGTTAGTAAGCCTTTTTTGGCTACAGACATAAAGCTACCCACCAGATTCCTTTATTTCTGAAGTTGTTATTTTGGTTTCCACCTTTCTGAATCTAGAGTTTGTCTCTCTCGTTCTTTCTCTCTCTCAAACACATAAGGTTTCTATACTTGGGTGGGGTAAAAAAAACTATGCATTGGGTCCTCTCAAAACCTCAGAATATTCTTGAATTCTATGGTTCTAAACATCATTAACAAACATTAAAGTGGTGCATACATACGTGATAATTTAGACTTCAAGTTCCTTAAGTAATTCAAGTTTGTTTTTAAAAATTACCTACTACATAGTCACCATATTAGATGAAATAAAAAATTTGTAATATGTAATGTAAAAATACAAATAGGTATAATAACTTTACAAATTGGTATGGCATTATCTAGTGAATCTGAAGAATACATAACCTATTACTCAGCAATTCCTCTCTTACAGGCCTTGGAGAAATGGGAGTTATATACAGCACAACATGTGTACAAGCATGTTTTTAGGAGCACAGTTCATAACACTCACTAACTGGAAAGAATTCAAATGTCTGACAACAAAAGAAAACTTGTGGTATATTCATATCATGGAATACTATCGAAGCCACACGCAGATGAATTTTACCAAAATAGAGCTGAATTAAAAAAAACCTAAACTTAAAAGAATACACAATGTATGGTTCCTTTCACCCAAATTACAAAAACTGGCAAAACTAAACAATATAGTTCAAGGACATAATGTATATTTAGGTTATCAAACTGTAAAAAAAATTTGAAAGAGTCAATTTCCATCAAAGTCAGAGCAATGATAGTGATTACCTGTAGGGGAGAGGATGGAGTTATGAAGAAGACAGAACATGTGGGATGCTTTTGGTTATACTGTTGTTCACCTTAAAATAATTAAAGTAATAATTCCCATGTATTTTATATTTCATAATAAAAAGTACTCTTTTTGACATAATTCCTTGATTAGGTGAAACATTAACAAGAGCTTTTTCACATGGTGAGAAACTATATAGTGAGTTGTAGACTCAGTGGTGGCAGCTATTTTCTCTGGAAGAATACGCTTCACTAGGAAATTACAGGTGAAGTGATACCTCCCAATGTATAAGGGGTTCCAGCCCTGGAACCGTTTTTCAAACAGACTCCGTATATAAGATGCCCCTAAAACATTCAGATGGAGTAGTTTTAGGCTGGGTAGTAATTTAAGACACAGTTGCCTGAACAAAGTTAATATAGAAAATATACTGTCTATGCTAAACTAGGATTCTCTTAACTAAAGGCCAGTCCATCATCCTGTGCCTACAGAACCCAATTTTTTTTCTTTAGTTCTTTGCAGAAACTTATCTGAGTTGCTAGTTAAGGTTTCATATGAAAATCAAACAACATTTTTACTCATAAAACAAATTGGAAGGTAAATGAAAAATGGTGTCAAATTATAAAAATAAAATTTTGACAAAGGAAAAAAAGTGTGAACACATTGCTTCTAAAGAGAAAGACCCAAAAAGGAATGGTTTACATTAATGACAACAAATGCTTAGCAAGGAAAGTTACTTTAAATTATAAAACAGAGGAATAACTAATTCTGAGAACAGTTTAAGGATTCAAAATCTAACATGAAATAATAGTCTAATCTTGCCGTTAAATTACAGCTTTTCAAATTGGTTGACTAGCAAAATAAACAGAAGTATTATTTCTATAACTTATAATGGATAAAATGAAATCCAGTCTCAATGTTCATGACTGTTTAATGTCATTGCATAAAGTCAAAAACTCAAAAATTAGTTATAAATTGAGTTTACAAAATTCATTATATCAGTAATGATTTAAAATTCCTCAGTACGGAATCAGCCTAAGTGTCCATCAACAGATGAATGGATAAAGAAAATGTAGTGTGTGTATATATATATATATATATATATAAAATGAAATACTATTCAGCCTTACACTAGAGGAAAATTCTTTCATTTTTGACAATATGGATGAACCTGGAGGACATTATGCTAGGTCAAACAAGTCAGTCACAAGAAATACTGCATAATCTCACTTATATGTGGAATTTAAAAGAGTTGAACTCACAGAAGTAGAGAATGGTGGTTAGCAAGAGCTGGGGCCTGAAAGCGAGGAGGAGGGTATGGAGAGATTATTGATCAAAGGTTACAAGGTTTCAGACAGATAGAAGGAGTTAAGTTTTGAGATCTACTGCACAGCAGGGTGACTATAGTCAATAATAGTGTATTGTATATTTCAAAATAACTAAGAGAGTAAATTTCAAGTATGTCACCATAAAACAAGATAGGTAAGCAAGAAAATGGATATGTTAATTAGCTGGATTTAAACTTTCCACATTATATACATATAATCAAAACATATTATATCCCATAAATGTATATAATTATAATGTCAATAAAAAATATTTTAAAAAATTGTTTGAGGTTCCTCAGTTATGCAGAATTCATTAGTTAGGTGATATAAAGAAATACAAAAATAAAAATTGAGAGGAATTAATGTATCTGTCCTATTTATTAACCAGTTTTTTGATATACAGTATAGCCTCATTTAAATATTTTATTCAAGGAATCACATTAATTTAGGAAGAGTGATATTTTGTAAATTATTTTTTAAATGAAGTTTTAAAATGGAGTTAACTTGAAACACAGCAATCAATAGTAATGGTAAAGACAGAAACATTAAAGACAGTGTCAGGGAGAAAGCATGGTCTAGTAAAGAGGCAAAAAAGAACATGGATTACGGGTCTCTACACCTAGCTTCCTACGGGGCTCTGTCTCCTTTTCCTCACACCTCTAAAAACAGGCTCCCTTAGCTGGCAATACTGTGTTCGTTATAAGGGCAGCTGGCAGTGTCATGGTTATCGTATCTCTTAATATTGACTCAGTGTATAGCAAATATTAGGTGCCCAAGCTTTGGACGAATAATAACCGCACAGAAAGTTTACTCAATATGCAAATAACCATAAATATCATAATCTTCTAAATTCAGCCATTTGCCAGTAGATCTACAGAATTTAAATTATCATCATGAAAATCCAGCTAAAACCATTATTGGGGCAGAGATCCTGCCCAACTCATCTTTATATCCCAAATAGTGTAGAAAACAATGTCTAATAAGACAGCAAAAACTCACCATAGTTAATTTATTTGATGGTGATAGCTATTTTCAGAAACTTGAAGCTGTCTATATAAAAGAGCTGCTAAAAGAGGAATCAGTACGTGTGTTTTTAGTGGGAGAGGACTGCCAGGGCAAGAATTATAGGAAGACATTTTACTCAGAGAAGAAATTTAGAACTACTACAGCAGCCCAACAATAGAATGCTCAAATACAGGCTGGAGGAGACACCGACAGGAATGTTACACTTGAGGGAGGCTGAAGATGGCGTCTTGAGGTCTTTCAAATTCAAAATTCTATGGCTTAATTTCAAGGGCACAGATCAATATAAAACCACCTAACAATTCAAACGGCTGTAATTTACACTACACATTTATTTTTTTAGAAGATGTCTTACCTTTTTCATGAAACTTGTGTCTTGTCTGCAAATTTTTTCTCTTTTTATCTTTAGGTCAGCTACATCCGGTATTATTCTAGAGACGATCAATATATCATTTTTAATGAATAGCACACTTATTTACAATATCACATCTTATATGGAAAATTGTATTTATACTTAGGAGTTTGATAAGCCTGTATGTAATGATACTACTGAATTGCTTCTGAAGAGTACATACGTGCCCTCCAAAAATTTGTTATCTTAAAACATATTGATTAAATTATCTCAATACCAATTAAATAAAATTATGGATTAATAAAACCTGAACATGCTAGATTTTTAAAAATCACAATACTTAAATACACTAATTTAGCAATTTAAAAACATTATCATTAGATCCATTTCAAAATGGCACATTACCTGATCCCTCGAAGCTTTGCCCTATTGTCATGACGATCCATGAGATTATGCATTACTTCCAAGACCAACTGTCTCAGTTCGTAGTCCTCCATGAGAGATGGTGATAACAAAGGATCCAGGAAAGACCCTGGCAGTGCAGTAACAATCGTCTTCGCTTTATATCCAGAGGTCACCTGATTATCGAGAAGAAAACAAACAACCTTTTGTCATGAGTCCTTTTTTTGTAAAATTCTCATATTCTTTTATAAGAACCATAAACTTAGGAAAGAAAATATGGACAGAAGCCTGGAGAAAAGACATAAAAGAAATGTGCAAAGTAATGAAGGATTTTGCTGAATTTACAAAAACATCATTCATAAGAAAAATAAAGTTAATAATAGCACACATTTACCATGTGTTAGGCATGATTCTAAGCACTGCATATGTATTAACTTTGTCCTCACCATATCCCTGTAAGGTAGACACTAGTGAATCGCCATTCATAAGGAGAAACTGAGGCACAGAGAGGTTAAGGTTAGTACAAAACAGATATAAGGAGCTTAGGTGACAAAGAGTAAAAGTAAGACCTGCAAATTTTAAATTTAAGTTTGCAAATTATTCTTTCATTTTAAATTAGGCAGTTGGTTAATAGGAATACATTTTCATTTTGGAAAGCTGTACTTAGTTACTTGATTTGACATTTAAGAGTACGTCAATATCTTCTAAACATAAAACTTTTAAAGAGAATATACTTAAATGCTATTAAACATTTTAAGCATAACATATATTCAGTTGACTATATGGTATAATCAGAAAGGCAAGGCAAAATAATTTACTTAGGGAATTTGTTTAATATAAATAAAGGCTTAGGATCAAATTAAATTGCAGGTGGGAGATCTCAACATATTTTCAGGATTATAAACATGTATGGAATACTTAACATTTACATTTGGGCATTTATTATAGGATGGAGATAGTTTTATAAGTCAGCTGGGAAACTGGTGGGACAACTGTCTACCCATCTGGGAAAATCCATGCCTCATACCACATATAAACATAAACTTCAGATTAAAGTTCTAAATGTAGAGAGCTAAAATTTTAAAACTGCTATAAGAAAATACAAACAAATGTGTTTATATCATCAGAGGAGGAATGGAGTTCTTATATAAGATACAAATGAAAAAGTGCAAAACATATAGAAAAAACTGATAAATCTGGCTATATTAGAATTCAAAACTTCTAAATGACAAGCGCCATAAACAGAATTAAAAAAAATTAAAAATACAACCACACAAGGTATTTCTGCACTTGAGAGAGTCTGTTTAAAAAATTAGATCATGTATAGTAAACATTTCTAGGATAAATCTGAAAGATACTGATTTTGAGAGGACGCATATGTGCTAGCAATGGCTGAATCAAATATGAGTACAATTGCTAGACAATAACCAGAGGACCTTTCATTCTGGGTATACTTTTCCTTTTCAGCTACTTATAGCCACTTCAAATTTTAAATGGCAAATATTCATTTTAATGAATTATTTTCCCAATCAGAAGCAATTATTTGGTCAGTATGAGAAAGAATTAGCATAATATGTTGAAAGAACTTTGGATTTCAAGTCTGAGTTCTGTTTTTTAGCCCAGTGACTTTGGTGGACCTTATCAACTCCTTCCACTCACAGTCTCTGGGCCCAGGTATCTTCGTCTATAAGACAGCAATAGTTTCTGCCCTCTGTATGTTTCATCATTATGAAGATCAAAGACAGTGACAGAAGAAGTGAGAAATAAACGGTAAAAAAATTGGATAATCTTTAAAATGAAGAACATAATAAAATACTAACCATAAACAGTAACTTACTTAAGAAAGAACGGTTGTAACATGAAGCTATTCAATTAATGTTTTCAGTAATTTAAGGTTAAGTGTGTCCTTTATTTGTCTTAAATGCCTTACCATAAGCAAAGATCTCAGCAACATTATCTGAATTCTCCTGGTTCCCAAATCCCTAAAATATACAAAAGGCTGAATTATTATACTAATTAGCATTTATATTACTTCATTTACTTCAATTACTGATTTTAAAATTCTATTCTTATTGGCTAAATAGATTTTATTTTTGTAACAGTTTAAGTCATGGCTCACTTCACATGCCAAAGTAAAATTTCACGTGAATTAAAACTATTATATTTAAAAATATCAAACAAAAAATTTGTTATTGGCTCTCAAACAGTCCTATGCATCTGATGACAAGAAAATTAAATCATATAAACAGACAACTAAACAACCCAAATTAAGGTACCTTAAATTGGAGAAAATAATTACTACATAGTTGATGAATATAATCTTTCTTTAACAAATATGAATAAACAGGTAAGAACAATTTTAAAAAATAACAAATTATGGTCAAAGAAATGTAAGTCGAATAAGATACTATTACTTCCTTATTAAATTAACAAAACAACATTCACAAACAAAAACTTCAGCATATTATAAAATCCAATTAAATGTATAAAATAAGGGGGTCACATAATCTTTAAAATTACTTTCAGTTCTAAAATTCTAGGAATAAGCCAATATTTCTGATATATTGACATTAATGTTTAAAATTTATACAGGAAACTTGAAGCTTTACCCTAAATGTGTATGCACACACACAATGTCCAGGCCAAACAATTTCTAAAGATGGAAATATCTGAGAATTTATAAGCTGAAAATGATTCTAAAGGCCTAAAAATGCTAATTCAATTGCTTAGCAATCTACTGTCATAATAATACTAACTGCTTTCCATAGGAATGCTATTACTAATGATTTTTAAAAAAAAACAAAACGTTAACATTTTCTAGATTTCGTTAGGATAAAATGTAACTCAAGATTAAGTTCAAATTTACAGTCTGAGAACATACCCTAGTTGACTGATATCCAAAGTATGGGTAGATGTTCCAAAGACAGGTACTTTCCCCATAATGAACATCATGATTTCTGACCTCTGATAATCTGGTAGGTTACTTCCAAAAAATCCTATGAAAGTATTAAGACAAATTTTAGAAACTGAAAAAGTCTACTTTTCCATATAATACAAAATTATTTTTAGCCAAAGTTTTCAATATGTGGTAAAACAATCCCTCACAAGTCTGTAAGCTACATGTAACATTAAAGGATATTACAATTTCATTTGTACAAAATCATTTAGTTATGTACAATATAAACTGTGTATAATGGACTGGTAGATAAAATGATAAATATATCAAAGTCTTTTTTTATATAATTATAACAGTGACAAACCGGGACTGACTTGAGTTGACTGGAGTTTTAGAAAAAGGAAAAATATTGGCCGGGTGTAGTGGCTCATGCCCATAATCCCAACACTTTGGGAGGCCGAGGTGTGCGGATCACCTGAGGTTGGGAGTTCGAGACCAGCCGGACCAACATGGTGAAACCTCGTCTCTACTAAAAATACAAAATTAGCTGGGCGTGGTGGCACATGCCTGTAATCCCAGCTACTCAGGAGGTTGAGGCAGGAGAATTGCTTGAACCTGGGAGGTGGAGGTCGCGGTGAGCCAAGATCGTGCCACTGCACTCCAGCCTGGGCAACAAGAGCAAAACTCTGTCTCCAAAAAAAAAAAAAAAAAAAATAGGAAAAAAAAAAGAAGGAAAAATATTTTGGTAGTATTTCTGATGAAATTCTAGTTCACACATCGTAAGCCTAAATTTTTGTTCCGGTAATCAGGCCACACATTGTCTGGTAAAGAAGTTAATAATTAGTCACTACTCTGGTTTTCCAGGATTTCTCAAATATTTGAATGTCATTGTAATAAGCCAAGTTTATAGTTTACCCCTGTGAATTAATTCAACATACATAATTCAACTGATGTAAAAAATAAGTAAATAACTTACTTGTCATTTTTCTTATGCAGTCTAGTTTCTGAGAATATTTTAAATTTATCTGCTGTAGCTTTTGATACTTACTTCCTGGTCACAAAAGATTTATAACCTTTAATTATCAATTACTCACACTTTAAAAGTTTCTTATTTCTTTGAAAGATTGGAACAGACTATCAAATCATGGCTGTTATGTTCCTTTCTTAAAATTCAATGTAGTCATTACAGAAACTTTCTGCATTTTTAGTATTTTTTAAGAATAAGCTGACTTTTCAATGTAACTGTTGAGCTTCTATTACTGGAGTTAATGATGTGTTTATATAAACTCAAACTGTTCTATTCATCATTTTGATTGGACTTAGGGGTAAAAGTCATTTCCCACAATCACGTACATTAGCAGTCAAAAATCTCATAACCTTAACATGACTCCATCTCCATAAAGTATATTGTTGTTAACACTTACGGAATACATATTTATGGAATAAGAAACTATTTTGTATTTGGATCCGCAAAATAACCTTTTGAGTCTAGGTTCTATTATTTGTCTCAGTTTCCTCTTATGGAAATGAGGATAAGAGAAGTCAAGAACTCTTACCAAAAAATTACACAGCTAACATTAGGGCCTGAGGTAAGGGTTATTTATTTCCAAAGCTTATGCTATTATTATTCTATACTTCTTCCATACAACTAGATACATTCCTAGTCTTGCAGAAAACTGGACACTGACCTTCTGTTTCAAACAACTTAGTTATTACCACAAGGACATAAAGTACCCTGCACTTCTCTTTACCACAGCACCTAACTACAGTAAAAGTTTGGAGTTAGCAAGCACTATCATACTTCCCTGTATTCAACAACATTTGTATCTCTGATTCAAGGTCATTCTTCATGCTTTTCAAATGCGTGGAATAGTTTCCTCTAATCCAGTGGTTCCCAAGCTTTGCTGCATATTATAATTACCTAGGGGAGCTTTTAACATGCTGATGCATAGGTTACATACCAAAGTAATTAAGTCAGAATATCTGGGGGTGGGAGTCCAAGCATCAGTACTTTTCTAAGATCCTGAGGTAATTTCAACGTTCAACAAAGTTAAGAACCACTGTCCTAAGGAAAAACTCTTATTTTTGTCTCCCAAGTATATGGTCAACTGAGTCCACTATCTCTGATGTTAATTAGACAAACGACTATTAAAGACCTAAAAATAATAATAGTAGGAAAGAAATGCAACTAATATATGCTTTAGAATTGCTTTGATTTTTTTTTAACTTAAAATTGGGTAGGAGTCTTCAACATGATTAACTCTAAGGATAAAGTCACCAAAAGCATCTCATTCACTATACCTACTGTTTGTATTTGAACTAGTGAACAGAAATGAGCCCAGAAGAAAAGAACACAGCAGGTAGCTATGTTCTTCACTATTTTAAAAGAAAGAGAAGTTGGCCAACAGCCTGATAACTTAAAGTGCAAAAGCTATAGCAGCCCTGTTCCATGGCCCACCGACAGGAATAACGCCATGATCTGACAACTGCCAGAATACTGAGAAATTAAAAAGGAAACTATTAAGGAAACCAGATTTTTTTTAAAAGTTTGATTTTAAAAGAGAAATCTTACTGTGCCACACTGCATTTCTTTCCTCTCATTTTTAAATTCTTACATGTTATTCTGAATGTGCTGTATCACAGAAATATGGCTTGAGTCTGCTATATATACATTTTATAATACTTAAGAAACAATACATTAAATATTCTAGAGTGAAAGAGTAACACTGAATTAATTAGAAGTCATTAAAGCAATGTAAATCAATTCTGTGAAAACAAGATTAGCTGATTTAACATCCTCGAATATCGCAAAAAATCTATAAATAACCGAAATAAATGTGAAAGTCACCACAGAAGCGAGGTTCACTATATATTAATACTAACTGTCTTAAGCAATAACTAGAATGTCTATGCTTTATTATGACTCCATGGTAATGTTGGAGTTTATGATATTTTGTCTTTTCAGTCAATCTCAAAATCTTAAGTGCCTACTTTGTGTTAGTGTGTTGAATGAGACACTCCTGGGTATTTCCCTTAATGAGGACAATTTCTAGACATGTGATGAGACTGCAACTAGATGAAACAGAGGTACCACTCCACACAGATCAACAAATGCCTCTACAAGGTGAGAGCCCCATGTATCATGAGGCCCTAGTACAAGAACTGGTGTACGCATATGTCCAATAAATAAATAGGTGGTGTCAATGGAGATGCAAAATGCATGTATGCATATCCATAAACTTCAAAAACAAGATGACCAAGAGAAACTCTGTATTAAGTATCCCAAAGGATTATTATAAATAAGTAGCCCATAAGTGAAAAAATTACCCAGATAAAAGGCATAAGCCCAGTTTCAGAAGAAATTTATATATGACTCTACTATTAATTGAAACTATTATTAGGTTAGAAATTAGGTACTAGACCCCAGGAATACAATCCAATTGTGAAATTATCATAGCAACCAGTTAGTTATATTAAAATATGATCTGGCTATCCTAAAGAAAATATTGAAAGAAAAAAGTTAAATTAGAAAAATAGCTTGCTTGCTTGAATCTGTATTTATACAGTCAGATTATTTCATTTCCAAAATTGTAAATTCTCATGGCTGTTTTCTTAAGGAAGCTCTTCACTGTTTGTACTTTGACTACAGACAGGAAAAAAAAAAAAGAAAATTTAAAAAAGAAAGAAAAGCATATGATATTAAAGTCCAAGATATTAGCATCCAGATCTTAGTCTCTAATACTACTATCCACTAAAAACAACCGCAGCTCCTTTGGAGAAATGACTGATTCCAGGGCTGGGGCAGAAAGTACAGAATTCGTCTGGAACCGCTTACTCAAGTAAGGCAGTGCTTTAAAAAAAAAAAAAAAAGGTTCAGGGAGGTGGGGGGATGTCTTGAAGGAGCTCCCATGAGCCAAATCAGGGACAATCTGAGCACTAAAATGATTAACTACAGTAATGAATTATAAACCATTAAAATATAAATCCATTGAGTTCATACCAATAAACAAATACATGCATTCCTACATACATAGAAAGGTAGAAAAGGGGGCCCCTGCTTACAATAGAACATTGAGAGGCAACTGATAGGTTTGGAAGGAGTGCTAGAGTTTAAAAACCATCATTTTGCAGCCATCATGGTAAAGACTAATTCAGACAAGAATTATAAATGATTGCTAGATCTAACCTTAAGTCTGGATGAAAAGCAGAATATCCGCATGATCTGAAAGTGTCTTCTCAGAGGTTGCTTATTATTTGCAATGGAAAAAACTAAAACTATACAGTGGAGGAATATAATAATGCCTTAAGTGATCAAAATTAATATAATGAAAAAGGAGCAAGTTACAGTGTGCACCTCTGGATGTGCTAATCTGAGAAGAACATATCACGTATGTAGTATTCCAGTCAGGAATATCTAACTTGAATTTTTTTTTTTTTTTTTGAGACGGAGTCTTGCTGTCGCCCAGACTGGAGTGCAGTGGCGCCATCTCGGCTCACTGCAAGCTCTGCCTCCCGGGTTCACGCCATGCTCCTGCCTCAGCCTCCCGCGTAGCTGGGACTACAGGTGCCCGCCACCTCGCCCGGCTAATTTTTTGTATTCTTAGTAGAGACGGGGTTTCACCGTGTTAGCTAGGATGGTCTTGATCTCCTGACCTCGTGATCCGCCCGCCTCAGCCTCCCAAAGTGCTGGGATTACAGGTGTGAGCCACCGCGCACGGCCTAATCACAAGGAAACACCATACAAAACCAAATGAAGAACTTTCTATTTTTAAAAAAGTGGGAGGGGGACTTTACTCATAAGAAATGTCCATGTCATAATGGAAATGTTCCTGACTAATGGACCTAAAGAAATATTACAACTAAATGCAATATATGATCCTAGACTGAATCTTGGATTCAAGGAAAAAAGTCAATATAGTACATTATTGGGTCAACTGATAAAACTGAAATATGAAAGGCTGATTCAAGTACTGGATCAATCCTAAATTTAGTGATGTTGACAATTTTACTCTGGTTATATTAAAAAGTACATTTATTTTTTGGAAAAATACATCAAAGTATTTAGTGGTAATAGACCATGATGTATGCAACTTCCTGTATCTCGTGGTTTAGAAAAAAATATGCATGTGTATGTGTGTATTCCCACATATACATACACACACAAAGAGACACACATAGGGAGAGAAAGAAACAGAGAGAGAGAGAAGGGAGGAAGAGATGCAGGAAAAAGAGAGTAAAAGCAAATGAAGAAGTAAATGCCATAAAATGTCAACAATAGATGAATTTGTGTCCTGCAGATTTAATGGAACAACATAGTGTTCTTTGTTCCATTCTCATGCTTGCTTGTTTTCGAAAATTAAATTTTCAGAAATTTAAGCTATCATTCATCTTTGACAAATGTACTATAATAGTCCAGGACCTTATGTGAGAGCTTTGTAAATCACTGTTTTACATGATAGTTTTGAAAAGTGAAATGTACTCACCTATTGTTTGGATGATAGCATTCTGCACAATCTTCTCATCATTGTCTTTGGAACTTGTATTTAAGTTGACACTGCCTACAGATCCCCCCTGTAAATCATTTGCTTCGAATTCAACGCTGAGACGCAGATGTTTCAAAAGGGTATTGAAGACTTCCAGCACTGTCGGACCTATAAAGGATCACTTATGTGAGAAGATACATGTTTCTAGTATTGCATATTTGAAGTCAATTACCTTATTTCTCCACAGATTGTTTCTGTAATTTTCTAAATAGTCAGAAATCCATAGTAATTTATAAACTATTTCATTTTTTTAAAAAAGAGTAAATGAGAAATAATTAAGAAAGACACTCATTATAACAACAAACATTTACTGGGCATTTATGAGCAACTCACCGTTTGAATCTCTGGTTCCACCCTTAAAAAATGTGTATAGGCATATAAGAATTACCAAAAACTTTCTAACTATTTAATCTTATCTGTTCACAATAATGTGTACTAGGACAATATTTAACTTAACTGCTAGGTAAGAATCCACAAAATTATGTAATATAGCTCACAGAAGCATCAAATATTTATTTTGTATCTTTTGAGACTGAAGGGAGAATATGCCTCAATTATGAGACAGAAACTACCAAATTTATTAGATTCAGGTTAACTGCATTTGTTCTCGCTTTTTGTATAAATCCTCTGCATGTGTTTCTATCACTGCTTCTGTCCACTTTATTTTAATTAGTGGGTTTCATTTCTGCCTTTTACTCTTGATTTAAGCTTCTTCAGGAAAGGCAGCCGTGTTTAAATGCCTCTTCAAACGTATAGAGCCTAGCACAGAGTACCTAACACACAGTAGACATTAATCGATGTGATGATTCAATGTATCATCTATGTTTTATTTCATTATTTGCAATTAAATAACTTTCCAATTAAATAACCAGTTTTATCTCTTCAAGTTACAAGATAAAACAGAAAATTCACATCCAAGATGCCCACCTTTATTTGACAATAAAAGAACAAAGGAATACAGTTGGTCCTCCATATCTGCAGTTCTGGATTCACAGATTCAACCAACTATGGGTTGAAAATATTCGGGGGAAAAAAAAAACCCACGATAAAAAAAAAAAACACACACAAATAAAAAAGCAATACAGTGTAACAACTAATCACATAGCATTTACACTGCATTAGGTATTATAAATAATCTAAAGATGATGTGAAGTATATTGGAGGGTGTGCAAAGGTTATATGCAAAAACTACGCCATTTTATATACAGAATTTGAGTACCTGCAGAGTTAGGTATTCTCAGGGGTCCTCGAACCAATCCCCTGCAGATACTGAGGGATGACTATATCATTAGATAATATATTTCCACTTTGAATTTCAAGCAAAGAAACCATAACCAGATTCTCCTTCAAACTTCTGTATTTCTAATATGCACTATTTCATTTTTGTAGTTACATGTAAGTAAAATATCGTAATTTTTGAACTATCCCTTTTTCTCATTAACCCATTATCAAATCCTATCAACTTGACATTGTCATTCCTACTGCTTCCATGCAAGGGCAAGTTCTTTTCCACATGGATATAACAATGACACTGACTTGTTATTTCTAATGTGCCCTACATTTTGCTGCCAGAAAAATTATCCTATAGCACATTTCTCATGAAGATTACAGTAAATCTTTAAGGACTATTAATCAGCTGAAGAACTATGTCCACAATTTGGCTACAACTTAATTTTAAAGCCACTTCTCTGACTTCTAAACTAACACCATACATTCTACCCAAAATGGGCCACATAAAATTTTGCTTGTGCTAATCCTAATCCATTTTCCCTCCCTTCTGTAAACCCTGGCTTTTTAAATGATATGTGATCAAAGCTTGCCACATATTACAGTATTAGGTGGAGCTGTCTAATCACAAGTACACCATCAGTTTCTTATATCTGCATTCTCTCAATGTTCAGTATATAATCAATACTCAAAAACCTTTATTAGAAGAAGGAAAGGGAGGAGGAATTGATGTGAAGGAAAATACTTAACTGTGTGCTAAAGAAGCCTGAAAATAATTGCATGAACCCAAATTTCAAAAAAAATTATTGTACACCGAAAAATGTGTAGAAATATTCTTAAAGAGTTCTTCATACACTGCTATGCATACTGAAAGGACACTTTGAACCAGATCAACGCACTATTTTATTTTATTTATTGGCACTCACCTATGGAACCTTTAGCAGCAATGGCAACAGCCTCTAACAGAACCTGAATAATACCTGCTCGAACCCGGGGAGCATCTTTTTTACGAGCATCAAGGTGTCCTAGAATCTCCTGGATCACATGGTGAGAATACTGAGCCTGAAGGAGACAAAACAGTACAAAGATGTATAAAAAGTACATGTACCTTGGCAGAATTCCTAAGAATAAAAAAAACACCTGACACGTAAATGACCAATTAGTGACTGGTGGTCATGTTATGAGACAATAAATAGCCACAATACAAAGCCATTCTTTTAAAGAATAAACAGAGATGCTGGAAAATATTTATGACACTCTGAGTGAAAAAAAGCATACTGCACAATTCTATGTTTAATAAAATTCAATCTAGTTTTTAAAAAGTAAATTAAAATTATATATAAAAAGATTAACACTGGCCACCTCTGAGAAAGGGATTTATGAGAAAACTTCATTATCTTTATATTTCTCTGTAATTTCAAAGTGCATTTATAAACTTTTATAATAGGACAAAATTTTGTAAAAAACATAAATTATGACATTCACAGTATTTTCCCATAGCCAAACTAGATAAATACTATTTAACATGGACACCTAACAATGCTAAAGAGTCAAAACACTCATCTAATCAAGAGCTAGTGTCAAAATGAAAATATTATCCATGTGTACCTGACAAAATTTAAATCAAGGAGATCTCAAAAGATGTGCAATTAACAAAGGCAACTTTATCACATATAAATAAAATTGATCAACCATAGTGAATGATATTGGGGCCTAAATCAAAAAAAGGATAGCCAAAAAAATGTTTATTCTTAACTCCAGTGAATAGGTTTTTTTTTTTTTTTTGAAGAACAGCAAAGTTTTGTTTTTTTAAAACCTACACTTACACCCATGAGTCACGATCGGTCTACTATCATCCACCAAGCTGTAAAAAGCACCTGTGGCTCTCAATCTCCCTGTCTGTATTTGTCTTCAGACAGGTCCCCTCTGCCCTGTTTTCAGGCTGGTTACCTTTCTTTCCTTTGGAATGTGTGGTTTGATAAGAAGCAGGAGTGCCCTATGCATAATGGTTACTCTGCTCAAAAGCAAAAAGTTCCCCTCCTTCTCTATCAAGTAACAGATTTCATCTCTAGGTATTTCTCAAATTTTTGTCATAATACACATCTACTTTTAAAATCACCCAAGGTAAAAACTAAGTTTGTGTTTTCATCTTTACTTTGTTTCATTTAAAGTTATGTTAAAATAGATGAATGTTAGGCAGGAAGACACACACAAAACCTGAAACTGAACTTCTTGTCCAGGAAGCTGCATGCTTCTGATGTGTGAACCTTGTGCAATTATTAGTCTGCCTTTATAGGTAAGGTAGCCATTTGATTTACTGTCCAAATGGGGACACTGCAGAGAGTGAAGGAGGTATTATCAATAATTATAAAGTACGACTATACTAAGCAAACCAGAGCATGTGTTCTTTCTACTTATAAAGAACAACTCAAGAATGATATCATGTATTAAACAAAAGAATATGGAGTGAAAGGAAGGAAAGTGAGAAGACGTAATACAGTATGTTGAAGTCATGTGTACTGAGGTTTCATTTACCTATGGTAAAATTTGCCCTTACACTGAAGTTTAAGGCAATGTTAACAGATGAATCGCTTTAAGACGCAACATAATACAGTGGTGGTGAAGTACATAAGCCCTGGAGCCAAACTCGCCCAAGATCGAATTCTGACTATCATTTAATAGCTAAATAGCTCTCAGATTAAGAGAGCATTTTATTTAATCTCCCTGTAACTCAGTTTCTCTCATCTACAATATTTAAACAATAACAATTACTCATAGGATTCTTGGGGCAATTAAATGAGTTAATTTGTATAAAGCACCCAAATTGTGTCTATTGTATGAAAAATGCTTAATATGTATTAGTTATTATTACTACTTTTCAATTTGTGACTTGTGAGCTAATATATGACTATTAACATTGAACATAACAATAATGACGACAAAAGAGCATTTCATTCAGAAGTGACCAGAAGCACTGGCACTCTTCTAAGTACTATATATGTATTATTTACATAAACAGTTCTAGGAGGTAGGTTCACCGTAATTACTCCATGCTCTTCACAGTATAAATAAGGCAAGTTTTAGTAACTTGTCTAAGGTCATGCAGAAACTCTTTTTTTTGTTGCTTTTTATTTATTTATTTTTTTATTAAACTTTAAGTTTTAGGGTACATGTGCACAATGTGCAGGTTTGTGACATATGTATACATGTGCCATGTTGGTGTGCTGCACCCATTAACTCGTCATTTACGTTAGGTATATCTCCTAATGCTATCCCTTCCCCCTCACCCCACCCCACAACAGGCCCCAGTGTGTGATGTTCCCCTTCCTGTGTCCATGTGTTCTCACTGTTCAATTCCCACCTATGAGTGAGAACATGCGGTGTTTGGTTTTTTGTCCTTGCGATAGTTTGCTGAGAATGATGGTTTCCAATTTCATCCATGTCCCTACAAAGGACATGAACTCATCATTTTTTATGGCTGCATAGTATTCCATGGTGTATATGTGCCACATTTTCTTAATCCAGTCTATCATTGTTGGACATCTGGGTTGGTTCCAAGTCTTTGCTATTGTGAATAGTGCCGCAATAAACATACGTGTGCATGTGTCTTTATAGCAGCATGATTTACAATCCTTTGGGTATATACCCAGTAATGGGATGGCTGGGTCAAATGGTATTTCTAGTTCTAGATCCCTGAGGAATTGCCACACTGCCTTCCACAATGGTTGAACTAGTTTACAGTCCCACCAACAGTGTAAAAGTGTGCCTATTTCTCTACATCCTCTCCAGCACCTGTTGTTTCCTGACTTTTTAATGATTGCCATTCTAATTGGCGTGAGATGGTATCTCATTGTGGTTTTGATTTGCATTTATCTGATGGCCAGTGATGATGAGCATTATCTCATGTGTCTTTTGGCTGCATAAATGTCTTCTTTTGAGAAGTGTCTGTTCATATCCTTCACCCACTTGTTGATGTTGTTTTTTTCTTGCAAACTTGTTTTGAGTTCTTTGTGGAGTCTGCATATTAGCCCTTCGTCAGATGAGTAGATTGCAAAAATTTTCTCCCATTCTGTAGGTTGCCTGTTGACTCTGATGGTAGTTTCTTCTGCTGTGCAGAAGCTCTTTAGTTTAATTAGATCCCATTTGTCAATTGTGGCTTTTGTTGCCATTGCTTTTGGTGTTTTAGACATGAAGTCCTTGCCCATGCCTATGTCCTGAATGGTATTGCCTAGGTTTTCTTCTAGGGTTTTTATGGTTTTAAGTCTAACATTTAAGTCTTTAATCCATCTTGAATTAATTTTTGTATAAGGTGTAAGGAAGGGATCCAGTTTCAGCTTTCTACATATGGCTAGCCAGTTTTCCCAGCACCATTTAGTAAATAGGGAATCCTTTCCCCATTTCTTGTTTTTCTCAGGTTTGCCAAAGATCAGAGAGTTGTAGATATGTGGCATTATTTCTGAGGGCTCTGTTCTGTTCCATTGGTCTATATCTCTGTTTTGGTACCAGTACCATGCTGTTTTGGTTACCGTAGCCTTGTAGTACAATTTGAAGTCAGGTAGCGTGATGACTCCAGCTTTGTTCTTTGGCTTAGCATTGACTTGGCAATGCGGGCTCTTTTTTTGGTTCCATATGAACTTTAGTTTTTTCCAATTCTATGAAGAAAGTCATTGGTAGCTTGATGGGGATGGCATTGAATCTATAAATTACCTTGGGCAGTATGGACATTTTCATGATATTGATTCTTCTACCATGAGCATGGAATGTTCTTCCATTTGTTTATATAGTCTTTTATTTCGTTGAGCAGTGGTTTGTAGTTCTCCTTGAAGAGGTCCTTCACATCCCCTGTAAGTTGGATTCCTAGGTATTTTATTCTCTTTGAAGCAATTGTGAATGGGAGTTCACTCATGATTTGGCTCTCTGTTTGTCTGTTATTGGTGTATAAGAATGCTTGTGATTTTTGCACATTGATTTTGTATCCTGAGACTTTGCTGAAGTTGCTTATCAGCTTAAGGAGATTTTGGGCTGAGATGATGGGGTTTTTTAGATATACAATCATGTCATCTGCAAACAGGGACAATTTGACTTCCTCTTTTCCTAATTGAATACCCTTTATTTCCTTCTCCTGCCTGATTGC